>NC_000015.10:62026874-62651874 GCF_000001405.40 Homo sapiens | reverse complement strand
TCTTTGAAAACCTTTCAAAGTTTTCAGGGGATTGTTGCCACTACGTCTTTTAGAGATAGTACAGACCTGGACTTACAAAAAAATTCCATTCAGTGAGAATCTCTGTTATTGCTGCATTTCATTTACTTACATTCTGTATGATGCCTAATATATTTAAAAGTGTTTACCCTATCTTATTCCATACGTTCTTTTCACTTTGTTTCCATAAGCCGCCCTGCACTTCTCCTATTTTAATGGTCAACATACCTGCATTTCTTCCCTCCTACCCCTACTGGCTTGAAAGCTATACAGGTTATTTCTTGTTTGTTTTGACCAGTAATTAAAATTGTATTAAAGAACTTGTGAAGTCTGGTTTCTTTCATTATTTCCATATACAATCTATCTATATTCTCTTAGGCTATCTTCAATTATTTTCCCAATAATTTTCTTATGAAAAATTCCAAACACGGCACAATGTTGAAAAAATAGTGTACTGAACATTCTATATCTGTCACCTAGAGTCACCTTCAATTTTTTCTCCAGTGCTAAATAACTGCTTTCATAAAGATTTCTTAAAAATTTGATAGTGAAATTGAACCCAAAGAAGTCATACTTATGCCTTACAATTACTGAAAACCATCCTCAGTGAAATGAAAGTAGAGTATGACCTCCTGCAAGGCTGAGAATGATCTGCTCTAAGGAGAATTAGCAGAGGGAGGTGACTACTTGCCTGTTAAAAAGACATCAGTGTGTGTCTCCAATTATCTTTTAACCTGTCATAAGCAATTTTTACTATCTCTATGTCTTTACTATTTGCATATAAAAATATTTTTAATTTTTACTATAAATACATTTTACCTTATATCTTAGAAATAATGAAAGACATAAATAGCATCCTCATCATTCTTCATATTAGTGGAGTATCACAGTAGTCGTGATTTTCAAAAGAGTGTGTTAAAATACATTAATGACAAGACCAAACAGGGGTAACATGTTTGGGGGATATTTTTAAGTAACTTGTTTACTACACTTCCTAAAACTAGAAGTATGAACTTCCTAAAACTAAACTATTCATTTCTTATCCAAATTAATTGGCATCACATATTTCACTCTTACTTTATGGAATACCCATCAATCTGATGGGTGCACTTCACCCTACATACCAAAACCCGGTATCTTGGAGGTTAAGCTGAACAAAATGTTTAATATGTTTTTACTCATTACTTCTCCCTATTTCCATAACACAACCATTTTTGTTGTTGCTGTTACTACTACTGATCATTATTAAACTCACATCTCAAATTGAAGTTTCTTTTTCAGAAACAAAACACTAATATTCAGTCTCTAACTACCATTAGGGTTACATTTCGTTTTTCCCTCTCATTTGTTCTTACTTCCCATCTCCAGGCATAGGAATATCTCTTCCATACTTACAGTAAGATGCTGTATCTTATCTCACAATTACCAAATCCAACAACGACAAGTAGAAACTACTTAAAATACTAACCTCGAACTGCTTCAATCCTTCTATGGAATCTCAAGAATTTGGATATCTGACATTTTCTATCACCACCTGAACAGCCCTTACAAAGTACAATGCATCGAACTATTAATAAGATGCCCTTGAATCAAAATAGCGTAACCGTGTTGGCGTCTATGGAAGAAGGCCCAGGGACAAAGGGATGAAGAAACAGCACTGGGATTGGCAGCATACCCCATTCCGCAACATGTAGTAATCCAGTGTTCTGCCCGCTTCCAGCCAAATCCCTTTCCTCGGGTCTTCATCCGAAAGAAAGAGTCCATAGTCAGAAGCTGAAATATAAATGGGAAGAAAAACAGAAGGCAAAGTGGTGATGAAGCCATCACTGACTTCCAGGCCCTGAGCCTGCTGACTCAGCAAGGATGTGGGTGTTCTCCTTCACCAGACAGCAATGTTTCGTTTTGACAACACAAGCAGCCATCAGGGCTGGAGCAGATCTGGAGGAGTAAGAGTTGAGTTGCAGAAGCAACACCCACAAATAAGGTCCGTGTTTCCTAAAACCAGTGGGCTGTAGTTGTGTCTAAAATGTAGGAAAATTTAGAAGCAGTCCAAATTTCTTTCTAACTGAATTTGAGCTTGTTCTCTATCCCTTGCTATAAAAACCAGACCAACATCCCATGGAGAATGACAAGACAGCGGGGGAGAAACTAAGGAAGTGACCACCTATGCCCAAGGCCACTCAGGCAAAGGGGGACAAATGAAGCCTTTACGTCTCCAGTGACCCCTCCATCATCCCAACTGAGCGGTGTAAAAGAGAGGTAGGAGTTCCTTGTGAGATGAGGCCTCTGACCCCGACCACCAACAAATCATGTAAAAGGTGCAAAATTAAATTTGGTGTTCTCTGCAGGAACCCCTTAATCTGACATAGGAAGTACGAAGGGGGTGGGGTGGCAGGAGAGGAGCAGTACCATTTCCTACCCCAAAATTTCTCTCTTTCTTCTGAGACCCAGATGAGGGTAAGAGCTCCTGCTGTTTCTTAGAAAAGCAACTTCAAAATCTTTAAAGGTTTATACCTTCACCAGCACTATATAGCAATCAAGCTCCCCACCCCCACCAAAAAAAAAATCCGACAGAAAAACAACAGAAAAAGGGAACAGAAAAGTAAAGGCACCAGAAATGACTGGACAACCAAATAGTAAAGTTAGGGATGTAGCAAACCTTATTTCTGAGTAATCTAGAAACACTACTAATAGCATAAATAATGTTTTAATAGCCAGGGGGCGCAGTTGCTCACGCCTGTAATCCTAGCACTTTGAGAGGTGGGTGGATCAGTTGGGCACAGGAGTATGAGACCAGCCTGGGCAACATAGCAAGACCTTGTATCTACAAAAAATACAAAAATTAGCCGGGTGTGGTGGCGTGTGCACCTGTAGTCCCATCTATTCAGGAGGCTGAGGCGAGAGGATCACTTGAGCCTGGAAGGTTGAGGCTGCAGTGAAGTGTGATGGGGCCACTGCACTCCAGCCTCCAGTGACAGAGCGAGACCCTGTCTCAAAAAATAATAATCGTCCAGGCGTGGTGGCTCACGTCTGTAATCCCAGCACTTTAGGAGGCCGAGGCAGGCAGATCACCAGAGGTCAGGAGTTCAAGACCATCCTGGCCAACATGGTGAAACCCCGTCTCTACTAAAAATACAAAAAATTAGCTGGGTATGGTGGTGTGCACCTGTAATCCCAGCTACTTGGGAGGCTGAGGCAGGAGAATCGCTTAAACTCGGAAGGTGGAGGTTGCAGTGAGCCAAGATCACATCGTTGCCCTCCAGCCTGGGCAACAAGAGTGAGATTCCATCTCAAAAAAAAAAAAAAAAAAATCGTCATCATCATCATCACGTTTTAGACCAAAAACAATTTTATGAGAAGCAGATCTTTTCAAGAAGATATTTTTGTATTTATAATTACCCTTGTGATGTTTGATTTTTATTCTTCCTTTTTTTTTTTTTTTTTTTTTTTTTGAGTCAGGGTCTCGCTTCATCGCCCAGGCTGGAGTGCAGTGGCTGGATCATGGCTTGCTGCAGCCATAAACTCCTGGGTTGAAACTACTTTCCTGCCCTGAGACTACAGGCACATACCACGACACTCAGCTAATTTTTCAGACTTTACTAGAGACAGGGTTTCAACCTGTTGCCTAGGCTGGTCTCTAACTCCTGGGTTCAAGCGATCTTCCCGCCTTGGCCTCCCAAAGTGCTTGGATTACAGGTGTGAGCCACCATGCTTGGCCTATTCTTTCCATTTTTAAGATAAGTTTCATCCGACTTTCACCTAAAGACTTACTGATTTGGAAGGGATCCAATTTCTCAACTGCCTGTCAAATACTAAATAAAAGAAAGACAAATTGAGAGAAGACAAAGGGAAGGGGAAAATAAAATGGTACAAGTGGCTTTTGTTTAAACTCAGATTAACGGGGATGAGTGATTTAGCCAAACTTCAAACAAAACATATATCACAAATGTCTTTTTTTTTAAGGTTTGAGATAAAATTTATAAAGTCCCTGTCAAAAAACTTGAAATATAAGACCTGCCCTGGGTTCCAATGGCAGTGGAAAGCGTTCATGCATGGGAAACAGGGTTTAGGACACATACCGCCAATACTGTTAGGGCAGCTTCATTTGCACTTTCTTGGGACAATGAGATGATACATGAGAATGTGATCTGTAAACCGCAGAGCATAATCCTCATGCATGGGAGGGTCAAGTTGCTGGGCACAGTGACAATGATGACTCAGCAGTGGGCATGGTCACTGTAATCACAAGTCTCACAGAGGAAGCAGGTAGTGTCTGATCTAAGAAGGTATTTCATTTGAAACATATGCACTAATAGGCTTGTGTACCACTTGGAGCCTCTGTCTCTTTAGCAAAAAAGTGAAAAACATGCAAACACGTTTTAAGAAGCCAGTAAATAACCCATGACCTACCTTGCCCAGTTTGTGCCTCAGGCACCCGTTCCCGAATGACTCGACACGCATCGTACACAGCTGTAGATGGTTCAAACTGCATGGTCTTCACCACGTTGCAGTGGCGCACACAAATCTTTAAGGACAGGGCCACCATTTTCCTAGATGATGTGGACAGTCTCACTTAGAATGTCTGGAAAACACAAAGAGACAAACCCTGATGTTCACGATAATAATTTGTCTTGGGGAAAAAAAAACAAAAAAAGTGCTGGACTTTAAAATCAACTTTAAACATGGAAAGAGAATAAAACAGCAAATAAAGAGTACACTTTAGGTACAAAACAAATTTTACAAATCAATTTTGAAAAATTTAAAGGAGGACAACAACAGCATATTGGCTAAGAGTTATTACTACAGGGTGACAAGTAGAACCCCTTAGGAGGAGGGAGCTCCAGATGTTCACCACACCTCCCTCTGAGTAGTCCCCCTCCTTGGGGTTTCTGAGAGAAGGTCCTAGGAGTGGAATTTCTAGGGTTAATGTCCTCAAGGCAAGAGGCAGAGAGCCTTGGGCACCTATGACTGGGTCCTAAAGACAGCCTCAGTTCCCTGGGTCCTCTCAGCACCTGGGGACAGAGAAGAATCAGGGAAGCCCTCTCAGGTGCTCCTCTTGGCACAAAAGCTCCACCACCCTTGGATTCTGGGCCCAGCTCCATCACTAAGAGCCTGTGTCAATCTGAGAAAGTCACTTTGGCCACTCTGCCTCAATTTCTTCACAAATAAAGTGGCTATAATGATATCAGCCCTGCACAGTGCATAAAATAGAATCCCAAGAAAAGATCAACATGAGGCCAGAGAGGCCAATCTTAAACCCAAAGGGTACCAAGAAGCTTCACGTGATTGGGGTCTCAAAGGGAATAAAATGCAACTCAATTCTGATTTGATTTAGACAAACTATGGAGATATTTTGTTTCTTCTCCAGTTCAATAGTTTCAGAAAATACACAGGTGGCTGGGTGCAGTGGCTCATGCCTGTAATCCCAGCACTTTGGGAGGCTGAGGGGGGCGGATCACTTGAACTCAGGAGTTCGAGACAGCCTGTCCAACATGGTGAAACACGGTCTCTATTAAAAATATGAAAATTAGCCTGGCATGGTGGCATACACCTGTAATCCCAGCTACTCGGGAGGCTGAGACAGGAGAATCGCTTGAACCCGGGAGACAGAGGTTGCAGTGAGCTGAGATCATGCCACTGCACTCCAGCCTGGGCAACAGAGCAAGACTCTGTCTCAAAAAAAAAAAGAAAGAAAAGAAAAGAGATGAGACGAGATGAGACGAGACACAGGTTTAGGTTAAGTTTGAACTTGCTCATAAATGCTTTCTTTTAAAAATGTAAGTTCAACAACTCAGTGTTTTTCCTTTGAGTTGGTGGCTCACGGTGTATTTCCAGTGCCTGCTCTATTTCATGGCCAGAAACTTACCTGTCCCCTACTCACTTAACCCAAGCCAGTCTCTATCAAATATACTCCTTGGGCACAAGACAGAAAGAAACCTGTATCACAAACGCTTTTTTCTTTGTGCCTGAAGAACCAGCTGAGTGTCATCCTAGCAAGCAAAACAAGGCCCTTTATAGTTAGTAGCTAATAGAATCTTAGAGCAGCCCAGGTAACATCAATCCACAGGTATTTCAAGCTCACTCTCTTTCTTGTGTTTTATGAGAGAACCTGCAGGTAGTAAACCTGGACTCCAGCTTCTTCCCACGGAAGAAGGGAGGTGCTAGGAGGCAACAAGATGGCCACAAGGCAGAGGGGACAACAGGCTGCCCAGGCCCAGGCAGTGCAGCGAGTGCCTCCAGGGTCTCAGCTTCTCAGCATGCTTGATTGCTGGCGTCCTAACGACAGGTGGCTGGGTCACATGGATACAGGAGATGTTTTTCAACAGATGCTTTGGTGAATGCGGGCATGGTTTACACGGTCTCACAAAGCAACCTTTCAGGCCGTCCAACTGCAATGTCATTCTGACCCCTGCTTGCATTCTGAATGAATTTTGCCATGAAAATTGTGAAACTATTCCTTAGTTGAGAAAGGTCAGGATACACTTCTCAATAAACAACAGCAGTGTTCACTGGGAATCTGCCTGAAACTGAATTAAGTAACTAAGGCCTAGGCAGTGGCTGGATTGCTGACACAGCAGAGGGGTTCAAAATATCTGGCAATTCCCAACTGCAATATTGAGGACTTTTAAAGCCATATGTAAAAGCTTCCTCCACCCCTCTCTTTATAGGCCTAGTTAACCCAGCAACTCCCCGATTGGGGGAAATAAAATTTAAACTCTAGAGATAAATGGACTAATTTGCTGTGATGCAGATCATTCCGTGGGCTAGTCTGTCTCCTGGGGCTGGCAACAATTGCTAAAATCCATAAGCATGACTGGTGGTAAGAGTCAGTGAGGAAAGCCACAAAGCTCCATGCTGTCATGGATGCTGTTTATGGGATGCAACGGTGAGGATGGGATGGTTAATATCGTCTGTTCCCTCGGAAAACGAAGTGTTGTAAGCGTTGCTGCGTGAAGTCTGCCCTTCCCAGGCTAAAAACTGAGCTTTCTGAAAGGCAAATGAATGGTCCCCCTAACCATGCAGAGAGAGATTCCACTGAAGCCAAGAGAGAGCCATGACATGGACCCGAGAGCCAAATGTAACAGCAGGACCTAACACTGGAGCTCAGAAGGAAGCAGAAGACACACAGAGGAGCAAGGAGAAAGCACCAAAAGGGGCAGCAGAATCAAAGGAGGGAGCCCTGCAGGGCACAGCAAGACGCCTGGGGCTGCGGGGTCCGCAAGGTGCACAGGAGAGAGGCTCAGAGAGCTGGGAAGCAGACAGGAAGGAGAGAAGCAGAAACAGGAGGACATGAAGGAAAACCTCTGTCAAGAAAGGCTGCTGGGGACAAAGATTTGGAGGTGAGTTTCCTTGAGAGGTATTCAGTGGAGAGGTGGAATATAGAATTGAACGCAAAGATGGAGAGAGAACTGGGTGGGAGGGGCTAGAAAGACCACCTAGGGAGTGAGGGAGAGCAGTAATGACTCAGCCCTGGGAACAACATTCTGAATTGGCAGACGAGAAAAAATTGGCAAAGGAGGCACAGGGGTAGGTGAGGGAAGAGAACAGACAGAGGGTAGAACCCAGGAGAAAGCACATCAAACAGAAGGGAGAGATCGCATGTACCCATTGCTGGTCACAGGTCAGGTAAAATGCAACTGAGACATTGCAACTGAATCTGGCAAATTGGAGGGCTTTAGTGGGATGGGGGCGGGGCGGTGGGTGGCGCGGGGGAGAGCCTGGAGTAGCAGGTTCAGGAGAGAGATGGAAGAGAGGGGTGGCCCAGCAGGTATAGACTTGTCTCCTGAGCAAGTATGCTAGGAGGGGGCAGAGGAACAGGCGGTAGCTCAGATTTATGCTTTTAAGACTTTGTAATCCAAAAGTGCACATCACATGGTTGCTGTAAACTCCATAGGGAAGTTATCTACATAGACATGGTTTCCACCTTATTATAGTCCTAGAGACAGTCCCAGGACAGCTAAGTGCCCTTCCTCACCATACATAATCTCTATTCTGCACCAAGTGCACATGGCTGCCCGGGTCTATTGCGGAGAAGGTGAGTGGCTAAGTCTGGGTTCACGGAAAGGACCCTGGGTGCAGAGTCTGAGGTGCAGGCTCAATTCCACACCTCCTGATGCCTTTGACCTCTGGACATGTCAATTCCCCTCTGCTGCCTTCAGAGAGCAGGAGGTAACCTGCTCCCACAGAAGGAGCTTCCTGATAGATACTCAATGCTTGGCCAACTATACCCGTTGGATCCTCAGTCTCCTCATCCTTACATCTCAAGAGGGGGCAGGGCATGGAATGGAGGGTAGTTCAGGGTAGGTGTTCAACAGACAAGAAATACTACATTCACTATGAGACTTGTGGCCTCAACTTTTTTTTTATCACCCAAAAACAACTATTGCAAAAAAGCATCACAGGAACACAATATACCAAAAAAAAAAAAAAAAAAAAAAAAAAAAAAAAAAATCCTGGAACCAAACTAATCATTCTTACAGAGCACTGCACACGAGTGTAAGACTAAAAGGCCCCAGGGTTGCCTTCTCACTTCTGGCTCCCCATTTTATTAAGATTTAGTTTTTCCAAGCTTGAGATAAGGCCAACAACTGACTTCCCAGGAATGTCTCTAAAAGGCCAATACTTTGTAATCTACAACATTATATTTAAAGACAAGATATTTTAATTATTTTCACCCAAGATGATCACTGACATAGGGAAACCCAGTCATATGGGATTTATTCACCACCCCACAAGAACCACAGCAATGAGCTGCTTCTAGCACCACTCACAACAAAATAAGTACCTGGCAAAAAGGACACTTGTTGGAATCAAGTACTATGACTTACCCTATAGCAAAAAGAAAGTAGGATTAAGGCCAGGTGCAGTGGCTCACGCCTGTAATCCCAGCACTTTGGGAGGCCGAGTTGGGCAGATCACCTGAGGTCAGGAGTTCAAGACCAGCCTGGCCAACATGGCGAAACCCCTTCTCTACTAAAAATATAAAAATTAGCTGGGCGTGGTGGTGGGCACCTGTAATCCCAGCTACTCAGGAGGCTGAGGCAGGAGAATCGCTTGAACCCGGGAGGCTCATTGAACCCGCAATGAGCAGAGATTGTGCCACTGCACCCCAGCCTGGGTGACAGAGCAAGACTCTGTCTCAAAAAAAAAAAAAACAGAAAACAAACAAACAAACAAAAACAACAACAAAAAGAAAGTAGGATTAGAACATATAGCAACCTAGAAATGTAGACTAAAGATGAGTGTGTATTTTCCACACTTGTGAGAAATTTACATCCACTGAAGCCCTGTGAAAATGAGGCAGCTCAGACAACACACCTCGATAAAGATTTATGCTCCTTGTCCACTGTGATGTTTTCAGGGCAGCAAAGCCTGCAACTGGTCCTGGCGTCTACTCTTCTGCACCCGAACCCCTCTCCGGGCTTTTCATGGTGCAGACTCTGAGGTTAGGATTGCTGATCAGGTTTCCTCTTCTAGTTTGACTGCGTGAAACTTCAGAGCCAAATCTGTGTACAATTTCTTGCAGTGTTGTTATAGTCTAATCCCTTTTTCTATTTTATCTTATTGTTCATTTTTCGTTTACCCGAATTTGAATGACTACTATCTTATTGGATCTTAAGGTTGTTTTTGTTTTTTCTTTACTCAAAGACTGGGTATAAATTCATAAAACCTGCATTGTGTTTCTTTTCATAATCTTGTCTCACTCTGACCATTTCTGCCCTCATTGTATGTGTGAAGGTTGCTTGATCCAACACAAAACCCTTCTGTGGTTTCCTTTGTGGAAGCGGAGCTGACGAAACCAGTGGTGAAACCCAGACATTGTCCTGTTAAAATATACTTTTCAGTCCCAGGGAGCTGTAAAGAGCCCAGGATGATGGCAGCAGTGCAGGCTGCTCAGGATCACCCTGGTTCACCCAGGGACAAACAAGTTCAGCTCCAGCAGAGGCCTCCTTCTCTTCAAAATAAATGCCTGTCATTGGTCAAGATGAGCAGCCTTCCCTTGGATCTCTGCCTGTAAGGGAGGACCACGAAGTGCCCTGACCCCACCTGCCTTACCAGCTGCGTGACTTGAGCTGGTCACTTAACTGCCATCTGCCTCAGTCTCCTCCTCTACAAAATGGGAGATAATAACAGATCTACCTATAAGATCGCTAGAGAATTAAATGAGTCAAAGGCACAGAGAAAAGGCTTAGGTAAGGGCTTGTTATTATTATTTTTTTTTTATTTTTATTTTTTAGATGGAGCTTTACTCGTAGCCCAGGCAAGAATGCAGTGGCGCAATCTCGGGTCACTGCAACCTCTGCCTCCCGAGTAGCCGGTTCAAACGATTCTCCTGCCTCAGCCTCCCGAGTAGCTGGGATTACAGGCAGGTGCCACCATGCCTGGCTAACTTTGTATTTTTAGTAGAGATGGGGTTTCTCCATGTTGGCCAGGCTGGTCTCAAACTCCCAACCTCAAGTGATCCACCTGCCTTGGCCTCCCAAAGTGCTGGGATTACAGGTGTGAGCCACCGTGCCCGGCCTGGGCTTGTTATTATTATTAATAACATTAGTCATGGGAGTTGCACAAACAATGGAAGCAGCATACTTGAGTCGGCCACTATCTGAGCTACAAATATCATTTTATTGTTTATTTTGTATCTATTATGTACTAGATAACCTAACAGGCATTAGGGGGCAAAGACAGGTACAACTCCTGTCTACATGGAGCTCACCTTCTAGTTAGCCCTTTATTCACTTAAATATAGTTCCTGTGGGCTGGGTGCAGTGGCTCATGCCTGTAATCCTAGTACTTTGGGAGGCTGAGGTGGGTAGATTACCTGAGGTCAGGAGTTTGAGACCAGCCTGGCCAACATGGTGAAATCCCATCTCTACCAAAAATACAAAAATTAGCCGAGCATGGTGGCGGGCGCCTGTAATCCCAGCCACCCAGGAGGCTGAGGCAGGAAAATTGCTGGAACCCGGGAGGTAGTGGTTGCAGTGAGCCAAGATCGCGCCACTGCACTCCAGCCTGGGCGACAGAGTGAGACTCTGTCTCAAAAAAATAAATAAATAAAAGTTAAAAATAAATAAACATAGTTCCTGTGTTTATTCTTATCGCAGTCACACAACATGCTTTTCCTAGACACAGAACTTTCTGAGGATGAGCTGTGAGGCTGAGTGTGTGTGCGAAGCAGCTAACTCCTATAGCACCTAGGCTGTTTCTCTTGGAGGTCACTTAGGTTCCCCCAACCTAAGAATTCAAGAGGGAAAAAGCCCTCACCCTTTGGCGCAAGGCTGGCATTACTATCAGCTTCCACCCTGGGGCTTGTTCATGAGCTCTGCCTAGGGGCAACTTAGGGGGGCACAATGGGGGCTCTGCACACTCCTGTGTAAAGCAGGGGTTTGTGCCCACCTGGCAAGACCAGAGGGCCAGGCTACCATACCTCAATGGGGCCGTGGAGGTCTACAAGAGTAAGAGCTGGCCACCGTCCCCCTCTTCTCTCTGCCTCTAGCCACTCACTCTCCACCGTGACCTCCTGGGAAGGCCTCTGTGCCCAATTTTGGATGGCTGTACTTGCTATAATTCATCTGTGTCTACATCTCAATCTCCCAGGAATGATTCAGCTCTCTCAAAGAAACACCAAAGAAAGAGCTTCCCCTTCTCCACTCCCTACCTGTCTTCTACAAGAGAGGAAGAGAAGTAGCTCCTCTGCAGGTAAGAACCCACCATGCACTGGGTCACAGCCACCCAGAAGTGCTGCAAATGCCAAAGCCAGGGTCTTGCCCTCCACCTCGCTCGGCAGGACAGTCTGGGCTCAGGTACCCTGAAGCTTGCCTTGAACATTCAGACTCCAGGCACTGAGCAGGCCAGGCATAGACAGGTGCCTATCTGTCCCCATCTAGGAAGGTAAGTCAAGTCATGCCTTCACTGGGAGCCAGCTATCTTTAATTTAAGGAGGGACCAGGAGGGAAGGAAGCAGGGCATCCCATTTGATCTCATCGTCAGTCCAGCTTTACCAAGGAGCCACATTTCCTGGAAGTTACCAAGGCCCTCTCTAATAATTTTGTCAACCCACTGGGACCTGGTTATCTCTTCCCAACTGGTGGGAACCCAGAGGGCAGGGCCTGAGTGGAGAGGCTCCCCTAGTCTCGGTATCTACACTTGAGAGCGCTCCATGCGATAGTAAGCTCAGGAAAAGCAGCAATGAACACAGCTCATGTGATTTTTCCATGTGGCTAACAGCCACTTAGAATAGGACCAGGAGAGTTAAGCTCCTGTTTGCAGCCAGAGTAGGGAGACCAGAAAACAAGAGAGAACATTTATGTAAGAATCCCTCAGTTCTCCCTTATGGAGGCAAGAGATGCCAGGACTACTGTTTGAACACTTCAACTAGAAATGACTATCGTTAAAACTCAAGTGCTAAATGAACAAAGGAGAAATAATTAACCACCCCCACAAGTGTGAACTTAGCAGCAGCCCACACAGGTCAGTAAGAATTCCAGCCAAGTTGCTGGCTTCCAGGGCTGCTGTGCAAACCCCATATATCCCTAAGTAAACGGCAGGGCCACCACAGTCCCCAATATAGCAGCAATAAGATAGATATAGATATACACATAGATATAGATATAGATATAGATATAGATCTATAACCTAGTGTCAGGAATATATTTGCCATTAGAAGTCCATCTCCCCTGCTGGCCTCAGAGAGCAATAACTACATCAATGGAGTCATCTCTGTATTTCAAGGCCTATCACAGTGCCCACTATACAGTAGGTGCTCTATAAATATCTGTGGACTTCATAACACTCCATGGAAAGATTTAACCAGATTTTTCCCTAAATTAGTCATTAGGAATTATGCACAGTAATATCCCAACTAAAGGATGAACAGAGGGCCAACATCCAGCAGACCAAGCTATGTCTACTCAACAACAGCCCGCTCCAGGAACCACAGATGCTGAACTTCATGGCTAACAAGATGAAGTTCTCCATCTGGGCAAATACACAACTCAAAAAAAGAACCAATGCCACATCAGTCAGAAATAACTGGAAGCTCCCCAAGGGCAAGGACCACGTGTATTGCTCACAATAAAGTACCTGACACAGAGAAGGGTTCAATACATATTTATTTAATGCATGAATGGGGTGGGGAGAAGTCAGCATTTCTACCCTCCACCAAGAACCAAAGAGAGTGCCCACAACATGGAATACAAGAATGATGAGAAAAGACCTTTGATACTATTTTCCATTTTCAGGTGAAGAAACTAAAACCTTGAAGTCAAGAGACCTTCCCAAAGTTCACACTGCTAGAAAAGCACAACCAGACCTTCTCACACTGCCACAGTGAACAGAGAGGGTATGCACACGGTTCATTAGAGTCCTCCCAGGATCCCTCCAACCTACCCTCCCATTGCCAGGTAGTTCTTGGCACTGGCACCTGGAATTCCATCATTAAGTATATTGTTGGTCATAAAGATTTGTCCCCAGTTAAACTTTGCTATAAAAATGGATATGTGCATTTGCTGCCTATCACTGTCATAGAAATGGTAAGTTTCAGAACCCTCCGGGCAACTGAGCTGAGTGCTGCCCTTTATTAAAGATGATGCCTAATTAAGAGGAAATTCTGCTGAGGAAGGGGTAGTGCACTACAGAACACACTAGAACTCTGGCACAGTGGAGAAAGGGCAGTAAGCAGGGGAGTAAGAAAAAAGGACCGCCTGAAAGAGAGGGGAGCCGACGCCTATGTTCTCACAGCTTTATGATTTTGCCTAGAGCTGATCTTTAATGGACACATAGCATTTTGAAATGTATGGAAAATCAGGTTCAAGCTGCTTAGCCCAAAGATTAAGGCCCCCACCCACCGCCCAGGCTCATCTACCCCGCTTCCTGTCTCCTAGGCACATCATAAGAATCCTCGATACTAATGAAATGGATGATTTTTCAATCCCTGCAAAACTGCTTCAATTATTTCAGCCTGTGTGTCTGAAATGTTACCACCCTCTGCTCCAGGTCCTCCGTTACCCGTCAGCCCAGCATCCGGCTTTGCTTCCATAAACTAGTCTTTAAACCCTGCCCCAACAAGCAAGGATCCATCTGCTCCCCTCAACTCTCAGAGCACTCAGCTGTGACCCTGCTCCAACACCAGCCCGCCTGGCCTGAGTCACCAGTGAAACAAACAGGAGATGCTATCACCTGATGACCACTCAGCAATGAAGTGCTCCAGGGCGCTTCCATGTATATCTTGTCCCTGGATATGATCAATAGGCTGGAAAGCTAAAAGGATTTTGCATTTTTTGGCACCCCCCTTCCACAGATAAAAACAGAGGTTCTGGGAAGATACATGAATTCCTGGCCTGTATGTGGAAGATACTGTCGTTTTTTGTCGAACCGTAAGAAGGCTGTGTCAGCTCTCGAGCAATCTCACTATTCCCCTGTGGTTGCCAAGACAGCTGAATAAATCATCCATACATTTCAGTCCTCTTGGAGTCTACCTTTCAGTCCTGCTATTTTCCTCCTCTTGTTACAAGCTTCAGAAAGAAGGTGGCTCTAAACTGAACTCTGACTTTGAATTCTTTTATACATTAACTTATTCAAATGATTGAAAGTAGATTGTTTACAAAAATGGATACAATAGAAATGTAAAAGGTCAGCTCCAAGAAAAAAATAGAAGAAAAATAAAAGTGAAGGTCAAGACCAGGTGAACTATGAATTATTTACCATTTGTCTAGATATCAGGGAATAACTCATCCCATTACTTGTTTTCGTTGACCCTTGGTGGCCAGCCTATACAATCTCAGGAAGGCATATTCTGCAGGCTCCTGCTGAGGCTGAGCAACACGAGCTTTGTCATTAAGGCACACACCACTGTGATGGATACAGATATACTTGGCTTTTACGTGGGGTTGGGGTGGGGGAAGCTTTGTTCTACAAGTGCTCAGGGAGGGCATTCAGTGTTTTCTTCCAGACTGAACCTGGAAGAATGAGTGACAAGAACTGTGCGCAAGCTCCTTCTCAAGTGACTCTCTTCATGCTGCGCTTAATTTGATTGTGAGATAGTGTGGCCCCCACTGAAGGACATCTGCTAAAAGCAGCATGGGTTTGGGTTGCCGAGTGACCATGCAAACCTATATTACCATGTTTGCTTTCACCTAAAAAATGGAAGAATCTTGCACTTCCTAGCTCCACTTCCTTCCCCTGCAAGGACCAGACAAGAAAAGGCTGAGACCCCACACCACACATCACTCAAAAAGGCAAAAGCACATTTTTTGACTTGGGCAAAATTTTCTTCAATTTTGAAGAAAAAAAGGAAAGAAATTAAAAACCTATTCTTGCCACTTATCTATGTTAACCTATTAACTATAAATCAGAAGGACCTAAAAATCTGGCATATATTTGGAGAACTGAAACAAACCAAGAAACCTGACTAAACTTTCCATTTGTGTAGACTCAAAGTCCATCTGCATATCATCACATTGCCAATCCAGCAGTCACAGACCAAACTGGATTTTCCAAAGGCTCCTCATTTTCTACCACCACTCATTCCAAGGTCACCCCCATTTTATACCTAAAACTTGCAATGTTTTAGTTAAACTCTATCTATCTATCTATCTATCTATCTATCTATTACAGTATCCCTGATCTTAGACTTAGAAGTCATTAAGTCTAGTTCTCTACAGGTTATGTAAATCCTTGCTGTAATTTTCCCATCCTTCTGAATGTAAGAATTAAAACTAATACATACATATATTTTTAAAAATTTTAAGTATATAGTAGCAGCTAACACATGTAAGTGATTACGCGCCTGGCACTGATGCTAAGCCCTTTTTATGTTAAGGCACTGAATCCTCAACATAACCCCATGCTAAGAGGTTTAGACTTCGCCCAAGCAGGACAACCAAAACAGAGTAGTCATGTGAACTCGACCAAGGCCACGGATCTGGGGGTTCTGCCTCCTAACGTGTGCTGTTTAAAATGGAAGGGAACATAGAGAAATCGATACAGTGCTTGTGTCAGGGATGCAGGAAAATGGGAAAATGGTTTTTTATTGATAATGTGGTTTTTATTAATAATTGAACTTTCACTTGTTGCATTATTATATGTCATACACTGAACTAAGCACTTTACCTAATGATTCTGGAAAATCATTAGGTAAGGGAGATCCTATTTACCCTAGATAAATTAGGCTTAATAGAGATTATGTCTTGTTAAGTAACAGGCAAACACAAGAGGAAAGGAAGGTTTAACCCAGGTCTGTCTGAATCTAGACTTCCATGTCTGATCCCACCCCACTCAAAGATAAATACCACTAACATTTGGACACATTTCCTTCCAATATGTATGCATATTTTATGTAGTTGAGATGATATGCTCTATATAATTCTATATCCTAAGTTTTCCCCATTCTAATTACATAATATTCCCCCACAGTATTGTAAACTCTTTACATTGTTTTTAATAAATACATAATATTGTAAATAAGGCCCCATAATTTAATTTAATAGCTGTATCTTTTTGGGTATATCAGCTATTTACAAGTTTTTCCTATCATAAATAAGGATGCAATAAGGATTTTTTTTTGAAACCTCTTCTGTTTTTTATTTCAGATTATTTTCTTAAGCTAAAATTTTTTCCTTTTGTTAAAGGAATCATCAGTATTTTTACAAAACAACCCAGAAGATAACAAAACAACAAGAAATAATGAAATCTGAATGTACAAGTATCAGCTGTTTGATTTATGCGTTAGTTAAATGAATATGCATTAACAACTGAGAAGGCCAATAATCAATCCAGGTTTTATAGTTCAATCCACCCCACAGAACCATCCTGCCATCCAGGGCTCAAGCTGCAAGGGACCAGACCAAGAGACAGAATTGACAAAGGAATGAATGGGAGAAAAACCATCTAGCATAGACAATAAACTAGATTTACAGAAAAGAGGCAGAGAAAAGATAAATGTTTAATACAAATTTTAAAATATATTGCAAACAGTCGAAATGACAGAGAGAAGAAGAAGGATTGGACTAGACTTTACTACAGAAAGCCATGTGGATGTGCATGGTGAGCAGCCACGTGCTGCTTTCTGCAAGCCCAGGTTTTTAGAACTGCCTACCAGATCGAACCCGAATTACAAAAAGAATATTAACTAAATTGAAGTATGCTGATGAAGTATCATTTTCCTTTAGTTAATAAAATAAAGCCAGATAAAAAGTCTTACCAATTTCATCAGTCAGTTATGAATAAGATTTGTATTTTCAAACAGCAAAAAAACAAATCAAATTGCAGCCTGGACACGTACATATTACTTCATCAAAAGCATAAGGAAGAAATAAACATGTCCCCATGAGAGATGACATGAAACGATGAATTCTCTACAGCACAGTTGAGGACAGTGTTTTAAAGGATTGTTTTAAGATACTGTCACGTTTGTTGTATCTCCACAACCTGGACTTATTCTTGAAAAACAATTCCAAAAATAAATATAAAACTTAAGATAAAGCTGGAAAAATAACAGAAGAACTGCACAGACCAGTCAAAGAGAGACAGGGATAAAAGGTAAGAATCCCTAAAGAAATGGCAGGACTAAAGAACTCCCTGAATTGGAAAGGGGCCTCATCAATGGGAATTTGTGCTACAATCTTGTGTCATCTGTCAGCACCAACCTACAAAATTGATATTCATCTTGTCCTCCAACAGTGCACCTAGCTTACTGCTATGGGCTGAATTGTGTTTCTTCCAAAATTCATATGTTAAGGTCCTAACCCCCAGGACCTCAGACTGCGACCTTATTTGAAGATGGCACCTTTACAGAGGCAATCAGGTTAAAATGAGGTCATTAGAGCAGGTCATAATCCGAATTGACCGTTGTCCTTATAAGAAGGAGAAATTTGGACACAGATACACAGGAAAGATGATGTAAAGAGGACAGGAGAAGATGGCAATCTAAAAGCCACAAGAGAGGCCTGAAACAGATCCTTCCCTCACAGCCTTCAGAGGGAACCAACCCTGCCAACACCATGACCTTGAACTTCCAGCCTCCAGAACTGTGAGACAATAAATTTTTGTTATTTAAGCCACCCAGTTAGTGGTATTTTGTTAGGGGACAGCCCCGGCAAATTAATCCATTTAGCCAGGCTAAATACAGGCCCAATTAGGATATTAATAAGTGCAGTAAGCCTAAATATAGTTCTTTTGACACAAAATAGCAAATAGTACAGTTAAATGTAAGTGGTAATCAGTAGAATAATTATAAACGTGTGTGAATATGTAAACAGAGGCATAGCTGGGCCTCACGCCTAAAATCCCATTGACTCAAAGGCTGGGGTGGGAGGATTGCTTGAGTCCAGGAGTTCGAGACCAGCCTGGGCAACATAGCAAGACTCTGTCTCTACACAAATTTTTTAAATATAAAAACTAGCTGGGCATGGTGGTGTGCACCTGCAGTCCTAGCTACTCAGGGGCCTAAGGTAGGAGGACGGTTTAAGCTCAGGAGTTCAAGGCTGTAGTGAGCTATGATCACATCACCGTACTGCAGCCTGAGTAACAGAGCAAGACACCATCTCCAAAACAAATAAACAAATATAAGCATAGATGCAGGTGCTGGTGTAGGCAAGGGCATAGGCATATGCATATGTATACATTATGCCCAAGGTCACAAAGCTAGCAAGTGACAGGAGCAGGACTCTAACCAGGGCATATCTGCCTCCAGGGCCCGTGCCTTGCTATAATACCACCGTGCTGCACCACCTAACAAAATTAACTACATGGCACTGTGAAAAATATCTGTGAGAATAGGATATGATTGATGCTACATAGAATTTAGGGTGCTTCCAGCCAAGTAGGGAAGAGACTATGTTAGCATTTTGTTAGAGTGGCAGAATTATACTTTGTTTGTTGTTTGTTTTATTTTGGCTTTTGTTATACTGGAATTAAAATAAATAAATTCAACAGCAACACAAGCCCACTTTCGGTTACTCTAATACAGATGAAACCAAATGGTGTTTTTCCTTGTCAGTTCGCTCCTCCATCATATAAAAAGGGATGGGAGGCAGATTTGTGGAGTCTCCCTCCACATTCTGCACAACCACCTCGAAATGCAGACATAAATATCTAGGACACAGTATTTTGTGGATATAGAGGATAAGGTTCAGATTCTGAGCCTAGGGGAAGGATACAGGTCAATCTACATCCATTTATCAATAACCTATAATGCACAAGATACTGTGCTGATTACTTCAGGGAATAAACAAGATGGAATAAGGCTGGTCTTGCATTTATGTGGCTTAAACTCTCACAGCAACTCTCACTGAGAGTTGGCGGGTGCCATGTAGTAGATCAGCTGCTGCCTGTGAGAGAGGAGTCCTGCCTTGCCCTCCAAGAGCTTCCACAGGGCTCGGGGAGGACAGTAGCAAGCAGTACAGGGTGACAAGTCTGGAATAAGAGCCTAGGTCACTCTGATCACTAAAGTCCTTCCAACATCTAAGTGATTCGAGGATGAAGTCACACCTCTAAGGGTTCAGGTCGTTAGGAGTCCTTGAGGTTCCTGAAGGGCTCCAAGATTATTCTGGGGCCTTCTCGACCTTTCCAGACAAGACCTAAGCAGGTGAGATTTAGTCAGAACAGAAATGGCCTCCAGCACAAGCAAGAGCTGCTCAACTTTAATGCCACGCCCCACAGGGGCACTAGTCCCCAGAATGAGACTATGTACTCCGTTAACTACTTATTATCATTGACTGCCTCTAAGCAGGCGCTGGGGCTGTCTAGAAAGCTGTGACAATAAGTTTGTATGAAAGATTCGGGGGGAGCACACATAACTTCTAACTAGTGCCCACAGAGACTTTGGAGCCACTCTCTTACCGGTGGTCCAATGGCTGTACCTACTGTGATCCTTGTGGGCTCGCACATCACCACAGCTCCTGATGAAACTGAGGTTGACAGATTTTATCATCATCTATAGAGAGGAGACTATTAAAAAATACCTCACTATAAAACTATCAAGGCCGGGCATGGTGGCTCATGCCCATAATCCCAGCACTTTGGGAAGCCAAGGCACGAGGATGGTTTGAGCCCAGGAATTCAACAGCTTGGGAAACATAGGGAGACCCCGTCTATACCAAAAAACAAAAAGAAAAGAGAGAAAGAAGAAAAAGCGGGAGGAGGGAGGGAGGGAGGGAGAGAAAGAAAGAAAGACAGAAAGAGAGGAGGAAAGAGAAAGAAAGAAAAAGAAGGAAAGAAAGAGAAAGAAAGGGAGGGAGGAGGGAAGGGAGAGGGAGAGAGAGAGAGTGAAAGAAGAGAGAGAAAGAAAGGAAAGGAAAGGAAAGGAAAGGAATGGAAAGGAAAGGAAAGGAAAGGAAAGGAAGAAAGAAAGAAAGAAAAGAGGAAGAAAGAAAGAAAGAAAAGAGGAAGAGAGAGAGAAAGAAAGAGAAAGGAAGGAAGAAAGGAAGAAAGGAAGAAAACTATCAAACCTGAAAAAATAATGGATGAGTGATTATTTGTGCTAGAGAAGAGAAGGCATCTTGACTTAGGAATCCACTGAGCAAGCTTCCTCTATTACGGTTTGCATGTGTCTTCTCCAAAATTCATGTTGAAACTTAATCCCCAATACAACAGTATTAAGAGGTGGGGCCTTTAGGAAGTGATTTGGCTCTGACAAGGCTGAAGTCAAGACAAGGAGAGGAGGCAGAAAGGAGAGAGAGAGACTGCAACCTGGGAGGTATGAGAAGCTGCGGAACTCATAGGAAGCTGCAAGCCAACAGAGTCTATTTTGCTTTTGGGGATCCTTTGGTTATATATCCATATTCCCCTGATTGTTACTATCCTGGGTGAGAAAAGGCTAGCTAAGCATTTCAATGCCTTAGAAAAAAAAATGGCTTATTCAAATGAAAAAATCTTTTAAGTTTTCTTTTCTATTTATCTTTCGAAAGACATCTAGAAATTTACTGGGGGGAAGATGTCTTTTCATTCCCCCTTCACACTCCTCCCCCTCTCTTTAGTGATGAATCTCTTGGTGAACTCGTCTGAATGTCAAAAAGAAAAAGACATCTTCTCAGAAAAATATAAATATTTATAGACAGCATTACTCCATCACCCCTGAAATGTTAAACAGAGCTGTTTCTCCATTCTCTTCTTTATTGATTTAGTTATGTGGTACATAATCAGAAAGCCAAAAAAAAAAGGTAACGGTGGAACTCAAATCACCAGGTCATGCATCAAATAAACGCAGACCAAAAAACATTCATTAAATCTTGTTGTGATATACCTCCAGAGAGCAGTAACAGAAATAAAAAAAATCAATGTCAAAACAAACCTGGCCTCGGACTGCTGGAGAATGGCTGCTCACAGACCTTCCTCTGTGATGAGATCCCGACGTCTGTGGCACTTCTCCTCCTCTGAGTTATGTGCTCTCTTAGGGCTAAGTCCCACCAGTATGACCGCAGGGCCAGTGGGAACAGAGTGGGATGTATTTAAAAGCAAAAATATCAGGGAGTCAAGTCCTCATTCAGCACCAAAAATGTCTGAGTGGCCCTCCTCAACTTTCTCACCGGGTTTTAGCCTAGACAACTTTTAAGGAAGGTAAGTACCTTAGAAGTCATCTAGTCTAAAACCCAAGTCTGTTTTCTGGATCTCTCTTCTGATACCTAAAATCTGGCTTTACCTAAATGACCTGTCCTCTTTCCAAGTGATAGTCAACCTACTAATAAGCAAAAATGATGATTAGTTGGTGCCATATTTCCAGTTTTTCCAATAGTTACAGAAAGGCTACCTGTGACAGTAGATGTGATTTTACAGTGTTACTAATGATCATTCTGGCAGCTCGTTATATACACGACACAACTGAAAATAACCCCACCAAAGAAACAAAAAAAGATAATTTCCTGACTTTAAAGACATAGAAGAGATTCTCTAGATTAAGAACAATGGGAAAAGGATGTTAAAATGATCTATGGTGCCCTCAATTACCTTTAAAATGCTCATGTATTTTCTAAGGGATTTTCACAAAGCTTCAATGTATTAGGACTCTCAATTTTAACTGCTGCCTGGGGCTTTACCCTACTTATTTTAAAATAATTTAATATTTGCCTTTTGTTGGGTCCCAAAAACAAAATGTACTCAAAAACATACACTTTGAAAGATGAGCAGAAAATATGTAAAATCAGTATATCAATTATTCTAAAGGGAACTAACATTTTACTGACACATGTTTTGAGTCACACTCTTGCAAACAAAATAAAACTGCTATCCTCCAAGGGCTCATGGCTTAGCCTTATACGGCCCTACCTTGGAATGTCAGGACAACTTTGGAAAATACCTCATTTGGGGGAAAAGCACACAAAACTAACAGACATCAACACAAAAGGGCAGGTCAAAAATAAAAAGCTTTAAAAACAAAATTCACAGTAGGTAACACCAAGACACCTCCCGAAGCTCAGCCTAGGGTTCTTCTCTTAGGAAAAGCATGAAGTTGGAATCGGTATAACCTGGGGAACTGTCACAGATGGCTGACATGGAAGCACTATCTCACAGAGAAATGATATCACCATGTACTGATCACACATTATGTGCCAGACACACAATGTTTATCTCATTTACTCCATCCAAGGTCACAAAAAGCTGGTGACACCAAGGAAGTGGCAGAGCCTAAATGAAGTCTACCACCAAAATTTCCTTTTTTATTTTTTATTTTTGAAACAGGGTCTCACTCTGTGGCCCAGGCTGGAGTGTGGTGGCGTGATCATGGCTCACTGCAGCCTCAAGTGGGCTCAAGCAATCCTCCCACCTCTGCCTCCCAAGTAACTGGGACTACAGGTATGTGCTACTATGCCAAGCTAATTTTTAAATTTTTTTTAGAGACAGGATCTCACTACATTGTCCAGGCTGGTCGCAAACTCCTGGGCTCAAGCAATCCTCCTGCCTCGTACCTCCCACCTTGGCCTCCCAGAGTGCTGGGATTACAGGTGAGAGACACTGTGCCCAGCACCACTATCAAATTTTCTGATAAATAAAATAGAAAACTGGGAATTATGCTGTCAAATAGGTTAAGTCTCCAGGATCATCTGGGAAAACTTTGCAGATATCAGGACAGGGAATTCCTAGAGTGGAAGAAGGTACAGGGCAGTATCATTTTGTGACCAAATCCCATAAGGTTGCCAGGACTGTCTGCTCCGGTTTTGCCAGCAATATGCAACCTTCTGCTCCAGTGCGTGATCTCATTAACTGGATTGTCTTTCCATGCTTTGTACACAGGAATGCTCACCCCTTCTTCTAATCCTAGATCTTAATTATGAGGGTCAAAAATGGAGACTGAAAATATAGATCTTTCTATGAAAAATGTCTTTATTTTAGCATGGGCTTAGAAAAAGCATATAATCTCTACTGTAATTCATACATGTTTACAATAATTCCACTTAATTCAACAAAACGTTATGGAAGTCCTACTATATATGATGTTCTAAGTATTTAGTATTATTACACTTTTGCTCCTGTGTAATTTGCATTGTGTAAATTGGGGTTTTGCCTATGCAAGTCACCCTGGGATGCCTACACCGTGAAATCTGAATCTGCTGCTTTAAAAGGGCAGGGAAGCCCCCATAGGTACATGAATAGTTTCAAAACTACAACCATTTTAGCCTTACCCCAGAATTACACAGTGAGTTACTAGTAAAGGAGAAAAATTATAGTCCACACCTTGTTACCAAGACTAAGTAACTGCAATATGAGATTTAAATTGAGCAATAACCATCAATTAGCATTACTGGTAATCTTAGACTTCTCAGTTAAAGAACCTATGTATGTCAACACAATTATGAAAGTCTGATTTCTATATTGGGACTCTAGAAAACGAGAATGTTTGCTTCCCATGTTGACAGTTCCTGTGTGATTTTGCCCTTTTTGTAATTTTCTCTATTGAAAATGAAATTCATAGCATAATTAGAATCTTCATGGATTAAATTCCAATGCTAAAACTGCACATGACACAGGCAAAGGAAACAGAACATGAGCCCCACCTGGAAAGAATTAAGAGAGTAAAACGAGCCCAAAATTGCCTAATAAAAATCACTAATTCTGGAAGTTTTAACAAGATGCTTTCTTAAAGAAAAAAAAGGAAAATTTAGGGAAATTAGAAAACGTAAAGAAAATTAACATACTTGATCCTAATGATGTAACGGCATAATAATCAATTTTTAAAACTCAAATAAATACAGGTAATTCTAGTATGGCTAAGAGAAAAAACCCTCAGCCTGCATGTAGTATTGCTCTTTCGACTTTTAAAATAATGTGTCTCACACACAGCAGTTCAATTTCTGTGTTAGCCTCTAGGAAGCACAAATCAACATTTCACAAGATAATTCTGTATATGATGAATCTCTGCTTATTTCAAGGATAATTACAACTGTTAAATGTTACCATTCTGAATATAAGGTAAAAAACACAAATAAAGATTATACTTACCTAATTCCCTCTTTGGCTAGCCCCCAAAATTCACCAACTCCCTCCATCAGGAGCAACAAAGACAGCAAGACAGAAAGGGAACACCTATCACTTCATCTCCTGATGAAAGCAACTGAGGTGCTTGGGTATAGTTCCACCCTACCAAAAGGCACAACAATATAGAAAATTTAATATCTACCTTCCTTCCTGCACATCCAAGAGGATGGATCATCCCCTTAAGAATTCTCTTTTGCCAAGAAACAAAATGGCCTAACTACTAGAACTGCATTAGCCTTCAGTGATGATGAAATTTTAAAAGGCATGTGTAATAAAGGCGTGGCCAGCACAAGCAAGCAAAAAGCAAGATGTTCCTTGATTCTTTTATCATGAGCACTTACCTTAGCCCTTCCTTGCAACCCCAGCAATATATCCACAATCCTATTTTAGCGGAGCAGAGTTTAAAATACTTATGTTAATGTAACTGGATATCTGCCAAGAGGAAACACCTTGGTATTCGTCCTTGCGCTACAACTAACCCTACACTCCTCAAGTTTCTTCCCTCTGTGTCCACCATCCAGCAAACACAATTTATGCCATCTTCAGTTTCATCCATATGTCAACCTCACACCAGTAGACACAGATATCTGATCTAACTAAAAGCTTACTTTTGTAGCCTCCCAAGTAGCAATAAATGGGCCCTTAATAAGAGCTGTGTGTCCTTGGACAAGGCATTTATCATCTCTGAGTCTCACGTTCCTCCTTTGTGAACTAAATGGTGAGGACCAGGTGATGTCAGAGTGGCCTTCTAGCAGCCCATGCCATCATGTCTAGGTGCACATCCTTGTCGCTGACTTGCCCAGATCAGGGAAAATGCAAACTTCAGTCTCAGGTTCTTATGTTCAATTGCTTCAAAGGATTGAGGATATAATTACAATTAGAGAAGAAAATAATGAAGGGCGGTAGTGAGCATGTTAATTCATTTTCCATATTCAAGTCAGTAGTGCTTTGGCCCACCTGAATCTTTGACTATAATATTCCAGGGAGCAAGAGATCACATACTGTCAGATGTCAGTGAACTATTTATGCGATTATTCCAGGCAAAATGAACCTGAAATACCTACTTTTGGTTTTTATTTTGTTTGTTCAACTGGATGAAAAGCAACAAACATAATTGTTTATATTTTCCTAAGCACAGAGAACACAACTCCAGAAAATACAAGATAGAATTGGTGACCTATAAAATCATTTGAAAGTCAACAATTTAAAAAGCCTCAAATGCAAGACCAGCTCCTGTTAAAATGTCTTCTATGTACCTATATTTGCTAATCTGTCATGTATATCGTTATGTGTGCCATAATCCCTAATGCTTGCAAGTCATTAAGATGAATGGCTGGAAGTCAAGGGTATAGGAAGACTCTCTCAAACTTGCCCTTTGACCCATGGAAGAAGGTGGCATCTGCCTAGTGTTTGAGGACAGATTTCATGGGGAACTCAGGCCCTACCCCACCTACAGCCTAGACATCCCCAGTCCCCCTCTATTGCACACTCACACAGGAGTGGGCCCTACAGTCCTTCCTTCAGCATCCATTCCCATCTGCCCACTCTGCCCACTCAGATCTCTGCCCTCTCCAGCGAAACGACATCACCAGAGCACAGTCTGAAAGCCAGGCTGGCAACACAGAAGCCCAGAATTGCCTGGATTTGAGAGAGTCTTATTCTCTAAAAAGACAGGTGGTTCCATTTAAAATTCCACTCTGCCCATCGGCATCAACCCATGCTTCACCCTCAGCCCCCAACACATATGCTGCGGGAGTTCCCGTCCTCCCCCAGCCCTCGCCTGCGTGCAGTAGCCTAACTGTTCCCAGCTGCTGCTGGCTTCCTCTTGGCTCTGGAGCAGCATCGTGTTCTAACAGCATGGATGCAGAAACCTCCAAGACCATCTCGTAGCAGAGGGCATTTCCCCATATTTCTTGCTGTAACCACAGCCTATGCCTTCTTACCTTTAATTCAATTACAAGGATGAATTAATTTGGTCTCTGATACTAAAAAAATCCTCAGCTTACACTGCAGCCAGCAGAGCCCAACCATACCCTAGTGGAGGGGACTCCACAACAGGCCACAGCATTGAAAGGTTCCAGGGGTGATCAAGATGACTCCATCTTGGCCAAGCTTTCCTAAAGGGTTCATTCAGCCTTGAGTAACCAGAAAAGTAGGTCATGGGCCTGAGTCATAGTCTGAAGCCCCATGTGCACATTCAGTAGTGAAGAACCAAGCCCCACAGTTCTGTGTGGTTTGCAAGATGCAAGCAACATTTGCAGATGGGTCCTCACGCTACTTCCCCCACCAATACGCTCACATCAGCCTTGACTTCCAGCACAATAACACACACCCCTGAATCCTCCAGTCATCCTGAAAGCACAACAATATTCCCTTCAGGCAGCCAAAAAATAAAAATTAAAAAAGAGAAAGTGAAAGCAATCTAAGACATTATTGGTACAAGTAGCTTTTAGGTCACCATGCTCCAGCGAACCAAGGCAATAGCCTCTGATTAAGACAGGCTTAATCGTTCTTAGCTGCATTGTTTTTTTCTTATTTGGTCAGTAGCTGTCACATTGACGTGGTGTTACCAGTCTTTAACCCTACTTTTTAAAGCAAGACTCTCTTTGCCCTTACTGCCATCATGTGCTTATGTACGTAATTGTGTGCGTACACACATGCAGACACCCCCACACCCCTTTGACATCACAGAATGGACTACTGAGGAATTAACTCAGCACTCCAGTGCTTTTAAGAGAAATGTGTTAAGACAACCTGACAAGCAGAGGAAAACCATCAAAGCTTATCTATTTCTTCCTTCTCTGCTCTTCTGTGATATTTTCTTTCCTATCTGCACCTAAAAGAGAAAATCTTATGCCTTTCAATGTCAACAATGAATGATGAAGCTTCTGAAACAAAGCTGTAAAACAGCACATTCATGCGTCCTATCACCTATGAGACCTTCCCACTTCAAGGCTTCCCAGGGACAGAACACTCCGTCCTTCTGTAGGGACCTAGGATGGGATTCAGTCGGAAGGGCAGTGGAGGTTTACTCTATCAGCTGAGAAGCAGGGAACTTCTGGCAGTAATACATAACTTTTAAATCCATCAGAAAAATAATATTGCAAGCCAGCTAAGACTAATTTTCTAAAACTTGGTACAAATATGAAAAAATGTGACCACATGCAAAGAGCCTGCAAAGGTGCAAGCCAAACAGCATGGATCTTCCTGGATCTAATGAAGGTTAGAGTTAATTTGGCCATTTAAAAACAACACTAATATATTATTTCTGAGTGGAATACAAAACTCACGTGTAGCTCTATTATCAAACCACTTGGAGCAGGTCCATCCTCAGGCCCATGTGAGGTATTGGATCCCCTGTGCTCCTCTGTAGTTAAGGATACAGTGAAAATCCTGAATCCTAGCCATCATGTGATTGACAGCAAAGGAAAAAGTACAGTAATACCTAAAGCAAAAAACCAACTAAAGGCAGATGTGACATCAGCAGTGAGTTTGATGGGTCAATCCTCAGTGGAATGACAAATCAACTAATCTTCCAAAACCAAGAGTCCATATGCCTTTCTCTCATATTTTGCTATCTCACCGGACTTATTCTCATCTCCAAATGAAATACATAAACCTAAAAGAAACAGTAAAACCAAAGGGAAATAGGTTCTGGATCAAGTGGAAAACTGCCTGATAATGGTCAACTTGCCAAGAAACAAAGGATTAGAAGGAAATGTATGTTTTGAGTTTTGGGCAAAATAAATGTTAACAGTAATTCCAGGAATACTGTCAACACCAAATGGCGATCTCAGTTGGTGTTGACATAGATTAGCTACAATTTAAACTTTAATTTAGGTACGATGCATTCTCATTCCATAAAGGTCTAGGATTTCATATAAGAACCACAGAGTGAACTTAGAATCATTATCTCAGCAATACTGCAAAAGTATGCTCATGAATGTAAGTTGGTTTTGGTAGATGGAACCATCACTAGATCACTGGATCAGCTATGTAAAAGATACTACCTTTCTCTTTGACTTATGACCTGTGAGATTTTCAGCGAAAATAGAACAAATGATTTCCTGCATTTGTCAAACCAATAGTTCCCTTCATGCTTAGCCGTAGACAATCATCTGAAGAATAATTCTAAAGTGCTACACTTTCTATAAACACACACTTGGTTTAGGATGTGCAGTCCCAAAGAGCTTTTGTTTATACGGATACAGTAATGTTTCATTCTTTTCCACTCCCGCACAGATTAACCAGCACAGGACTTAGTTAAAATCTCCACTGCCCATTCAGTTACTCCATATGGATATTAAGCAAAGTAAATCCACTTAGTGACTACACCATGAGGACTGGAGGCCACGTTGATCACCCTGATTAGCCCTGTCAGCTGGAGTAAGAAAGACAGGCTGGCACTCAGGGCCAGCTGTGCAGGGCACACAGACAGATGATGGGCAACATCGATGGGCTCTGAGCAATTGGTCTGGGCAGTGATGGATGTTATGTCGACAGCTTAGAGTGTTATTACAGATACAGAACTGGCCCAAGAGAAACCCAAACTCCATCTTATTTTATTAAGATAAAGTTGGAGTGTCCATGACACAGTGCAGGACCAAGGAAGCTTTTCCCTCTTTTATCACTGACTCAAGCACAAAACAAAACAAAATCAATGTATATATTAAATAATAAGAATAAGGCAATTTAACTCAGTGAATGTATGTGTAAGACAGATTACAAAATGCCACATCTGCATTTTTAAAATTATGAACAGGATACATAAAATTTTTCAGTAAATACATGTAAAAAAATTATTTAATCCATATTATTAATTACAGTAAGTTGTATCAGGGCAGAGAGGAGAGTCATGGCTGTCTCTGTGTCCCCTTCATGATTATCAAGGGGCAAGTGCTTAATACATAACAGGACAGATCACACATCAGTTTCCACCCTACAGAATGGACTGAATGGATATTGGGTGCTGGGTATTCCCCCACTTGTCTGGAACAGGAGTCCCTCCAAATTTGCAATTACATGGCTGAAAGCAGAAACCATCCCCCACAAAATCCCCAACTTTTACAGATACACACACACACTCACACCCTTTTCCACTTCTTTCCTTTTGTACCTCAGAAGGTTCTACTAATTATCTCATTGTATCACCTGGAGTGAGTCGTTTTAATTTTCTGATCCTCAGTCTCCAAATTAAGACTAATAATAATTTGCACATTAATAATACCAAGGCCTACAAAGCATAGGATTACTCTGAAGAGTAAATCAAACTGGTAATGTTTCCCTTTGCAAACACACCCCCCACCCCCCAGCTTAGTCCTTTAGGCCAAGAAAAGCCTGGCTCATACATGGCACTGCCGGGGAAGGATGGGAAAGCATGTTTTTTTCTACTGGATACCAGCAAGATTTTCCTAAATGTGCACAACTGACATCTACACTAGCAGAGTGATTCTCCATTCCAAACTGGTTTTATGTCCTGAGGTCCTGAGGCCATCTGTGTTGGGAGGACCCTTTGGTAGAATTAGCTAGCAATTCTGTGAGGAAAAATCTCCCACATTTTGCCATTCCTTTTTAGTACCTGCTAATGCAAGAGCTACTAGTAACTACTCTGAAGTAATGATGTTCCATTTATATTGGGCCAATCCCGCCATAAGGGAGCTCTTCGCAGCAAATAAGAGGGACCCTGTTCCAAGAAATCTAGGCAAATAACATCACATTGAAGTGCAAGACTGCAGGAGCTCAGTAACATTTCTCAAACATATAAGTACCTCTGCCACCCCTTCATATGAAAATATCACTGCTGCACGATTGAGTTTCACAGCATGAGGACCTGAACTTCTCTGGATTTAAACTTCTAGTACACATTTGAGAATACAGGGCTGGGGGCACAAAGTTGGAGGGCCTGAATCAATGCCACCAAGATACTGTATATTTATCTCTATTGACCAAGAGAATCATTTCTCATTTGAAAGATGCTCTTTTTCTTGCTCTCAGTATCTGTGTATCGACTTTACCTTCTATTCACCCTAATAGTGTGAACTAGCATATTGTGCCCCAAATGCTATGTTTCCCAGTAAACTTTCCAAAGGACACAGCCATACAATATCACCCTGCATCCTTTGCAGGGTTTTCAACTTTGTTGATGCTCTAACCTGAATCCTTGAGTGCTGACAAAGGTAAACAAATAAATATAATACTTCAGAGACACAGTTCATTCCTTAAGTCCCAAGGTGCTATATAAGAAGCAGGTTTTGGCCGGGCACAGTGGCTCACACCTGTAATCCCAGCACTTTGGGAGGCCGAGGTGGGCGGATCACAAGGTCAGGAGATCGAGACCATCCTGGCTAACATGGTGAAACCCCGTCTCTACTAAAAATATAAAAAAATTAGCCGGGCGTGGTGGCGGGCGCCTGCAGTCCCAGCTACTCTGGAGGCTGAGGCAGGAGAACAGTGTGAACCCGGGAGGTGGAGCTTGCAGTGAGCTGAGATTGTGCCACTGCACTCCAGCCTGGGCGACAGAGACTCCGTCTCAGAAAAAAAAAAAAAAAAAAAAAGAAAAAGAAAGAAAAAAAAAAGAAGCAGGTTTCAGGAATCTGAAAATTCACTTTGGGGCTGGGTGTGGTGGCTCACATCTATAATTCCAGCACTTTGGGAGGCCAAGGTGGGAGGATCGCTTGAGCCCACGAGTTTGAGACCAACCTGGGCAACATAGCAAAATCTCATCCCTACAAAAAAATTTTACAAAATTAGCCAGGCATGGTGGCACACTCCTGTAGTGCCCGCTATTAGGGAGGCTGAGGTAGGAGGATTGCTTGAGCCCAGGAGGTTGAGGCTACAGCGAGCTGTGTTCATGCCACTGCGCTCCAGCTTAGGCAACAGAAAAAAAAAAGAAAGAAAGAAAAGGGTGTGGGGCGGGGAGGGAGGGAGAGAGAGAGAAAGAGAGTATGAATGAATTCACTTGGACAACAACAAAAGCAGTAGGCAGGCCATTTCCAAAGGTTCAGATTAAGTTTTTCACGGAAAACTTCTTCCAGTGGTATAGGATGCTGGTAAATTTGCTTATATATTGGCCAAATTAAAATGAAAGGTGCACCAGACACAGGAACATTTTGCACACGGAAATTTTTACTGCACTGATTATAAACATTGCAGTTTAAAACCTCGATAAAGATTAACTGAGGCCAGGGGTTTGAGATTAGCCTCGGCAATATAGTAAGACCCTGTCTCTACAAAAAATAAAAATAAAAAAAATAGCCGGTGTGGTGGAACCCAGCTGTAGTCCCAGCTACTCAAGAAGCTGAGGTGGGAGGATTGCTTGAGCCTAAGAGTTTGAGTCTGAAGTGAGCCATAAGCAGGCCACTGCATTCTAGCCTGGGCAACAGAGCAAGACCTCCATCTCTAAAAATAAAAATAAAACCTAGATAAACTGAGGATACCTAAAGCTGAAGGTCAATGGGAGATAGACCTTCAATCTCTGCCATTTTGGGCTGGTTGTTACATTAGTACCCCAGAGCTAAAAAAAATGACCACAAACTTGGTGTCCTAAAACAATAGGAATTTGTTCTCTCGTAGCTACAGATGCCAGAAGGCTGAAATCCAGGTTTCAGTGGGAACACGCTACCCTCCAAGGCTCTAGAAGAATACTTCCTTTCTCCTTTCAGCTTCTGGGGGGCTCCATCTTCACATGCCATTCTCCTCTATGTGTTTGTGTGGCCTCTCCTCTTCCTACAAGGACGCCAGTCATCAGATTCAGGGCCCACCCTAATCCAGTATGATCTTATCTCCATTCTTAACTAGTTACATCTGCAAAAACTATTTCCAAATAAGGTCACATTCTGAGGTTTTAGATAGACACAATTTTGGCAGGGGGGCAGGTGGGTCACACTATTCAACCCACTACAGTTGTTAATGAAAAATCGAGTGCAACTCTTATGACAAGAATTCTCTTGATTTAAAAATACTTTCTGTAGAATTATCAAGATGCAGAATGCCATCTATATAGCTCTCACAAACTGGAGGATGGAGCATGTGGGCCAGCTCCTCTAAGGAGAGAAACTGGAGGTGCGCTATGAGAATGGGCACGCCCACTCCAGCAGCTTCTCCAGCGCCTCACTCTTCTCTAACAGAGCAGAGCTGTGTCATCAGAGCCAAACATGGAAAGTAAATGGCATTTTTCAGAAAAAACATGCATACTGCCTCCCTCCTTTCACCTCCAATCCAAGAAAGATTTCTAGCCAACATATACTGTTTTGAGAAAAAACAAACAAACCTAGATTCATTGCTATGCTCAGTTAAAAAAAAAAAATCAAACATCTCAGCATCCAAGAAACATAAATTAATCCAAACTAAGAACAGAAAACAGGGCATAGTATAGGCCACAGACAGAAATGCTGATTTGCTTTCCAGCTTATTCTGCAAAAATGAAAGGCACAAGTATTCAGTCCCGTAAACTAGTTTATATGGTGTGAGTTTAGTTTATAACATTAACAGCAACTCAAGAAGGAAAGCCATTTTAACAATGCACATTTTCTAACTGAACCTTTGTTCTGTACACTTAAAGCCAGAAAAGGTTTTCAACATCTCCAGTACAATATTTCACTCTAAAAACCTACACATCAGGAGAAACAAACTGGAGAGCTTCAGAAAACCCTTACACATCTGCAAATTCTCTAGGCTTGAGGAATCAACCACCTTCATAGTAACAAAAAGCATTTTTAAGAAGGAAATCATCAAAGGTCTGACTCACTCAGCTCTGCTGACTCTGTCATTCCTTCCTCCAGGGGATGGACAGAGACGCAGGCCCTCATCAGTGTATTAGTGTACCTAGCTGGTACCCAGAGCTTTAGTGGAAATCTGTGTGTCATGATCACCTCCCCAAAACACACGCAGAAGACCTTTAACATACAAACAACTCACAATGACAACATCCAAGTCCTCTGACCAGGAGCTCCCACTGAGTCCTCTGTTAATACCCAGGGGTCCGAAGTTTCAGGAATCAACTCAGGGTAACAAGTGCAGGTGTCCTCCGCCAGGCAGACTTTCTGTCGTGGAAGAGTGTGGAGTGGGAAAAGAAGAATTAGGTAAAAATAACATTACAAATCTTGTACCAGAAAACAGTCACTGAAGTTGAACAGAATACCTAAACAAAAATGGATGAAAGAATAGGAGAAAATGTTCAAACTAAATTCCAAATTACATGTAACACTAAAAATATTTCCTAGGGTCTTGGGCCACTATGATCCACCTGGCTGTTATTGAAGAAACCAAACACATATCTCAAGAATTGCCTGAGGCACTGGGCATGGTGGCTCTTGCCTGTAATCTCAACACGTTGAGAGGCCAAGGCGGGAGGATCATTTGAGCCCAGAAGTTCGAGACCAACCCAGGCAACATAGTGAGATTCTGTCTCTACAAAAAAAAAAAAAAAAAGAATTGCCTGAATGATGAATCACTTGGATAACTCAGCTTCCTTCAAGAGTCTTCTTTCTTTTCAGAAAGGACTTTTTAACTGGAAGACTACAGTTCTGCTTCCGGTTTCATAATTTAAATACAACAGAGTATGTTTCTCCTAAATATCAGAAGGTGAAAATTCCTCCTTTTACATCTTCAGCACTAACATCCTTCTCCTCTATGCATTTGATTTAGAAGTTCAAGACAAGCAAAAAGAACAGAAACTCCAAAAGAGAGCCATTCAGTGTAGCAGACACTTCAAACAGACAGATGCTGTCACGGCACCTGATTTAGCAGTCAGAGGTGCAGGGTGAAAGCGGGGATGAGGCCTTGTGAGATGGCATCTCTGATCAGGGTGGTGACCACCAACACAGGGAGCTCAGAGAGGCTGGAGAAAGGGGGTGACAGTGGCCAGTGTACCCCCCGCTTCTGTTACAGTCGTGTTTCTTGTCTGCTAATAGCTCCCTATAAATGTGCAAACAAGGATAGGTGAGTGCCTTGCCATGACAGATTAGGAATGTAAAACATCAGTATCACTGGGCCAGACTGAGATGCCAAAACCAGAAAGTGATCACCAAGGAATCCAAGGAATGGTTCCAGGAGCAGCCCATGCCAAAGTCACTGTGGTCATCTTCAGGCAGACCCTCTAGTCTCACCCATAACACAGAGGTGACAAAACAGACATGGCCTAGCTAACTTCTGCCTTCTGCTTGGACATGTGTCAGCTGCTGTACAATTTCTGCAAATGCATAAAGATGACAGGCAAAAAAGAAAGCAACTGACCCCACTCCTGAGAATGCCTAGCACTGTGATTTTTAACGGACAGTCCAAACAATCCGAGCTCCATGAAACCCTGCATTCAACTCCAAACCCCAACAGGGATGTTTTACAGACATGTGCATTGCATGGCAGTCTCTCCTTTTCTATTAGAGCTATTAGAAAATCCTGCAAGAAGACACGCATGCAGACACCACCTTCCACTCTGTCATAGCCAGGCCAGATGGGAAGGATCACACCAGTCACAGGCAGGAACATGTAATCTCTGCACTGCTCATTTAAGAAAGTAATTATTATTTATCAAGTGCTTTCTAATAAGAGACTAACAAGGCAATTCAAACTAGGTTTTTAAAAAGCAGTAGCAAAAACACTTTTTTAAAGTAAAGGTTGAATATAATGATGTTAAGAAGCAAAGAGACAAATGTCCAGATGAGACAGCAAAGGCTCTCTGACTCCACATGAGGTTCCCAGTGAAATTACCCACTGAATACAAAAGCTGGGGAGAAACTCACACCATGACTAGGAGCCTAGGCTACATTCCATCTAGAGATATTTATTTCAGAAGAAAATAGGCTAGGTGCAGTGGTACATGCCTGTGATCTCAGCACATTGGGAGGCTGAGGCAGAAGGATCACTTGAGGCGAGGAGGTTGAGGCTGCAGCGATTCATGATCACACCACCACATTCCTGACTGGGTGACAGGGCAAGACCCTGTCTCTCAAAACATGAAAAAAGAAGAAGAAAATGTATGGAAAATAGTAAAGAAAATGTTGAAAAGATGGAAACTTGTTTGCCAGACAGTAATACCAACTTATAAAGCCAAAAATGATTACATCCTCGGGCTCTACAGGACAAATAAAACAGACATGACATAAGAGCATATACAGTGTTCATATGGGCATTCGTATAACCCAACTATCGTATCATAGTCACACTGGGAAAGGTCTAAGTAAAAACAGTGCAAGACGAACTCACAAAGAGGTTTCACAAGAGAAAATGTGAAAAGGTAAAGTTAAGTCAGAAGATAAGCAATAAACTTTGAAAATATTTTTACAGAAAATGACAAAAGGTTACTATGTACCAAAGAGACACCATTTAGAGCTTAAAAGCTTATTAAGAAAATAAAACAAGTATCATGATACAAAACTGTTAGAGGACAGTAGTAAAAATTTCACAAAAGAACAAATACAAACGGCGAGGAAACAGATACAAAAAAAAATGTTATCCTCCAAATACAAATCCAAACAAGATATTCTCTATCATCTTAGCAGGAGTCTGAACACTCACCATGCTGGCAAGAAATATGGAGAAACCCACACACTCCCCTCCAGAGAGGCACCATATTTTTGGCAGTCAATATGGCAATATTATTCAAGGGTCATAAATATGATGAGACTCCTTTGATTGAAAATTTCATTTCTAGGAATTTACTGAAATAAATAAAGATAAACATGAGTGTTTATGTTCCAAGATATCCATCACTGCTTTGTTTGCAGGATACAAAATGATATAAACTACATACATACACACGTGCATATGAACATAAAAGACTAAAAGAAAATCTACCTAAATGTTAAGAGTACATTGTATTGTCTTTAAGATCTGGCTTTACAAATGGTTTCTAGTTTGCTGTGTTTTGATTTCCTACAAGATGCATATACAGTAGACTATCTTATAACCAAGCTCTGCTTAACCAATTTGCCAAATTAAAAGTCACTCCTGAGTGGGTGGGCTGCACCCACCATTACATGGTAGGCCTGCTAGAGTAGTGTGTTCTCAAACCCGTTCAGACCAGTTGTATTTATTGTACAATTGCATATTTAAATATGCTATGGGCCAAAGAAGTATGAGTGCAAAAAGAAAGAGTTGCTGTTCCTATGAAAACTCAATACAATGCTTTGTGTGCATTGCTAAAAAAGAAAATTACTGCCAAATTAGGTGAGGGCCAGACATCTGTCAATAGATTGAGAGAATTTTTTTAAGTATAAAGAAGCCTGTTCTCAGATGACTTTTCAAATATCTTTTAAATTCACATTTCTCTGTAAAGAACCCCAAACTAGGCCAGGCGTGGTGGCTCACACCTGCAATCCCAGCACTTTGGGAAGCCGAGGCAGGCGGATCCCCTGAGGTCAGGAGTTCGAGACCAACCTGGCCAACATGGTGAAACCCCATCTCTACTAAAAACACAAAAATTAGCCAGGCGTGGTGGTGAGCACCTATATTCCCAGCAACTCGGGAGGCTGAGGCTAGAGAATCGCTTGAACCTGGGAGGCGGGGGTTGCAGTGAGCCAAGATGGCACCACTGCACAGAGCGAAACTCCATCTCAAACTGAAAACTGTACACCCCACAGCACAGGAGTGAATTGGGACAGAAAGATGGTGGAGAAGTCATCAGAAACACATTCAGAGACATATGTTGAAGACATACATATTTTTTAGGTCAAAACGTAAATGCCTATGTTTTAGGTTAAAACTTTTTACAATTCTCAGTTTTAACTTTTCTCAATAAAAATTACAATTATTTTAGCACTAATTATAAGTCTATTCATGTCAAAAAAGGTGGCTTCCTTCGCAGTCCTTTTACAACGAAGAAGTGAATGTTCTTTCGAGCAGAGAGGTGGCGGGATAGAAAGAAGGAAAGGGAGGAAAGAGTGAGAAAACTATAATTTTTTTTAAAGGAGTAGAGGGCCATTTAGATATACAAGCAGCAAAATTGAAAGTTTACAAAAACTTTTAGGATAGTTGATGCTGTAATGACTAATTATAAAGTCAATGCAGTGATTACAAAATCCCTTACCTGCCACAGAGGATTTGATCAGAAGACAGAAAGTTTTTAATTCAAATTCTCTTGGACATATCGTTCTCCCAAAATCCTAATAAATCACTACAAGTTCCAAAAGAAAACAAAATAGCTAATAAATGATTCAGAAATGTTTATGGAAATCAGCTGATGAATTCTGTGCTACAGCAGCACAGCAAAACCTATTGGTTTTTTGTACAGTAAGCCTGATTTTTTAAAAGCACTCATTTTTGAGTCATAATTTATATACAATAAACTGTACATATTTATAGAACACAAATAAGTTTCAGAATCTGTATACACCTGTAATCCTGACAATCACGATGATGAACACAGCCATTAGCTTCAAAAGTTTTCCCAGGCCTCTTTGTAAATCAGGTCCCCCTCAACTCTTGCTTTCCACTCTCCTCTGTCAATCACTCATCTGTTTCCTGTCACTATCATTAGTTTGCATTTTTCCAGAATTTTATTTAAAAGGAACTCTATAGTATACACTCTTTTTTTTTTTTTTTGGCCTGGCTTCATTACTTAGCATAATTATTTTGAGATTGATCCCTCTTGTTGCATATGCTGAGAGATCATTTGTCTTTGTCTTTCATGCTTAGTCTTAGTCCCCTGAATGGACATAACATGATTTCTTGATCCTTCCACATGTGGATGGACATTTGTGTAGTTTGAGGTTATTACAAATAAAGCTTACGGTAAAGAGTGCATGTATCCAATGGCCTGCCTTTGACGTTCATGTGAAAGTCTTTGCAAGGATGTAGCTTATATATTTCTCTTGGGTAAATGTCAAGTAGAATCGCTGGGACACATGATAGGTGTATGATCAATTTTTGGAAGAAACTGCCGTACTGTTTCCCAAAGAGGTTGTACCATTTTCCATTCTCACCAGCAGTGTACATGAGTTCCATTTACTCCACACGAGCTCTATGTGTGTTTTGTAGGACACGGGATCCCCTGTCTATGCAACATATACTAAGTACAGGTTTGTCTACTTTCTAGGAACTGGACAGAAGTTGACCATTCTAAATAATTACAAAGGTGTATTTTTAATTTCTGCCCTCTCCCTGCAACACAGATTACAATAAAAGTGGCAAAACGGATCAAAAAGAACAAAATACATTTAATGAGTATTTACCATATGCCTGATTCTATGTATTCCATCCATCTTGCAAATACCCTACAACAAGCCCATAAGGGTAGATACTAAAATTGAACCATCAAATCCATTTCACAGGCAAGAAAACTGAGGACAAATAAATTACCCATGGTCACTGAGCTACTTAAGAAGCGGTAGGGTCAGGATTTGAACCCAGAAGTCTGAACACTGCCCTAGCTCTTAACTACTCCTGTATCCCCTGCTACCAGTTATACATTCCTAAATGCTGTTTGTTTTACAATACATAATCCTGTGAACTATCTCTGGCATTCCTTTCCAGTTCTACCACAAAGATAATGGATTACAAATCTTTAAGAAAGAGATTATTTCATAAAGCCTGGAAGATCTTTTTGCACTAAAGCATCAGAGCAAATGTTCATTTCATACATTTCTACGTAACATAAAATCATCAGAGCAATGACAGAATAGATGTTGATTAACGCAATCCAGCAGATCTCACCTATTAAGTGGAGAAGTCAGCCCTAAGAAGTGAGGGGACATTATTTCAAAGAACATGGCTTATTTTTAACAAATTGCTTTTCTGGTGACAACAAGAAAAAAAATCTCACGAACAAGCAGGCTCATTATCCACTGTATCTCAGACTGCTATGGTTTCACAAAATCCAATCCAGTTACTAAAAGCCCTTACCATAAAGACCCCCAGGGCTACAAGATAACCAGGTCAGCAATGTGTTGTGTTTTAAAACTTCTGGGAGCTTGTTGTCATAGTTCTGAAAGGGTAAAAACAGAGGGCAAATTTGCAGCCACCTCTTTGTCTACAGAAAGCCTAAGAGTACAATAGGGACCAAGGATAGCACCTGCATTAAGGAGAAAGCAACGAAAACAACATTTCCTAGAGGCAGCAGACTGTGACACTGACCATGGTATACAGAATATTGATTCGTAATCAAAAAAGAAGAAAGGATGGAAAAAATAATCGGCACCTCCCCAGCACTCTGACAAAAGGGAAGGAAACTGCTCTATTAGCAAGATGATATACAGGTAGAAGGATCGTAGAGTGAAGGACGATTGTTCAATGACAAATCAACATATATTTAATACTGGCTGCAAAGCACTGAACTAAGCTGAGGTGGGCAGGTAGATGCTGGGTCAGGGGGCGGTTTAGATACAAGCAAGAAGTAGGAAACAAGGTCTGTATCCCAATTTGAAGTCATCAAGTTGGGGAAAGGGATTGTACTTTACATAAAATCATGACACATACACTCTCATATAGTAATTATACACCACTGACATCTTTGCTAACACTATGTACAGCCACTTCCTAAGTACTTCCAAAATGGTGTTTCATTTAATCCTCACAAAAATCATGAGATAGCCATTATTCTTATCTCCATTTTACAGATCATTAAACTGACTGGGGGGAAAGGTTCTAGGACAGGCTCCTGACCATGTGGCTAGTCAGTGGTAGAGCTGGGAACCCAATGTGGCTCTGGTAACTCCAAAGCTGATGGTCTTAGCTACTAGGTTATAAAATCTCTCCGAAGGCTTGAGAAACTTGTGGGAGAATGATCCCTCTGGGTAGTGAGGGCCTGGAAGGCTTACTGCAGGAAGGAAGGATAGGAGATTCTAGGGCAACTGAAAAGAAAGAGGTACTACAGGAAAAGGAGAGGACTTCAGAGAGAGGCTGGGCAACCACTTGGTGGGATGTGGTCAAGTCCCCAAATGTTCACCAGTTACTTCATATGCCAAGCCCTGGGGACACAGTACTGAATAAATCAGACACAGTCCCTTGCCCTCTGGGGACTACTGTCTATCAAGGGAAACAGGCTACTTCAACAAGAGTGGATCTCCCAGCCAGGGACATACTCCTGACACTCTTACAACACCCAGCATCCATACCTGAGCCTAGAGAAAACAGCAGGTGCTTCTGTTTCCCAAATGGCATGGTACTGCCATAAACCAGTAGCATAAAGCCAGTTTTTTTCAATCATTGGGGCTCACCAGCTTAAACATTTTTTTCTTAATTTTGATGACACTTGCATTATTTTCAATTATGAGGATATAAAGAGGCTTTATAAATATGTTAATATCGCTCTATCTTAAGTTAGCACACTAGAACATAAATGTCATCATAAGACATAATCACATCCCTCTTGCTTCTTGCCCACGGCTCTTCCCTTACTGAGAAACTCAGGCTTAGAGCCATCAGGTGGGAAAATATCAGGCAGGTGCCAGGAAGGGATGCAGGAGGGGGTGCCATGGTGGCCCAGAAAAGGGAAAAATTAGAAGGAAGCCCATTGTGTTAAGCTGGAATCTGAAGTATTGGTGTGAATCACGGGTTTCAAGTTAGACACACCCGTGCGTGTGCCCTGCAGCAGTGTGCACATACAGAGATACACAGGTGATCCTCATTATTTGTAGAGCCTGTATTTGCAAATCCACATGTTAAAATTTACTTGTGACCCCAAAATCAATACTCCTGGCACGTTTGCAGTCCCTCATGGACGAGTGCAGAACAGCAAAACATTTGAGCTGCCAGGCTTGCATGTTCCCAGCTGAGGTCACCCAGCAACTCTCTGCTTTCTTGTTTCAGTCTCCTAAACGTCTCCGTTTCACAGTTTATTTAGTGCCAAGCTTTTTCCATCTTCTGCCTTTTGTTGATTGTGCTGTTTAAAATGGCCCCTAAACATAGTGCCGAGGTGCTGTCTAGCGTTCCTAAGCAGAAGGAGGCTGTGATGTATCTTACAGAGAAAATGCATGTGTTAAATAAGCTTAGTTCAGGCTGGTGGCCATGAATTCAATGTTAATGAATCAACAATATATATTAAGTAAGGTATCTTTAAATAGAAACACACATAAAACAAGGTTATGTACTGACTGGCTGACAAAAATTTTGTGACCAGAATCCTACAGGAACCCAAGCCTGTATTTCTCCTAGGAGCTATGTGCTAATTCAGTATTTGAAGATACTTTATAGAATATAACTACTGTAATAAAATAATTACTGTAAATAACAACAATCAATGGAATTCCTTAACTCTGTCCACTGAGGTAGTCTAGGATGAGCGACATCCAATAGCAAAGAGCATACTTAGTGCTCAGATCTTGACTTCTGATCATCTTTTTTGCAATAAAAGAAATCAGGGCTCTGTGGGAGAGCCCATGGCACCCCCTCCTAAGTCTGGAGCAGGGTAAGTACAAGATGAGTCTGGTAGGTCTTATTATACCAGAAAGTAAAGAATTGTTCAAAGAATGTTGGAGATGGATTGAAAGCACATAGTTTGAAAGGGTGCCTACTGGCTAAATCCAGAACAATTTGAATGTCAAAATAATGACAGTAACATTATAGCTTGATGAATAAAATATGAAACATGAGTCCACACTGGTATAAATAAATGAATAAATAAAATGAAATTTTCACGAGGGATGGGATAGCTACATAGTTTCAAAGGACCCTCCACAAAGAGAATAACCTTTCCAGAGGCAAAAGCTAGCCAAGACCACCTCAGTCAAACCTCCGTCAAGTGAGGAGCTGGGCACCATCGGTAACAGGACACATCTAGATTGGGCACCACATGATGCGGTGCAAAAAGAACATGGTATCCCTTCTGTGATATTCCCGCCAACGACGCATCAGCTGAATTCAAGAATGTGGAAAGACACAAACCTCAACTGAGGGATACTCTACAAAATAACTGGCCTTTCACCTTCAAGAGGGTCAAGGTTATGAAGGTCAAGGAAAGGCTTGTGAACTGTTCCAGCCTGAAGGAGACTAACGGCACAAGACAAGTTAAGGCAACACATGACTCTGAACTTGACCCTTTCATTATAAAGGACATGGCTGGGACATTTGGTAAAACCTGAACGGCATCTGAGAATTAGATGATAGCAATTTTGATGATTGCACTGTGGCTGTGTTCAAGAATATCCTTTTGTAGGAAATACCTGTTAACATAAAAGAAATGGTGGGTGATTGTGCATTAGGTCACCAACTTACAATCAAATGGTTCAGAAACCTTCTTTTGTGCTGTATTTTCAGCTTCTCTGTGAGTCTGTGATTGTTTCAAAACCTTTTAAAGTATTTTTTTAAGGCTGTGTAACATAGAACAGTCAGTGTGACAAGGGAGGAGGCCCAGGGGGAACGTTCATTTTTGTTTCTTCATCTATCCCTAACGTAACCCCACCACCACCACCATCACAAGCCCACAAACTCTCCAGGCTAGTGCCCGGCCTCTATGCTCCCTTGCACAGCCTCAATGCCTACGGGAATTCTCTACCCAAACAGACCTCCTATTACCCATCTTATCCCTCCTCTGACTTCTGTCCGGCCCCAGCACCACTCCACCCCTAATCCCACAGGCTCTCCTTCGTTTAGAAATAATCTCCTCAAGTTCTCTCCTAGTCCCCCACTCCTGCTGGTCCATCCCATGTACCCTCAGGACTTGCATTCACCAGTTCTGCACAGAAGCCAGATCTCTCCCTTGCACCCCTTATCCAAGTCTACCCCCGACCTCCCTAAGGTCTTTCACAAGCATAGCAAATTCCTCTTATTCAAAAATAAACTCATCACCTCTCCCTTGTCCCCGTGTCTTCCCAACCTGCTTCCCTCCTGTGTCGCTGATCTCAGTAACTTCACAATCCACCCACCTCCCAACACCAGAAACGGAGAGTCATCCTTGACACCAATGTTAACTCCTAAATCACTCTCAAACCTGTGCTTTCCTCCTACTCTACGACACTGCCATCCCATCATCTCCTGCTCAAATTCCTGCAACAGCTTCCCAGCTAGGATCCTCACATCTCTTCTTACGCTCTTCAGTGTACTCTCCACATCCCAGCCAGTGGACTTCTGAAAATTCAAATCTGACTACAGCTCACCACACTTAAATCCTATAATGGATGCCCACTATTCTTAGGGAGAAGTCTAACACCACCCCCACCCCTTATTAGATATTCCAAAATCCATTTATCAACCCTAACTCTCTGTCTTAAACCCTCTGCACCAACGATATAAACATATTTTCCTTTTCCAACAATGCTGCCAACATCCAGCAGACTGCCTGGCACTTTGTAGATGCTCAATAAATGTTTGTTGAATAAATGAATGTCAATTAGAGTCAATTAGATGCAGGGGTGGGGTGGGGGGATGGGGGTAGTAGACCAACTTAATATTTCACAAACTCAAATCTTCAGATACGCCAAAGTATTAAAGATACAACACATGTCCTTCGCAAAAGCCTAACAAAAATGTCAGAGAGAGTCTGCATAAAATAATTGGCAGCTCAAATTCAAGGTCCTTGAGGTTAGACATTAGCAAAGAAGGGAAACACTTGTTCACAGTCAAGCAGGCAGCAGTTACACCACAGCTGGCTGCTGCATGCCACAGCATGACTCAGTTCCACTAATGTGTGGGTGCACTCCCCATGGCATGTGGATGGTGAACTCAGAAAGAGAGGTGTATGTGCATACATACACATACATGGACTTGTGCACACACACACAAAAAAGAGCGGGGAAGTGGGGAAATCGGGCCTTTTCCACACAGGGGTCAAATAAACCCTAAGGAATGAAGACAAAATCACAGCTAAAAACCAAAAGGGCCCCTTCTACAGAAACTCACTTGGTACATGACAGTTTGAAAGGAGGGATCCTTTTGGACGTTTCGTTTATTATTCCTTATATTTTCTCTAAACTCCATTATGATACACCCATTCTGGAGGCTTTGCTAAAGAATAGCAGCCAATATGCTCCCAACTACTGTCATCCACTTTACTTCAGGTATTGCTGCAAATCAAAGGAGAGATGGAGTCAAGAAAGAACAATCCAAAGGCAACAGAATAAAGCTCTTTTAGCTTAAAACCATCAGGGAAATGGAATCAGTAATCTAATTAAGAAGGGAGGTGGTGCGGGTGGGCTAGCATCATCCTTTCAAGCCTCAGAGAGGCCTTGTTGTCAGGATGACAAATAGAAAGCTACCATGACTTCTGTGACCCAAGGCTGCTCTGATGCCTATTAAGCATGAAGAGAGATCTTTTCCCCAGAGGAAAGAGAAAGTCTAATAGGAAGCCAAGGGTGCTTGAAGGGCAGGAGCAAGCCCCACAAGCTCAAAAAGGAAGTAACATCCAAGGGACCCAGGATCACGGGCGAGAAAATTACTGCTGTGAAGAGGCATGAGTGGCCCAACCATATGGAAAACTCATCCGGAGATGAGGAAGGGGCGGAAGACTACAGGCAGCGGTGGTGGTGATGGTGAGGAGGAGGATGATGATGGTGGCAGCGGCGGAGGTGGTGATAGGGACCACACAACAACAGTGGCCCACCGTGGAGCACTTGCTCTGTGCCAAGCCTGCGCTGAGCATCACCTTACAACAAACACTGCGAGGAGGGTGCTATTCACTTCACTCCACACTACACGGCAGATGACACAGCTATAGAAAGACTGACACTACAATCTACACAGCTATTAAAGTGGTAGGAGTCAGGGCTTCAACCCAAGTCTGCCCAATTTCAAAATCAATGGCCTTCTATTTGAAGTATTGTTCCCAGTTACTTGTGAATGACTGTACTTATCCAGATGAAAAAAGGCAGTGTCTGGTGGTTAGGAAGTCAGCCAGCAATACTGGGGTGAAGGAATGCTGTATCGCTGACCTTATACTTGGGTTAGCACAATAAAAGCTTCAGTAATGGATGACCAGGACCATGTTCTGACTCATCATCCTCCATGGGGGAAATCAAATACTATTAGGCCTAGCTGGATTCTATCATCGCTAAACTTTTTTACTGTTAAACCACAGGCATTCCTTTCCTGGTATTATTTACAATAATTTCAACCTAAAAAAAATATCTTTTGGGGCCAGGCGTGGTGGTTCACGCCTGTAATCCCAGCGCTTTGGGAGGCTGAGGTGGGTGGATCGCCTGAGGTCAGGAATTCGAGACCAGCCTGACCAACAGGGGAAACCCTGTCTCTACTAAAAATACAAAAAAAAAAAAAAATTAGCCAAGCATGGTGGTGGGTGCCTATAGTCCCAGCTGCATGGGAGGCTGAGGCAGGAAAATTGCTTGAACCTGGGAGGCGGAGGTTGCAGTGAGCTGAGATTACACCACTGCACTCCAGCCTGGGCGACAGAGTGAGACTCCGTCTCAAAAAACAAAAAAAAAATCTTTTTGAAATGGTAAACACTGTCTTCTTATTAAGTTCTATCAGTCATCACTAGCACTATCGACTAACACTACTTAACTAGTGACACTGGTGTAACACTACTACCTCTAGACAAGTCTATCAAAATGTATCACATGAAATGTATCTAAAGAAGGGAAATTCTGACAGACTGCCCTTCTGCCCCTGATTGTGGTACCAGGCACATCTGAAGAGACATTTCGTGAAGATGGGAAGGGTAGTTCGCTTGCAGCTTGGGGAGGCTGCAGGTCTAAACATCATATATTGATTGCCCAGATCTCTTTGCTGCTACGGTGTCCAACGTGACTTAGATACACCAATGACATGGGCTTATAGGTGACTCTGGTGTTCAACCGAGTCACAAGGAAGAAAAGCAGAGCACACGGTTATCCACAAGAAGCAAGATCTCCCCATGGAGGAGGCGTGTGTTCTGAGCTGGCAGGTCAAGTACCGGATTCTCAATTCAACAGCCTCTCATAGCAGCAGCCACAGCCTAACTTCCCTGGTTCTGGTAGGAAAAGATGGTGCTGGGGATAGGGAGTAGACTGGAAGCTCAGCCCAGAGCCTGTTCCTCCCAAACTGCCAAGGATTCCTGATTCGCTTGCCCATGGATTAAATCGACTCCAGCTTTAATTCCCTAGAGTAGATTCTGTGTCCAATACAGGAAATGTGAATAACAACAAGAAGCTCATCGCTTTTACTAGTTTATTAAATTTGTAAAATGTTACGTATAAAATACTCAGACACAAAGGATAAGGAAACAAACTCAATTTATTTTAATTATATTTTAGTATAATAGCATTTAGGCTAGGATATTTCATATAAACTATAGTATTGCCCAATTTTATAAACTTAAACCTACACTGTAATTCACCTCATTCATAAACATGAGAAAATTTGACCTACTTTCTAATATATTCAGCTCCTTGTCTGCATTAATCTGCAGTGACATTTTAAAAGTTCCTCTAATAATTTCCATTATATGAAAATGCACTTTTCATTTACATCACCTTTGATTTTCTTCCCACAAACAAAATACTGTTTTTTCAACAGTTAGCCTGCAAATGTAGTAAGAAACAAGACATACAAGACAGCTGATACAAAAAGTTCACCTATGATGGGGCTCAGTCTTGGGTTTCTTAATGGGGGAAAGGAGGAGGAGGAGGAGGAGGCGGCGGCAGCGGCAAATAATGAGAAAATTTTGCCCTAGGTCCACACGCTACAGGATGGTAGGCTTGCGTCTGTGTATAATCTATGGAAAATCAGAGAACACAGCTTTGAGAGATTAATATAAATCCCTTATCGCATAATATGAGCTCCATGCTTCCTAATAGTTCCATAATCTCAAATAATTAAAAAAAAAAAAAAAAGAAGACGAAGAGAAGAAATCCACTTTCCACTCCCACGGCCTCCTTCCAACTACACACTGCAACCACCAACACCCTCCTGAACCTGGGCTCCCTCTCTCTTATGAAGCTCTCTTTAATATACTGTTGACAATCGCCCCCCACCCTTTTCTTTTTTTTTTTTTTTTTTTTTTAAGACAAGGTCTCACTTTGTCACCCAGGCTGGAGTGCAGTGACTCAATCATGGCTCACTGCACCATCAAATCTTCTACCTCAGTCTCCCAAGTGGCTGGGACGGGAGGTGCATGTCACTACCCACTACCCCCAGCTAATTTGTGTGTGGTATTTTTTGTTTGTTTTTGTTTTTAAGAAATGGGGTTTCACTTTGTTGCCTAGGATGGTCTCGAACTCCTAGGCTCAAGTAATCCTCCCACCTCAGCTTCCCACAGTGCTGAATTACAGTTGAGAGCCACCATGCCCCGCCTTGACAACCCTTTTGAGCAGCTCCCTCATATGTGCAAGAATTTTCTATGGCTCCCGAATGCCTAGAGCACAGGTTGACAAACTATGGCTCAAAAGCTAAGAATGGTTTTTATAATTTTAAAGGGTTAAGGAAAAAAACCAAATGAATTATATTTCATGATACATAGAAATTATATGACATTCAGATTTCAGTGTCCATAAATCAAGTTTCATTGGAACACAGCCACACCCATTTATGACTTGTCTATGCCTGCTTTCTGTGTGCCAACAGCAGAGTTGAATAGCTGCAACATAGGCAGTAGCCTCAAATATTTGTAGTTGAGTCCTTTGCCAGAAAAGATTGCTAACTTCTGGCCTACATTGCAAAATCCATAGCCTTTGGCCTAGCAATACAGGTCATCAAAATATCTAACAGACCTTCCTATAAACCTTATTTACTGCTACTTGAAGACATAACACAGATTCCACCGAAATGTCCTTCTCTATTTCTCCCAAACGTGACTCCCTTTTCCTTTCTTGCTCCAAAGCTCTGTTCAATCCCAGTAGTCTGTAGACATCCTGCTTTGTCTTTACAAAAGGAGTCACCTCGTATATACATTTAACTTCCATGAGGTTAAAAAAGAATAATGATTTTAAGAGTATCAAGGCTATTCTCCACAAAGCTATTTGTAATTGTAAAAGATGGAAACTACCCAAATGTCCATCAATTCAGCACAGGTTGAATAAGGGAGAACAAATCCACATAATGGAGGAAGAGGCAGATACACAAAGGAGTGAGGACTCTCTCTCTCTCTCTCTCTATGCCACTACAGAAGAAGAATTAGGGGAAATTAAATGAAAAAAGCAGAGCAGAGAAACGTGCATAGAGTATGCCTTGCTTAACTAAGAAGGGAAGGAGATACAAATACAAAAGTATGCACACATTTGCTTACACACATTTTAAAAAAAAACCACTACAACGATAAACCGTAATTTTTTCCATTGTTACCTATGGGGTAGGAGAAAACAGGATGGAGAGAGAACTGGGGTAAAACCAAACGCCTCGGCCGGGCGCGGTGGCTCACGCCTGTAATCCCAGCACTGTGGGAGGCCGAGGCAGGTGGATCATGAAGTCAGGAGATGGAGACCATCCTGGCTAACACGGTGAAACCCCATCTCTACTAAAAATGCAAAAAATTAGCCGGGCGTGGTGGCTGGCGCTTGTAGTCCCAGCTACTTGGGAGGCTGAGGCAGGAGAATGGCATGAACCTGGGAGGCAGAGTTTGCAGTGAGCCAAGATCGCGCCACTGCACTCCAGCCTGGGCAACAGAGCGAGACTCAGTCTCAAAAAATAAATAAATAAAAATAAAAATTTAAAAAAAAAAAAAAAGCAAACACCTCTAGCTATAGACTGAATGTTTCCCCAAAATTCATATGCTGAAACCTTATCCCCAATACTGTGATATTTGGAGGTGGGGCCTTTGGGAAGTGATTAGGTCATAAAGGCTCAGCTCTCATGGAATTAGTGCCATTATAAAAGAGGCCCCAGAGTTGCCTTTCCCTTTCTGCCATGTAAGGATACAACAAGGCGGCTGCATCTGTAAACCAGCAAGTGCACCCTCACCAGACACTGAATCGGCCTGTGCCCTGATCCTGGAATTCCCAGCCTCCAGAGCTATGAGAAATAAAATTTCTGTTGTTTATAGGCCACTCCGTTTATAGCAGCCCAAATGGACTAAGAGACTACAGAGTAAGATTTCATAGATGAGACTCTGGATCCCTGACAATACTGTACATAATTATTTAAAATTGAAATTGAAAAAAGGAACCTCTAAAAACATAAAATAAAAACCAATGAACTTAACTATGTATCCAATTGGTGGCGCAATCACAGAGAGAAGTCCTATTCAAAATATCTTTCGAATATACTGTTGTGTATGCAGCATGAGATAAAGCAGATGAAAAAATATGACGGTATCACTGAGAACTGGATTTTTGGCACAGATGAAAGAACAGAGTATATAATTGATGAAACTAAGTAAAAATCCTGCCCATCTGAATTTCACATGGAAGTATCAGTATGAACTAATAATCTACACACACATCCTAGTTCTGTCCACTGTAAGTATCCAGAAATAATGATAAATACAGTAGCAAGAAACATGCCTTGTTTCTATATTGTGCCTTCTAAATACTCAAGGAAACCAGGGCTCCTTGACGAACTGGCAGATCTCAGTCTGAGGCAAGAAATGGGTAAGACAATCCTGTAACATTTGATCTCACCAGAAAGTAAACAAAAATACAAAAAATTCATGAGTCATGTCTAAAGGACTCGGGAGCCAATTTAGATTCCACTGGCCAAATATGGGACAATCTGAGCATCAATAAGTATATTAAATTGAAACGCATCAATTAAATTACGCTAAAAAAAGAAATAAAGTCTCAGTGATCTCTTTTGGACGCTGCTGCCTTGAAAATAAAAGAACATATTTATCCCGACTTTCCAAGATAAATTTCAGTGTGAACAAATAAACGATGAGAGTATAAAGTTATGAAGTTCCTCTTTATATAAGTATTCTAGTATATAAACAAGGTAGGAATGATAGAATTAGAATACCACTATTTTGCAATCACTAATGAATTAAGAGATATAGGCAATGATCATCAATTGCCAGTAATGTAACAAAGAGTCTACAGTTACTATGTGTTTCTCAATGAAAATATGTAGCCTGCCTACGTGTATTCTTGCCAAAGAACAAACTAACAAAATAAAAAACATACCCCAAGAGATCTGAGTCTGACCAAACCTTGAGATTCAACTAAGAAATCATAGAAAATACAAGGAAGAGAGGAACATGTTAAATAGCACAATGGGAAACCGACCACCAAAATCCAGACTGTAGAACAAAAAACTACAGTGGGGTTTCTCAACCTTGGCACAATTGACATTTTGGGTCAGATATATTTTTGTTGTGGGGGTATCCCATGGGTTGTATCATGTTTAACAGCATCTGTGGCCTCTACCCACTCAATCTCAGTAGCATCCCCCAGTTGTGACAACCAAAAATGTCTCCAGATATTGCTAAACATCCCAAGACTGGAAAGGAAAATTATCCCTGTTTGAGAATCTCTGCTCTAAAAAATAAACAACCCAGCTTCATCAACAAATCACAAGGGTCAGAGAAGGTATGGAGAGATAGAGAAGAAGCCCAAAGACGAAAATATTAGAGACATATTAACTAACTGCAATGAATAAGTCTCATTTGGATCCTGATTTAAGGAAACGTAAAAAATAAGACAATTGAGAAAATTTGAACATTAGCTTGATATTAGATAATATTCAGAAAATATTAATAACGTTTACATTTTTGGCACAATAACATAATGTAGATAATTTTTAAGTTCTATCTATTTGACACATATACTGAAATAGTGACAGGAAATAATAAAGAGGTGCTTCAAAATAATGGGTGGGAAGAGGGAAGGGGACAGAAGAAAGACTGGCTCAGAATTAATCATCTTTGGACTTGGGTAATACGTGCACAGTTGTCCATAAAATTCTCTTCACTTTTGAATATGTTTGAAAGTTTCCTTTTTTAAAACTATGAATAAACAAATCTGGCAGGCGGTTCCATTCCCACTCCTCTCAGTGAGCATGTGAGACCACATGACCGTGGGAGGGAATATAGGAATTTATAGTGCCCTGGGCTTGTCAGTGCCTCTTGGGATCCTGTCTTGATGCTGAGAGTGAGTCCATTGTTGAAAACATGGTCCTTAAACACAGGGGCCAACTGCTTAGCAGCAGGCTACTCCAACACTGCAGGAAAAGTCCACTTGCTGGACTCACTGGGAGACAGAATACTGGCCTCTAATGTGGCACCTTCCTAAGGGGTATTCACGAACAATTTTGTCTATAAGGAATTTTTGCCTAATGTGCTGAATTTAGTTCATGCCAAGTAAGGTTTCACTGCACCGCACCAAAATTTTACTCATCCTGGAAAGAGCCCAAGTCGCTGCACAACCTCTGTGAGCTCTCCCATCAGTCCTGAACAGCCCTCTTCAAGACTTCATTCTAGGTGACAGAAAACTAAACTTCTGTCCTGTATAACCCACTGTTGTTTTCAGTCTTTTCAACTACAAGCAGCAAAAACTCACATCAACTCAGCGGGAAATCCCACCTCCTCTTGGAAAGCTGCTCTACCCGCTCTAGCAATATCCCCTCCTTCCTCTCAACTTTCTTTCTGCTCATTTGTCATCTACCAGAGACCCCTCGGCACTGCAGTGTTTTTGGAAACATGTAAACACAACAGAACAACGCCCAAGTCATTGTATCCTCCACGGTCAATTTTTATTTCCTTCCTAGTTTAGGGTATTGAATCCACCTCCTCTGAATCCAAACTTCTGACAAGAGTGGCCAACAGGGACAGCAAGCGCTCACTCCCACGTTCACACAGCTCACCCTCTGTGCCGGCAACAACCTCTCCAAAGGGAAGGCAAATGAACCAAGCATCCGGACCACCTGGGTGACCAGAGCCAAAAGTTCTCCTGCAGGAGAGACTGAGTCACTCCTCATCCCTTAGAGATAAATAAACTGAAGAATATAGAACATATCTGGGAAATATTTAGGATCAGGTAAAAAGGCTTTGTAAACTTCACTGATGTTTCCCTCTCTTGATGAACGGTTGGGGTCTGCCTCAGATTTAAATTTTCCAAATAGATTTGTGCCACTAAATCATTTGTATCCAGTTTTCACTGGATTTGTAAAGCTGTGAAGATTACTGATCTTTGTATAATAGAGTAAAAGCTGTCACATACAGATTACAAGTCTATTTGCTCAGCATTCTATCCCGTCCTTACAATCAATCAATATAAAAAATTTCAAGTCACAGTGAGATCACTGTAAGTTAATGGTAGGGTAACCTCGGACTGCTTATCACTAACAAGTTTAAATGTGGGACATCACCCTTGGTCATCACTGCAACCAGTTAAATATTGACTCCCCTCTATCCCTTTAGACTTGACCTCACTAAAGCCAAATGTCTCCTCCTTAAGTAACTGAGGCCCAGCTCTAAAGATGTTTCCTTTTATTCAATACCTGTTTGGGGGCATAAACATCATTGGCCAAGATGTTTGGAAAAGAAGTATATTTGCACAGAGACAGCACATGTTAACGCCACCACCCTGGCCTGACACAGAGGTGACAAGGAGGAACTCCATCCACAGCCACCCCATCCTCAATGTGCTATTCCAGGGGAAAACAGAGAAGAATTCTTTGGTAACAGGTCTGTGGAAAGACTCCTGGTTCCATGGTCAAGGCTTCCTCTAGTTCTGTCTAGTGAGGAGGAGTGGGAAGGACACCAACACTGTGCACGGGTCCCATCGCCCAGGGCACCTGCCATCCATCCGGTCACTACCATAGGAGGTAACTCACAAATACCAGGATACTAAAAGATTTATTCAGACCACCATTCTGAATTTACTTTGAGCACTTCTATTTTCTCTCCATTCCTGAGAGAAAATTCCATTTCTCTCAGGAATGGAGAGAAAAGTTGATTATCTTTCTAAATTTCCTTCCAAAATAACTACAAAAATATATGAGGCATTAAAAAAATCAAATGTACTTGACTTACACACACACACTTCAGGCTATGAGGAAATACAATAATGGTCATTGATAAAACACCTTTTCCCATTTACCAGCAGGGTTGGGTAAGAGGTCCAGCTTCTCCCATCAAATTCACCAAGGGAACATCGAGCAGAGAAGGATGTTCCCCTGTCCACGCACAGCAGAATTCTTTAGAATGAGCTCCTGGCCATAAGGCACACCCACGACAAGGACAAGGCTGGGAACGAGGCAGAGCTGACTCTGCTAGAGAAGCAGCGATTTTCTGGGGTAAAGACAGAGATCTGTGGAAGAACGTGTCCAAGACGTGGCAGAGACAGAGAAGTCTTTTCCCACCTATAAAACACAGCCGACCACCACGCTCTCAGCCTGCCCCAGGATCCAAGAAGCACTTCCCACTACAGGAAAGGTCTCAGAAGTCACCCACCCAGGGTCTAACTTCTTTGTGTGTGAAATGTCAGTGATAACATCTGTTCTACAAGGCTTGTGTGAGAATTTCAAGAGACACCAGGCTTCAAGGATGTAGGTGCCTAAGACATCAAGTCCTCAATAAATGATGGCAAATTTTATAGATCAGGCCACTGCCCCATCCAACACACGACAGCCTGGGGTGATTCTCCAATACAGGTTGAGCATACCTAATCTGAAAATCTGAAACCTGAAATGTTCCAAAGTCTGAAACTTTCTGAGTGTTGCCAAGACACCACAAGTGGAAAATTCCACACCTGAACTCATGTGACATGTCACAGTCAACATACAGTAAAACTTTGTTTCACGCACAAAATTATTTTAAATGATGTATAAAATTACCTTCAGACTATGTGTATCAGGTATATGTAAAACATAAATAAACTTCATGTATAGACTTGGGTCCCATCCCAAAGACATCTCATTATGTATATGTAAATATTCCAAAAATCTGGAAAAAAAAATGAAATCTGAAGCACTTCTGGACCCAAGCAGTCTGGATAAGGAATGCTCAAGCTGTAGTAATCACGAGCTTTCCTTGGCCACTGGCATTTGCTGAGCCCTGTGCAGTGTACCTAGAGATCAACCTGTCCTGACCAAGGAGGGCGGGCTGTGAGAGCAAGACCTCCAGAAACAAAGCGGGCTCCTGAGAGAGGCGATGGGGTGACTGAGAACCCAGAAGAACTGGAGGCTAGCTTCAAGATAGCTGCTGCAGTATAAAAGGGGAATCCATTTAAACATACTCCACTGAGGGGCAAAAGGGTGAGGACTTCAGGCTCTGAGGATTAGAATCCCACTCTACAACTAGGTTCCGATGGGAACAGCATCTACTTAATCATAATAGAGGAAATACCACTTACTGGTTTTTAACATTCAGAATCTAGAGATAAAATCATGGAAGCCTTTACTGAGTGAGATTGAAGAACAGAATATAAAATTAAAGGTACAGCTGCCTGAAATTGAGGGGTTGGACTGGGAGCATGTTGGTGGGAGACAACAAATAGTGTATCTAGGAGACAGAAAAAGAAAAAGGCTGGCTGCCTGTGTCATCTGAGGGTGCAAAGGGGAACAGCAGGACTGAAAGCAAGAATCAGCTTTAGGGAGGCAGGGAGATGGGGATGGTTAGAGAGAACTAACAGCGTGATCTGCCATCCCAACAAGCTACCATGAAACAGCCTTTAAGATTGACAAAGTGAGGAGCTGAGTTGCAAGCACCATGTTTTTACGTGTGGAAGCCCCCGTAAAAGAAGCAAAAACAATCTACAGGAAAAAAAGTAGTTGCTCTAAGAAGTAGAAATAAGTGAAGGAAGGCAAGATGCTGTTGCTTTTCACTATAAGCTTTTCTGTAATGTTTCCTACTTTTAGCCATTTGCATGCAATACTTTGACTTAAAATTCATAGTTATTATTATTTTTTTTTTTTTTTGAGACAGAGTCTTGCTCTGTTGCCCAGGCTGCTGGAGTGCAGTGGCATGATCTCAGCTCACTGCAACCTCTACCTCCCAAGTTCAAGCCATTCGCGTGCCTCAGCCTCCAGAGTAGCTGGAACTGCAGGCACGCACCATCATGCCTGGCTAGTTTTGGTATTTTTAGTAGAGACGGGGTTTTGCCATGTTGGCCAGGCTGGTCTCGAACTCCTGACCTCAGGTGATCCACTCACTTTGGCCTCCCAAAGTGCTGAGATTAGTCATGAGCCACTGCACCCAGCTTTGTAATTAAAATTTTAAAATATATTAACAAATAAAAGTTATAGAACATGCTATAATGTGTCATTTTTAAATATGTATATCATAGAATGACTAAATCAAGCTAGTTAACATATGTTAACGTATTTTTTTTGTGATAAGAATGCTTAAAATCTACTCTGAGCAATTTTCAAGAATACCTTTTTTTTTTTTTTTTGAGATGGAGTCTTGCTCTGTCGCCCAGGCTGGAGTGCAGTGGCGCAATCTCGGCTCACTGCAAGCTCCGCCTCCTGGGTTCACGCCATTCTCCTGCCTCAGCCTCCAGAGTAGCTGGGACTACAGGCGCCTGCCACTGCGCCCGGCTAATTTTTTGTATTTTTTTAGCAGAGACGGGGTTTCACCATGGTCTCGATCTCCTGACCTCGTGATCCACCTGCCTCGGCCTCCCAAAGTGCTGAGATTACAGGCGTGAGCCACCGCGCCTGGCCAAGAATACATTATTAACTGTAGTCACCATGCTGTGCAACAGAGCTCTTGAACTTATTCTTTATATCTAACTGAAATTTTGTATCCTTTGAACAACATCTCCCCAGCACTGGTAACCACCTCTTTCTACTTTTCTGAGTTCAAATTTTTTAGATTCCACATGTAATTAAGAACACGGGTATTTGTCTTTCTATGCCTACCTTATTTCACTTAATGTAATGCTCTCCAGGTTCATCCATGTTGCTACAAATGACAATTTCCTTGAAGGCTGAATAGTATTTCACTGTGTATGTATACCACATTTTCTTTATCTATTCATCCAATGATGGACACTTATGTTGATTCCATATCCCAGCTACTGTGAACAGTGCTGCAATGAACATAGGAGTGCAGACATCTCTTCGACATGTTGGATTAAGGGATCATATAGAAGTTCTATTTTTAATTTTTTGAGGAGTCTCTAATCTGTTTTCCATTATGACCATATTAACTTACATTCTTTCCAGTGATGTACAAGCATTCCCTTTTCTCCACATCCTCACCAACACTTGTTATCTTTCATCCTTTTTTTTTTTTTTTTTTTGAGACGGAGTCTGCACCCAGGCTGGAGTGCAATGGCACGATCTCAGCTCACTGCAACCTCTACCTCCCAGGTTCAAGCGATTCTCCTGCCTCAGCCTCCCAAGTAGCTGGGATTACAGGCGCCCACCACCACGTCTGGTTAATTTTTGTATTTTCAGTAGAGACGGGGTTTCACCATGTGGCCAGGCTGGTCTCAAATTCCTGACCTCAAGTGATCCCCCACCTCAGCCTCCCAAAGTGCTGGGATACAGGCGTGAGCCACCGCACCCAGCCCATCTTTCATTGTTTTGATGATAGCCATCCTAACAAGTGTGAGGTACTATCTCATTGTGGTTTTAATTTTCATTTCCCTGATGATTAGTGATGTTGAGTATTTTTTCATATACTTGTTGGCCATTTGTGTATCTTCTTTTGAGAAATGTCTATTCAGATTCTTTGCTCATTTTTAATAGGGTTGTTTTCTTACTATTGTTTGAGTTCTTCATATATTTTGCATAGTAACCCCTTATCAGATGCATGATTTACAAACATTTTCTCCCATTCTGCAGGCTGTCTCCTCACTCTTGTTTCCTAAGCTTTGCAGAAGCTTTAGTTTAATGTAATCCCATTTGTCTATTTCTGTTTTCATTGCCTGCACTTTTGTGTTTATATCCAAAAACATCCTTGCCCAGACCAATGTCACAGAGCTTTTCCCTTATGTTTTCTTTTAACAGTTTTACTGTTTCAGGTCTTACATAGATGTCTTTCACCCATTTTCAGTTGATTTTTGTATATAATGTGAGATATGGTCTAATTTCATTTTTCTGCATGTGGATATCCAGTTGTCCCAACACTATTTATTGAAGAGACTGCCCTTTCCCCATTGTGTGTTCTTGGTACCTTTGTCAAAAATCAATTGAGGTGGGTGAGATGGGCATGGTGGCTACGTCTGTAATCCCAGCACTTTGAGAGGCTGAGGTGGGAGGATCACTTGAGCCTAGGAGTTTGAAACCAGCCTGGGCAACATAGGGAGACCCTCTCTCTCCAAAAAAATTAAAAATTAGCTGGGCGTGGTGGCACATGCCTGTAGTACTAGCTACTCAGGAGGCTGCAGTGAAAGGATCACTTGTGCCTAGGAGGTCAAGGCTGCAGTGAGTCAGGACTCACCACAGCACTCCAGCCTGGGTGTCAGAGAGAGATCCTGTCTCCAAAACAAACAAATAACAACAATAAAAATCAATTGACCGTAACTGTGTGGATTTATTTCTGGGCTCTCTATTCTGTTCCACTGGTCTATGTGTCTGTTTTTATACCAGTACCCATGCTGTTTCGATTACTATCACTTTGTAGCATATTTTGAGGTAAGGTAGTATAATGCCTCCAGCTTTGTTCTTTTTGCTCTAGATTGCTTTGGCTATTCAGGGTCTTTTGTGGTTTCATACAGATGTTTCTTATTTTTATCCATTTGCATGCAATATTTTGATTAAATTTTTTAAATAAAAGATCCTCCATAAGATCATTGTTTACATCACAGCAGCAGGATTTTCCTCAACGTTTATCAGGCTTTATAGTGGTGTGTTGACAGCACTGCAGCTGGCCTTACATGTGTTTATTTTAATCTTGGTAAAGTCATGTTTACACTCTATAAGTAGTACACTAGTTATTTTATGGATTTGGAAAGCTGTCCAATTCTGATTTGTTGTAAACAGAATAGAATGGCTTTAATGGCCATTTTAGATCTTCCCAGTATGGAATTTCGCAGCTAAAAAAGAAAAGTGATTGTTTTCAAAGGTTCAAGTTCTATAGAAAAATACTCAATTGCAGATAAATGTATTCTAGAGTCATCGAGTCCATGAAATCCAATCAATTCTTACATAGAAAAGTCTCAGATCTTGAGTTCTCCAGGGGGGCTTCTTAATGTGGAAAGAAATTAACTGATGAACATAATTAGCCAAAAAATGCATGGAAACAGCATACCCTATTATACCATGGTTTAGTAAGTTTAATTATGAAAAATAGCCTGGAAATTGTTATTGTTGTTCTGAAACATTTACTAAGCACAAACAGCAGAGTGAGGAGCGCAGCCTAGGTCCAGGAATCTTGATTGACAGTGCTAAGAAGAACTCTCAGTCACTCAGGGAGCCTGCAGGTGGGAGACCAAATGATGCCTACAGTCATCAAGAAGCATAATCCAAAGAATCAGCTAATGGAGGGTGGCAGGAAGACAAAAGTGCATAACAGGTTACATTTTTAATGAAGGAAGCATGGAACAACTTCTCTTCACTGACGTCATAGCCCTTAAATGACTGGTACAGAATGACAAAGAGCTGCAAAGATCCTCCTTTGAATTTCACAGATTCAACAATTCTCCCTAAATAGCAGTGGGAACTAAAAATTCCCTGAGAGCCAAAAACAATATTTTTCATTGAAAATAGATTTTAAAATATTTTTCTTACAAGCTTTCAGGGAACACAGAGATAAGGTCAGAATATTGCATTTAATCTCAAATCCAGAATATATCACAAGTCATTACATAAAATGCCAAACAAATCATTTATCATTCCCCCACCCCATCTATCAATCACCCTTTTCTCACATGCACACACATCCATGAATGCATGTAACTCTTTAAAGCATCATGTTTATTCCTGCAAAGCGTGGCCGTCTCAAATTCTCAACTGCTCATCCCTACAAGATCTCATCCAGAATGTCTTAGCCTTGTGAAAGACTCAAGAGCATGATTGATTGGTTACATTGTTCATTCATTAACTTTTATTCAGACTTTGGACTGGTCCACATCACTTAAAGCAATTCTCCTTCCTCTGGTTTATGTCAAAATAAAAGCTCCTCCTAGCATTTATTCAGACTTTATATACTTTCAGACATGTTAGGACTTCAGGTAATCTCTCATATTACTATACATTTAAAACAAATGTTTCTGTTGTTGTTCAATACAGCTTTTTCCTAAAAAGGGAAGAGAATAAACATTCCTGGGTAGAGGAAACCCATGTGAAGCATACCAATTAGGCAGCAAACCGAGAGTTGACACAACAGAAAACAACTAGGTAAGTCTGTCAAATTTCATTTGGGTTTCCCAGAAAATCAGAATGTTAAGACAAATGAAAGCCAGAAATCACTAAGGGACAATTCCAAAGGACTGAATCACCATATTCCAATCAACGCAGAGTACACATAACTTCTCAGGACTCTCAGAAGCAGCTAGGATTGTGCAGGCTTCTTGGAACAGGTATTGCTGCTCTTCCCCACATCATTTTACTGTGCTAAATAATTCAGTCCTTTATTCCCTCTGTCTTCCTCCCACCCTCCTCCTTATACACATCCCCATACCCCAAGGGGAAGTAAACAGAAAGCACAGTTTTCCATTTCCCACAGATAACGGCTTAAGAATCCACCCAGAACACTCCTTTCAGATCTGAAGTCTTGGTAACGGCATAGATCTGATGTGTTTCCCGGCCACTGTGCCCCAGGTCTTTTAGCCAGATTGGACCACTCAGCACCCTCTGGGGGTCCTCAAAGGACAATATCCACCCCTGGATTCTCAGACGGTCCTCTGGTCAGGAAAGCTCTTCTCCATCCTGAGCACACCTGATCCCATTGCCATCAGCTCGGAACTCTGAGCTGTGCCCTCGACCTCCACACCCAGCCTGGAGCTCCTCACACCCAAGGTATGCACTGGTCTCCTTGGAGTCCAGTATTCTACCCGCCTCACCCCTGGCTCTCAGCATCCCCACATGCCAGTCAGATACTTATCTGTCAGATCACATCTGGCCAGAGGCTGCCCCACAATGGTGGGAAGGAAGGAGTCTGTACACTTCCATCAGGTTACTTAAAACTGTCAAGTTTTGTCTTTACCTTGACCATGGTGTGACTCAAAGCTAAACTGGATGTTCGCACAAATGGGCCATTTTTACTCAAGGTTCCCAATAGAATCCCTTCTGTATGGCCCTCTGACCTCTCTAGTTTGACCATGCCAGATGTCACAGCATTTTCTGGAAACAGGCAATGTACAGGTAAAGTACCTTTCTTTCCTGCTTCAGAGGAATGATACAGTCTTAGAGGCAGAAGAGCCCTCAGCAGTCATGTGTCCCAGTATTTCCCAAACACCAGTTCTCAGACCAATTTTGGTTAGTCTATGGCTGCTAGTCACTGGACTACAGAGAAATGAGGAAGACATAGGAAATAAACAGCATTTTCATAATGCTAAATACATACAATCTAAAGACAAATTTAGGAATAATCCTATTCTTTTAGTATTATTTTCTCTTTGGCAAAATTATATTAGTAGATGGTAGTTATTTTGTGAAAATAAACCTTTGATTATTAAAAATTCCACACACAAAATACAAAGAACAGTATGTAAATATATAGTGAACCCTCATTCACCTATCCAGCTTTAATCATCAACTTTCTTTATATACAGCCAAAAAAAAAAAATAGAAATAGGTCCTGACTTTTTTTTTCCTATTCCACAAAATTTTAAAGTAGAGGCATGACCAGGTTAGACCAATCTACATAATTTCCAAAGAAGAGAAGGAAACAAAGATTAACTAACCTGTCCCAAGTTCTGCAGCTGGTCAGGAACAGAACTGATACATCTGGGTGTGCCATGATACAGCTACCGAGTAAGAGCATCAACTAAGACCGGCAGAAGAACCCTGTGTCTCTGCCCAGGATGCTTCGTACACACTACTTGGGATCACACAACCCCCCCAGGACAACCAAAACTGGAAAACAATAATCTACAACCAAAGTTTACTTTATCTCATGCTAGAACAATTGTTTCCCAACCATGGAGGGCTCCAGCAACCACCAACCAGTTTCAGTTCAAAGACTACTGGAGATATCAATGACAGACTAGATAAAGAAAATGTGGTACATATACACCGTGGGATACGATGCAGCCATAAAAAAGAACAAGATCATGTTCTTTGCAGGAAGATGGATGGGGCTGGAGGCCATTATTCTCAGTAAACTAATACAGGAACAGAAAACCAAATACCACATATTCTCACTTATAAATGTGAGCTAAATGATGAGAACACACGGAAACAATGGGGAAGAGAGGAGAACAACACACACTGGGGCCTACTGGGGCATGGAGGTTGGGAAGAGGGAGAGGATCAGGAAAAATAACTAATGGACACTAGACTTAATACCTGGGTGATGAAATAATCTGTACAATGAACTCCCATGACACGTTTACCTACGAAACAAACCTGCCCATGTACCCTGAACTTAAAATAAAAATTAAAAAAAAGACCACTAGAAGTTTCTACATTAATTCCTTACCCAGCACTTACCCCCTCACGTCACACTAAGAAAAGATTTATGAAGCAAACCAGTGTGAGTGAATGAGAATTCACACTATAAGGTCCAATATGATTAAAACAAAAACAAAAACAAAAACAAAAACCCAGCTACTCAGCTCCTCCTCTGGGCCCCTACCATCACCTCACCAAGCTACCAGGAGGAAAAATCAGACAGGAATGGGAATATTAGGACCGGGCACTCTTCACACCTGCCTCGCAAAACCACAGTGAAGATGAAACGAGACAGCATAACAGACAGCAGTTTTAACACTTTACAAAACTATACCAATGCAGGGGATTGGCCAATTGATAAGAACAAAGTATCTTTGCGAAAGGACTTACCTTAAATTCTCAGTTTCTATTAAGAGCGTATTTCCCTGAAGATATCCCAAAGCATGTGAGAAGCCTCCTGCAGCACCTAAAATCATAATAACAATCATCAGAATCAAGTAATGTTTTTGAAAAAGAATCTCAATCTATACATTTGGTCATTTCCCCCACACTAAGCATGAAAGGAAATAACTCAGGAAACAATGAATTTCTGCCACAACACATGGGCTGGGAATTTTCTTTACCCACAGGGAATTCAGGTCCCAAGACACTTATTTTGAAGACCAAAATTATGTTACTGCTGGCAGAGAGACAAAACACATTTTCTTCTTCCTTGTGGTAGGAATGCTTTAATGGCTTTGAATTTAAACAAAAACCAAATACAGACATCCACCTCCCTCAATGTCGAAAACAAAAATCTCAGGCATTGCACTCTGCTTCTTTTTAAAATTAGTTTACATGAGGTGCTCTTGTCTTCTTTTTTTCCTATTTAGCTCCTCTAACACATCTGTGAAGTGGTCCCTTCTTGATTTTGCTGTTCCCATGTGGCTCCTGGTTCTCTAAGGCACTGGGAACTTGCTCCATGGAAACCCAATTTGAAGCAGAGAAGCACTATAATCAATTGTAGAAATCAACAAAATGGCCTAGCCACAGTAAAGGAACAGGCGCCTGTGTGAGAACACACACACGTTATCTACGAAACAGAATAAACATCCAGATACAGGATTCATATGAAACAGTCCCAAGTACGTGCAATCAAATCTGGGTGGGTATGACAGACTAGTTAACAAATGGTGTTGTTTAGCATTTAGGAAAGAAAACTCTACATCTCTCTCTCCCTACTTATGGAAGAATAAACTCAAAATAAAAGCAAATGAGTACCAGTACTCATTTGCTAGTTTGTTATTTTATTTTTTGACAAAAGTATCATTGTTTTTAAAATTTCTGCTCTATTTTTGCCATTCAAAAATTTTAGATTAAAAAAATTGTTACTAGCTACATGTCTCAGTCCTTTATAGTTGCATATTTTGGTGTCATTCTTAAAAAGGCCTTCATATGTATATTTCATATATATATATATATATATATATATATATATATATATATATGAAAAAAATGTATATATATATGTATTTTTTTTTAAGATGGAGTCTCACTCTTGTTGCCCAGGCTGGAGTGCAATGGTGCCATCTCGGCTCACTGTTATCTCCGCCTTCCGGGTCCAAGCAACTCTCCTGCTTCAGCCTCCTGTGTAGCTAGGAAGGTGCCCATCACCACACCCAGCTAATTTTTGTATTTTTAGTAGAGACGGGGTTTTACTACGTTGGCCAGGCTGGTCTCGAACTCCTGACCTCAGGTGATCCATCCACCTGGTTCTCCCAAAGTGCTGGGATTACACGTGTGAGCCGCTGCGCCCTTATTTCTTTATAGTAACAAAAACAGACTAAAACAGTCTTAAAAATAAACAAGAAAATTAATATTCCCTTCAAAATGGATAAAGCAAATTAACAAATTTTTCATGTCTTAAAAAATATAACAGCAAGAAACATATGAAAAGATAGCAACTATACTAACAATAAAAATATGTAATTTTAGGCCGGGTGCGGTGGCTCACGCCTGTAATCCCAGCACTTTGGGAGGCGAAGGCGGGCAGATCACGAGGTCAGGATATCGAGACCATCCTGGCTAACACGGTGAAACCCTGTCTCTACTAAAAATACGAAAAATTAGCCAGGGGTGGTGGTGGGCGCCTGTAGTCCCAGCTACTGTGGGGGCTGAGGCAGGAGAATAGTGTGAACCCGGGAGGCGGAGCTTGCAGTGAGCCGAGATCACGCCACTACACTCCAGCCTGGACTGCAGAGTGAGACTCCGTCTCCAAAAAAAAAAGTAATTTTAGAAAGTGGAGACCTTATTTGTACCTATCAGATTGGTAAAGATGACAAAGACTGACAATAAATAACCAATGTTATAGGCACTTTCATGAACGGAATATAAATTGGAAACGTCATTCTGTAGCCACCTGGGAGATTATGTCAGCATATAAGATGGCATGCCCTTTGATTCAGCAATCCTACTTCTAAGAATTCACTCAAGGTAGATAATTATGGAAGCAGGGAGATGGATACACATGGCATTGTTTATAATTATGAAAGGAGGAGGATAAATGCCCCTAAAGGCCCACAGATATGAGACATGTTGAGTAAACCACATAGACATTGAAAACAATGTTGGAGGTCTATATTTATTGATATGAAAAGATATCCATTATATACTTCTGAGTGAATAAAATAGGTAAATGACCATATGCAGTATGATTCATTTGTGTGTGTGTATTCTTGGATGTCCAGAGAGATGTCTAGAAGGATGTTTATCAAAATAGTTATGATTCTGGTTATCAAAATGTTAGATGATTTTTACTTCTTATACTGTTTAAATTTCATAAAATGAGCAATCATTATTTTTCTAAAGAATACAATGGAGCTACTTAACTTTTAAAATCTCGTGTTGAAGTTAAGGAATACACGATATCAATGTCCACTCTCCTTCTCTGTCACAATTTTTCCTCCCTGACTTTACTGACATTCGTGCACACATGTGCTCTTAGTGAACACTGAGTAGGGAGTTACCTTCCTCAAATCAGCTGCCATTCATTTCCGAGGGTCATGTCACCCCTGCCTTTGGGTCCCTAAGATACTCTATAACCTTCTTATAAGTCTCCCTTTTCACTTATGCTGGCTAGAGTGAGTGTGTTACTGTGACCAATGGAATCCCATCTATCTTTCTCTTTTCCATCTATCTTCTCAATCATCCCATACCATTTGAAAACACAATAATCCTGTAGTCATAAGAATGAAGATTTACCACACAATTTCAACTAATGTTTATGTACTACAGCTAAAGTAACTGAAGAAGCTCAAAGCCGCTATGAAAATAGGCAAAAATCTATTTCAAGAGACAGGTAGATTCATTCCTGACTAACAAGGGAATTGATGAAGAGATTTTCTGAAGAAGAATAAAAACAAAGGAGACATAATTGTACAGATGGGCCATTTCTTGTGGTTAAAATACTTTCCATTATAACATGTGTAACCACTTCACAGATTTATTTTTATTGGGTTATATTTATATATGAAATAATGTTTTCTATGGAGATTATAAAATACAGAAATGTATCCCCATAATGGGCCCATAACGTTAACTTTATCTCTAGCAAACAAATTTATTGTTCTCATTTTGCTTTATTTGTAAAAGTTTAGGAGTCCCATGTAATACATGTATCTTCATAACGGCATAATTATAAACTTGGCTAAAAAGTCATAATTCCTTGTAGATGCACAAATCTTTTTATAGATATGTTGGATATAAAGTACAAATCTAATTAACCCCCTTCATCTGCTGGCAGCTCCTTCTTCCCTACAAAATTTCCCTAGAAGTTAGACAAAGGACAAGAACCACTCTCCAATTTCAGAGATGAGCAATCATGAGACTTAACTTAGATTAAGCATCTGCGACTCCAAAGTACAACACACCCCTTCCCACAACACATGGGCCACCCAGTGTGAATTGCTGGCCTCTCTGTTCTGACCCCCTTTAGTGCGAAACAAGTCCACATTTGCGACGGAGATGCATCGGGATTTAAGAGACAAAACGTTGCATTTAGGGAAAGCAACAGCACAGCAGTTAAGAGAAAGGTGTCCAATCCTGGTTGGATCATTTACTAGTCATCCGGCTTGGTATGCCTTAACCTCTCTGTGCCTCAGTTTCCTCTTCTGTAATAATGCCAAGGGCAGCTGTGAGGTTAAAGGAGATAATATGTCTGATGCAATCAGCAATGCTCAATAGTCACTGAGCTCCCTTGCGCTCCAGCTCAGGGGGTGCCATGATGGAAACAGCTCATGCTAGAAACTCATTCATTGCCTGATCATAACAAGGTCCCTAGAGAACGCTGAGACAGAACATGTCTCCAATGGAAACACACCTACCTGTTTAAAATGCCTATTATGAATATGGATAAGATCTATCCAAGCAAATAGGAGCTTATTTCAAAGGGACCAGGAGCTTGCTATTTAAAGTAAACTTGCTTTAAAGTAGCCTTCTCCAGAGTAACATACAATAAATCATTTAGCAGCTCCCATGATGCGCCTTTTCTGGAGTATTCCGAGAAGCACAGAAAGATGTGAACAAAAATCAGCAAAAGCTACACCTAAAATGCCTGTCACCAACAGCAGGACATTAATGCAGGCCTTAACTCTGCTCCTGCATCCCCAACCCCTTCCTACTTGCTCAGGGAAGCTTAAGTACACCTCTCGGAGTACATGGTTGCTCATCGTAAGAGCAGAAATGATCATACTCATACTTAGCTATTTTGACTGTTGTGAGGATGAAATGAGAGAGCATACGTGAAGTTTTTAGCATGGTGTCTGGAATCCAATAAGTATTTGGTAAATGATACACCTAATATTATCATCTCAACAGCATTAAAGAAAAAAGACACCCATTAAGTAATCTGATGGAGACCATACCTGGCAGTTTTTCACCATGAGAGTTTTATAGACTGGTTTTCCTCGTTTTACTTGGCGTAATCCCCACAGGAATGTGGGTGTAAGTTGAAGGGGATCTGGAGTGTGCAGGATGTATGCAGCTGAACCCTCACTATGTGCTTTAGATCCCATGCAGCCAAGAACCCATTTGTCATCAAATTCCATTAAAAGGCAGGGAACAGTGTGACACCACACTCAGGCTTTGCCCTGACATCAACTGCATGTGTGTAAAAATCAGAATATGGGCTCATATGGGCCCCAGCCCAAGTGTTTTGCTCTCTTAAGTTAAAAAAAAGCTTTTATAACCTAAGACCAGGTAAAGCAGAGAAAATCCAATAGGATTAGCTGAGGATGAACTAGCATTACTCTTGGCTTGAAGTGATCACTAATTTTTGACACATTTACTACTAATTATTCAAAATCATAAAATCCAAGAAGCAAACGAATAAACCAAAAGTTCTTTGGCAGCCGTACACAGACATGGGAGAAGCCGAGGAACAATTTTGAAAACAAAATGTCCCAACTTCCACCACTTGCCAAGGACTTACTTGTTTTTGCTGAAGTCTTGGGAATGCTATAATTTGAAGTGTAGCCCAATGATTAGAGTCCAGCTCTGCTAGGTCAGAAGATATGAGACTCCAAGGGGAGATGCCCAGTTCTCTGCTCATGGCTTCCCTGCACTGACTTTCCAGCTAGAGGCTGGGGGTTGGGCCAGGGTCAAAGGAAACTCAATGAAGAGCAAGTAGACAGCGTCAACACCCAAGGACCTCAGAGATGACAATATGCTACGTTGCCTTTTTGCAGGACAAAGAGAAAAGAGTCCTAGTAGAAAAGCCCCAGAAATCCTTTTGTATTGCTCTAAAAACAGCATTCCAGCAAACTAGGAGGTAAAAAGTGTTACATGCAAAAAAGATTCTCAGTATAAAGGGGGCAAAAGCTGGTTTAAACAAAATTAAGGAGTTTCTCCAATGCAGAATATTTTGGATGCTTTCACTTGCTCATGTTGATTATGAGTAAGTAGCTCTAACCTTATGTGTGCACAGAGTTCCTTTATTTTTGTGGTCTATGTCTTGGGACCAGTGTCCCACGCAATACTTTGAAAAATAATGTTATAATTAGTTCTTTTATGTAAATAATTGTTGAAAGCTCATTTTGTACCACTACATTCACAATTAAATGATGAAGCACAATTCATATAAGTGATCAGGTAATGGTGCCAACAATATCAATGCAAAGTAGTGTAAAATATATGCTTACTAGGAGGGCAAGAAAAGAGATCACATTGCACTGCTTTAATTCACACTGTCTTTATGAGCTTTTCACAACCAAAAAAAACAGAGATGCCATGAATTCTTTATTGTTCACTAATTCACTGACCCTCCTCTCTTAAAATTTTAAAAACAGTTATGATAAAAATCAATTAGTAATAGGTGTAACTAGAATGCAAACTCCATGAGAACAGGAACTCTACTTGGTACAAAGCCATATCCCCAGCCCTTGAACAATTTGACTACATGAATCTAAGAATGAATAAATAAGCTGTTCTTAAACATACTACTACTACCTCATTTTATGAACTGGCCAAAATATACTTTATACACTTTTATATTTTAAATTGACTTTGAAATGTTCACAATAAAATCAATTTTTATTTCTCTTTTCTGAAAGAAGTTTTCTCCCCCATTTTTTTCTCAGCATAGTCTCCCATCTTTTGTAATCCAAAAAAAAACAAAAAAAGAAGGGCGAGAGGAGAAAAGAGTATTTCTCTTTATGACTTCTGGGTTAGAAGAAACTTTTTGTCTCTAGACCAACTATGATATTCAGTACATTATTACAGCCAATTGTTTTCAATAGAAGTCTAATTAACTAACATTCAAATGCCTAGGAATTTCAATTAGTCAGACCAACACAGAGGGTCTCCTTTGGGGGAAGGAAAAAGAAATGCATTCATTTTTCAGAAAAAGGCAACTCTACAAAAATAAGCTTTTAACACTGATTTCCTGAAAAAAGCAACTGGCCATGGAATATGGGTATCAAGAAATATCCTATACTATTAAATTACACTTAATATTCTGAACATAATGTTTAAAATAACCCTGAGATGTTACAACACCTTCAAATGGACAATTACAAACTTAAATGTTTTTGCTAAACTCCATTATAACAAAATCTGGCAATGCATTTTAGAAAAATTTGAAACAATTTTTGTTTTCCTTTTTTTTAAGGAGGCAATGGAGGAAAGAGCAGGGATAAAGTGTCTAACTCTTCCTTGGTCATTCAGCAAATTAAATTAACTAAACCCTTCCCCACCCTCAATTCCTTATACAAAGCAGTTAATGGCCAGGGTTTTCCTACTGGCAATCCTCAACTTCTGGTTGGGCTACACTCTGATCTACCGTGGCAGCCTTCCCAGGCCCACCTGCTTGCCAGCTTCCCTCCAACAGGTTAAATCAGGTAACACAGTCACTGGGACCAGTCCCTACAAACTCAAGGCCAAGTTCCTGGGCTGCAGATACCCACTTCCTCACCTCCTGCCTGGCGTGCCCTGGGAGTCTGTGCTCTACCACCACTAAGCCAGTGCACCTTATGTCCCCTGCCCTCTGAGCTGTTTTCCCCTAAGAGGGCTTTGATGCCCACTCTTACATGTCTACAATGCCGTCCCCACACCCCCATTCAATCTAGCTGTCCATCAAGTTCCACCTGCTCCAAGGAGACTTCATTGACCACATCTCAATTTCTGTACTTACAAAAGTTTGTTGAAATAATCTATTTACATGTCTGTATTTCGCCACAGACTGTGAGCTCTTACAGGGCAAGAACTATGGCTTCTCCCATATTTTTATCCTCAGCTCAGAGCAGTTTCTTATACACATTAAGTGCTCAATGAATGACTGAAAAATAGTGACTCCAAGAAACTGGGGCAGACACAGGGGGCCCCAAAAAACTGGGGTACAGCAGCAGGGTCAGGAATGGGTCAGGCATGAATGTGTGTGTGTGTGTGTGTGTGTGTGTGTGTGTGTGTGTGTGTGTGTGTGTGTATGCATACACATGCACTGAAGTTATGGCTGGCTGATTCTATGATCATTCTCCCTGGGACTTCAAGGTACCAGCTTAAGCCCTCGTTTTCCTCTCTCAGTCCCAGTGATTAGTCCACCATTCACATGTTTTTCTTTTTCTTTTTTTTTTTTCTAGACAGAGTTTCACTCTTCTTGCCCAGGCTGGAGTGCAGCGGCACAATCTTGGCTCACTGCAAACTCCACCTCCCAGGTTCAAACGATTCTCCTGCCTCAGCCTCCTGGGTAGCTGGGACTACAGACTCATACCACTACGCCCGGCTAATTTTTGTATTTTTAGTAGAGACAGGGTTTTGCCATGTTGACCAGGCTGGTCTGGAACTCCTAATCTCAGGTGATCTGCCTGCCTCGGCCTCCCAAAGTGCTGGGATTACAGGTGTGAGCCACCGCACCCGGCCCACTATTCACTCTTTTGCTACAAACCTGGGGTCTGTGAATAAACTTCTCGACTCTTTGGTCTGTTGTCAACTAGGGAAATACACTATTTTACATTTATGCCTTCCTTCCCACCTCCAAAGCAAACAAAGGCTTTCACGGTATAACAATTGGAGAATGAAACAAAAAGATTCCCCTCTGTACACTATTCCCTCATCCCTGAACCCTAAGAGCACAAACGTGCTCTTATTCTCTTTCATTCCAACTTGGACCCTTTAAAAGAGCACAAAGCCACAAAGAATACCAACAGTAGAACCTGATGAACACCATAGGTAAGTGTTATTCATCAACTACTTGAGTTTTTCTTTTGGGAAAACAGAATGAGAGGTTCCAGTAAAAAGAGCAAGAAGGTACATGTACACAATAGAATACTATTCAGTGCTAAAAAGAAAAGCGCTATCAAGTCATGAAAAGACATGGAGGAAATTAAATCCACATTACTAACAGAAGAAGCCAATCTGAAAAGGCTACATACTATACAATTCCAACTCGATGACATTCTGGAAGAGGCAACACTAGGGAGACAGTAAAAAGATCACTGGTTGGGCCGGGCGCGGTGTCTCACACCTGTAATCATGGCACTTTAGGAGGCCAAGGCAGGCGGATCACTTGAGGTGTTAGGAGACCATCCGGGCCAACATGGTGAAACCCCATCTCTACTAAATATACAAAAATTAGCCGGGCATGGTGGTGGGCGCCTGTAATCCCAGCTACCTGGGAAGCTGAGGCAGGAGAATCACTTGGACCTGGGAGGCGGAAGTTGCTGAGAGCCGAGATCCTGTCATTGCACTCCAGCCTAGGCAACAAGACCGAAACTCTGTCTCAAAAAGAAAAAAAAAAAAAAAAAATCAGTGGTTGCCAGGGGTCAGGGGGCGGGGCGAAGGCAGGAAAAAATAAGCAGCACTGAGGATTTTTTGGGCAGTGAAACTACTTTGCATGATACTATAAAGGTGGATGTGTATCATTCTACATTTTTCCAAATCAAAAGAACGTGCAACACCAAGAATAAACCCTAGCCAGGTGCAGTGGTGCATGCCTATAATCCCAGCACTTTGGGAGGCGAAGATAGGTAGATCACTTGAACTCAGGAGTTAGAGACTAGCCTGGGCAACATGGCAAAACCCCATCTCTACAAAAAATACAAAAATTAGCTGGGTGTGGTGGTATGCGCCTATAGTACCGGCTACTCGCGAGGCTGAGGTAGGAGGATTGCCTGAGCCTGGGAGGTCAAGGCTGCACTGTGCCTAGATCTCGCCACTGTACTCCAGCCTGAGCAACAGAGCAAGACAATGGGAAGGAAGGGAGGGAGGGAGGGAGGGAGGTAGAGAGGGGAGAAGAGAGAAACTCTAAGGTAAACTATGGTCTTTAGGTGGTAATGATTTGTCAATATAGGTTCATCAACTATAACAAATGTACCACCCTAGCATGGGATGTTGGTAATGGGGAAGCTATGGGTACAGTAGATATAAAGGAACTCTCTGTACTTCCCACTCAATTTTGTTGTAAACCCAAAACTGCTCCGAAGAAATAAAACCTGTTAAAAATAAACAAAATATTTTTTAAAATACAGAGAGAAAGAGGTGTGGTGCTGCAGATGCCACCCAGGCACTGAAGCCAAGGAACTCCCTGTGGGAGATCTCCCCACTGCAGGCCAGGGCCTGGGAGAGGTGTAGAGTGACACATGTTGGCTTGGCCTGGGGAAGCAGCGATGGAGGATCTGGGATCCTCCTGGCCAGGTAGAGATCCTTTGACTGTATCAGAGCACTCGGGTTGAACAGGTGCTGCACACACAAGGCTCCACGCTGCTAGAACTGACCCTGGGAAGGTGCATGCTCCTCCATTTTTATTCTCACTGCCACCCTGACCATTAGCTCGAGGACTATTCCTACATGCTCGTAACCTCAGCAACTGCTTCTACAGTGACACAATCCAGCTGAAGGACATGCAGAGAGAGAATGTGACTTCCTCAAGTGGTGAATCTCACCTGAGTTTCCTTGCCAGTGGAAACTCTGTCATCTGTAATGAAGTATCTCGGGTCTGTAGCTAGGAGAAGGAGGGGCATCCTCTTCAGGGGACACGTTCCTATGAATACTCACACTGGCTCCATCCTCCAGCCTGCAAAGCCTGGCTGCCTGATGCCGTGAGCCAACACACCACAGCATAAATGCAACAGGAAGAAACAATCAAAGTGTACTGTGAGTCTTCTCAGCCCCCAGCAACCTAAGATAAGTATCACAAACAAGAACACGAGGTCATTTGAGAGGATTCTGCTAATCAAGACCGAATTAGATACTCAGGTATACATAATGCGGAAATCAGGAATACTCACTTTCCATAAATAAGAACCTGTCACCACTTGGCCCTGATTAGCAGTTATTGTAACCCTCAAAATTCATCTTTCCCAAGTGATTTTTCTATGCTGCTCTCTCTTACCATGTGAAGGCTGGTTTTCATAAAATTGCCACCTGATGTATTTCTCCAAAAGCTAAATTCCTCTTCTCTTTCCTCACATGGCCAGTGATTTTTTTGCATATTCGCTATGGCACCTTTCATGCAAAACCAAAACACCTTCTAACAAACTGTACTTCCTCTTCTCAGTATATTGTGAAAATTAATTCTCCTCAGCCTTGTTTCCCTCCTCCTGTCAACCCAAGGCCCCCATTTTCTAAGATGCTCTTTCCCCTGTGGTTCCTCCTACTCTTGCATTTCTCTAAATTTTCATGGGTTTTGTAGGTTTCTCTGCATAAAATGGCAACTCATTCTATCATGTTGTATTCTTTCTAACACCAGTCCACAACATAGGGTGCTAAGACTACACAGAGAAGGAATATTCAAGCACCCAGCACCAAGCCTGGCACCAGGTCACCCAAGGCCAGGGGCATCCTTGCTCCCTGACTAAGTCCTCCATGCCTCACTCTGCTCCCCTGTAAAAGGCCGATGCCAGGGCCTCCCTCACGAGCTGATGCGAGGGACACACGAGCACAGCACACCTGCAATAAATGTGGACTTTACCCCCCTCCCCACATGCGGCCTCTCAGCTCTCTACCTGGAATAAAATCTCTGTGAGCAGGATGGGGATTCACACCTTTCCTGTATTTCTTTAAAGCATTTTCATGAAGTGGAATATGCAGGAGATGGGGGTTTTTGTTTGTTTGTTTTGAGACGGAGTCTTGTTCTGTCACCCAGGCTGGGGTGCAGTGGCGCAATCTCACTCACTGCAACCTCCACCTCCCGGGTTCAAGTGATTCTCCTGCCTCAGCCTCCCGAGAAGCTGGGATTACAGTCATGCACCACCACACCTGGTTAATTTTTGTATTTTTAGTAGAGACGGGGTTTCACCATGTTGGCCAGGCTGGTCTCGAACTCCTGACCTCAGGTGATGTGCCCACCTCAGCCTTCCAAAGTGCTGAGATTACAGGCGTGAGACACCATGCACAATGGTATTAAACAATGTTTTCCAGTTCCTGGTGGTTCTGGTTCTTGTTGGGTGATGAGATTTTGTAACTTATTTACCACGTCATGTACCATATACATGTTTAAAACTTTCTTTTAAAAAAGTTAAATACATACAATGTTTATTGTGGCACTATTCACAATAGCAAAGACTTGGAACCAACCCAAATGTCCATCAGTGATAGACTGGATTAAGAAAATACGGCACATATACACCATGGAATACTATGCAGCCATAAAAAAGGATGAGTTCATGTCCTTTATAGGGACATGGATGAAGCTGGAAACCATCATTCTCAGCAAACTATCACAAGGACAGAAAACCAAACACTGCATGTTCTCACTCATAGGTGGGAGTTGAACAATGAGAACACATGGACACAGGACAGGGAACATCACACAATGGGGCCTGTTAGGTAGTAGGAGGCTGGGGGAGGGATAGCATTAGGAGAAATACCTAATGTAAATGACGAGTTGATGGGTGCAGCAAACCAACATGGCACATGTATACCTATGTAACAAATCTGCACGGTGTGCACATGTACCCTAGAGCTTAAAGTATATTAAAAAAAAATTTTTATAAGTTAAATATATACAAAACAAAGAAAACATCATCATGAACCCCTATGTACTCATCACTCAGCTTCAACAATTACTAACTCACGGCCAAAATTATTTCATCCTAGGCCCCCATTTAATTCCTTCCCAGAAATCACTGGAGATTATATTGAAGCAAGTATCATATATCAGATTCAAATATAAGAATTTTATGAAGTAGTTCTTTTGTTTGTGTTTTTTGTTTTTGTTTGTTGTTTTGTTTTGTTTTTGAGATGGAGTTTTGCTCTTATTGCCCAGGCTGGAGTGCAATGACGCGATCTCGGCTCACCACAACCTCCGCCTCCCAGGTTCAAGTGATTCACCTGCCTCAGCCTCCCAAAGTAGCTGGGATTAAAGGCATGCGCCACCACACCCGGCTAATTTTGTATTTTTAGTAGAGATGGGGTTTCTCCATGTTGGTCAGGCTGGTCTCGAATGCCCGACCTCAGGTGATCCGCCCGCCTCAGCCTCCCAAAGGGCTGGGATTACAGGCGTGAGCCACCGCGCCCGGCAAAGTAGTATTTTCAACAATAAGAAGCATAACAAAGCTGTTTTCCCTAAGAAAACAAATTCTCTACTCATTAAATAAAGTTACAGCCATCATACTCTATCTGATCCCTGTTGCACACAGTAAGATAAAGGTGACCCAGGAAAGACACAGCAGGCCTTAGTTGATTCCTGGTGGCACACAGCTGGCCAGGTGACCATGGGCAGGACACCTGCCCTCCCAGACCTCACTCCCTGGGGCTAAAACCAGGACATAAGGAATCCTACTCCACTCGCCTACATGAGCCCCTGCTCTCACGGGACAGCAAGGACTTTCTACTTCCCTATTTATGTTCTCAGTGTTTCCCTCGGATTTCCAGAATCAGCTCCTCTAGACAGAGTAACTTAGCTCGTACTTGCTCTTTGTCAAAAATAGAATGAATAAATATATATATATTCAAACAGCAAAGTCTTCTCGAGGAACAAATTTCCTCCATATTACTCTTTTATGTGGGGGGCGGGGGGGGGAATCATTCCATTATCTTTTTTTCCCCTCCAGTCTCTTAAAATGCAAAAAAAAAAAAAAAAAAAAATACAGAGCAATGTCTTACTCATGTCTCTCTGTGGGTCTCTGTACTTATGGGGCAAGTATCAGCAATTCTCGCGCTCCCTCCCTGCCCCTTGGATGAGATGGCCAGTCTACCCCATACAACTCACCTGCTAAAAAATAACCTATGAGGTTGGCAGGTGCCTTTGGGGAGGGTGCAACCCCTGAGGGTCCACTGCTATCCCCTCAAAGTAGACAGTGCTCCTCTAGAGTCTAATTCCTTTTCACAAATGCATAAACATGTTACATATCATCTCCCCATAAATGATATTATTTGAATACAGCTTTATTTTTATTTTTATTTATTTTTTTTTTTTTGAGACGGGGTCTCACTCTTTCACCCAGGCTGGAGTGCAATGGCGTGATCTCGAGCACAACTTTAAAACAAAAAAATTAACTCAGACTTCGTTTTTGAATTGTTTTGTATACTTCCTTGAATATGCCCTGCCAATTCTAAGATTTAAATATTTACATGTTCTAGTAAGACAATCACCACTACCTTAGAACATAAAATATCACATAATCACCCCACAGACCCCTGCAGACCAAGAGTCAAAACACTCTATTGCTATTTTAAAAAGCAGTTCCCAATTCCTATTTTTAACCTCACAAATAAACAGAATAAGACAAAATTACATCTGACTTATGACTTGGAATACTGAAATTTCACTCTACACAGTTGGGAAAATATTCAAATCCATGATTCTACCGCAAGGCAGGGAGGGCTGGGCATTTTCCATACACCTGGAGAATAGCCACTCACTTGCTTTCCACTGGTTTTCCGTGGATGAAGTAACGAACATGGAATTAAACTATAGCTTGAACACTGATAAATCTAAGTCACACAAACCTTCAGGCCTGACCTCTGCAGGGCAGTGGACTTTAGTGTGCTTCCAAGCAGTGTTTTCTGAATGGTCTTCTGAGAAGAAGTTGGACTAATTTTTCTGTGTGTGTGTATGTGTGTGTGTGTGTGTGTTTTTTAAGTGATTCCATGGAAATTGATGAATTAAGTAAAACCTCCATTATTTAGCTCACACTACCAAGAGGTGGTCTGCCTTCACCAGTTTGTAACTGGTCCACAGTAAGTACAGAAATTGAGAGTAAACACTTAGAAAATTCTATATAGCAATTGGACAAAGTGATTTACACTGATTCTGATTTTTTAAAACGTGCCTGTATTTTATTTTTTCAAATATTTCATTTTTATTGAATTTGCAAAAGTTTATCAGCCTGAAAATAATTTTTTTGTTTGTTTGTTTTTGGAGATAGGGTCTTGCTCTGTCACTCACGCTGGAGTGCTATGGCACAATCTCGGCTCACTACAGGCTCAACCTCCAAGGCTCAAGCGATCCTCCCACCTCTCACCTCAGCCTCCCAAGTAGCTGGGACTACTGGCACATGCCACCATTCTGGACCAATTTTTAAATTTTTGGTGGAGATGAGGTTTCATCATGTTGCCCAGACTGGTCTTGAACTCCTGGGCTCAAGCTATCTGCCCACCTCAGCCTCCCAAAGTGTTAGAATTACAGGCATGAGCCACTGCGCCCAGCCCTGAAACAGATAATAAACTTTCAGATGATTTCAGAAGCACTCATCTAAGTCAACCCACCAGAATCTCCATTTTTTTTGGCAATCTCCCTCTACATTTGTAGGAGGTAGGGAGTGGCAAGATAAACAGAGAAAGTGAGCTGAGACTCTGTATTTTTAGACAGAAAAAAGCTAGGATTAGGATCTGTAACACTTATATTTTTATATCTACAACTAAAATGCCAAATTTCTTCAATTATAAAATGCCATGAATTATAAACCACACTGTGACATATAATACAGTGTTGATGGGTCCTGATTTCAGAAATAGAAAAATTTATGCAAACTAAAGTTCAAGTCTGGAATGATCATACCTCAGTAAGCAAAAACATCAAGTATTCATTATACTCATTACACACACAAAAGGAAATAGTCTTTTTTTTTTTTTTTTTTTTTTTTTTTTTTTTTTTTTTTTGAGACAGGGTCTCATCCTGTTGCCCAGGCTGGAGTTCAGTGGTGCGATATAGCTCACTGTAACCACAAACACCTGGGCTCAAACACTCCTCCCACCTTAGTCTCCTGAGTACCTGGAGCTACAAGCATGTACCACCATGCCTGGCTAAATTTTTCATCCTTATTTTTGAAGAGGCGGGGTCTAGCTATGTTGCTTGGGCTGGTCTTAAACTCCTGGCCACATGTGATCCTCTCACCTCAGCCTCCCAAAGCACTGGAATTACAGGCTGAGCCACCGCGCCTGGCTAATCATGTTTTTTAAAAGCCTTCCAGGTTGAAGTTAAAGGCAAAAAAAATTTCTAGATGAATAAGAGCCCATTACTAAGCATCAGCTATGCACAAAGCATCCTAAGAGACAAAAAAAAAAATGAAGTGACAGTCCCTGGAGAATTCATAATTGAGATGGGAAGACAGATGGTACCTAAAATACCGAGGAGTTGAGAGTTAAGCAGCTTAAAGCCTCAGATGACTTGCACTGGCAGTCACTTCATTTGGTCCCAAGGCTCCTTCCTTAACCCTGCACCAAAGATGGGACACCCAGGAAGGGCTGCATCTTTTCCCCGCCTTTGACTCAAAGTTGAAGGCATGTGCAGGGAGTCAGGCGGCTGAGCTCCCAACCTGCCTCCAACTTTCATCAGATAGTTGTGAGCTTGGGTAGCTATTTCCCCACTAAGCCACTGTGTCCCCATCCATAGAAAGGAATAATAATGCATCCCTCTCAGTGTTCTGGGGAGGGCTCCTTCTGTTGTTTTAAAAAAAAAAAAAAGAAAAAGGAAGAAAGAAATTCAGGGATTTGGGCAACTTGTAGACTGAAGGGAAGGAGCAAAAGGGACAGCAGAAACCATGCACTAGGGAGGGAAGGGGGTTCCTGGGGGAAGGAGACTCTGGAAGAGATGGGAAATGGGCAGGTTCTTCCACCCCCAGGCTGGAACATGGCCAGGGAGAGAGGAGGGAAGCTGGGTGCATGGCCCCACGGGACCCCTGTCATGCATGCAAGATAGAAGGAGGGTTCTCTATGAAAAGCAGGTGCTGAAGAGGAGGGGTAAGGAGCTGCATTTTTCCTGAAGAACCTGTGTGCTCACTGGGGCCCCTAGAAGGATGAATGCAGGAAGAGGGCCGAGCCAAGGTAGTGGGTCCTCATGTGAGCTGGCACCCATCTCTAATGATGCATCCAAGGGCTGGGCCAGTGGGAGGGCAGAGGGGGGCACAACACCTGCATTCCCCAGGGCTCAGGTCTCTCAGTGGAGCCAGGTAAAGAAGGAAGTGAAGACAGGGGTGGCTGCCAGAGTGAGAAGACAAGGAGGAGTTCTGCAGGGAGGTTTTGAGGAGGTCAAAGAGCCGGTGAGGGGTGTGATCAAGGTGGATAGAGCATGTCAAGGGGGTAGCATTTCTGGGGAAACCACACCTGGCTCAGGATGTGGTTATAAACACCGGATGCTGATTGGAAGGGAAGGCTTTTACAGACAGGTAAGGGTCAGCTTGGGGGCTGAGTTGTTACGGGTTGGCCTGCAGGGGCACTGGAGCCACTAGCTATGAGAAGAGAGGTGTGGGAACTGGGAAGGCCCGTGAGCAGGGCACCAGCTCCATGGTGAAGCCGGGACTTGGCCAGGGGAGGACAGCACAAGGCTGGGAGGAGCCATGGGGGCAAGACAGGAAGAGCGCAGCAGGAGGGGGTGGCGAACAAGCACAGAGTGCGGGATTCCAAAATGCAACAGGGGGTCAGGTGCCCACAGATCCTGCCTCCAGACCCAGGGTCAGTGGGGGTGTGAGAGGACAAAGCCTCTCCAGAGAGGCCTGCAGGGGCAACAGCAAGGAAAGGCAGAAGCCACAAAGGTAGCTTGCAAAGAAAGTGTCAGGAAGCATCGATCCGGACTCAGTTTAGTCTCCAATGCTTTGAGCATTAGTACATTTTTACGTACATCCAGAACTCAGGCTGGTGCCAGATACTGGCATAGAAAAGTTTGGCAGAGAGTAGATCTGGAGAGTAGGCTCCATCTAAGGGGGAAAAAAAGGCTGCCCTGTAATCCCAGCACTTTGGGAGGACAAGGCGAGAGGATAGCTTGAGCCCTGGAGTTCGAGACCAGCCTGGGCAACAGAGTGAGAACCTGTCTTTACAAAAAATAAAAACAAAAAATTAGCTGGGTGTGGTGGCACACAGCTGTAGTCCCAGCTACTCAGGAGGCTGAGGTGGAAGGATCACTTGTTCCCAGGAGGTCGAGGTTACAGTGAGCCATGATTGTGCCACTGCACTCCAGCCTGGGTAACAGAGCAAGACCCTGTCTTATTTAAAAATAAAAAAAAAAAGGAGGTGACAATGACAGCAGCCCTCCCAAGGGCAGGCACAGGGGGAGGAACTGTCAAGCAATTCAGGACACCCACCAGTTGAGCATTGCCCTTAAGAAAGTGCTATGCCCAGTGTCAAGCTAGAGAACCTGGAAAGAAGAGCATAACAGGGAATTAGAGGAAAAGCAGGTATCTACGATGTTCCTGCCAGGTGCCCAGCACAAGGCTCCGCACCCTCCCATATCAGCACATCAGACACAAAGGCACAAAAGATGACTTCCAGGTCTGTCCTGCCCTTGAGGATTTTGATTACATGAAGAGGCCTTACAGGATAGACCACAAGATATGTAACAGATACATCAACCAAATACAACAAATGTTTAATATTGAGGAATGTTTAGGTGTAATGGTGGCTCCTTTATTTGGGGGGATTATAATTGTGTTTAAGAAAAAGCCCTTCAGAGTTGTATACTGAAATATGTACAGATGAAATGATGTGATGTTGAGGATTTATTTCAAAATAATCGAGTGAATGGAGAAAGGGGACTCTAGAAAAAACAAGATGGGTCATGCATTGAAAATTGGAGATAAGCTGGTACATGGGAGCCTACCATTGCCTCTACTCCTGCAGATGTTTAGAATTCCCAATAACAAACTAAAAACAAACAGGAGGCAACACATGAAGGTAAAGTACCTTGTTTTTAACTTAATTGTATTAGTATGACATTACTACAACAAGCTCAAAACTCTGAAAGCATGTTTTTAAAAAATGATAAAAATATGTAAGGTTTTAAGGGTAGACGGACAGTTCCGTAGGGATAGAGTCTATTAAGTTTTCTAAAGAAGCAAGACTGGCTGGCTGTAAAAAGTGCAGTCATGCTTGAGAAAGTCCAGGAACTATATTCACCCAAAGAGCACGTCACCTTGACATTACAGTTTGGCACCGTCCCCCCAGATGACATGAAGTAAGTTGGACTGACTCGCAGGAGTGATGGGCAATAGACTCCTGTCATGCTTTGCTGCCTGGCTGAGGAATAACGCAAGCAAAAGGTGCCAAGTGTCAGGCTCATCTCCCGAGCACCCTCAGTGCAACTGGCATCTACATTTTAAAACCACTGGAGGAATGGCAATAAGCCTGAAAAGGAAGATAGCTAAGACATGCCCTAAAAGTGAACAGCCAATCATGTTGATTGATCATCACCAGCTGCCTTCACTGCTGTGAGACCCACATTATGACCAGGCTGACTACAGCTGGGTTGAAAGTGATCCTTAAGTAAGTGTGAAGGTTAAGGAACCCAACTGCCACTCCTCCCTACACACACACACACACACACACACACACACACACACACACAGATGCCTGTGCATGGAAGCTTCTTCCACTATGCCACCAGTAGTACGCTTACCACCTTGGAGAAGATTGGCTTAGCCAGTGGTTCTCAACCAAGGGCAATTTTCCCATGCAGGAGACATTCAGTGTTGTCTGGGGAAATTTTTGGTATCCACCACTGGGGCCGAGTGCTACTGGCATAGTGGGTAGAGGCCGAGGCAGCTGCTAAACATCCTCTGATGGTCAGAACAGCACCATATGACAAAAATGATCCGGCCCAAAATGTCAACAGGCTAAACTTGAGAAACACTAGCTTAAGCAACCAAAATTAGGGAAAAGAGAATATTCAGACTTGTTCAGAGAGGGGAGGGAAAGAGAGAGAGTGGGACAAAGAAAGAAAGAGAAAGACGGACAAGAAAGGAGAAAGAGCACTGCCTTCCAAACATCCTTTATTTATCTATTCTTACCAGTATTTCTTAACCAGATGTGGGATTTGATGCCATGACTTCTGGCATAGCTCCCTCAGGAACACAAGAGGGTCTAGATATTTGAATGACTACAACTGCCAAGACAAATATTTGCTTTTTTCCAACGGCCATGTTTACCAAAGATTATTCCCTCTTGTTGAACTAGAAAGCAACAGGCTGTTGACACACTTGGAACCAAGCCAGGGATCCGCCTGGCACCCTCCCCGTGGGTGAGGCGGGGGAATGTGGTCCAGAAAGGCCAATCCCTAAAGACTTCCTAAACTTTTGGATGGAGCCACTTTGAAACCACTTTGGAAACACATACACATCAACAGGGCAATCTTGTTAGTATTTTCAACAGCCCTGAAGAGTCTTAAGAAGAGGAAAGAGGAGGAGCGCTGGCATAAGGGAAAGCAAAGGGAAAGGAGAGATAGAGAAGAAGGAAGAGAGAGGACAGTTATCACCAGAGAACTGAACACAGCCTTGACCGGAACAAGGCAGAAAGGGAAAACTCACACAAAATTACTGCTTCATCAACTGTAGCTTTAAAGCCAGGGATTAACTTTAGCTTGATTATTAACCCTGAAATATAACCCATGTCTGACCTCCACAAAGACCAAATCATAGCTTCTCATTTGAATTAAACTGTCTGCATTCACATATGTGGAGTGTTTATAAAACTACTCTGGTAACTGAAATTCAGCCGTGCCTATCCTACACGATCACAACATTTCTCTCACGTGCTACCCAACTTCTGTTTTCCACAGCCATTCCCCTTTACCACAAAAATCCAACCACAGCTACAATTACTGCCACTGAGTTCACCGGCTTACACAAGAAGCAAAGAGAGATATCCGACTCCAGATTGCACCAACCTCATGCATGAGCTGAAAGTGCCATGCTTCCAGAAAGTCTGGGTAGCAGAGTGTGCCTGAGAAGACCATCCTAGCACCCAGGCAATCCTGGGCACCAAATGCCGGGCTAACCCCTGCCTCCCGCGGGGAACTTTCTGAATCTCCCAGTTTCTCCTAAGAGGGAAGAGAGACTCTAGAGCCAGGTCAGGCCAAATGTCTGTCACTTGGGTGCCCAGAGGGGACCCTTTGGTCTTCCCATGAGAGCATACCTCTGCCTCTGGCCTGTAGGAGTTGAATGGTGGCCCCCACTAAAGATATACCTACATCTTAATTCCTGGAACCTGTGAATGTGACCTTATTTTGGAAAATGATATTTGCAGACGTAATTAGGGATATCGAGAGAAGAGCATCCTGGATTACACAGGTGGGTCCTAAATCCAATGAGAAGCGACCTTAGAAGAGACAGAGAAAAAACACAAAGAACAGGCAGACTGTATGAAGACAGAGGCAGAGTGCGGCGTGACACAGACACAAGACGAGGAAGGCATGGAGCCACCAGCAGCTGAAAGAGGCAGAGAAGGATTCTCCCCAGAGCCTTTGGAGGGAGCATGGCCCGACAGACACCCTGATTTGGGACTTCTGGCTTCCAGAACTGGGAGAGAATAGATTCCTGTCGTTACAAGCCACCAGCTGTTGTCATGTGTTACAGCAGCCCTCAGAAGCTCATACATGCTCTAACACTGGGGTTATCTAGCCTCGAGATTCTGGAAGGACCTGGGCAGGACACAGCTGGGCATCCTCCAGGTGCTTCTTCCAGCAGCTGCAGGAGAGCTCAGGAGGACAGGGCTGGGGAATGTGTTCCCACCCCCAAAAGCCCAGGCCAAGGATGTTTTCCAAAGGACAAGCTCAGGGGCAGGGTCAAGAGAGAAGGTGTTTCCATCTGTCAAGGGGCAGAGACTACCCAAAGAAACACACTATTCCCAGCTGGTCAGTGAGAAAGGTACCCTCTGATGAGTGGCTGTCATTATCCATCTCCGTTGCTAACACAGACTGAGCACTCCCCATGGGCCACGCACTGTGCTTCCAACATTCTGAAGAGGACTACTTGTGAGTCTTCTGAGTTTGAGTTCATCACTCCCTACCTTTTCTTTAAATTGTACCTCTTACCTATAGACCAAAAATAATCGTTCAATGTTCCATTTAAAGAGATTGCTGCTGCTGGCACCCTCCTGAAGAAAATGAAGCATAGACAGAATGCGATGGTTTGCCCCAGATCACTCAGTGGTGAAACCAGGGCCACGATGGAGAGTCAAATCTTCCACCTCTGCCTGCTCGGGCTCCACTCTACCTCGCCCAGGGCAGGGAGGTTTGTCCCCTCCCCTCCTGCCGCTCCCTCCTGCTGCCCAGCCCTGCCAGCCCCAGCCACACTGGGACAAGGACCATGTTCCTTGCCCAAGCCACACTCCATGCCCAGCCCCCTTTCCCTTCACCCCGCTTCCATTTTATAGACCTTAATTAAATAATAATTAGGGACATAAAAATGCTAATAATATCTGTGGTCGTGGGCTCAGAGAACTCAACTCAGTAGGGGAAAGTGACATTTAAGCAAATGGTTACAAGGTACAGATTACAGGGGGAACGGGAAGAGGGAATTCTGGAGGTCCTAAACCAAAAGGCATCATCTTTAGCATGCCTGGCCGAAGTTCATGATGTGCCACAAGCCTACACATTTCACATTCAAGCAAGGTCCCCTCATTGTCTTTTCCCCCAAGACAGAGTTTCACTCTGTCACCCAGGCTCCAGTACAGTAGCATGATCTTGGCTCACTGCAACCTCCACCTCCCAGGTACAAGCAATTCTCCTTCCTCAACCCCACCCCCAAGTAGCTGGGATTACAGGCGCGCGCCATCACGCCCGGGTAATTTTTGTAGTTTTAGTAGACACGGGGTTTTGCTATGTTTGTCACACTGGTCTCAAACTCCTGCCCTCAAGTGATCCACCCGCCTTGGCCTCCCAAAGTGCTGGGATTACAAGCGTGAGCCACAGCTCCTGGCTGGTCCCCTCATTCTTTCTCAGCAATGCCATCGCCTTGGGGGAGGCTTTGTCTGGATATTACTCCCACCAGCATCTTGCTGCTCAAATCCACCCTCACCAGGCCTCCAGGTGCCTCATGACACAGAGAGCTTTACACTATTTTTCGGTCAGTGCAATCTTTTAGGGAAGGACTCTGACAATGTGTTCCAAACTTCAAACATCTTTGAAAATGTCCACTGCCTTGAACTAGTAATCACAATGTTGCAGATTTAACACTAGGAAATAATCTCAGGTGCAGAAATGCTTTCACAAATCAAGATGCTAAACATTCATTCTTTATGCTAATAAGGTCTTGGAAACAACTGAATGATCCGAAAGAAAGAGCTGGTTAAGTCAACCATATTTCATACTCCCGAGTGGATACTACTTAGCCAGTAAAATACTGTTTACAAGAATTTGAGAAAATGCTCACTCTATAATAAGTGGGAAAAAAACAGATAACTAAATTGTACTTATGATCGTAACTATGTCGACTCAAGAAATAAATTAATGCCATGGGGCAGAACCTGAAAATAAGTTGGTCAAAATACAAATTTTTTCCTGAGAGGTGGGGGCTATGGGTATTTTGCTTTTACTTTCTAATTCTGTATATATTTTCTATAAGAAATAAGGGTTACAATGACAGCAGATAAAAATATTTATATATTAAAAAAAAAAAGTGGGCTGGGCACAGCAGATCATGCCTATAATCCCAGTGCTTTGAAAGGCTGGGGCAGGAAGACTGTGCCCAGGAGTTTGAGACCAGCCCGGGCAACACAGTGAGGACCTGGATTGAGGTGAGAGCATCTCTTGAGTCCAGGAGTTTGGGGCTGCAGTGAGTTGTGCTTGTGCCACTGCGCTCCAGCCTGGGTAACACAGCAAGGCCCTATCTCAAAAAAAAAAAAAAAAAGGAAGGTTTCTGTGGCTACTCAATGCTGCCAGGAGTTTTTTAGAAAGACTCATCAGGCCTTCGCAAATATGTGCTCACTTCCCTCCTAAGCCTGGTCATCCAGTTCCCCTATACCCCATGCACATCCCTCTATTTTCTGGCCATATTTAATTACTCCACATTCCTAGAACTCGCCTTATACCCCTCACCTCAGTGTTCTTACACACGTGGGTGTGCACTTCCCTTCTCTCTCCCTGGGAATGCAGGCTCCAACAGGGTTTTTAATCTGTTCTGAGTCACTCCTATAATCCCAGTGCCTGGTGAAGTCTCTGGCACACCAAAAATGTTCAAAAATGTTTGCCAAATGAACGAACAGAGAAGTACTGATGTCCCGCTCATCTGTAGCCTTCTAACTTTCTCCCCAGCTACTGGCCTCTCTTGCCCGCACCCCAAGCCCCCAACAGGAGTTATCCTGTTCACACCTGTGTGTTCTCAGGGATATAACGCATACCTAGTCTAATGGAACATTTGCCATGCTTTATCTCAGTCATTTCCTTACTGCATCAGCAGCAGCCATACCAGATAAACAACAAACATTTATGCTTGAGAGTTTACATGGGTTACCTTGCTTTTCCTCACAATAACCCTAAGACGTATCATGATCCTCATTTTACAGATGCAGAAACTGAGGCTTAAGAGGTAAAACACACACACACACACACACACACACACACAGCTAGTAAACAGTAGAGCCATCCAACTCCAAAGCCCAGCCCCTGACAATGCTATGCCAGGGCCAAATGCCAGTTTCTCTGTCTATCCTACACAGTGGGCTGCAAACTTCTTGAGGGCGGGAAATACATTTTATTATTTGAAAGCTGACTAACACTGCTGCACATAGCACACATTCAAATATTTGCTGATTTGAAACGTAAGAGGATGGATGTCCTTCATGTAGACCACATTAATTCATAATGTGAGATAACCCTAGACTCACAACTGGAAGTTTAAAGCGTTTGCCTAGCAAAACAAGGGTAGTCAAATAGTTTTAAGTTCATTCAGATGAACACTGGGCTACGTAAGGAATTGAAGGGTCCAACTGTTGCCAGGCAGTGCCCCTTAAGCAATCCAGGAGTACTTAATTACGAAGTGGTATGTTAATTGCTGCTCTTAAATATCCATTAGCACAGATCCCCTAAATCCCTCTATTGGGCAATGATGCCTTAAATTTGTGTCATAGATCATATTTCAGAAACCTCTTTTAGAAATATCATCTGTCAGTCTAGTGCAATTTATTATGTATATACTTTAATGTTTTTAAATTGTCCCTATATCTTCTAAGTTAGATGACTTTCATTATCCCAAACTAATGAAATTTTACTGTACCAAAAGAATATCGTAAATACTTCTCAAAATGGTATTTATGAACTTTATTCACCATAGCAATCAAGACAGGCTACCTCAAGGGAAAGGTTTTTGTCTCCTGAGTGTTGGCTGGGACTTCACCCAGCATGCAGACTCTGGGGTGTTTAACACTTATTAACAGCTTGTCTGGGTTTGCTGCTGGTGAGTCTCTAGCAAGCAGACAAGCACAAATTAGCAGCTCCTGCATGCATCTCTCCTCCTCTGGGGGAATTATGCAGGCAACAATGGGATATTTATAAGCTTTTCTGAGTATGTGTGTGTCAGTGGGGGGAATGCAGTATATATATATATATATTTTTTTTTTTTTTTTTTTTTGAGATGGAGTTTTTCTGTCACCCAGGCAGGAGTGAAGTGGTGCAATCTCGGCTCACTTCAACCTCCACCTCCCGGGGTTCAAGCGATTCTCCTGCCTCAGCTTCCCCAGTAGCTGGAAGTACAGGCGCCCGACACCATGCCCAGCTAATTTTTGTATTTTTAGTAAAGACGGGGTTTTGCCATGTTGGCCAGGCTGGTCTCGAACTCCTGGCCTCAAGTGATCCACCTGCCTCAACCTCCCAAAGTGCTGGGATTACAGGCATGAGCCACTGTGCCTGGCCTGGGAATGCAACATCTTACACAGCATAGGAAAAGTAATGCACACAGGAAAAACACCACAAAAGTAAAATCTGTAAGAAAATGTATAAGGTATACAATCCAGGGGTGCAGCTAACCTCAGCACAACCTTCTGTAGTGCTCACAGAACTTCATCTCGCCTTTCTCATTCTCTGAAATCTTCCCACTTTGCAGATTGAAATGAGTCTTGCCACCAATGTGTGAAAAGGTCAGCTCTACCAGGGATAATTCTGAAAGCCGTTCCTGTTCCCTGGAGTCCAGTCTACCTCCACCCCACGGGCACACCAGCAATCTCCTGCCAGCATAACACTTTTATGAAGTCTCCAGGACTCTGTCTTGCTTGGGGAGAAGCCCACCAGAGGAAGACTCTGAAGGCCTGAGGCTGAGGCACCATCCTGCCTCCTGCAAGCTGTGTGGCTAAGGATTCTGAGTCTCCATTCCCTCATGTGTAAAACAGAGTTGCACAGTGCAGAGCCCCAAACTTTGACTATATTAGGACATGTGCAATCATTCTAAAACTCAAAACACCACCAGTAAGTTTTTAAAAACTCATTATTTAAGGAAGAAAATGCCCCTTATCAAATAACTTACTGGATCACCTAGTAGTTAGTGCATGCCTGGCACTCGGCTATATGCTGGGCAATACCAAAAGGAGTAAGGTCAGGTCTCCCTTCCTGAGAACCCCACCCCCTTCCATCCAGTGGGAGAAGAGACCCATAAACAAATGACTACAATAAAACGTGATGCACACTGGGGGCTTTCACCCATAGAGTTCATGGCAGGGCAGAGGAAGCTGAAGGAATCACAGAAGGCTTCCCAGAGGAAGCCAGTGAAGCCAACCCTCGCAGGATGACAGGTCACTGTGCCCAACGGGAGAGAGACAAGGCCCAGCATGTGCAAAGTGTGCTAGAAACAGGAATGGGAGACCTTCTAGACATTGGCTTAGGCAAGGATTTCATGACCAAGAACCCAAAAGCAAATGCAATAAAAACAAAGATAAACAGGTGGGACTTAATTAAACTAAAGAGCTTTTGCAGGGCAAAAGGAAGTCACCTGAGTAAACAGACAACGCACCAAGTGGGAGAAAATCTTCACAGTCTATACATCTGACAAAGGACTAAAAACCAGAATCTACAACAAACTCAAATAAACAAGAAGAAAACAAATAAGCCCATCAAAAAGTGGGCTAAGAACATGAATAGACAATTTTCAAAAGAAGGTATACAAACGGCCAACAAAATGAACAAAATGCTCAACGTCACTAATGATCAGGGAAATGCAAATCAAAACCACAATGCAATACCACTTTACTCCTGCAAGAACAGCCATAATCAAAAAATAAAAAACATAATAGATGTCGGTGTGGATGCGGTGAACAGGGAGCACTTCTACACTGCTGGTGGGAATGTAAACTAGTACAACCACCATGGAAAACAGGATGGAGATTCCCTAAAGAACTAAAATTAGAACTACAATTTGATCCAGCAATCCCACTACTGGGTATCTACTCAGAGGAAAATAAGTCATTATACAAAAAAAATACTTATACATGCATGTTTATAGCAGCACAATTCGCAACTGCAAAAACATGGAACCAGCCCAAATGCCCATCAATCAACGAGGGGATAAAGAAACTGGTGTGTGTGTGTGTGTGTGTGTGTGTGTGTGTGTGTGTGTGTGTGTGTGTGTGTGTGTGTGTGTGATGGAATACTACTCAGCCATAAAAAGGAATGAATGAATGGCATTTGCAGCAACCTAGATGGAACTGGAGACTATTATTCTAAATGAAGCAACTCAAGAATGGAAAACCAAACATCATATATTCTCACTCGTAAGTGGGAGCTAAGCTACAAAGATGCAAAGGCATAAGAATGATACAATGGACTCTGGGGACTTGAGGGGAAAGGGTGGGAAGTGGGTGAGGGATAAAAGACTACAAATTGGGTTCACTGTATACTGCTCCGGTGATGGGTGCACCAAAATCTCAGAAATCACCACTAAAGAACTTATTCATGTAACCAAACACCACCTGTTCCCCAAAAACCTATGGAAATAAATAAATAAATAAATAAATAAATGGAGGAGAGATGTTCAGGAAGGCTAGAAGGGGCAGAGCCAAGAGGGAGCAGAGGGAGGCTGCATCAGACAGGCAAGGAGGAGACAGGCACCAGCACCTGTATGATTTCATCTTGCCCTTCAGATTCTGCAGTAACCCAAACACATCCCCAGTGAAGGACGAGGGCCACAACCCAGGATGCCAGGTGTCAGGCAACTGTCCCACGATGCCTTGCCGCACAGTTACTGGGCTCCTTGAATCTTAAAGTTAAACAGAGACAAGGCAGCAAGATACATGGGTAAAAACAAACCAAAATGGTATAAAAAATCTTTAATACTACATAGATAGGGCTATAATAGAAATACATCTGCTATGGGGCATAAATTGGCTGTAGTTAAAAAATAAAATCAAAATATATCATTTGTTTAAGAGACAATATCTCCAAACGATTCGGGTGTATCTATTATGTGCCAGGTATCGCGAATTTGAAGATGGACAGTTCTAGACTTCGAGGAGCTTATAAGTTGAAAAGGAAAAAGAAGCAAAGGTATCATTTAATACTAGGTGAGATAACAACTCAAAACGTGAACGCAGGGTGCTCCAGGGATCTAACAGACTCAGGGACAGTCCAGGAAGGAAAAGGACAGGGAGCTTTCGTGAGGAGAGCATGTTAAAATCTGAAGATGGGAAAAAAAGGAAAGAAAAAGTGGGGTAGGGAGCAGGATACTGCAAGAGGAAGCAGCAGGGAGAATTCCTCAGTGGCTCAACTGGCTGGGCCCAGGGAGTCGGAAAGGGAAGGAGGCCAGGGTGGGGTCTGAAGACCAAGGACAGCAGCAGGCGATCAGGCACAGTGGCAAGGGATGATACACCTTTTGCGGAAAAAAAAAGAGAGAGAGACAGACTTTCCTCAACTCCATAGAAAGCGCTTGGCTCATTAGTGCTTGGAAATGTTCGCAATTGTGACTGGAAGGTCAGGCTCCTGCACTAGCTTTCTGTTCAGTAATGCAAGAGAAGGGCGGAGAAGTTAGCCACAGGAGTCCCTAAAGGACTTCAGCATAAGGTAAACTCACCTGTAAAATGGCCCCAAGGCAGAGACCCTAAAGAAGGCATCTTAATTATTCCGCATAGGGCCCTCAGCTCCTCTCGCGAAGGCGTTAGCTGTTAAGGAGGGAGCTTGAGGAAATGAAGACACACCCGCTGAGGAGGGGCCTCGGCGGGGTGTGTTACATTCCTTTGAAAACAGGCCCTTTGCTATAATTTGTGTAATCAGACCAGAGATTGGACTGTAGAACCCTGCTTCCCATTTATTACAATATCACGCTTCTGCCCAGGAAACCCCACCCAAGCTTTTGTTTGGAATTCCTTTCCTTGATTAGGTGCAAGTCCTATTATTCCCGCCACTCAAAATAACACATGGGTCTAATGAAGTCGCAAGGCACAGCCCTGCCAGAAACCTGACTTTCCTGAATGGGGCTAGTTCTCTTTCTTCCGTCTTGTTTTGGAATAATGATTTCTTTTCCCTTTCCTTCTGTGTAGAGGAAGAATGGGAAGCAGCGACATTCTGTACAAATGGAAAGGCAAATCATTTTTTCCCTCTGGAAAGAGCCACGCAAGTGGGCACCACTCTTTAGGCTGTGTCTGCAGCACCCTCGTTGCCTCCTGGCTCCAGCTGCCTCGGTTGCAGTTCTGCACACTCGATGAGTGGAAAGGGGTGACACACTGTCCTCAAGTCTCATCACCTGCAGAGCTGCCCTCCTCTCTGACAGCCTTCATTATGCAATTCAGGCAGAGTCCACCCTGCAAAGAAGGGCTGAGGAGCAGGGCAGGGGCATCGTCCAGACAGGTGAAGACATACTTTAGAATGCCTGGTAATTCTTAACCAAAGACAGGAGGCACAGAAAAATTTCACATCAAAACATGGGGTATTGGCCAGGCATGATGGCTCACGCCTGTAATCCCAGCACTTTGGGAGGCCAGGCGCGCGGATCACTTGAGGTCAAGAGTTCGAGACCAGCCCGGCCAATATGATGAAACCCTGTCTCTACTAAAAATACAAAAATTAGCTGGGCATGGTGGCGGGTGCCTGTAATCCCAGCTAGGCGGGCCCACTTAGGTGGCTCCATCTACTTCTAGAGAACATGACTTCCATACCCCAAGACTCCACCCCAGCCTGGGTCATTGCCACTTGGGAGGCTGAGGCAGCAGAATCACTTGAACCCGGGAGGTGGAGGTTGCAGTGAGCCAAGATACCGCCACCGCACTCCAGCCTGGGTGGCAGAGCGTGACTCTGTCTCAAAAAAACAAACAAAAAAACACGGAGTATTAGAATTGGAAAATAGGATGAATCATTTTCTCTAGCAAATACTTAAATAATGTAAGAGATGTGTTTTGTGGTCTGCCCAGCCCAAAGGAGCTGCCTTTGGTCCCCAGGGACCTGCCCTACCTTCCCACTTTCCCGAAGCCATCTAGGCAGGGGTAGAGCCCTGACCCTATGGCAGTTAATCCATTTCCAGGCCAGGGATCTAATACTGGTGTGGTCTCGGTCAAATAGGCCAATTCTGGCCAGTGGAATTCTTCCTGGTAACTGAGCCATTCTATTTGGTGGAACTCTAGTTCAGTGGTTGGAAGATTACGAAGTCACAAAGATTAGGACAGCCACAGAAGGTTACTGGAAACTGGGAGGTAATAATGACCTTGCAAGTTCATCTGGATAATAAGATAAAGCACACCCCCCCACCAAAAGAGGGACCAGGTACGTGGGAGCCCAGGAGAGCACCTTCAGTGCCTCAGTCCCCAGTTCTGGTGATCCCCAAGGCCCTTTGTTTCCAAAAGCATACAGGAAACTTCCTTGTTTACCAAATTGGTATGAATGGGTTTCCATTGCCACCAAAGAGCCTTGCCTAAAATAAGCACTCAGTATATGTCAGGTGCTATGGCAACAGTGCTACCTCAGAGCTAGTGTGGAAGACCAAACCCTCTATTAGATAGTTGCAGAATAGGTGGCACGAGCACAAGAAAGTGCTAGTGATATAATGCACATGGTCTGGCTAAAGAATAAAGAGCACAGCTCACTCTGAGCCAAACAAAGCTGCTTAGAAGAGACAGTTCTCCAATTTGGCCATGAAGAGTAGGAAGGGTGTAGCTGAACATTGGGGACAACATTGATAATCCCACCATGAAACAAGGCTTCCTTACCACAATTCCTCTAGGCTCAGTCCACATCCGCTGGCCTCAGTTACTTAGATTGTAGCCCACGCAGAACTGGGAGAGGTTTTCTTGGCAAGCTCTCCCGCCTCAATTTTCGGTGATCCTAGTAAAATGCAGCAATCCCCAGAAGAGGCTATTTAGAGCTCTCTTAACAACTCGCCTGCACACTGAGAGTCAAGAGGGAAGTCAGGCTGCTGGAGGACTCCTCCCTCTGAATTTCTCCTCTCCTGCCTTCTCAGTGACATCACTAGCTGAAGGGAAAGTGGATGTTCATTCACAGGGGTTTGAAGAGAATCAGGAATGTGGGAGACCAGAATAGGCCACCCCAAAATATGAAGGATTATTGGGCTGAAGACAATTAAGAAGAAGCAAATGCAGGAAAGCTTCTCTGCTCTCCCTGTATCTGCCTAAAAGCAGGATATGTGTTTACAAAGAAGAAAGGTATCCTGCCCCCTCTTTTATCAGGGAGAACAAAGGTTAACCACCGCAGACAGCTTTAGATGCTTCTCACTTCTCTGCCTGGAGATGGTACCAGAGGGAACTACGTGAACAAACTTTGCTAACTAGCCGTTATCTGCAGTTACTTATCTTCCCCCAACCTGCTGCCCATAGAGGCTCAAAATCCTTTTCCTTAGTGTTGTCACTTCTCTAAAAACCTACTGTTCTTTGTTGAAGATGCTATATAAGCTAGAATTCAAAGCCACCTCTCTTTGAGAACTACTCATTCCCTGGGTATCTTCCACGTATATATAAAATATACATGTCAATAATTTGGTTTTTCTCTTGTTAAATCTGTCTTTTGTTACAGGGGGTCTGTTCCAACTAAGAACGGGGTCTGTTCCAATTAAGAATCTATGAAGGTTGAAGAAGAAAATGATTTTTCTTCTTCTATAGGAACTACATCCTGAACATATGTGGTAGGTGCTCAGGAGTAATGGTGGGAGCAGGAATGCAAAACAAAATAAATAAGATACAAGCAGGTCCTTAAGAAGCTCACCATTTACTAGAGGAAATAAGACATGCACACAACTGACCCAAACACATGCCTACACATTCGAAATCCTATAATATCTACATCAGATGGATGACAAAGTCATTTTTAAATCCTTCCTGCCAGAAAATTTTCCTTGAGAAATGCAAAATTGAGTTGAGATACAAAATGTCCACAGTTATGTAGACAAGATCAGTATCACCCATACAAACACGATTTAAATTAGTAAAACGAATTACAATGATAGCTTTCAAATTTTTTAGCAAAGTCTTTTCTTCAGATATAATTCCACTTAGAAGTCCAATAAGCAACAGAGATGCATAAAAGCAGAGCTGCTTTGGCTGAAATAGGCAATGAGATCAGGAGCTGTACAACCCTGCAGTCCACTGAGGCGTCTCTGCAGAACACAGGGCTCCAAGAACCACTGGCGCAAAACCTTTCATTTAAAGGTACTAGGGCTTGTGGCTTTTAGGCACACACAGTAATTTGAAGTTTACCTAATAAAAGTGTTCCCAGCTGGGCACAGTGGCTCACGCCTGTAATCCCAACACTTTGGGAGGCCAAGGTGGGTGGATCACTTGAGGTCAGGAGTTAGAGACCAGCCTGGCCAACATAGTGAAACCCCGTCTCTACTAAAAATAAAAAATTAGCCGGGTGTGGTGGCGGGTGCCTGTAATCCCAGCTACTCGGGAGGCTGAGGGAGGAGAATCACTTGAGCCCGGGAGGTGGAGGTGGAGGTGGAGGTTGCAGTGAGCCGAGATCACGCCACTGCAGTGTTCCCAGGTAGTTGAATCTACTAGCAAGAAAGAATAGTTGTGACAAGGTTTGAGGTTACATTCTAAGCCTTTGGCTTTAACTCTGCCAGCCCACTCTTCAGTAACACAGATAAGGACCCCTGCCATGTAAAAGTGCCAGAGTCCTGCACTATCACATCACACATCTTGTGTGTCATTCTCTTCCTCTTTTATATTTGGTACGTGACATCTCTAAATTCACTGTTTCCATGCGGCCTCCAAAGACCCTCTGGATCTGACAATTAGTGAAGATTTTCTCAATTTCAGCCCTACCAACTGGCTCTTAGGGCCCACTTAGGTGGCTCCATCTACTTCTGGAGAACACGACTTCCATACCCCAAGACTCCACCCCAGCCTGGGTCACTGCCACTGGTGAGAACCCTTGATCCCGCTCACATCCTCCTTGAAGAAAAATAAGACCACCTTGCTCAAAGTGTGTTCCTAGGGTTTCTCAGAGGTTCTGTGTAGTGCACTGAGTCTTCAGATGTTTTAACATGCTCCTATACATGGGGAATTCCTCAACGGAGAGACAAATATGAGAATCTGTTTTTGATCAATCATAAAATCTATTTCTTGGCACATCTCATATCACTGCCAAATCCTTTGAAAAAAATGAAAAATGACTTAAATATTTTCCCCTGATTACAGTTAATTTGATACTTTCTTATCAAAATGTTTCCTTATAAAGAAAAGTTCAGAAATGTATGGAAATGAGAAAACAAATGGTGAGTTATACATAGTGCCCCATTAAAATCAGGAAGAAGACAAGGATGCCTGCTATTACTATTCAATATTTTATTTCACCCTCTAACCAATGCAGACAGAAAAACAAAATAAAGTACTCAAAAGAAGGCAGTAGCAGTAAAACTTTCTATATTTGCAAATGGAATGCCTGTCTGCCTAGAGTCTAGTGGATTACAAATGGTCAGATACAGGAACCATTTAGGAAATGGCATTTGTTTAGCTGGACATGGTGGCTCACACCTGTAATTCCAGCACCGTAGGAGGCTGCGGCAGGAGGATCTCTTGAGACCAGCCTGGACAACATGGCAAAACTCCATCTCTACAAAAAAAAAAGTACAAAAAATTAGCCAGATATGGTGGCGTGCACCTGTAGTCCCAGCTACCCAGGAAGCTGAGGTGCGAGGATCACCCAAGCCCAGAAGGTTGAGGCTGCGGTGAGCCCTGATCGTGCCACTGCACTCCAGCCTGGATGACAAAGTGAGACCCTGTAAAAGAAAAGAAAAAAAGAGAAGAGAAGAGAAAAAAAAGAAAATGGCATTTAAAAAAATTCTACTCATAATAGCAAATAGGAATAGAAAGAAGGGTAGGAGGGGAAAGGAAAAAAAAAACTCCTAAGAAATAAACCTACCCATATATATGCCAAACCAATCTTATTTTAAATTTTACTACATGACATTAAAAAAAACCAAAAAGATACAATAATGGAGAGAACTACCATTTCCCAGATGAGAAGACTCAATATTGTAAGACAACAATTCTTCCTCAGTTTGTAAAGTCAACTAAGTCAACGTTAAGTCAACGAGCATCTCAACTCAGAAAACTAATCTTAAAGTCCAACTGGAAGAGAAAAACCTTTAGGATGACCAAAAAAAAAAAAAAAAAGTTTAAAAAATAAGAATAATGAAAGGAAATATCCTCATAAAATCAAATATAGTACAAAGCTACAGTAACAAAAACAGAGTGACAGCATTATGAAAATAGACATATTCTATTATCACTAGAACAGGAGAGTATAGAAAGCAAATACATTGATATTTAGGATACAATAAAGATATTTAAAACTGGCACAAAAAGAGCAAACTGTTTGACACATTATACCGGGAAAAGTAAAAATCCACATACAAATTAAGTTGCAGCTCTACTGCTATCATACACAAGAACAAATCCTAGGTAGACTAGACAGATAAATATTTTTAAAACTACCAGAAAAAGAGACAAAGAATATCAAGTATATTTACAAAACTCAGAAGACATAAAGAAAAGTTCACAGGTGTGGCAAACGCCACAGTTAAAACCTATATTTCATAAACAAAGTTCAAAGACAGCAAGAAAGTGACATTATTTACAAAGGATCTTCTGAGGAGGGACACAATCTAATCTATTACTTTTACTCTGAAGCTTTCTACAATGTTTAAATCTTTCAGAGCAAGCAAGAATTCATTCATGCTATAAATAAAAATCTTCAGACAAAAAAAGGTTAATATAAAGGAACACTTCAACTGAGTCTTTTCATAAATATTCACAAATGAAAAATTAGTAACGTAAAAAAAAGTTTGCTTGCTATTTTTTAGGAATAAAATTAAGAAAGGAACATGGACAACTATCTGAAATATTTTTCCTTGAAACATTCTACTAAGGGCCTCTCCCATAGATGTTCTGCAGGAAAAGCTTCGCACTTCAAAGGGTGTGCCTGTAGGATTTAGATGACTATCTGAATACCTGCACTAGTAAACAAACAAAAATCACCCCAAGAGTAAACTAAGAATATCACAGGGAAGAAATCTCCTAATTCCTAACCAGTGAGAAGGGTGTTTTTTTTTTTCTTTCTAAATAGAATTTATAAACTTCAAAAATTCTGTGAATTTTTCACAGCAAAGCAAGTGTACACGAATTTTCTAAATCTACATCTCTGCCAGACCCTTAAGTTTTCTCCACACCTGCAAGGAGAACTCCTGGCATCTTGCTAGAGTGCTGAATTTGGGACAGAGGTGCAAAGTTATCACGTAAGTGGTACTCTCTCACTGGAAAATAGAATCCTATGGCTCTTAACAATGCTCGAGGCCTGTCTCCTTGTTAGGTGAAACTGAGGCCTGGGTACTGGGTGGCTTATCCCCTTAACTCAGTCAGTAGCATTATCCAGCTTTTTCCGTTTGTTCCAGAAAATAGTTCTTACTGGCCTTGGTAAAAGTGTATTTTTTATTTTTTTCTAAGCAGTAAACAGGTAATCCTAAACCTTTACAATTTCTCTGTCCCATCATCCTAGAAAGGATTTATCTGACTTATTTCAAAGTTCTACAATTCTCCTGAGTTTTTCTGTCAGTCAAAACTGTGAACATTTTAGTATCTCTTTCCCAGTAGCGTTTTCATTGTCTAAGTCATCTTAAGTTAAAACTACAGCTTTCTGGTATAAATAGGGCTTAAAACTCAACCAAAATTCTATATCTGGTATCAACAGCTGGTACAAGGTCTCACTTCCTCATACTAGATCAAGGAAATCTTTATCTACGGAAATTCTATTCATACTATTAAATAGTCCCTATATTCCCTGAAATACATGAATGAGCATCAACCAAGCTTTAATATCCTCTTTTCTCCTGCCACAGTGAGGGGGGCAGGGGTTAGAGAATCACTTTAACACTAAAGTGTTTTCCTCACATTGTACTCATTCCAGAAACAACTGTTGTAATAATTTAGATTAAGCATCTTGGTTGATCCTAGATAATGTTTACCCAACTGCATCTAGTCATTAACTACTTATCTACCTGAAAATTGAGTCCTTGAAATCCTCTGTCAAGTCTAGTGAAAGAAAATAATAAAACTGCAAGACTGAATCTGTGTTATGTTCTGTAGCTCTAGCTACTGGCAAAAAAAAAAAAAAAGATTAGATTAAAAGATATGCATCCCAAGCTAATTGCACAGCATAAAAAGTAAACCACAGCTATTAAACAGAAGCATCACTATATAATTTCTCTTGACAACTTAAGCATTTTAATAAGTATTTTATAAATAATAAGGAAGCATTTTTCCACCTAAATTATATGCAATAACAAAGCATAATGCTAAGGGCACATAATAGGCAAAAATTCAGTCCCTTCTATATTAAATTAGGGGTATTTAATATAGATGCATTTATTTAAAAAATTCATTTATTTTTATGTGCATTTTCTGAAAAGGCCTGAAAATTACATGTACCAAATTCTTAACACTCATGAGGAAAAGGTGGGAAAAAGTAAAAAAGGGGAAAGGATTTTAAGTTGTATTTTAAATATATCTGTGTAATTTGAATTTTCTCTAACATGAATCAATTTTGCCATTTTTTTTTTCTTTTTTTTGAGACGGAGTCTCGCTCTGTCGCCCACACTGGAGTGCAATGGCGTGATCTCGGCTCGCCGCAACCTCCGCCTCCTGGGTTCAAGTGATTCTCCTGCCTCAGCCTCCTGAGTAGCAGGGATTACAGGCACCCACCATCACGCCTAGCTAATTTTTAGTAGAGATGGTGTTTCACCAGGTTGGCCAGGCTGGTCTCGAACTCCTGACAGATGATCCATCTGCCTCGGCCTCCCAAAGTGCTGGGATTACAGGAGTGAGCCACTGTGCCCAGCCGCCATTATTCTTAAATAATATGAAAAATGCAAAATAATGCCAGCCAGCAAAGATATACTGAAGCTGGCACTGTAAATCAGTTCAACCTTTTTCATGATGTATGTAGGAGCTTTAAAGACACTGACATCCTTTGACTCAGCAATTATTTATTTTAAAAGTTTTTATAATGTGGATATATTATTTTTTAGAAAGAAAAGCAATCTTGTTTAATCACATATCACGTGAGATCCTTAAAATGCAGGCTTCTGACATACAGGCTAGAAAAATAAACACATAGTCAATTCTCATTATTTGCAGTAGTTATATTCTATGAAGTCTCTGTGAATACTGAATTAGCAAATACTGAACCTCTGCTCCTAGGGGAAATACAAGGTTATGTTCCTACAAGCCTCTGATCACAAAATTTTTGTTAGCCAATCAATACATAATATTGCTTTATGTGTGTTTCTATTTAAAGAGCCTTCTTTAATATATTGTCAATTCACTAACATTTAACCCAGGCAACAGCACTGTGACTCATGTATGAATGCAGCTTATCTAACATACATATTTTCTCCCTAAGGCACATCACAGCCTTCTTGAGCTTAGGAACACCAGACAGCTCTTCAGCACTACACCAGGGGCTCATTTTAAACAGCAAAATCACCCAAAAGTATAAAAATGCAAAAACATGACATTAAATAGACCACAAAAAGGACACTTGTGTACAGTATGAGAGCTAAAACAAGAGGGTAGAGTGTTTTCTTGTGTGATCTCAGCTAGGAATGTGCACATTGATCAACTCAAATTTTTCATGCTTCATAAGTCAATGAATGACAGCAATGCCTGAAACATGAATTTGTAGGTTACAAATAAATCTCACTAAGTAGGCAAATTGACAAATATGGAATCCGTGAATAATGGGAATCAACTGTATGTATTTAATAGTCAAAACAAATTTCTCAAAAGACAGATTAACAATAGAATAAAAATATAGCCCATAAAAGGCTTTCTTGTCTCTGCTAACTCAGTGATTATCGACCAGGGGTTACTTTATTCCCTAGGGGACATTTGATAATGTCTAGAGAAATCTGTTGATTGTCAAAACTGGGTCTAGCAGATAGCAACCAGGATGCTGCAAAACATCCAGCAAAGCCCAAGACAGCCCACGACAACAAAGAAGTACCTGACTCAAAAAGCGAACAATGTCAAGATTAACTGGGCTAACTGACGAATAAAGTCAATGTTTTGTCTTTAAGTGTGCCTTCTTGTACCTTCTATCAACCCACACTCTAAAGCCTAAAACAATAAATAATTTTAATGTCAAGGATGAAGCAGCTGTCATACTTTATTGCTAGGTGGCCCCTTGTTCTCAAACTTAACTAATGAATTCAATGCAATGTAAGACACAAAGCAGTTAAAAGCTCTACTGAAAAGTGTGACTTTTTGAGTCATTTCCACTGAGCTTGTAATGGTAGCTGGGTAATAATATTGTAAAACATAGAGCCAGTCAGAAATCTAGGTGTTTTTGTTTTTGAGACAGAGTCTCGCTCTGAAGCTCAGGCTGGAGTGCAATGGCACGGTCTCAGCTCACTGCAACCTCCATCTCCCAGGTTCAAGTGATTCTCCTGCCTTAGCCTCCCGAGTAGCTGGGATTACAGGTGCCTGCCACCACATCTGGCTATTTGTGTGTGTGTGTGTGTGTGTGTGTGTGTGTGTGTATTTTTAGTAGAGATTGGCTTTCACTATGTTGGCCAGGCTGGTCTCAAACTCCTGACCTCATGATCTGCCTGTCTCGGCCTCCCAACGTGCTGAGATTACAGGCGTGAACCACCACGCCCTGCCTGAACTCTGGTTCTTAACACCAGGTAAGTAAAAATCATCCTTGCACAGGAATTAAGAAGTACAGTCTACAGCAGGGGTCCCCAATCCCCAGGCCATGGACTGGTACCAGTCTGTGCCCTGTTAGGAACCACGCCACACAGTAGGTGGTGAGCAGTGGGCAAGCAAGCGAAGCTTCATCTGTATTTACAACTGCTCCCCATCACTCACATTACCACCTGAGATCCGCCTCCTATCAGACAGGTGGCAGCATTAGATTCTCATAGGATTGCAAACCCTATTGTGAACCACCCATGCGAGGGACCTAGGCTGTGCACTCCTTATGAGAATCGAATGCCTGATGATCTGTCACTGTCTCCCATCAACCCCAGATGGGACTTTCTAGTTTCAGGAAAACAAGCTCAGGGCTCCCACTGATTCTACATTATGGTGAGTTATATAATTATTTCATTATATATTGCAATGTAATAATAATAGAAATAAAGTACACAATAAAGATAATGTGCTTGAATCATCCTGAAACCATTCCTGCAGACCCTGGTCCAGGAAAAAATTGTCTTCCACAAAACCAAAAAGGTTGGGGACCTCTAGTCTACAGTACACCATCCATGAGATGGGGAACTCCAAGCAGTTTGCAGAATAAATCAAGAACAGTTTGAGGAGATTCTTGTGGTTACCTGTCTAAGGGAAGAAATTAAAATGTCCTGCAAAGTCTTAACAATTCTATGAAAAGAGGCCCAATTTAAGTGACCCCCCAAATATCCTTACTGCATAAATGCTGCACACCCCCTTTAATGCACCACCCATGTGGATTCAGTATTATTCTAAATACTGAAAAATACTCAGTATTCTGAACATTTATTCTGTCTTGAATCGATCATATTTTTAAATAATGAATCAAGCAATTTGTAGAGTGGCCTCCAAAGTTACTCAAGAGCATTCCAAAATCACTGAGCTAATATAACAAAGATAAATAATTTCCAACTGGGAGGCCGACTTGCAGACTAAGAATTGCACTTGAAGTTTGGAACCTGAATTTTCGGCTGCATGAGTTTAGAGCCAAGTCATTATTCCGAGAGGTATTTTCCCCCCTGTAAATATGTTTTAGCTCATCTCTGCAAAAATAAACCTAAACTATTATTTCCTGTTGTAAGTATGCTCTGTTGGACATTACATACTCTGCTGGCTGATGCCTTTAACTTCCTACAAGATCCTGCTGACCACTCAGACCTGGAAGCTCTCCTCCATCCTTCCTTAACCACTCTGACCACTCTCTCCAGACTCCTGCTCTTCCCCTACCCCAGCCTACATTTGAAGCCTCATCCCTCAACCCTCCCAGCCCCATACCTGAATTCTTACCCCAGACTGGTACTCCTTGGATCACCATCATCAGAACCAGCTAGAAAGTGTAGATTAAAGTATGTTGCCCAGACCACATTCCCAATCGATTGATCAGAATCTCAGGTGGCAGGCTTGGGAATCTGCATTTCCACTCCACCTCGCAGCTATTTAAGACTTAGCTATAAAACAACACCTGTGGCTTCCTGGAAATGACATCATTGTGGCCTTGATTCATTTATCATGTTTCCCTCTGCCTAAACATCTGCCCCCTGCCCTATCCAATTCCCTAAGCCCATTTTAAACATCATTTCTACTAAACAATGTTATCAGCTGACACCTCCGGTTGAGAGAAACCACTCTTCTCTAAACTTCCACAGCACACTACATACAGTATATACCACATAAATTCAAAATTGTAGATTTGTCAAATTCCCCAACCAGACTGGAGCTCTTGAGTAGGGACCATGTGCCATACCTAGATTTCGCCTCTAGTGGCCAGCAGAGTTCTTGGCACATAGCAGGAACTCACTGGATGGATGGATGGATGGATGGATGGATGGATGGATGGATGCATGGCATGCATGGCAGGCCTCTGAGTGGCACTATTAAACTTCAGTGGCCAGGGGCGGTGGCTCACACCTGTAATCCCAACACTTTGGGAGGCTGAGGTGGAAGGACTGCTTGGGTACAGGTATTAGAAACCAGCCTCAATTAAAGTGAAACCCTGTCTCAATTAAAATAATAATAAATAAACTTCAGCGATCCCACATGATTTGTGATTAGTGTTAATCTGAACAAATGGAAGACTAAATGGAATAACCGAACAGAAGAATCTTAAGTAACTGGAGTATGGCTCTCAGGGAGCCCTACAGGAAGAAGGAAAGGTCTCCCTCCAAAGCCATTCATGTTTTACACTCCGTAGGGTCTCAATTAAAGGCAGCTAATTGACTCTACATGTACAGTCCTACTAAACAGCTAAAGCAGATGAGGATAAGAAAGCAAACTAGCTACCAAAGAACTTTTCTGGGCATAAGCAGATATAGTTAAGACCAGTGGCAAACCATTACACACTCCTATCAAGGACCAAGACAGATACAGTAATAACTCCAAGTGGATCTAACTATAGAATAAAGTCTTGGATTCCTCAAGATTATTTACCCTAGGATTCAAATCCACCCATAATTTTATCCTTGAGTCGACATTATTTTTGTTGTAAATCCACCCTCCATCCTACCATTCCTTTCTGCCTGGATAGATTTTCCTTTGGGAAATCACTACATAGCAGCCACAGGATCTGGCCCCAAACTTAGCTCCAGAGGTTGATGTTTACCAGCATAACCTAATCAGCACAATTTCAACCGTATTCTGATTAGCTGTGGGATGAACAGGAACCCAATTCTAAGCACATGGCATTTCCCCTGGCTGCCATGTTAGTTAGGCGGAATAAATGTCAGGTCTTTTGTTTGATGGTTATGGGTGTGAGTGAACAACCAGGGAACCCTGGCTACTACTAGCTGCCTTCTGGTGAGCACCAGGAAATCTAGGCCTAGGAAGACACACCTAGAGAACCCTGTGTGCAACTTGAAAAGTAGGTCTTTTTCCAGTTATTGAGCCAATGCATTGTCTTTATTGTTTAAGCCAATTTGGGGTTTCTGTCATCCAAAGCGTTATGATGTCTACCCCACTCCTACTTTTCCATCCCATTTTACCCGATTCTCTTAGGACATACATAAACCCACTTTGTAAGACTCTATAACTGTCCCCAACATACTCCATCTACTCCTAGCTCCTCATTTGTGTGTCATTCCCCTGCCTGAAATGTTCCTCCCTTGCTCTCTCCATTTTTCAAATCCTGTCTGGTCTTCCAGACTCAGGCTGGAGTCCTAATCCCTCCGAGGGCAGACATCCAGGACCATAATTTTCTTGTCTCATTATCGATATTAGTTGTCATCTGTGTCCTATTTTATACTTTTAAGTATCTTTCCACAAGCATAGTCTCGGGCTGGAATGAAGCTCCATATGTTTGCAACCCCTTGCAAAGGGCCCCTGGAAGAATATCTTGTGATAAATGGAAAACCAATAACTCCTGTATAGGCAGATGCAAAATGCGATTTAGACCTCCTGATCACTGCCAGTCACTCCTTCTTAATTCACATAGCAATGTAGAGGATAGACAGCAATTTCAGAGGCAACATATTCCAACATCACACAATTGGCCACGGCCCTGTCACATTTCACAACCAGACTGGCAGTAACAGCTGGATGAGGATCAGAAATTTATCAGGCTACTTTCCATTTGCAGATTGCTGAAGTCCTTCCAAGGAAGATGCAAGACTAACTCCTGTGTTCTAAAAAGTAAACATCCACACCTTTCAAATATCATCCTGGGGGCAACACCAGAATGGAAAACATGAAAAAACACAGCCCAAGGCATCCACCGAACAATAGGTTCCAGCCACCTTCAAAGTCTTTTATATCCCCTTTCATACCTGTAGCTCCAGATACCTTCGGAGCACTCTGGGAGTACATCTGTGAGATTTAAATGAGGAACATGAATAAACAGAGGTTGGGATTTACCCCCATCACAGAGATGATCAGGAGCTCATGAGTAAGTTGAGGGGTCATGCAGGACCCAGTACTATGTCCACTGAATATGACAAAATGTGTGTGTGTGTTCACATACGAGCCACAAAGATGTCAACGTAGCCACAAGATTGATACTATCCTAGACAGTCTAATCCTTTTGTATGTGTGGCATGACATGTCCCTTATCTGCACAAGGATTTTGACATCCCAGTTGGGGTCAACATTAACAGTATCTGAACATGTTTTTCAACAAAGTAGAGAAATGAAAGGGCTGAAAAATTTTAAAAATCACTATGAGTGATCTACAGAATAAAGCAGGTATCTTTACAAATACATATTTACCTATAATAATTGGGAGCTTATTAACAGTTAATCCTCCCTTCATAAGGAATAGCAGTTTCTTTGGTAAACGGCCAGATTCAGTGTTTCAATACTGCTTCTTTATCCCCTTTCCTCCCTGATTAACGCTGGTCTTTTCCTGGTTCCTAAATAGGTTCTCAAGAGGTCCACAGACTATCAGCAGGGGCTTGTAAACAAACTGCAGTATTACGGACCAAGGGCTTGGCAACAGAAATGCAGCATGCCTCCTCATGGCCTCTGCATCTCACATTACTACCAGGAGATTTGTTCTCCTCATTGCTCTAGTCTGTAAATGCTTTCAAGGTTGAGCTTTATTGTAAGCCATGTGGCTGCTAGAGATAGATCTCAAAGCTCCCCTTGCTCTAAAGGACTCCGCCTTCGCTGTGTGGCCACTGACCAAACTGATTTTGCCTTTCCTCCACACTGGCCATGGTGCCAAGATGGCCTCATGAACTACTCACACTCTCATTGGCTTTATGCTAAGAGGGGCTCTCTATGCTGTCCTTGCAACTGGATAGAAAAAACAAACCTTCAGACAACATGCCCCCAGGAAGACTATCTCCTGAGAAGCCAGTCCAGAACACTTCCCAGCTTTCTGGTTTGCCTTTCCAGAACATCTTAGTAGTTCACAACTATGGAGCAAGAAATGAAATACCAAAATTAACACAGCACAAGCAAAAGGCTGAATCCAAATAGTTGCTGTTCAATCAGAGAAAAAGCAAACCAAACACCAATCACAATATCTCTATCAGCACTTTTCAATCCACTCCAAGAACCCAACACAGATGAAGATTAGCCGTGCCCCAGCTCACTTGTCTGGAGGCTTCTTAAAGGAAAATCTCCAGCAAGAATCGATTTCATCAAAGCCAAGTGGTTTGCAGCAACTCCTTCTGTCACCAACAGGTCAGGAAAGAGCCCCCGTCAGAGGTAGTGAAGACAGAAATCAGTGCCGACCTCCCTCTCCACACTGTGCCAGGCAGGCCAGCCTCACTGTGTCAAAGCAGAGGACTTGCTCTTCCCCCAAGAATCAGAAACAGCTGCTCCCACTTCATCAAGTTTCCAAGATTCCAGAATGTTCCAGCCCCACCTCATGTCCTGAATTTCTGGCTCTACTGCTTCATAGAACCAGCAGAGCACAGAAAGGAAATACAGTCCAAAGACCTGGAATGCTGAGACATTGCCAAGTCCTCTTCTGGCACTCTCTCCCAAGCATGGTGAAAGAATTGACAGCACCAGTCTGGGATACAAACACCCCCAACTTTGGTTTGATATTCCGGATATCCATTTGACAAATATTTATTGAGTGCCCAATCAGAATAAGGCCCTGCCACTACACCTCAGCCAGGATGGGCTCGAGTTCTGAGTTCTGAGATTACCAAATTTCACCAATGCACACAGAGCAATATGGATTTCAGGCTGCTGTCCAAGAACAGGGAACAATTGTTCACTATTGATTCACTTGAGCATAAAAAGGATATGCAAATTTGCAGGAGATTTGCAGCTCTGCTGTCCCTGGAACCCTGCCACAAAACCCAGGAAAGAACACATTGAGACACAGTGACACACACACACACACACACACACACACACAAAGAGAAAGAAAGAGAGTTGGATTCAAGAGACACTATGCAAATGCAAGGTTAAAAAGATGCTGCCTCACTGGAAATGTTGCCTAGCCTGATAACCCACCTTTTCCTCCATCCTTTTTCTCTTTCCCTCTTTCCTCTTCAACAGACAAATGTGGACTTTTTGTGTTGTTTCAGTGCCTTGTTATTGCAACAAGCAATTTTTGGAAGAGTTAAGAAATGTACTGTTCTTCACCCCCCAATTTTTCTGTACACATCAGTCAATAAAAGAAAAAGCATAACAGCCGGGTGCGGTGGCTCACGCCTGTAATCCCAGCACTCCGGAAGGCCGAGGTGGGCAGATCATGAGGTCAGGAGATTGAGACCATCCTGGCTAACACAGTGAAACCCCGTCTCTACTAAAAATACAAAAAAAAAAAAAAATCAGCTGGGTGTGGTGGCAGGTGCCTGTAGTCTCAGCTACTTGGGAGGCTGAGGCAGGAGAATGGTGTGAGCCCAGGAGGTGGAGCTTGCAGTGAGCCGAGATCGCAACACTGCACTCCAGCTTGGGCGACAGAGCGAGACTCCGTCTCAAAAAAAAAAAAGTGAGGTCATCCCCAAATCTCCACTTAGCACAAGTCTGGGGTTATTAACACAATCAATGTGTTGCCACTAGCATTGATAAGGAAAAAAAAACTAAGAATAAAGTTAGCTAATCCTGACACCATCTCTTACTTCCATTAGAACCTGCCATTCTAGGAATGGAAGGAAACTTCAGGCTGTGATTAGAGGGGGGGAAGAAAAAAAAAAAAAAGCTTTTCTACTCCCACTTGCTTTTAAAAGATTTTTCTCTTAAAAGGGTAGATGATGATGACAGAGTTGATGGAAAAAATGTAGGATGGCGCAGTGGCAGATAAGCCAGAAGCGGTCTCCAGGAAATGAAAACTATTCCAAAGCACGCCTCAATTTAGAACCTTTAAAAGACTATGGAATCTGTCTGTTTTTTCAGGAAAGCATGATCCTTCCTTGTACACACAGTGTTGGTTTTTCTTCCAGGTGTCTGTGGAAACAAGCCATTCTAGGAATCCATGAGCAACCCACACCTCCTTTTCCAGTAATCACCACTTATAACCTTTTGGAAAAGTCCCACAGAAAGATGGCTAAGGAAGCAGATGCCCCACAGGAGGCAGAGACCACGAGTGTTGGCGAACCCAGAGGAAGAGGCGCTATGAGTTTGGGAGGCTGGGGGAGACTAGGGAAGAGGCACTGAACTGGGCTTGGACCAACCAGGACTCACCTATTACAGGGAAGAACCTTCCACAATATTTTTTAAAAGGTCTGGAGAAACAAGAAATATCATTTTTAAGGAATCTGAAATTTGGATGAACATGAAGAGCAGGCTCAAATGGAGATTCGCCACTCTAAGAACACAAATGATTATTATACAAAGCGTGATAGCTAACTTATCTTACAGCTCTCTCAGAGATCAGGACCGAGGCCTCATTAATTCTGACGACATCAGAGTCTGTCAAGGCCAGAAAGGACCTCATGGGCCCTACTACCCTCCACGCCAGCCCCAGCCCCTGAATAGCCCAAGGCCCTATCCTGGGTTTTCAGCTTACTATTACAGTCCTCCCTGGAGATGCTCTCACAGCTCCCCATTGTAGCCTGAACACAGTTTAACACAGTTTAATATTATATATTTGTGTGATTATTTCATTCATTAACTATTTGATAAGGATAAGAGCCAGGCGTGTATTAGAGCTCCATCTTTTTTTTTTTTTTTTGAGACAGAATCTTGCTCTGTCACCAGGCTGGAGTGCAGTGGCACGATCTTGGCTCACTGCAACCTCCGCCTCCTGGGTTCAAGCAACTCTTCTGCCTCAGCCTCCCCAGTAGCTGGGACTACAGGCGCACACCACCACGCCCAACTAATTTTTGTATTTTTAGTAGAGACGAGATTTACCATGTTGGCCAGGATGGTCTCAATCTCTTGACCTTGTGATCCACCCACCTCAGCCTCCCAAAGTGCTGGGATTATAGGCGTGAGCCAGCGCGTCTGGCCTAGAGCTCCATCTTACATCTGTCTCATCATTTTTCATTCCTGTCTCTTCTACTAGTCAATAAGCCCTAAAAGGACAGAGGACATGTCCACATTGCACATAATTATATCTCCGGCCCCTGTCCTAGAGCTTGGCATAGTAGGTACTCAGCAAATATATGCTGAATTAATGAAGTCCAACCTCCTTGTTTTAGAGTTGAGAATATAGAGTTTCTGAACAATTTGATGATGTGGGCAACCACTAGGGAGTGACTTAAGACCAAAGGCTTCCTGAGGAATGGCACCAACAGAGAAGCTATTAAACACTGCTATGGGGAAAATTAAAAGGCTCTGGAGCCAGACAGAGAGCAATACATGCCCATCCTAGCCCTGTCCCTGTAGTGGCCATCTGTGGATGGCCTCTCCAGCACTCATTTCCTCCTAGCAAACAATCTCTCCTTGATTATATTTCTGAAGCTGACATATGTCCTAGGTCACATATCCTAGGTCAAGCCAAGTCACTGTAGCCAGTCCATTTCTCTGGCCACAATGACTGGTTTAAGGCAAACACATGACTTGAGTCAATCTAGTCTTAGTGAATTTCATGACTTCTGCTTGTAATCCTGGGTCAAAGTTGCTGGCTCTTCTATGGTTGATGTGGCGTTCATTCGTAAGGCCTGAATCTTCTGAGGCTGTTTTTGTCACCATGAGTTGAAGACAGCATGATGGTGAGGCCCACATACATAGGAAGGCAGAGCCAAGACAGTCCTAGGACAAGGGATCAGATCCCTAATACCAACACGAATCCCTGGATTGAACCATACCTGAAACACACCCCATGGTTGGACTTCTCAGTCACAAAAACCAGTAAATTATCTTTGTTATTTGAATCAGTCTGGGGTAGGTCTTCTTTTACTTGCAACCAAAAGGATCCTAGTATATACAGTATTTTCCCGTTATCTGCAGTTTCAGTTGCCTGCAGTCAATTGTGGTCTGAAAATACTAAATGGGGCCGGGCGCGATGCCTCACACCTGTAATCCCAGCACTTTGGGAGGCCAAGGCAGGTGGATCAAGAGGTCAGGAGATCGAGACCATCCTGGCTAACATGGTGAAACCCCGTCTCTACTAAAAAATACAAAATCAGCCAGGTACGGTGGCAGGCGCCTGTAGTCCCAGCTACTCTGGAGGCTGAGGCAGGAGAATGGCGTGAACCCGGGAGGTGCAGCTTGCAGTGAGCCGAGATCCTGCCACTGCACTCCAGCCTGGGCGAAAGAGCGAGACTCTCTCTCAAAAAAAAAGAAAATACTAAATGGAACGTAACCCCCTCAAATAAGGGAAGACAACTGAATTAAGCATGTGATTTTGAAAAAGTAAAAATGAAGATAACACTTACTTCAAAAGGATTATCTTACAGATCAGTGAGGGACAAGAAAGGGCCCAGCATAATGTCTGGCACTTAACGAGTCCTAAATAAACACTCTTTGCATCTTATGAAAGTATTCGCCAAGGGTTCCTTTAAATAGTCTTTTTATCTAGTATATTAAAATATTTGTTCACAAATAATCCACAATATAGCAAAGCAGCTGGAGTAGCCAAAAATAAATACATAAAAAGGCTGACAGTCACTGATAGTCGAGGGCCCATCCAAAATGAAAACAAACATCTTGAAGTTACAATAAATATCCATGTAATAATGTCTATGGGCTCACAGATTCACATACTTTACTGTTGTATATATACACACCTATATATAAAAATATAATGCAATGAAAACTGAATTGTCACAAAACATTTCAGGAAGCTACCCACTGTATAAAGGGGGATATTGTCAGGTGTGCCGTCTATGGCTCATTCTCTTTCCATCTCAATCCCCTCCTCTCCCCTCCAACACACACACACACACCCCTGAGCAAACAAGGTTCAATCCAGTGGGGCTGACCCCAGGTAGGCAATACGATTGGGGAGCTGGAAGGGGTGGTTCCCTGAGCAGGATGGACCAGAGAAGATACACAGGCAGTGTCCTTGGGAGCACCATCCAGGGTCAAAACCAGAAAAGCTAAACTGTCCAAAATCCACAAGGCAAATTCCAGGCCGGAAACAGAATAGGCCAAGAAAGTCGAGAGCAAGAAATAACAGAATGAGGAAGGAAGGTGAAATTCAGCCAAGACAGTGGCCAATAATAGCAATAGTCAATACAAGATATTTACTTGTGTTACCTCATTTAATTCTCATGAAAATCCATGACGCTATTATTCTTCCTATTTTTAATGTTGTTATGGAACCTTTTAAACATATACAAAAGTAGAGAGAATAGTTCAGTGAAACCTCATACCCCTAACACAGGTATAAAAATCATCTACTCGGGGTGACTCTTGATTACCTACCCACTTTTCACCACTGCCCATCATCCCCAGCCCCGTGCGAAAATTTAAGTCAGTTTCTTATTTTGACTTTAGAAGTTCACAGCCTAGTTCCTAAAGCACATGACTCTCACCTGACCTGGGTAGTCATCCTCTTGATCTGTCATGAGCAGGGACCAGAGCAAACCTCAGTGGAATAACAGAGCTGAGTTGGACTGGGGAAATACCTCCAGATCCCAATGTGCCCCGATGAAGCATTAGGGACATATGAGCATATCTTGGCTCTGTTACTGTCTGAACTCCCTGGTGATCTTCCCCATGAGTATATTAATTCTGCCTTTCCACCCGGATCATGCATCCTGACCCAGTGAATCCCCTGACTAAGGCCCTTCGAGATCAAATCCAAATGCCGCCCTAGGCAGAAAGGCCCATTGCATTCTGGCACATGCTTATCTCTCAAGTCCCTCACCACTCCTAAAACTCCCACTATGCTGGACTTCTCAGAGTTCCAAAGTCCAGGTCCTGGCTTCTGCAAGCATTTTCTCACCTCCTGCCTTCTTCACCACCACCCATCACAGTCCCAAAATGGCCAGATTATGGTTAACACTTCTTTCCTCCCCTCCTTCAGAGAAAGGGCTGCTTGTCCATATTCTCATAACGCCCTGCACCTCTCTCTACCTGCATACCTCATTTTATGTAATTGGTTCTTAGGTCACTCCCAGTTTTACAGAGCACTCTTTGAAGGCCAAGACGCTTACTCATGTAAAAAAAAAAAAAAAAAAGTTTATTTATTTATTTTAAGATGGCGTCTCACTCCGTCACCCAGGCTGGAGTGCAGTGGTGCGATCTTGGCTCACTGCAACCTCTGCCTTCCGGGTTCAAGCGATTCTCCTGCCTCAGCCTCCCAAGTAGCTGGGATTACAGGACCCATCACCATGCCCAGCTAATTTTTTGTATTTTTAGTAGAGACGGGGTTTCACCATGTTGGCCAGGCTGGTCTCGAACTCCTGACCTCAGGTGATCCACCCACCTCGGCCTCCCAAAGTGCTGGGATTACAGGTGTGAGCCACTGTACCCAGCCTGTTTTATTTTTTATATTTAATGGACCCCTGGGGCACAGTGATGAGTTCGTTTGAATTTATTTATTGTAGTGTAAGTATTTACATGCATCTGCAAAATGAGCAGTTGGAGGTTTAGTAGTTAAGTCAAAATTGACTTTTAGTCTTTTTTTTTTTTTTTGGTCTCCTGTGCCTAAAAGGGGCCTGGATGTCATCAGTTAATGGTCTTCTGGCACATGGTATGTCTTCAGTTAGTGTTTAATAAATAAAAGAAGCAAACAAAAGGGTAGATGATGGCCAGATAGACAGCAAGAAGCACTCCTTAAACATTAGAAATCTCTCCCAATGAGTGCTTCATGCCAGGTAGATGCTCAATGTCCGAGTGGTTCACCTGAGATAATGAGCCCCTCGGGTTACCCACCCGGCCCCACCAGGCACTGGAACTACCTTCTTCTAGTTTCCAAGATGCCCACTAATTCCAGTGCTCAGGTATTTGGTAGACAAACTGCACTCCCTCTGCTGATGCCCTTTCAGAGTGATGCTGACTTTAATCACATCCTCCTTCAGGCCCTTGTCTTAGTCTGCCTATAGACCTCTAATCTCTGGAACAGCCCCTCCCAGTGAAGGTGCACTATCACTTCAATCATATATGCTGTCCTTTTCTGGACATGGGCCCACTAGGTGACAGATTTGTTGAGAATGCCACCATCACCACCTTAAGGACTATTCACAGCACAGCGAGCCAAGGTTTCAACCCCACCCACCACTCAATCTTGGCACACACATGATTTACTGTAACAGGACAACCTTCTCCCACTCCCAACATCTTACCTGTATAAAAATGAAAATGCTTCCAAGAAAGCACGCCTCAATTCTATCAGCACTGCCTCAGATTTTCATTGCTTAAGCTCCCTAAAATGTCTGCTTCTAATTTGGCTAAGGGTGGAGAAGGGAAGAGCAGGGAGAGAAAGTCATCAAATCTTTGCCGGCAGGTAAGCTATGGTTTTTGCTGTGGTTGGCCCTGAAATTTAGACTCCATGGGTATTCTCCCTTTGCAAATCACAACTGAATCTCCTAAATCCCCTACCAGAAGTAAGCTACTATACTTTAAGATCTTTTACATTTTATGTTTCTCTGAAGAACAGAGATGTTTTATTATGGTAATCAGCAGGTAATAAAGCACTTACCCTCTCTCCAAAGTAGATCAAATGGGATATACTTACCCCTACATTTTTTTAAAGCATTCCATTTGTTCTTAGAAATTGTAACAATTTTTCAGAATGACAGTCCTAGGTTTATTGATTCACAAATGGCCTGAGTCTATCAAGTGGATATATACTTCCTTACATAGAAAGAGGTTAGAGGGGAGAATTTAACATTCTAATTTACAGGTACAACTAACTTCTTTTTGCCTCCTAGAAACTGCACATTAAATCCTGTAGATTCAGAAATCAAACTAAAACCCCAAATCTAAAACCAAGGAGGAAGGATGTTTGAAAGGGGTCCTAGAGCCTACACAACAGGGACAGAATTTGTTGCTATATGTACCTATGTCCCAGAAAGGAACTTTCTGCTATACAACCTGAAAATAATTTATTCATCTGACACAGCTGAGTTCCAATCTAATGCTTTAGGCTCTGAGGGCTTGGGTAATTATATTGCATTCAATGCAAAGTATTGATGACAATAGTTTGAAGTGGTCCTATAAGAATTAGGGCTAATAGGCCAGAAGTGTAGGTGCTTAATATCCAAGGGCCATTACTATATTACTCTTGAGCTCTTGATGGAAGAATGGAGAGGATATTAGATTGGTAAAAACAAAGAAAAGGCTGGTGTTTTTGTGTGTGTGTGTGTGTGTATGACAAAGTCTCACTCTGTTGCCCAGGCTCTGGAGTGCAGTGGCGCAATCTCAGCTCACTGCAACCTCTGCCTCCTGGGTTCAAACAATTCTCCCACCTCAGCCTCTGAGTAGCTGGAGTTACAGGCGCCCATCACCATGCCCAGCTAATTTTTGTATTTTTAGTAGAGATGGGGTTTCACCACATTGGCCAAGCTGGTCTCGAACTCCTGACCTCAAGCAATCCACCCGCCTCAGCCTCCTAAAGTGCTGCGATTACAGACGTGAGCCACCACGACCAGCCAAGGCTGCTGCTCTTAACAGTGTGGGAGGTGGAGCACTGTGGCAGAATGAGGGAATGGGCAAGACACTGAGGAGCCTCCTCAACACTATCAAAAGGAAAGGATGCCCTGTTTAGATGCTTGAACTGGGCTATTGAGACCAGAAACTCCCCAGAGCACAGGAGCAGAGAAGTCAATCAGGTTTGAAGTTGCTAGAACTGCACCTCCCAACCCACTCTTCAAACAATCCTTTAACATTCTCATCCATCATTCCACCTCTCAGATAACCCTAACTTACACTGGCTGAGCAATCAAGACTGTGGGCAGAGAAAAGAGAAAAGCTCAGCTGAGGGACTAAGCAAGTAAATCACTTCCTTCCCTGAGGCTCAGTTTCTTCATCCATAAAATAGATTTGTTATATAAATATCAAATAAGATCATCTTTTTTACAGTGTTTTAGATACTTTATGGCATTACTCCACTTTCTAGGAGCTGAGACCTCCAGGTAAACTGGTTTGGCTTCTGGACTAAGTACTACTGAAGATTAGACCCCAACCCCCAAATATCAAGGAGCTTGTCAGTCCTAGAGGTGAAGGTTTTCCTTGAACACCACCTGTTTAGAAAACGCCTTTTAAAAACTACAATGACAGGCCGGGCGCGGTGGCTCATGCCTGTAATCCCAGCACTTTGGGAGGCAGAGGTGGGCGGATCACGAGGTCAGATCGAGATCATCCTGGCTAACACGGCGAAACCCCATCTGTACTAAAAATATAAAATATTAGCCGGGCGTGGTGGCAGGTGCCTGTAGTCCCAGCTACTCGGGAGGCTGAGGCAGGGGAATGGCATGAACCCAGGAGGCGGAGCTTGCAGTGAGCTGAGATCAAGCCACTGCACTCCAGCCTGGGCGACAGAGCAAGACTCCGTCCAAAAAAAAAAAAACACTACAATGACAGAGTGAGTTCTAGTGTTCAGCAGCACTGTGGGGTGAATGTGGTTAACCAGAACTTATTGTACATTCTCAAGCAGCTAGAAGAGTAGATTTTGAATGTTCCCAACACAAAGAAATGATAAATGTTTGAGGTGATGAATATGCTAATTACCCTGACTTGATAATGACACATATCAAAATATGACTCTGTATCCTATAAACATGTACAATTATTCCATGTCTACTAAAACTTTTAAAACAGTTCTTTAAAAATTACCATTAGAGCACCTATTCTTGCGAATAGCTCGGTCAGGAAAGCATCCTGCTGACTTTACAAGGCCCAAGGAGAGGGCATCCATCTCTTCCTTCATGCCCACAGATGATATCACATCGCACAGATGGCACATCTACCATCTACACTATTACAGCGCTGTTCAGACACCCTAGGGAGGACAGACAAAACACACGTGCTGTCAAGATCGGCAGGATTCCACTGCAGGTAGGCAAAAATACAAAAATTTATTAACAGCATTTAACCATCTCCAATAATCAATATGTACTAATTAGTCCTGTTCTTGGATTCCTTCTTTTCAAAAATGCACCCAAATTGGTGCCACAGAAGAAAAAACAAGATATCAGAAGCCCCTACGGATGAGAGAAGGGAAGAGGGAATTGACAAGACCTGTGACCTGTGACCTCTAACCTGGAAGTGAGTGCCTTGGGAGAATCCTAGAGAATCCTTCTCAGGCCTGGCTGCCCATTAGCAACACCTGAGCAGCTTTAAAAAAGCCCAGGCCTGAGCATTTGTTGTAGCTGTAAAAGATCCCCCGGTGATTCTACTGTGCAGCAAACACTGTAAACCACTAAACCAGTGATTATGAGGGTCTCCAAACTACATGGCAAAGAAGGGCTAGGAAACAGTTTTGAAATTTAAACAATATTTAAGATACTGGATTTCAGAAGTAACAGCAATAATAGTAACAATAATAATAAATGTCAAAGGAAGGCCGAATGTTTATTCCAAGGAGCAAAACTCCAAAAGTACATTTGTGAAAACTGGATGCTAGAAATGTTGAGAGCGGTAGCAGTCACAAGACTTTGCGCATTTGTCAAAAGTGAGAACGGTTCATACACACACATAAGAGTTATTGTATGAAAATTTAAAATAACTTTAAAACATACTGGCCAGGTACGGTGGCTCACGCCTGTAATCCCAGCACTTTGGGAGGCTGAGGCGGGCAGATCATGAGGTCAGGAGTTCGAGACCAGCCTGACCAACATAGTGAAACCCCGTCTCTACTAAATTACAAAAATTAGCCGGGCGTGGCGGCAGGCACCCATAATCCCATCTACTCCAGTGGCTGAGGCAGGAGAATTGCTTGAACCTGGGAGGCAGAGGTTGCAGTGAGCTGCAATTGTGCCACTGCACTCTGGCCGGGGCAACAGAACCAGACACTGTCTCCAAAAAAAAAAAAAAAATCAAGTTATCTAACCCAATACTACTCAATCTTGGCTAAATACCAGAATTACCTGGAGAGAGAGGGGTGTGTGTGTGTGTGTGTGTGTGTACACACAGACAGGGTCTCACTATGCTGTCCTGGCTGGTCTCAAATTCCTGGGCTCAAGCAATCCTCCTGCCTCTGCCTCCCAAGTAGCCAGGACCACACCACTGCCATAGATCACCTAGGGAGGTTTTAAAAATCCTGACGCATAGGCTGTACCCCAAATCAATTACATCAGAATCTGGGAGTGCTGGGGAGGTTTCTGAGTTTTGGAAGTGCCCCAGTGGCACTTGAGTGCCAGATGACTCCCATGGGCAGCCACGTCTAATTTCCTGTAGAACAGTAGGAAGAATAACAGCAAGTGTTCTTAACACACAGCTAACACAAAGGAATGTGGCTCCCAAACAGTAAAATCACATCTACCCTACTTTCTACTCACACAGGGAAGTTCACTAAAATCTACTCAAGTTTCCAAAATGATACCATACCTAGCAGCAAATAAGGCAGACAAACCCTGTGCCCTCACAGAGCTTAGGCAGAGCAAAGGCCCAGAGCTGCAGGACTTCCCGGAAGTCGCATGCCACTTAGGGGCAGAGCCAGGATCAGAACCCACCATCTCCTAATTCTGTGTAGAGAAGCAGAAAGAACAGAGGCAACTGCCTCACAGTACTGTGAAATATATATTTGGTCTTGTTCCTAGTTTCCTGACAGATAGCTCCTGAAGTGCTGGGGATCTCCAGAGTGGTAAGAGTGCCTTTGTGTGCTAGTAAGATGACTGATGACTAGGGGCCCCTAGCCAGCTTCAGGATAAGGGCTGGTCACAAAACCTGATGAGAAGGTTGGGACTGATTTCAGGCCCACTCCCAACCTCAGAGGAGGGGAGCGGGGCTGAAGTCTGACTTGATCATCAATGGCAAATGATTTAACCAATCACTCCTACACAACGATGCTTCCATAAAAACTCACATGGACTGGGTTCTGGGAGCTTCCAGATAGTTGAACACATGCAGGTTCTTGGAGGGTGGTGCATCCACCCGGAGTGGGCATGGACGCTCCAAGCTCCTTCTCCCATACTTCACCCTATGCATATTTTCCATGATGTTTCCCTGAGTTCTGTGAGCTGTTCTAGCAAATTAAATTGAGTCCGAAAAGGGTGTCATGGGAACCCCCAGCATATAGCCTGTCAGTCAGCAGCTCAGGCCACAATCTGTGCTGGCCACTGGCATCTCAAGTGGAGAGTAGTCTTGTGGGACTCAGCCATCAACCTGTAGGACCTGACACTATCTTTAGGTAGTGTCAAAATAGAATTGAATTAGAGGATACCCAGCTGGTGTCTGCAGGAGAATCAATCCCCTGGAGAATTGCTTGGTGAGTATGTGGGGAGAAATCCCTACACACTGTGGGGAGAAATCCCTACACACTAGACCTGGGAGTCTGTTGGAAATGCAGATCCTCAGGCTCCTACTGGATCTGCTGAATCAGAATCCACATTGTAACCCCTGGTGACTGATATTCACACTAACATTTGGAAGCACCGGAGTAACCCCATCCCAGAGCCAAGTGACTGCTTCTTGTTAATTAAGACAATGGGCAACCATCTGTGGCTCACACCATAAGCAAACAGCAGCCAATCACCTGAGCCTAAAAGCTACCAGATGGGATGCATGTTACACCACAGACTCAGAGTAATCCACAGGGCTTGCTGCATGGGGCCCTTCTACACAGCTGCCCACAGGTTGCTGGACAGAAAGACCAACTTCTCTCCTTAGCCAAAGCACCAGGGAAGCCTACAGCCCTGGTCCTAGCATCTGCTAACACCAAGAAAGACATCTAAATACCTGCCATCATAATTCAAACCCTCCTGGCATTTTTTATGGGGGGTAAATTTCACTTCTTTAAGTAACCCATGAGATGAGAAAGAAAAATACAATTACTCTCAGAACAAAAAGCAGCTAATCCTCTTAGTGTCTGTCTGCTTCCCTCTCCTTCTATATAGATGTGCTTATCTATTATTATATATATTTATAATGATCCTTGGAGTCTAAAAACCTGAATTAGGGCTCTTACAACTAAACATAAGCTACAAACAGACAGATCACTGTTGAGGGAGGGGTTAGGGGATGGGGGAGCCATCATGGAAAACATCCCCCTGACCAGCTTTCCCTGAATCTAACTTAAGGCTCTCAAAGTGTGGAACATGGGCTACCTGCCTTAGAATCACTGAAGATGATCCCATTCCTGGGCCCAAGAATCCACTTTTTTTTTTTTTTTTTTTTTTTTGAGACAGAGTCTCACTCTGTCACCGAGGCTGGAGTGCAATGGTACAATCTCGGCTCACTGTAACCTCTGCCTCCCGGGTTCAAGCGATTCTCCTGCTTCAGCCTCCCAAGTAGCTGGAATTACAGGTGCCCACCACCACACCTGGCTATTTTTTGTATTTTTCATAGAGACAGGGTTTCACCACTTTGGCCAGGCTGGTCTCAAACTCCTGACCTCAAGCGATGCGCCTGCCTCGGCCTCCCAAAGTGCTGGGATAACAGGTGTGAGCCATCGCGCCCAGCCTAGAATCCACATGTTTAACAACCCCTTCCCCATGAATTCCTGCACACATAAAAATTTGAAGCTAACTGCCATCTGATCTAGATACACAGTTACATGAAAATTATCAGACTCAGTACTTAATCTTCATAATTGTGGGGCATCTCGTTTCCCACTGTTCTGAGGAAGAACTGACTGGGGAAGTGGAATTCTTACCCAAGGTCACACAGCAGGTAAATGATTGTGGCTAAAACACTATAGCTGAGGCCCTTTCAACAGACCATGGAAGCAAATTCACAAAAACCAAACAAACAGAGAGGCATGGTTTTGTTGCTAAATCACCATTTGTCACGTGAAGCAAGAGCAATGCTTTTCTAAAAAAAGGTTAAGGTCTGGTCTCTCTTGCAAGGGTATTGCAGGGACTGTTCTGGGTCCCATTTCCAGGACAGGACTGTGGCTGCCAACAGGGACAGTGGGCAGCATGTCGTAAAGGGCTCTGGAGAGCAGTTCACTGCTGGCTGGGTCTGGGAACCACATAACAATCCACTGGCCTGATGAAAGTTCATGAACTTTCAGTAAATTCAAATTATTCCCAGTAATGCTGGATGCAGTGGCTCACACCTGTAATCCCAGCACTTTGGGAGGCTAAGGTGGGCAGATTGCTTGAAGCCAGGAGTTCGAGACTAGCCTGGGCAACATAGCAAGACATTGTCTCTACTAAAAAAACAAACAGAACAAACAAAAAAACCAAGAAACCCTAAAACAAACAAACAACCCACGACATTAGGCATGGTGGCAAGTGTTTGTGGTCCCAGCCACTCAGGGGGCCAAGACGGGAGGATTGCCTGAGCCTGGGAAGTCAAGGCTATAGTGAACCTTGTTTGCCCCTTTGCACCCCAGCCTGGGTGACAAAGTGAGTACCTGTCTCACAAAAAAAAAAAAGAAAAGAGAAAAAGAAAAAAGTAAAAAAAATAATTATTCCCAGTGTGCGATATTTGAAGCAGTTCAGACTCTTCTTTCCATGATGGATCACACCACTTGGGGGACACCCACACGTAACAACAAGACAATGATTCCCAAACAGACGGCTTCAGGAGGCTCACCCGAGGCTCTAAAAACAGGCTTCTAGCCCATTCCTCTCAGAGATAATGATTTGGGGATGAACATCAAATCCATAGTAGTATTAGGGGGAAAAAAATCTACCATGTTTTCAGGTTCAGTGGGGAAGGCCCACGTATAATACAAAAACTAGAAGCCACATAAGACAAGATGGATACCTTCGACTGAATTAAACTTAAAATGTTTTATTTTAAATTCTAAATTGACAAATTACAACTATATTTATGGGGTATATGTGATGTCATGAACACAATGTGGAATAATTAAATCAGGCTAACATATTCAATACCTCAAATATTTATTTTTATGGTGAGAATATCTGAAATTTACTTTGAAATTTTGAAACATCCAATACATTCTTATTTACTATATTCACTTCACCACACTGTGCAATATACCCAAAGCATATGAAAAAAAAGACATTCCTCTAATTGAGCCTTCGTACCCTTTGACCATCATCTCCCCAACCAGCCCAACCCCTGGTAACCACCATTCTACTTTCTGCTTCTATGAGATCAAGGATTCCACACGTGAGAACACATGGTACTTGTTTTTCTGTACCTGGTTTATTTCAGTTAACATAATGTTCTCCAATTCTACCCAAGTTGCTGCAAATGACAAATTTCTTTTTTAAGGCTGAATAGTATTCCACTGTGAATATACACCATATTTTCTTTATCTATTCATCTGTTGATGGGACTTAAGTTGATTCTAGAACTTTGCTATTGTGAATAGCTCTGCAATGAGCATGAGAGTAGAGATCTCCATAAACTGACTTCAAATCTTTTGGGTAAACACTCAAAAGTGGGAATACTGGGTCTAAATCTAATAAAAAATCTGAATGGCAATACATACTATAAAGACAAATGATATAGGAAAAATTATTCACGACTAAAACAATAGACTAACTTAATTAAGAGCTCTAACAAATGAATAATAGACCCCAACACCACCTAATAGGGAAAAAAGGCACAGAAGTATGAATAATTGTTAGAAAAGAAAATAGGACAGTTCTTCAACAAGCAAGTCAAAAAACGTTCAACTCCACTTAGAGAAATGCAAAATTAAAAAAGATACTATTTTTCATGTGTCAGAAAGACGAAGATCAGAAAGTACAACAGTGTAGGTAACAGAAGTCCTGGGAACAGAACTTCTCTTACATCTTTTCCCCAAGAAGAAAAATTAGGCAATGCCTATCCATTTTTTAAATTTGTATTTCTAGGGCCGGGCATGGTGGCTCACGCCTGTAATCCCAGCACTTTGGGAGGCCAAGGCAGGCAGATCATGAGCTCCGGAGTTCGAGACCAGCCTGGCCAACATAGTGAAACCCTGTCTCTACTAAAAATACAAAAATTAGCCGGGCATGGTGGCGCGTGCCTGTAATCCCAACTACTTGGAGGCTGGGGCAGGAAAATCACTTGAACCCCTAAGGCGGAGGTTGTGGTGAGCTGAGATTGTGCCACTGCACTCCAGGCTGGGCAACAGAGCGAGACTCCATCTTGAATGAATGAATGAATGAATGAATACATGAATAAATAAATAAATAAACAAACAAACAAATACATTTATATTCCTTTGACCCAAAAATTCTACTTTTAGGAATTTCTCCTAAATATAAATTCACAAATATGCAAAATGTTATTTGTTCATCAATATTAAGAATAACAAAATATTTATTTATCTTTTGAGACAGAGTCTCGCTCTGTCACCCAGGCTGGAGTGCAGTGATGCCATCTCAGCTCACTGCAACCTGCGCCTCTCGGGTTCAAGCAATTCTCCTGCCTCAGCCTCCCAAGTAGCTGGGACTACAGGCGCAAGCCACAAGGCCCGGCTAATTTTTGTATTTTTAGTAGAGAAGGGGTTTCACCAGTTGGTCAGGCTGGTCTCGAACTCCTGACCTCAGGTGATCCGCCCCCCTTAGCCTCCCAAAGTGCCGGGATTACAGGCATGAGCCATTGGTGCCTGGCCTAAGAATAACAAAATATCAGAGACCAAAGTATGTCCATCAACAGGGAACTGGGCGAATAAGTTACAGTGCATCCATATGATAGAATACTATGCAGCCATTTTTTAAATCTCCTGAACCAGAAGTCCTATATTTACTTATGTGCAAAGATTTCCAAAATATAAAGCAAAATACTGAAAAGTAAATGTGGTATACTATCACTTGTGCTTAAAAATACACACATAAACCATGAGGGAAGGTTCCCTGTGAGGAAGGAAACTGGTACCTGAGAGACAGAGGTAGGAGTCATAATTATTTTCCCTACTTATCCACCCTCTGTGGATGTACTGTCCTTTTTTTTTTTTTTTTTAAGCTTTTAAGTAAGAGAAAAAAAATAAAAAAAACAAGAGAGGCAAGGGAGGGGCAGGGATTGGAGACAGGATGGGGCACGAGAGACCACCTGAGTGTAAAGTTGCAATACGAGTTCTCTCCTATTTCTCTCTTCAATAGTTACTTTACAGTAGACGATAAAAGCCCTAAAAAGGCTGGGCGCAGTGGCTCACACGTGTAATACCAACACAAGGCCAAGGTGGGAAGATTGCCTGAGTCCAGGAGTTCGAGACCAGCCCTGGCAACACAGACCCGGTCTCTACAAAAAAAATTTTTTTTAATTAGCTGGGCATGGTGGTGCACACCTGTAGTCCCAGCTACTCAGGATGCTGACGTAAGAGGGTCAACTGAGCCCAGGAAGTCGAGGCTGCAGGGAGTCATGATCATGCCACCACACTCCAGCCTGGGCAACAGAGCAAAGCTGTCACACACACACAAAAAAAAAAAGCCCTGTAAATGTTACTTTAGCCTCAGTAATTCCACTTCTGATAATCCATCCCCAAATACTAATAAAGCTTTATATGAAGAGACTCCATTAAAGTATTACTTATGAGTAAAAAGTTGAAATAACCAGTGCAATGTGTGTTTTAAGGATGTTCAGCTATGCTGTAGAGAACAAGACAACAAAACCAAATGGGACAGATGAAACGCCTAAGGTGTGTGAAGTACAGAAAGTAAACAAGCACACAGCTGAGAGACATCAGCCATAGATGAAGACAGAAGAGCGTATGCAGTCTGAACACAGATTGGAAGGGATAGAAAAACCAAGTGGTGGCTCAGTCTTCATCGATATCCAAGATCAGCCACCCAGTGGTGACATTCTGACCCGACTTGTTTGCCTGAGACATGCCAAAAAAAAAAAAAAAAAAAAGCAAGCTCTGGATACACTCAAGAAGGGCTGTCAATAAGTGATACCTTTGCCAGACATAGCCCCTGCATTTCTCTAACAGAGGAAGTATGTGGGCTCCTGGCACCTTCTGTCTCTTGAGTACCCTTGCTCATTCTCAGATCTGGCCCTCAGGACCATGCCACTGGTGTGGAACAGAGTGTCGCAGACATAGAGTCTGGACATGCCCAAGCCAGGATACAAGCAGTGTGGTCCATCTACCCTGATGGACCTAAGTTTGTTAACCTACTCCGTCTCCTTCCTCTTGCTTCTCCTTGTATGCTTAAATTCACTTAATCAATCGAATGACTCAATCACCTTAATCTGATCTGTAAGCCTTTCTGTTAGTGACTTCTGGGATAGTGTCCTTGGAGGCTACCATAGCATTAAGATAATTTCCCACTATGACAAATACAGGAAATGATTACATATGTTTTGACATATCCATTTAACAAATTATCAATTTAAATTATATTTTGGCTTCAGTAACCTCATAAGCTTTCTCAATATTTGAAAAATATAAAATTTAATGGAATGTAAACTATATAAAAATAAACTAATTTTAATGAACAAAAGTATATGCACATATCCATCTATTTTTAAAACTAAGAAAACTCACTAAAATGTTAACAGTGGTTATCTCCAGGGTAAGTCATATATTCATGTGATTTTTTAAAGTATTTTTTATATTTTCCACATGTATTTTTATAATCTGGAAAAGTCATAAACTTTTAAATATACACAGAGAAAAAGACTAGGAGGAAATCTATCATAATGGTTAGTGGCTATAGGATTCAGAGTAACTACTTTATTCCTCCACTTTTATAGTACTTTCAGTAATGGTCATCTTGTACTTTTATCATCACAAAAGCATTTTTCCCCTTGAGACAAAGAGGCTGGCAGTGGATAAGACCCACCAGCTAAAAGCCCAGCCCTGGAATTGAAAGTTAAAGCCATACTGTGTACAGACATAATTGTGCATGCATTCCCAGTTGAAGTAAAATCTGTCAAACAGGGTCTACTTGTTTTGCTGCAGGAATGACATGAAAGACATTTTCTGTAAAATTTCTGAGGCATGTCCATCTTTGGGAATGACTTACCACTATTTCTAAGGCTATGAGGTCATCATTTTTGCCTGTGACATATTGCTGTCACCAACGTGAGAGGCCAGGGACCCTCCTGTCTTGCTCAAACACCTCCACCCAACAGCGGGTGATAAACCAGGTGGGCTTTTCCTTAGACAGGGTTTGCTTTAGCATAATACAGCTAACGGTTTCCTGATGCAGAGGCACTGGGAATTTTATCCCCAGCCTCAGCAATACAAGGATAAAGGTCCCAGCTCAACCAGCCAAGAAACCCACAAGGGAACCCAGCATATATTTCATAGAGGCCAAATCTCGCTCATCATCATCACCACCTAAAATGATCCCTGAGGAGTCCAAAGAAGACTTCGGATTTTGACACCAAACACCCGACACCGTGTCTCCAATCCCACTGGCTATGGTATGCACTCCTCACCTACAATCTCAAAATCCAACCCATCCCTGAAGGCACTTGTCTCAACAATTTAACCCTTGGAGGCCTTCCCAAGCATCAAAAGGAAGCTCGACGTCATGTCTCTTTGGTACAACACGTGCCTGTCTACAGGTGCATGTATGTATATTGTAAATATACATCTATACATACAGACTCTAACTATAGACTGTAGATTGGTACATGTGCACACATGCTACAATATCAAAACATACACCTCACTTTTGTGAATGCTAGTACTTCACTTTCCAAGTATTCATGGCTTGTCTGTAGGCACATAGGATAAGGACCCTGAGAACAGGGGCTGGCATCTATAACCCCTACATTACCTCTCACATGGAAATAAAGAATATTTCCCAACTTCCAAATGGAAATAAAGATTACTTGGGATAGGGTCTAAGGGAGATCCTTTTGGGCCAGCATCTTAAGCTGATAGAGAAAACATGAGATTTAAAATGTTTGCTTCTGTTTGAAAGTAGAGCACCTTTAAGATTTCTGAGGGGTCCTGCCCAGCAGAGAATGTCTCTTGACCTGCTGAGGGAAGGGCCCCTGAGATGACTGTAACTAACCAGGCATTCCAAACCAGGGGCCTGGATTGGCTCACAGTGCTGGCTTCACTGGGGCTCAGAAGGGACTGTGAGGAGATGCGGAAGCGAAGTTCCAGCGACGCATATCATTGAGTCAGAGTGCACAAGAATGATGGCTGTATGTGTTCATATGGTTTCATTCAGAGGAAGTGTACCAATGTTTTAATTACCATTAGAAAGGAAATAATGACCAGCCTGGCCAACATGGTGAAAACCCATCTCTACTAAAAATACAAAACTTAGCCAGGCATGGTGGCACATGCCTATAATCCCAGCTACTCAGGAGGCTGAGGCAGGAGAATCGCTTGAACCTGGGAGGCAGAACTTGCAGTGAGCCGAGATTGCGCCACTTCACTCCAGCCTGGGTGACAGAGAGAGCCTCCGTCTCAAATAAAAAGGAAATAATTATTTTTCCCTTAAATCTTTTGCTTATTGAGTTTGTTAATTGAGTATGTAACATATAAGAAAAAATAATAAATATATAATCTACATGACCAACCACATCATTGCCTACTCCAAGCCACCCTTCCTGCCCCACCTGCACCATTAATGCAAAACTGAAGTCTTTAATCTACCCTTCTTCCAGCTTCCCTTGCAGCAGTTCTCACTGGTGGCAGAGTTATAGATCCCACAGCACACTGCCAAGAGCTCTGACAGACTGCCAGAATTCCTCAGCAAGACGCATGAGGGGCACACTGACTAAGGAGGCCTGAGCTAGAAGCAGGGGTGCCGTGTGGGCTGGGGGGAACAGGTGAGGGCAGCATCCAGCTGCCCTTTCACTACCTAAAGGGACCTTACAGACAGAATGACCCACAAGTCTAAGCAAATGTCCTATTTTCTATAAGGTATCCAGAACCCTGTTACTGAAGGAGTAATAAAAGGGAACAAAGTGGAGGAAACCAACATTGACAAGAAAAGGGTGACTGCAGTTATGTTTTCACCAATTTCTGATACCCAAGAAAAAGATCAAACTAAATTGCAACATTACCACAGAAAAGACATTGTACTAACCTCACACATTGTTCTGCCAATGGCCAGAGAAAATATGATTAGAGAAGGTGGGGTATGGTTGTCCCCAGGGGAGGAGTGAATGACCCCATTTAGGAAGTGAACAGCAGGATGTATTCAATAAATTTCAGAAGAACCAAGTTGCATAAATCTGTATATGCAAGTTAATCCCATGCTGGTTTTAAATCATCTCAAAGAGATTGGTATACATTTCAGGGAGATCTGAGAACATTTTACACATCACCCTCATTTTGTTGAAAATGACAGCTTGCCTGAGGACACGTGGATGGCCTTAGCAAATCAACTTTAATAAACTGATTAAACACATGTGAGAGACAATGCACACAGGGCTCTGAGTAGAAGGGTAAGATCTGCAGCTACACAGCTCAGGGAAGGAATCGTGTGACCTTGGGCAAGTGCCTTACAGTCACCATGTAAAATTGGACTGCAATAGTGTTCACAAAAGGAGGTTGTGAAATGAATTCACATGCAGAGATGCTATCACGATGACTATGAGGATGAGCTCCACCATGTTGCTCTTGTCCTATTTAGCTAACTATGACTCAAGGTAAATCATTCTAACTTTATGGACCTTTTTCCCCTTGAGTGCAAAATGAAAGAAGGAAAATCGTTTCCAACTTCAAAATCCTTTCAATCAAATTTCTTCTTCTATTCATTTGTTGGGGGAACTCACCATGGACAAAGGATACCAACATGAACTTCCAGATCCTACCACTGTTTCTCAAACATCTGTAGGAATGAATAAAAGCAAGCATATAATGCATGTATGAGGCAGCCCAACTGATTCTGAATTCTAAAGCTGTGAATTTGAATGAATGAAGCTGCAGATGACAATCTCAATAGGTATCATTTACTGACATTTACTATATGCCAAAACAGGGCTGTTTAAAGTTCATGGTGGTTTCATCTACTCCTTCTGAGGCTACTTCAAGGTAGGGAGGCTACTTCAAGGTAGGGATCTGAAGTCCTATCCAAGGTTCAGAAAGGAGAAACGACTGGCTTTTGTTCCAGGGGACACAGTCTCGCTTGCTTCTGAGCCCAGCGTCTTCTCTCTACAGCACGCTGTCTCAGCACCCCGATGAGGCAGGTCCATGCCTAAATTGCTTCCTACACACACAAGCACACACCTGCAAGACCCTCTAAAATGAGAATTGTTAAATTGTTAACAGAAAAACTCAGAGTATAAAATCTGCCATTGACAAAGCTTCTACTCACAGCTTTGTGAAAGCTGATGATTTTAGTTTATGAACTAAACTAAACATGAACAGTAAGACAGTTTTATTTCCCAGCATTGAAAAGGCTATGTTATCAGGGCACAGGAATGCTGGAATAGCCCAGAATTCCCACACACAAAGAATTCCAGGTGGTTTTCAGGGCTCTCCTCCTAAGAAAATGGAAGGATTGGGATTTATGTTTACAAAATGCCTAACTGGGAAGCAGATAGTGGTTCCCACAAACCACCTTTCACCCCAGGTCCCTCAAAAGGACATAGGAGCAGCATCTAATACTAGTAACCTGGATAAATTTGCTTTGCTCAGATTGCTCTGTTCTGGGTTAGCTCCCCAAGACTGAGCTCTTCCCAGCTGGGATCGGTATGTTCAATACAGGAAAGGAATAAAGCATATCTCGCATTCATACAGCACTGTGCAATTTAGTTGCCTTTTGTCTTTAATTTCTAACTTAATTGGTTTTGACTTAAGTGGCCCACACAACACTGCCTCTTTAACATTTATTGAGGTGTGTACACTGTCACTTTTCATAAATGTACCACGTTTTAAAAATATGTACTTTCCAAGTTGTGAAAGCTGTGTTCTATGTGTGTCCACTAGATCAAGCTAGTTATTCTCTATTATTTATTTTTCTGCCCATTTGATATATCAATTACTGGGATAAATTCTCCCACTTACGCCAATGGATTTGTGAACTTTTCCCTCCAAGATTCAGCCAACTTCTTCTCTCTATATATATCCTTATATAAAGCACATATAACATAGTTAGCATAGTGTTCAGCTCTGAAGCTGCCAGCTGCTAATAAAATAGTCCTGGACTTGTCTAAGGACATACAGCTATTCACTAGCATAGAATTAAAGCCCTCTGACCCCCTTCTCTTAATCAGAAAGCAGTATGGGGCAGAAGGGAAGGCAGGTTTGTACAAAGTATTTATTCCAGAACTTTATGGTTAGAGAAGTGCAGGAGAACACCACCATGTCCATACCTCACTGAGAATCTTAAGTCATATGTCAGCTAAACATTTTATCTTCCCCAACTTAATTGCCCAGTTTAACTCATTCTCTCTGGAATTTATCTCCCCTTGTTGCTGGCTTCGGGGCTCTGTAAGAACAGCTGTGCCATGATGTACTTTATATAAACTTCTGGTCCTGAGAAATATTTGGCATATTTAAGCATATTTAAGGCAGGCAAGAGTTGTATCTAAACTATAGATAACCTTTGAGGACTTATCCCAGCCCTAGGATCCATAGAATTGTCGGGGGTGGGAAGAGGGAAGTGAATGAGTGTGAGTGAGAGAGTGTGTGTGTGTGTGTGTGTGTGTGTGTGTGTGTGTGTAAGCCACATTCAGGGCAGACCACTCATTTCATTAGCAGCTTCCAAATCCTCTGTAACATTCTCTCACATCCCAGTGGGTGAGTGAATCTTTGTCAAAGTCAAAGTTAACTGCACATGAGAGAGAGAAGATGCAATTTTCTTCTCTGGTTTTTGAACTCTGAAATTGACGCCTGGGAGTCGTCCTGTCCTCAAAATGTCAGCTGCAGGGCAGAAAAAAATACAACAAGAAAAGGCAGAATAAACCAGCAAGAAAACCTGCCAAACAGAAGAACATTCTTAGAAAGCCTCGGGGGTTAACAAGTCAGAAATTTGCTTTTTAAAAAAACAACAACAAGGAAATACCCACCTCTATTGAAAAGCAACTTCTGTGACAAGATTTTCAGCTACAAATTCATCAGAAACAGGTAACTGCAAAAAGCTCACAGCGTACTTGTTCTAGCAGCCAGGATTCAGCACAGACCTATCCATATGCCAGTTGTGCCAATGCTTCAGCAAGCTGACCCGTATTTCATCCACGAGAATGGACCACCACAGCCAAAACTTTATTCAGAAACCAATCCTGGATGAAGTGTAGAAACCAACGAACTGTACAGTTTGTCAAACCACCCCCAGTGTTTTTTAAAGGATTTACTGACACAGATTCTCTTTTTTTATTTCTTGGTATCTTCCCTCTAAAATAGAAGAGGGATTATTTCAAGCTGTGGACACATCCTGCTTTCTTCGATCCTTGAGGGTCTCACCACATGTCAAAGAGCTAAGCGTCAACCCCTTGAGTCGTGCATCCACACTGTGAACCAAAGACAAAGCCCTAAGCCCCTCCACCAACTGAACAGTCTTCCTGCTGGCCAAGAGGACGCCAGAGAAGTCTGAAAAAACTGAATTTCTGGCCATGATGGGAAGGGAAGTTGGACACGCCTCTTTATACCAGCTCCCTTTTGGAGTTTAGGCAAAACGACCAGTATTAACACTAAAATAGAGATCAAAGACTGACAAAACAGACTCTTTGCGGCAATAAGATACCAAATTCCAACCTGACTGTGGTATAGCGTCACACGGCAGAGAGCAGACACTGAGGAAATGGAAATATTTTACCCCAAAATATATTTCCTTGACATATATTGAAATGGCCCTGCAAAACCATCTTTCATGGGAGAAATTTGCATGCGGAAAATGTCCGTTTGCATGGGGGAATCTCCATTAATGCAGCCAGGCCTTTCTAGGATCTAGGAGAGATTAACTGAGTCTGACACCTTTTAAGATCAGAAAAGAGATCTTTACCATCTCTCTCTGAAGGCTGCTTAACTGGAGGCTTCACCTGCATAACAAAACAAGAACCTTGACCCTCACAACCCCCCTCATCTTAACTCAAGCATTTCTTTCTACTTAAGTCTTTAGACAAAGCTTAACTCTTTCAACCAACTGCCAATTAGAAAATCTTTGAATCCACTTATGACCTGTAACTTGCCCCCCAACTGTCTCCCTAAACTCCACTGCCTCAGGCACACTTTCTCAGGACCTCTTGAGACTGTTTCCCAGGCCATGGTCACTCATATCAGTTCAGAATAAACCTCTTTAAATATTTTACAGAGTTAGGTTTTTTGGTTAACAACACCCTAACCCTATTCCAGGGCTTTCCCCTGTACCCCCCACCCTCACGGCACCCAGCCCCAGCCATTCTTTGCTCTCAACAGCACTGCACAGATGTCAAAAATTCAGCCATAAAGGAGAAAGAGAAGGGTGGGATGTGATCTACAATTCACCACAAAACTATTCTTATGATCCTCTTTCCCTTCAAGCTTCAGATTTGCAGTTTAAGCATGTTTGGCCCAGAAGTCAAGGGACCAGACACACTCCCCTGTCAATCTATGGGAGGGACAAAGGAATGACACTGTAAGAAGACAAAAAGAAAGTGAAAACTTAAAGTAGTATACTCTCCTTACTTCCACCCAAGCCAACAGCAGGCAATGATGTGGAGCTTTTTGCACGTCTAATTTAACCATTCACCCTGGCAAGGACTAAGTATGTAAGGAGTTAAACACACACTCCTTTCAAAAATTTAACAAGTACATAAAAATTAAAAGGTCCTTAAAAAATATCTGAGTAAGAACAGATAGCCCTCAGAGATTATTTTTTAAATCGCTCTATCTCCCTTAAGAGATAGAACTTCTAAAACAGATATACACTTTAAAAAAATAAACAACTATTAAGTAAGTAATACTGGACCTCCTAAATCTGCAATATGATGCTACTTTTTCCGCTTAGCAACATATACGGTTATCTTTCCAACCACCTCCTTGGTCTCTATGCTGTAGTTATGTTTCCCGTTTAGAAGAAATAAGAAAAGGTTGACTTAGTGTCCCGTTGCCAACAGAGGGGTAGATATAACAAAACCTATTCACAATTCTGTATTCCTCACACATTCAACATGAAAGCTATCAAGGTTATCTTTTCTAACCCCTTAGAGAAAGGCTGTATGCCTGTGCATATATGTACACTTACACACATGTAGACATTACTCAGCTCTGTGCCTTCAACAAACTTCAGGGGTAAATTGCAGGCTCTTCTAAGAAGCATGGAGATGGAAATGTGCCATTTTCCATCAGAAGTGACAATTAATAAACACAACTTTGGGAGGCATACAACTGTACAACAATGAAGACTTCAGATCCCCAGAGAGAAATGGCATACATTCCGTAGCTCTTAGTTCAAAACTTGATTTTAGACACTGATATGGTTTGGCTGTGTCCCTAACAAATCTCATCATGAATTGTAGCACCCATAACTCCCACATATTGTTGGAGGGACCTGGTGGCAGAAAACTGAATCATGGTGGTGGTTTCCCCAATACTGTTCTCATGGTAGTGAATAAGTCTCACAAGATCTGATGGTTTTATAAGGGGAAACCCCTTTCACCTGGTCCTCACTGTCTCTTGTCTGCTGCCACGTAAGACGTGCCTTTCGCCTTCCACCATGATTGTGAGGCCTCTCCAGCTACATGGAACTGTGAGTCCACTAAACCTCTTTTTCTTTGTAAATTACCCAGTCTCAAGTATGTCTTTATCAGCAGCATGAAAACGGAGTAATACAAACACTAACTAAAAAACTTTTTTAAAGTTTCAGGAATATTTTCCTAGAAATACAACTTCAATTTCATATGCACGTAACACACTCCTTTCTAGAAAATGTCTTTCACTGAAAACTGTGTAGCCAATTTTATAGTCCTCAACCATCAAACAGAAATTTGCTGCTACACATTATACTCTTCCTTCTGCATACACCACTGACAAGACCCACTCTCCTTTACCAATCACTTTTGCTTCCTAGCCTAATCCTAGCAGCTGGCATACCCTGTATCAGCCTGTAAAAGTAAGAGAACACTGGAGTCTTCAATTTACAGTTCTCTATTCTGCAAAGAGGCTAAGCTTCCAAGGTTAAGCTTATTTAATATGCTATCATCATCACCAGCCAATAATTTACATTGAAAAGGCACAGGAAACAAATTCCCTCAGTGTCTCATTTATGAGCCACCAGGGATAAGCTTAAAATAAAGGTGTGAACACTAACAGAAAAATCAACATGGTCCAGGCCAAGAGTTGACTTGGGCTGTCATTAATATTTATGAGTTATTTACCAATGTAAGTGAGAGGTACTTAACTACCCCCACCCAAAGGTACTGAGACGGCCAACTTCAATTGCTGGGGAAATGTCTACCTTTTATATAAAAAGCACACTCAGGAGGAAAGGGTTTGTCTCACCTAAAAGCCCCAGATCTGTGGTCAATACTGTGGACTCCACCTTCATATCAAGTTCATCCAGCTCTATAACATAGAGGTCTATGACCCTGGGCAAGTTGCTTAACCACTTAAACTTCAGTTTCTTTATCCATAAAATAAGAACAATAGTAGTAGCTACCTCTTAGAATTGCTGTGAAGTTTAAACAAGTTAATATTTCTAATCCTGCTTAGAACTGTGTGTGGCACATGTAAAGTGCCCAATAAATCTTAAATCATTATACCACTAATCCACACTAAAAAAGACATTGCAAGCCGGACGCCATGGCTCACTCCTATAATCCCTGCACTTTGGGAGGCTGAGGCTGGTGGATCACTTAAGGTCAAGAGTTCGAGACCAGCCAGGCCAACACGGTGAAACTCTGTCTTTACTAAAAATACAAAAATTAGCCGGGTGTGATGGCGGGCACCTGTAATCCCAGCTACTGGGAAGGCTGAGGTAGGAGAATTGCTTGAAGCTGGGAGGCAGAGGTTGCAGAGAGCCAAGATCGCGCCACTGCACTCCAGCCTGGGTGACAGAGCAAAAATTCCATCTCAAAAAAACAAACAAAAAAAACATTGCAGGTCACGGCTCTCCACCGTTCACCATATTTTGCATGTTCTAGCCCATTTAGTCCTCAAAACACTGATAAAGTAGATAGAAATTTAATTTTCAGTTGAGAAACCTGAGGCTCAGACAAGTTTAAAGTCATACCAAACTTGCTAGTGAGCTGAAATCTGAACCCATGTCTATTTGTCTTCAAAACCTACGCTCCTCCTACTTCTCCAAGCTGTGTGGCTCCTTCCTGCCTCCGACACAAATAACTATAAAGAAATGTGCTGGTGGTGGCTCACGCCTATAATCCCAGCACTTTGGGAGGCCGAAGCAGGCAGATCACAAGGTCAGGAGTTCAACACCGGCCTGACCAACATGGTGAAACCCCGACTCTACTAAAAATACAAAAACTAGCGGGACGTGGTGACGCATGCCTGTAGTCCCAACTACTCAGGAGGCTGAGACAGGAGAATCGCTTGAACCCAGGAGGCGGAGGTTGCAGTGAGCCGAAATCATGCCACTGTACTCTAGCCTGGCGACAGAGTGAGACTCAATCTCAAAAAAAAAAAAACTGCTGCTAGCTAATATTTAATGAGCATTTACTATGTGCTCAGTCTGACGTCAGTGCTTTACTCTCGTTCCACACAACAATCTTATGGCTAAGTAAAATCATTAACCCCATTTTTCTTATGAGAAAATTCAGGCTTAAATAGTTCAAGTAATATGTCCAGGGATATTTAAGTAAGTGGCAGAGCTGGGACATGGCTACAGAGTCTCCCATAATTATTTCATTTAAAAAAAGAAAGAGACAAACAGACTTACCCAACAGGTCTGGGAAACTTTTGTACCATCAAATCAGTATGTTCCTTAGAATTAACATGTTTGTTTTTCCAAGTGGGTAATGTGGTAAGCCACAAAGCACCAATTCTCTTATAACATTAGCGGTGTGTTTGACTTTTAAAAAACAAATTAGAATGTAAGTAGAGTCCTCATTCTCCTGGCCAATGTCATTTTTTTGTTTACAAAAGGGGTACAAAATTAAAATATTGGGGGTGTGGAATAATTATTCAGGTTCATTGCAAAACAGCAATCACCACCTCATTTTTCTCCACTGCTCGGCAAATGCAGTGGGGGTAAACCACCATGGCCCCCAAGCAAACTTAAAAGTAGAAACAATTTTGTTTGGGATATCTTTATGTTTGTATCTATAAGGATTTAACTCAGTTATTTTTCAAGCAAAAACATGAAACATCCCATTTTATTCCAAGTACAACAAATGTGTGAACCTTTACTGTGATTTTCTACTAACAGCAGTTCAGGGTATGAAGGAAAAGGAAGAGGACAAAGGGACAAGGGTGAGCCTAAGGAGTAGTAAAGACTGGACAAAGAGGCTAAAGGATGAAAGGCACAGGTGCAGAAAGTGGGGACTCCAAGGCACAAAGTGGGAGGAACGGCGAAGGTTTGGTAATCTCTGAATTAGCAGCAACCTCTCGCCATCCTTGGCTTCAGAACATCCACCAGCCACTGAAATATTATTAGCTCTTTCATCCGTATCCACTGATCTTCAATGAAATAGTAACAGTGAGGAGGTGCCACATGGTGACGGAGCAGCAATATCTTCAATCTACAGCATCATAGTCAGAACAATCCCATCACTGGATAGTTCCAGTGAAACCCACATCTCCCTCCACTCCAGTCAACCTACACCTTTCCAATAAAACTCAGGACCAAGTTTATCAATACCTAATTCTGCCTCATGCAATTACCTCACCTCCTACCTAAAATCTTAAATAAGCAGCCCCAAAAAAACTTTCTGCTCTCAAAATGATACGAGGCAAAGCTACTAAGAATGACTGCACAGGCAAATGAGTCGTGGTATGATTGATCACCTGCCCCCTAGAGCTTCTGTCCAATTAAGCTGGGTGGGCAGAGACTGATGGTACCAAAGGCAGAAGGACACCACCAGGCCTTCAGCCATGGGAAGAAAAGAGACAAGAGGCGGATCAAGGCTGCAACAGCTGTCCAGAAGCAAGCATGCACCCAAAGTTGAAATCAAAAGATTTGAGATAATTATAGGTCACTACCAACACCATAGAGTGAATATGTTCCTTCACCTGACAGACACATTTTGTCTTATTTGTAGTCAAAACAAATAGAGTAAAATGTAGAATTCTTCAGGCAGAGCAGCAAAACTCCTAACTGCATAATGTGATTAGGACCAAAATAAACCTATGACCCATATAAAAACACTGAAAACATAATCCAAAGAGGAAAGGATGCTGTATGTCATTTGCAAAAAGGAGAAGGCAAACTCACATGTTGTTCTGGACCTAATTTAGAAGCTCTTATTGCCAAAAACTATAATAAATTGTGAGCACACTGTCTTCTTTTCATACTGCCTTACCCTCTCAACTATAAATAATAATTTCATATAAGCTGCAACGGAAACGGCAGCAAAAGACATGGTCTCTACTTGCACAAGTCACTTGACCTCTCTAAACCCAGGTCTCCACCTGTAAAAAGAGATGGTTGCATTGGATGATCCACAAAGTAGAGTCACACTAATCAAATGTCTTCAGTTTTGAAATTCACACTTGATTGGCTCCCTTCGAGTCCTGGCCACATCATACCTGAGCTGCCCTTCCCCACCCAGGATCTTGTTGCATAGGGGGTTCAGCAGCAGCGAGCTACTGCACAGCGGGACATGCCAGCAACCACAGCTGCTATGGGGCAAGCCCAGCACACATAAAGGACAGGCAGAGGGTGCCTACAAGAGGAATGGCAAGTATGTTCTGCTGGATTTATTTATACTTTACGACCTGTCCACTACCAAAAGAATTCACTGGAGTCTGATATAAAAACACACGTCTGAAAAAAAATCAGATGTGTGAAAAACACCAAAAACCCCAACATGCACAGAAGGCACTTAAAATGAAGATCAAATTAAAAACTAGAAACTGTATGCATGTTTTCAGTGATCCTTTAGTCACTGGTAGTATGTCTACACAGATAAGCCTAAGGATAATTTCTTGTATCTAAGTAAGAAATGCCCTCTCCTTCAGGGAGAACACTCATCACAAAGTTTACTAAACCCAACACATAATAGGATCTGTTATAGTTATATTTCAAAGAAAAGGAGAAAGAGAAAGTTTTAAATTCCTGCACACAGGTATGCCAGAAAACAAGACCACAACTTGCTGGCTCTTTGGAGTAGCCAAAGTCTGGAAACTATGCAAATTTCCAGTGACAGTAAAATGGATAAATTATAGTATATTCACACAATGGATTACTATGCAGCAATAAAAATGAACAAACCAGTCATGCAAACAACAACATGGATCAATCTCACCAACACAGTGCTGAGCTAATAGCAAGAGCTAACTGATATGATAAATATACTTTTGGGGGGATTAAAATTATATTGGGAGTATGACTGAAGATAGCCATCTACCACACAGATTTAAATAGAAGATGAAAAAAATCAGAGAAACAGAAATAATAAAAATCTTAGCATTAAAATGGGCCTTAGATCTTCTCTAGCTAAGCAGCTTCATTTGACAGAGAAGGAAACAGAGTGTGTAGGGAGTTCCAAGGTTCACGTGCTCTTAATTCCTAGGTCTGTACCTTTGCCTCATACCTGCTCCTCTCCACAAAATGTTCCAGACTTACATTTCCGCTCTCCTTGGTGTAAGTGAGTTATATTTTTTTAAATGGCATTTTGCATATTTACTCTCTTCTGGGAAAGTTGAAAGTTTTCATTTTCCCAGTTTGTTAATTCCACACTCCAACAGGGTAAAGATAGAAACTGATTTAACTCTTCTCATTAGCAATGCCAATTATTTAGGAAGATAACTGTTGAATACTCACTTAAGGACTACTGAGAGATTAAATGCAATTTACCACTCTCGAAGTCTTTAACACTTCAATTACAATTACAACCTGACACAAAATTAATTTCCATGTTTTGAAATAATACACCAAACTAACTGATACAATTTCCCTTTCTTTCCCTCTGTCAAAAGTCAATGCCCATGAACTGCTAAAATAAAATCTCTTCTTACAGTATGTGAAGGTCACATTATATTTACATGCTAATGACCACTGTGAATTAATTACCACTCTTAATCAAACAAGCTCATCTGCCTAAAACAGGTTATAAAAGACCTTTGAGAGGGGAAAAAAGCACCGTATTAAAACTTTGTTCCCAACATGCCATACGTACTTGTAAAGGGAGACTCAGGATTTTTCTTAAGAGCATTAGACATTTGATCTTTTTAACAGAATTATACTTCACTGCCACAATGAAGAAAGTTTTATGGTTATTTTTTTCATAACACTACTGACATAATGACATCAGGTAAAACCTCATTCATAATGTATTCAAAAGTTTTGTTCACAAGTAATAAGAGCCTCTAGGAAATTAATTACCAACAAGAACTAAAAAAGCTGGAGGTGTTCGCATACTAGGCTAGTAGCCAACAAGCAACTGGTGACCAAAGTAAAGCAGCTAGGTACAGTGTGTGCTGTGCGCATATATTATGCAAAAACTAGAAAGTTGTGTCTTTCAAGTTATAGCAAAGCTAATGTTGAGGTTTCTGCCAACTCCTTGACAAGAATTTCTTTTGCTTTGGTTAGTAGAGGGCGGAGGGGTTAACTTGTAAGAGATCTGGAATATTCTCCGCCCTAGACTAAAGACAGAAATCAGTGTAACAGAGCCAGAGTCACAGCTCCAACACACAAGGCTACAGGCTTTTACACCATTTAATCTGCAGCTACAAAATGCCAAACAGGTTCTGAAAGGGTTTGCAATTCCATCAATATTTATTTAGCACCAATTTTGTGTAGAACTTCTTCTAGACCCTATCTGGATTGAAACCTAGAGAAGGATCTGGCATTTACTGAGTTGTCCATATGCCAGACACTCTGCTAGACCCTTTAGTATCTGTTACACCTCATTTTTCATCATCACTATCACCCTGCAGGGGAAGAATGATGGGCCATTTCACAAATGGGTAACTGGAGGTTAAGTGACTTGCCCTTAGCAAAAGGTAAAGGTCTACAAGGTTATGGGATACACTCCCTCCACTGTTCCAGCTGACCCCAGGCTATAAGACATTTCCCTGTCGAAACAGGAAGGAAATCCAACATTTACAACAGAGCAGAAAGTTCTAACACAAAGCAAAGGACACCAGCACTAGGAAGAGACAACGCATCACAGATGCTGAGCAGGAAAGCTATCACTTCCCACCTGGCAGGCAGGTGTTGGGAGGGACCACAAAAGAGGGATCACTGGAGCTGGCTTTGGGAAACAAGGTGGCCCTCAACATCTGGCAACAGGTAGACAGGCACAGCAAGCAAAGGAAAAGCACAGCAAAGGGCCTGCAAAGCAGTAAGGAGGGGGCTGTGGCTGGACCATGTCGGGAGAGATGGAGGATCTAGGTCATCATTGTGAGAAGGACTCAGCATGACCAGAGGCTCCTAAGGCAGGAAGGACAGCTGGAGCAAAGTGGAGAACTTGGGAATGCCTATGTAGCAGCTGCCACTTGGATGCATGAAAGGGGGATATTGAGAGATTAGAGGTCAGGGCACCAATCAAAGCTAACTAGAAGAAATTAGAATCCTTGAATCAGGAGGTCAGGAAAGCAGGCTTGAAGCAATTTTGTGACTGAAGAAATAAGTGCTGGAAGAGGAGGATTTAAGACTAGAGTTCAGTTTTGCAAGCCAGATGAATGGGAAACAGATACTGTTACCAATCCAAACAGGAGAGGGAAGTCTTGAAGATGCCCAAAACATCCTGACCCAAACCAGCAGAGCAGCATGGAGGATTTGTGTAGGATGGTTCTCCTTCCAAGAAACTGGAACACACTGTGGACAAATAACATCTGGACAAACAGCCACTCATTTCACTGACTTACTTCAATGCAAGGGTAACCCATGAATTTTTTTATGGTTGGCTCTATGTCTGTCAAACTAATGTCATTACAGAACCTCAAATACCATCCATGAGAAGAAAGAAAATGTACACTCGGAAAGAGCACATCATGTCTCTCAGCAATTACCATCTAAATTTTTTAAGTCTACTATAAGTATCTTAAAGGGCAAGACAGAGTGGTCTATTTAGTTATGAGTAGCCTCTACAGCAATTTAAGTTTCTGTGGGACTTTGGGTGACTTCTTAGAGTTACTATGCTACTTAGGATCAATATGTTATCCAGAATGGGGGAAAGGTTAAACAAAGAAAGGAAGGGAAATAATTTTCCACTAAGAGAGAGCAGATTTCTGAACCGAGAGGTCCAGAAGTGAGCCTCTTCTGAGAATAGACAACCGACTCAGTCAGAGGGCCCAAGAAATGATGTAGTAATTTCACCATTAAAAGACTAACATTCCCCATTCCTGTGGCAGATCCAAACCACACAAAAAGATGCTGAGGGGCTCTAGAGTCTGTCATGTGGCAAAAGTGTAAAAAACATCATCCAAAGTATACTAAGCTTAGACTTTTCTGCTTCCAGCTGTGACCCAGGACAGCAGCTGGGTGGGCAAAGCAACTTTGTGACTGAAGAAGTAAGTGCTGGAAGAGGAGTATTTAGGACTAGAGTTGAGTTTTGCAAGCCTCCTGAGTGCACTGACCAGGACTAGACACCAGGGCACGGCAAGGGAGCATTTCAGGCACAGGTGCAAAATCGACCAGGGTTACTGCTGGGTTTTGAGAGTGTCTTCTCAGAAAAACACCCAGAAGAGATCATCTGAAGGCAAGTTAAACACCGATTTTTGTTTTAACTAAAGGCAAGAAATTCAGAAAAATGGGGTCACTCATTCCACTCTAGCTCAAAAGAATGGTTTAAACATAAATGATCTCATCCTGAGTTAGATATACCAATCTCTAGAAATTTCAAAATAACTAAGGAAATTGGGGTCAATCCTCAAAATTCAGGGGTGAACTCCATGAAGCATACCGCTTACTCCCAGAAACATCCCTCTGTCAGTGGCAGAAAGGACTCCGCTTCTCACGCTGGGGGTGGGGTGGGGAGGGAGACTCCCCCAGGGCCTACAGCAGGTAGGGGAGCTGCAAGATGAACATGGCACCTCTTCCAGGCAAGTCAACCCTCCTCTAACATTTGCGAAGAAAAGTAGCATTTTAACATAAAAACAAATAAAATGCACTATGGGATAGAATGTGAAATCCAAGTATTTTTGAGAAAAAAAGGGAGAATTCAAAGAAATTTTCACAAGACTACAGTGGGCAATTTGGAGCTAGACCCAGCTGTTTTGAGGACAGGTGTTGAATTTTCATGGAAAAGTATGGAGTCATTCTTATATACTCCTCAGCTCTTCAACTTAGAAACATTCCTAAACATAAAAAAACACACTAATAGACTCATCGGAAGCCCGTATATTTTACCACGTTCATATGTCATTAATAACAAGTGCTGCTAATAGCTGTTTTGCCATGCCCTGATCATCCTAGTTCAGCCTTATCAAAACAGCTTGAAACAGTACAACCACAGGAGGGGTCAATGTCTGGAGGTCACTCCATAGTGAAGACAGAAAGACGACTTAGCTGTAGAGCCTAGCATTGGGTGAGATATGAACAGCACAAAATAAATAATCAAGCCACTAATATTGTAAGACGTTCTTGTCAAAATGCTTTCGAATTGTACTTGGGGCCAAAGGACAATCTTTGTGTCTTAACTTTTACACTTCATTCCAGATACAATTCTTTTCCTAGACTTAGGAAGAGCATGTGGTATCACTCTATAGCACGTAACTGGATTCTCTGGGGGTTGTCTTCTTTCACATACATAAAAACACATTCTATTAATTCTCAGAGAGTCATTCCAAGGACCTGGAGGCACTGGGGGCAGGCAGGGCAGAGAAAGGGCACTGCTTGGTGCCCAGGCACTCACTGTCTCTCCTGCAAGGTCAGCAAACCCTCAGTCACCTGCCACAGCATCGCCCTGGAGCAGGCAAAACATCACCATGCATGAATTAGTGGGGATAAAAGAACAGAGGCTCCATAGGGGCTCCCAAATTACAATACCCATAACTTACACATTAAATGACATGCTAAGCCATAGGCCCAGCTCAAAGTAGTATGTTTTACTATGTGTTGGGCAAGATTTAAATATGATACATATATTATCATCATATACCTATTTCTATGCCATCTCATCATCTAAATTATCTCAACTACTGCATAAGGTAAGCACCATTTTACAGCTTAAGGAACTGAAGCTCAGAATGATGAAATGATTTGCACAAAGCTACTAAGCGACACCCAAGCCTAGCTGATCCCAAAGCCCAGGGCCCCACCCTCTGGTTCACCACTCAAGAGCCACCACTTCAGAACCCTTCTCCAGGGCCCCTGAGGAAAATGGCATGCTCTGGTGGGTGCCCAGTGCTGACCCAAAGGGGCTGGCAGCACCTGTCATGAGAAGGGAAGCTGAACACGAGCCATTTGGGGTACTGGGACCACATCTTACCAGCCCCCGTTTTGCAAGATGCTTTACTAAGGCTGCCAGTAACAAACCCCACAAAGAATGAAGAGAATACAGACTACTGGGAAGATCCCAATTGTCTTAAAAACTTTCCCTATTCGCTAAAAACATTTTTTTTTCACATGACTTACAGAAATAAAATGTTTTAAGTACAGGATTAATTTGAAACTAATATCCTTATCCAAACCCCAAACTAAATATTTCTTTTTCTGACTGGGAAACAACTGGGTGTGGACACGGAATCCAAAGCCACCGGATTCTCTCCACCTCAACGGAGCCCAGGCATTAGGAGGCAGAGCGGAGGGAGGGAGTTCCAGGCAGGGAAGTGGGAGGTGGCTCAGGCAAGCCCAACAGCCTCCCCTGGCTTCAGTGGTCCTGTCTGTAAAGGAGGCGCACGGATGGCCATGACCTGACAAGCCCCCGAAAGCCCCTCTCCTCCCTGGTTCTGTGTGATCAGTGAGACGTTACAAGGAGGGGACCAGAGGACCAGGAGGGGCCGTTCTCAGCAGCACATGTGCATTCCAGGCAAGTTATGCCGAAGATAGGAGAGAGGATGACCCTCGCACCCACACTGCTGTGTCAGAAGTTCAATCTCAAGGCTGGGCTGCTATTTGGAATCTAGATTCTGCTAGAAGACACCTTGAAAGTTTGCTAAGTCAGATTTGAGATGCCAGCTGGGTATGTTTTTATTATCACACGATAAACACTTAGAAAGTAACAGAAATAGAGCTCAATCAATGGAATCACTCGCAACAAATGCTGTTAGCCATGACTAAACAAATAGGCTCTACTAGCAAACTAAAGTATTAACATACAAAGGTCATTTCTCAAAAAAAACAAAACAAACACAAGACATTTTACGGAAAATAAGCCAATCCATTTTTATGAAGTAGCTAGTCCAAGATCCTGAACCACTCCAAAGCCATCATAGTCAGAATGTCCAGTACACGCAGACAGGAAGCATAGGGTAATGGTTAAGATCACAGATCCTAGAGCCAGACCATCTTGGTCCAACCCCTGGCTTATGGGATCCTAAGCACCTTACTTAAGCTTTCTATAGTTTAGTTTCTTTATCTGTAAAATGGAGATAAAAACAGGACCTACCTCATAGGAATGTTAGGAAGCTAAATAAGTAAAACACTAAGATTACAGGCTGGCTTATAGTAAATTCATCCACATAAATGTAACTCTTACTATCACATGTATATACAAAAATACCAAGAATACTGATTAGGAGTAATTGATTATTATTCTATTCACAAAAGGAAGAGATTAAACAATGGATAGTAGAGACCTCCACTGCTCTAAAAGTAACATTACACACACACACAAAAACGTAAATAGAGAAACATGAATCTAAATGCTGTACTAAAAATTCAACTCAAAGTTTGGCCCATATTTTCCAGGATAATTTAAGACAGCTACCTAAGTTATGAAAAATTTACCTAATTTTTTCATTCATTCCAAGGTATTACCTTTTTTATTTGATAAATCGTATTTCTCTAAATTTCTTTTCAACTTGATAGAAAATTTGGTCATTTTTATTTCAAACTGTCCAGATCTTTTCGAAATGAAAAATTTGTTTCAAAAATCATCTATAGGGCTTTGGCCGGGTGCAGTGGCTCACGCCTGTAATCCCAGCACTTTGGGAGGCCGAGGCGGGTGGATCACAAGGTCAGGAGTTCGAGACCAGCCTGGCCAAGATGGTGAAACCCCGTCTCTACTAAAAATACAAAAATTAGCTGGGTGTGGTGGCACGCGCCTGTAGTCCCAGCTACCCGGGAGGCTGAGGCAGGAGAATCGCTTGAACCCGGGAGGCGAAGGTTGCAGTGAGTCAAGATCACACCACTGCACTCCAGCCTGGGTGACAAGAGAGAAACTCTGTCTTTAAATAAATAAATAAATAAAATAATTTTAAAAAATCATCTATAGGGCTTAAATAGTCACTCATCCAGAAGGAAACATCATATATTTAAATTTACCACCACGATTAAATGGTATCTTCATTCATCTCTACCAAATATATCAATTAAGGCTTATTCAGAGAGCTACTGTAGAAAATTCAATATGGAAGCCTCTTGGTGATTCCAGAATACATACAGAAAAGCCCAAAAACCCATAAACAAAAAAAAACCTTGAAATTTCACCAATGATAACAAGTAAATATTCTATATACCAAAAAGTATGCAAAGTACTACAAAATAAAGAATATCTCACATACAGTTATGAATCTCGTTCTCAGGTACGGAATGTGGGATTTCACTCCTTAGAGTCCCATACATCTTCCTCAGAAGACAAAAGGGCAAAACTGTGCACTGCACAGCTTGTTCAAGACATCTGTGCTTCTGCCCAGTACTGCCTACATCCTTGGGAAGACAACTCAATTGCTTACTAAGCATGCCACATTTTACTATGCTTCAATTACACAGTTCCTCTGATCAATCATGTTAGCATTTAATTACCATGCAATTAACTCACTGCACTAACTCAAGCTCATGGGCATTTCTGCTTTGGCCACAGAAATCACAGAGTTGATATCCAAAGCCCACTCTGCATTTTACCCCCACCCACCTGTGCTCTGCCTCCCAGGCACTTGCCTGGGTTATGATTATGAAATTTCCACAGAATAGCAATTATTCTCCAAACTCAGTCAAAGCTGCCCAAAGAAGGACCAGCCTTAGGGCAAGGGACTCACTGTATAAACATCCCTACTTGATGGGGACTCGGTTGCGGGAGGTGGGCAACTCAAGCATCACACGGGGGTCTCAATGAGATGACCAGTTACCAGACTTTGGTATTCCATAGCAGAATACCCCCACCTTTCCCAAATTGTGCTGACTGATAACTTCGTCTTGAGAAACCAACCTCGAAGCACGATCTCATTAAAAACAGACATTTCAACACCTAAGAAGTAAAAAGAACAGTATCTTTTAATAAAAAGCAATTATCTGAGCACATTTATCTTAGAAACTCATCCTTCTTTTTCTCCTTCTGACTTTATACCAATTTCTGGATCAATTCTTTGGGGGAAAACGAGATTAAATAATCTTAAAATTATTTCTAATCCTTATATCAGCTGACCAAAGTTCAGCAAGTGTTTTTAAGCTAAAAAGAAATGAAGATATTTATCATCTGTCACCAGTAAAAACAACAAATATCTTGTCATTCACTTCACATATGCTGAAATGACAGATACACATAAGCAAAAATAAAAAATAAAAATAAGGGTGGAGGAAAAGGAAGCATTCTGCTTTCCTGGTAAAATTTCTAGGAAGATTAATATCCCGTTTGAATGCCATGCTGCTCACACATGATTTTGAAAAGATAGTTTCCTGCTCTACAACAAGAGTGGAATCAGCTGTTTTAACTTGGGGCCCTAGAGTGTAACTCTCAAGTTGCTTAGTTATTTATAACTTCAGAGCAACGCCTGCTTCTGCCATATCAAAGTATGCAAGACCCTAGGGAAAGGTCAGAAGACAATGTTGCTTGTTTCAAACACACTGGCAATTTAAAACTCCCCCAACCTCCATGGGAGAGCTTTCATGTTGGGAATGCTCCAGAAACAAACTAAAGGATCTCCTGGCAGGAGGGCTCTCATCTTTGCCAGGTTCAGCACAGTTCCTAGGAATTCCAAATGTTAATCTGAAGAGCTGGAATCCAGTCTGGTGTTTGTAATACCACCCATGTGACTACCTCATGCAGATATGCATTTGCTCAATAAATATTTGCTGAACATTTCCTGTTTGGAAGGCACCATAGCAGAGTCTCCTCACTCTCTGCCCCTCATCACACCCAAAAAAGGTCTGACCCAGTCCAGTTTCCCAGAGGGTAGCCTAAACCCTCATACCAGCAGCCACTAGATAATGTGCTATAACCACTGCCACACTCTTGGAACCTGCAACACACAAATGATTTCAGAGGACAGAGAGGTCCCTTCTTCCTGGAGATATCACAGTTTCCTAGATTTGTGCTGGGCTTTTAAAGAAAGACATGAGAGAAAAATTAACAGGAAACTTGTACTCCCAGAATATAGGCTCCATTCGGGCCAGATCTTTATGAGTCTTATTCAAAATTGTTTTCCCCGCGTCTAGAACAATGCCTGCCAAAAAGTAAATGCTCTCTTGATATTAGTTCCATAAATAGAATAAAGGAAAGAATGATCTTAGACCTGGCATTGACTCAGCCATCACGTAACTAGCCTCAAGTCATGGAGGTTCAATGACATTTGGCTAATGTAAGTTCAGGCTACCCAAAGAGGCAGACACTCCCCTTCCCCTTCCCCGTCCGCCCCCCATCATAGAGGCAGACAAGGTCAAAAACTATGTTACAGATTAAGTTTAGGGAGAACTTCCTTCCACCTTCCTCATGTACCAGTTGTAAATTCCTTAATTTGCTCCCTACAGATGTCACAAATCAATTCTTAACCAAGCACAGGGAAGAGGGAGATTGACTTGAAATTTTACCTAACATATTTGTGCGTAAGACAGAGCCAACGTTGTAGTTCTGAGAAGTCCAGGAAACACTCCAGCCTGAGGCTACCAGATAAATTACAGAGTTGTGCAAGGATGTACGCCTGCAGACCCCAATTAGAGGGCAGGTGGGCTCCAGTGGGCAGAAACTCAGGACAGGAACTCTGGAAGAACACTGGCTAAATAGAAGGATTCCTTGCTTACTAACATGATGCCAGGATTTCCTAGCACATTTTAAAATAGGTTTAAATCAATGTAAGCCAGATTTAAGACAACTCTTCATCAGCACAGTGTGTAAGCTAAAGTAAGATTTGCTTGCAAAATAAGAGGAAGAGGAGGGCAAGGTGGGAGAACCAAAAATTATCCTCTGAAGGTACCAGTAAGAAACATGTTTTTGGCCGAGCACAGTGGCTCACGCCTGTAATCCCAGCACTTTGGGAGGCCGAGGTGGGCGGATCACAAGGTCAGGAGTTCGAGACTGGCCTGGCCAACATGGTGAAACCCCGTCTCTACTAAAAATACAAAAAAATTAGCTGGGCATAGTGGCAGGCGCCTGTAATCCCAGCTACTCGGGAAGCTGAGGCAGGAGAATCGCTTGAACCTGGGAAGCGGAGGTTGCAGTGAGCTGAGATCGCGCCACTACACTCCAGCCTGGGGAACAGAGTGAGACTCCGTCTCAAAACAACAACAACAACAACAAAAACATGTTTCTGTTTTTTAATGTTATTACCCAACAAAAAAGTGAGCAGTGGGGCAGAGTTTAGAATGGCCCAGAGTCTCCCTCTCTCTCTCTCTCTCTCTCTCTCACACACACACACACACACACACACACACCCCACCAACTACTTTCTGTTACCCTTTCTTCCTGTTACCCTCTCAGCACTTAGCACTCTGGCTCCTCCCTTGCACTGACAACAATAAATAAATAGCCTAATGGAACTACTGGAAGTTTTACTTAAAGTCTACGATCCATTTCAAGATAATTTTTGTATGTGGTGTAACCTAAGGATCAAGGTTCACTTTTTTCCATATGGATACCCAACTGTTTCAGCATCACTTGTTGAAAAGCCCATCCATTCTCCATTGAATTACAGTGGCCCCTTTGATGAAAATCCATTGATCATACATGTGTGGGTCTATTTCTGGACTCTATTCTGTTCCATCCATCTAATATGGCTGCTTTTACACGAATACCTCACTGTCTTGCTTTCTATAGCTTTGACGTATACCTTGAAATCAGGTAGTGTAAGCCCTCCAACTATGTTCTTTTCCAAAACTAACTTGGCTACTCTGAGCCCTTTGCATTTCCATGTAAATTTTAGAATCAGCTTGTTGATTTATTAAAACAAACACATACACCCCCTTCTGGGATTCTGAATGAGAATGCAATGGACCTATAGATCAATTTGGTGAGATGACATCTTAACAATGTTGTCTTCTAATCTATAAAAACGGTATCTGTTTCCTTTTATTTGAGAGACCTATCAGAGTTCAACAAGAACAACAACAAAATCTAGAGCTACTACCTGTGTGTCAAGAAGGGAGGAGTTGCTGGAAAACAGCAAATCTCTGCAAAATAATTTACAATTTTACACAGTTCTTTCATGAACCTTACATGCAACTGATGCCACTGATTTTTTTAAAAGGCTCAAAAAAGCACAGATGAAAAAACAGGCAGATGTGGCGCCCAAATCCCGGTACTCTTTTTTCTACGTGAGATTCCAGGGTCTTTGATACTGTACAGTTCACTGAAAACTAAGAATCAAAGGGAGGCTGGCAGGAGAGAGAAAAACAACTGGGGAAGGGGTGTGAGCCCAGCTCCAGGACCTGCTCCCAGAAGCTAAGTGAGGCTTCCAGGTTCTCTGACAAGCTCACAGAACGGAGAGGAATGAGAAGAAACCAATAAAGATGATGAAAATTCACAACAGGACAATATCCTTCTAGAAAGGCCACAAGCTGGCAAAGAGCCAAGAGAGGAAATGGGGCAAGCATACTGCAGGAGGTCCACAGAGCACAGCCAAGGGCAGACACATGGCTTCCAAGATGCCTGGGAATTTCCAAGAAGAGACAGGTTAAAGAGCAAGACAGACATTGTTATTTCCTTTTCACACCACAGAAAGAAAATCACTTCCCTAAGAAGCTTTAATAGACTGTGGCAGTGACTGAACCACTAATCACTTAAGAAGTCTCTCTGTGTATAAAGCACACATGGGTTAAGCGGAGAAATCAGTGCTAAAAGTTGAAGTGGAGGATTCGAGCTCAGGGTAGAATAATTACACAGCACACACAAAGATGTGAAGAAATCCTACTGATCCCAGGTATCTGCACGTGGTTAGTTCAGATCTTAGTGCTGGTGACACAGGACTGATGGCCACTTCCTAGGAGGGTAGGTGCATTGGTTTCACTGAGTAAGTGACTTTTATTATTTTTTTATTTTTCTATATTTACAGATTATCTACCATGAACACATATTACTTTTATAATAAAGAATAATAGATGTACATATATTTTAATGGCTATAAAGGGAACTTGTTGACGCTGTTGTAGCAGAGTCTGCAATCTGGCCACACAAACATAGGCACTATGACTCAGAGTGGCCAGGCCATAAGGCACAAATCACCTGGCCTTGGAAGAGGGGGTGGCTAATAAAGCAGTATTTGAAAACGCAGCAAACGGAACTGTGAAGTCAACTCTTGCAGGCTTCACAAAGCTGTTTTCCTCCAACCCACCTCTGGGCTCTTTAACAGCCAAAAGGAAAGGACTCACCTCAAAGTTGTTACCAAACAGTACAAGAGCAAGGAAGGGAGACACAGGTGATAGGAAAACAGAGAAGCCCAAGACCATCTATCACCGGGCCTTTCTATCTCACACTCACTTGCATTCTTACAAGTGGCAGTTCTCATAACCTGCCTGTGTGTTTTCAAATTCCATCTCCAAATCCAGATGCAGAACCAGATGACGCCCCGTCTCCTCTCCCCTAGCCAGGCCAGAAGCCAAGCACAGATGATACATCATGAGTCTTTATGGATCAATACAGTCATGATTACCAGCTTTGGAATCAAGAGTACAGATGATTTCTGTCTGAAACTCACCACTTAGACCCCTCGTATCACCAGGCCCAGTGCCTCGGCAATAAACCCCCATGCCTGCAGCCTAGAGCAATCTGTCCCAGGTCAGGCACCAGGCAGCTGCACAGGCTTGACACCCTGGCTGACTCCCCTCCCAGTGCTTGTCCTATATGTCACAAAGACATTCTTCCTCCTTAGAAATTTTAAAACTCCAAAACTAAACTAATATTCTCACAAGAAGAAGTCAGCAGTTCAAACCTTTGTTTTCTAGCAACTCCATGTTTTGAAAGCATTTGAGAAAAGCTGTCAAATATAGTAAATTCAAGCTACTGTGCCTTTCCCTAGAAAAACAATACATATTTTGTTTTAAAATGAAAACACAAAAGGAGCAGCAGCATGTCAAGGAGAATAAGCCCCACAACTCCGTAAAGCTTCCTTCAGCTGAAGAAACTTGTGGCAATGCCTTCCAATCATCCATGCATTACACAGGCATATTCTTAAAGGTAGAGCCACCTGTGACTAGTTCTCCTATAAGGCCCATCATAGGCTTAGGACAAAGAGAGCGAGGAAGGTCACAAAGCCATATCACATGCAGTGGTATCCAACCCACTGATACCAAGGTGCCCAAACTATATCTTAATTGGCTTTCAGCTAGTATCTTGGTATTTGACCCTCCATGGAAATGATGCCCATTCACTAAGTTCCCTACCTTGGAAATAATCATCTCAAAAATCAGGCATAAGGCTTACATGATTATTCAAAATAGATACTTAAAATTAAATAAAAAACATGAAAAGCCCAGTGAGCCTTCATTAGTCAGAGCATGCAATCATCTGCCACCTTCAAATCCTGTTGATATAACTATGTCCAATTAAACAAAAAACAACATCCAAAGGTTCTGTCACATCAGTGTGGATGGGTCCCTCTAATTGTGACTATTCCTTTCCAAAAAATATTTGTCAGCCACTTCTGAAATCCAGATATTCTGCACCACAGCAAGTGGTCTTACTATTCAAAGTGTGACAGAATCATGAAAAGCCCTAACCAGGAATTAACGTTTTCCCGGGGCAGTGTGAGTGCAAGCTTCATTTTCTGAGAGCCAACCAAACAACTAAGTGTATCCAGCAACCTTGTGGGAGGGTCGCTCTTTTGGTACAAGTCTATCAAGGATGAAATTGATGGGGGTTCTCAATGGCCAGTCATGAGTGTCCACCCCAGCCCTGCCCTTGGCCTCAGCTGGAGGCTTGAGAAATTCAGGCAAAGAGAGACACATGTGGCCTGCTCAGGAGAAATAGGAACAAAAGGGACTTGCATAGCCCTGATGCCAAAAGATGACCCAATCCACTTCTTTTGGCCAAGTAGAAGCAAGAAGTAGAGATAAAAGTTCCTCCTTTTTTTAAACAATGAACAGAGGGAGGCTTACCTGTCCCAAGCTCCTTCAGCCTTCTGAGAAAGGTCATTTATCTTTTGCTCAATGAGATGGTCTATAACATGCCCCATGGCGCATTGCACATTTAAGCAGAATATTTCTAAGCTCTGAAACTTGCACAAGATGCGTTTTTCAGTGGCACTATTTGTGAGGACCAGAAGTGCCCTGGCGGGACTTCAAGCCCCCTTAGGTTACCAAATTTTAAGCAAACAAAACTGTGTTGCTGCAGGGACTGTGGTGGGGCCTGCACACTCAGAAAAGATGGCCAAGAGCAGCCTGGGAGAATTGTCTTGAAACAATACTATCTTTCTTCTGCGTCTTTAACTGCTCAAGAAGAGTATGCATATTAAATAGCAGGAAAAAGTTGCCCAATTGAGGCAAAAATTCCTTTCCCAACAGCGCTCCCTCAAGAAGGAATTTCACATTGTGCCCAACTCCAAGTGGGCATTGATGTCACTTGAGATTGCCATAGCAGATATTCGGGTCTTTTCTCAGCCATTTCTCAGATAATTCTGCTTAATGAAATCTTTCTTCCCTTGCCTCCATTTACATTTGCCTACTATAAGCCTGGCTTTGTCTAGACACCAAGGGTCCAAAGGCCAGTTAGACTCTGCCTGACCCATCTGGAACTTAGTTTAAACATTCTAATCCACTGCAAAGGTGTCTTCTTGTTTTGCAGTATGGAGGCCAGTCACAATGCCTATGTACTGAGCACACTGGAGACAATGAATATTTGTTCCCTAGCAATCAAAGTTCTGTAGAGCAATTTGGGCCAGAAAGCCCTGCTGCATTCATTTTATTTATTTATTTATTTTTTGAGATGGAGTCTCATTCTTGTCACCCAGGCTGGAGAGCAATGGTGCAATCCCAGCTCACTGCAACCTCCATCTCCTGGGTTCAAGCAATTCTCCTGCCTCAGCCTCCTGAGTAGCTGGGACTACAGGCATGCGCCACCACACCTGTCTAATTTTTGTATTTTTTAGTAAAGACCGGGTTTCACTGTGTTGGCGAGGCTGGTCGTGAACTCCTGACCTCAGGTGATCTGCCCGCCTTGGCCTCCCACAGTGCTGAGATTACAGGTTTGAGCCACTGCGCCTGGCCTACATTCATTTTAAACAAGAGAAAACCACCAACGCCCACCATCTGTTTTGGACCTTCACTCCTCCTCCCTCACCTGAATTGTAATTTTGACTGTTTTTTTTGTTTGTTTGTTTGTTTCTTTGCTTGTTTTTAAAGAAACTTTGAAACTTTGCAGCCAGGAGCGGTGGCTTATGCCTGTAATCCCACCACTTTGGGAAGTCCAGGCGGGCAGATCACCTGAGGTCGGGAGTTCGAGACTAGCCTGACCTACATGGAGAAACTCCGTCTCTACTAAAAATACAAAATTAACCGGGCATGGTGGAACATGCCTGTAATCTCAGCTACTCTCGGGAGGCTGAGGCAGGAGAATTGCTTGAACCCAGGAGGTGGAGGTTGCGGTGAGCCAAGATCATGCCATCGCACTCCAGCCTGGGCAACAAGAGCAAAACTCCGTCTCAAAAACAAAGAAGAGAAACCTTGCTAATTTAAGGACTGGTAAAGTGGGGCAAACTACATTCATCAGTTGGCATGTTGGCCCTGTCTCCTTTCCCCTCAGTTTTAAAATACGTTTGCTTAAAAGAGGCTTGGTTTCAAGCCATATCCAGGCCATTTCTCTATTTATTTTATTTTTTTGGAGACACTGTGTAACCCAGGCTGAAGTGCAGTAGTGCAATCTCAGCTCACCTCAACCTCTGCCTCCTGGGCTCTAGCGATCCTCCCACCTCAGTCTCCCGAGTAGCTGGGACTACAGGTGAGCACCACCACGCCTGGCTAATTTTCGTATTTTTTGGTAGACACGGGGTTTTGCCATGTTGCCCAGGCTGATCTTGGACTCCTGAGCTCAAGTGATGTTCCCACCTCAGCCTCCCAAAGTGCTGGGATTATAGGCGTGAGCCCCTCTAGTCAATGTTTTGTAATAAATAAAAATAATGTCCCAGGTAGCAGAAAGAACAGATTGAAAATATAAACATGGCCTAGAAAAAAAAAATTCTGTCATCAAGTTTACTCCTAGAGACTTCCATAAAGTCCACACAGTAAGTCTTTGATTCTGTCATTAAGAAGTACAGTGGCAAAGACCATATCTTCTTGGTCTTTCACTAGTCATTAAGTCAGCAATGACTTTAAACTCTCCACATTCCACTAACTGACCTCTACTCTGTTTAACAAGAACAATAACCCCTGTACAGCTCTCTTTAGAGTGGGTAAATTCCTTTAATAGTTTCGCCAAATTCCTTTTAATAATTTTTCATGTCATTCACAGACTCTCCTGTTCCTAAAATGTAATGAATTGGTGACTGATTAGTATTTATATATGAAAAGAACTATAAGGAAAAAAAAAACCCTCCTAAGAAGCAAATTTTGTGGGAAAGATATCCCACCAGATACTGGGGGTCAGTAGATACGTGGATGTACCTCACTTTCCTGTGACAGACACTGGGATATCATCAGACTTACGGTGACCCCAGCTCTCTAGAACACAGCCACCGATACAGAAGCATGTTATTTTAAAATATCCCTTGGCAAATGAAGAGACTGTCCAGCAGCCCCTCACTTTCTAGGAAATCCAGATACTTTTGCCTACACTCAGAACTCTGATTACTGTATATGCATAATTCCAACAAACTCCTCAGGAGGCCTTCCAGGCAGATTCCAAGTAGCCAGTAAAACAACAACAGGCAAGTCAACCCTTGGGGAACTGACCAGTGACTACTCAAGGATCGAATACTAAAACTATACAAATGTTTAGGGTCAGCCTTGGCAGGATCTAACCATTCAGAATCATGAAGAGATACTTAGCAAATTCAGGTTAAGTAAGAAGAACCAGGTTATTTACTTCAGAATTTAAAAATCTAATTCTTATTTATATTTTTAACAGGTATAAAATTCCAGACTTTTTTTTCTTTTTTTTTTTTTTTTTTTTTGAGGCAGGGTCTCACGCTGTCACCCAGGCTGGAGTGCAGTGGCATGATCACGGCTAATTTTTGTACTTTTCGTACCAAAAGTTTCAACATGTTACCCAGGCTGCTCTCGAACTCCTGAGCTCAAGCGATCTGCCCACCCTGGCCTCCCAAAGTGCTGAGATTACAGGTGTGAGCCACCACACCTGGCCAAATTCCATACTTTAAATTTCTCAAGACAGGAAGCATGGGCCTTTCCTTGGCTTTAAAACAGCAAACCAAAAACTGTCCACGCTTGGTCAGCAGCACGGGGAAGCCAGAATGCTATATAACATAAAAGCAGCCAAAACCCCACCATGGAAAAAAGGAACCAGACAAGCACTGGAAATCATTCTTCTTAAAAAAATTTAGAGCTATAAATGTATCTTCTCAAATATGAATTGCTTAAAGTTCTACTAAAACCAAATGTAGAATCTCTCAGCATAAAACCATCCTCAGGGAGAAAAAATCATATTGCAACTAGGCCTTTGCTATCACTGAGCCATTTGTGGCTAACTCACTGCTGGGTGGCCACAACTTTAGGAAAGAGCCCTGAGAAACGATTTTCAGAATTACCAACAAAAATGCCTGCTGGATTAGGAAATAGGATTCTTCCCACACAGAGGAAGCAGGCATCCTGCAGCCATTGGAGGGCAAGGAGCAACTGCTGGAGTTCCAGAAGGAGCAGAGGAAAGTACCACTGGGGAAACAAATCACCCAGAGAGGATCTAACTAAGGGTCCATCCACTTAGCCTAACCGCATTTCACCTTCATAGATTTAAACTTCTGGATTCAAGTACTCCAATTTCCAATAGAAAATGAAGAGACTCTCACATGCTGCCCCAGATATTTTGGGGAGGAAGGAATGGAGAAAACACAAGTCCATATGTAGGATATACTGGGAGTTCTCAATCATCAGCCCCACTCATTCATCCACTCCCTCAGCGAACATTTATTGAATCTCTGCTATGTATTAAGTATGCCCTCTTAGACACAGGGGATGCAGCTATGAATAAAAAGGGCCTCATTCCCACGGGTGTCAGAAATGTCAACAAAAAATTCCAACACACAGGGCAAGTGCAATCACAGTCACACATGTAAGGGACAGGTATAATCCAGAGGAGGAAGAAATTACCTCCATCTGAGGGGAGGGAGGCACGACTGGAGACTACTTACCATCACCAGGAGCAGAGGCCTGTGCTCTGCCTGTGTACATGCAATAAAGGCAGAACACAAATACTCCTATCTGCCTACAGAACACAGCTCATTTTACAAATTAAGTATATTTAAATGAATGCCATTGATGTGTGTATAATGGACAATAGAAGGCAAAGCAACTTAGAAGTTGGTCGCGATCCATAACAGAGACGATTCACATTATAATTTTTAAAAATTGGATCTATGCAGATGTTGGCCCAGTTCTTAGGAGCATAGGTATTGGTAAACCACAGCCATCAATGCATAAGGTCAATGTTCCATTTCCGGGAACAATCAGGCACTGATCATACCACATGCCATATTGGAGCAGGGCTTCTCCATCCTTTAAACAGTGGGTTCTGATGCAAGAAGCCTGGTAGAATCTGGGCATCTGCATTCCTGATAAGCTCCAAGACGGGAAGCTGCTGGGCCACAGCCCACTCTCTGCAAAGTGTGGGTGAGGAAGGTAGACAGTCTTGAGTCCTGACACCCATCCTAGTCACGGGTGGAGCTCTTTTACAATACACATTCCAATCCTTATCTGAAAGGGAAACTCTAGGAGATGTGGTTCCGTGTAATTTCTTTTTAAGCTGTACGGGTGATGCTGAGGCACAGCCAGGCTTGTGAACTACATTCAAGTAGGCCTTTTGAGAAGTAAATCTTCTCTGGGCATGCCTCACCCCAGGAAATAAGCTGCTTCTCTTCGTAGACACGTAAGAACCAGCAGCTTCCAGAGATCCATGGGAACAGTGAGTCAGAAAGAGGAGGCCTAGCAAAGCTGGCCAGACTGGTCACTTCAACCAAGTGAAGCCTGGAATCACAGCCTCTGCAGGCTGACATCTGGCGTAGAATCCACCCTGACCCTTTCCATCCACTACAATTGCCTTCCAAAGCTAGTGCTTAGATCATGATCATCATCTGTTTAGCTTCATAAAAAGCACACAAAGAAGATAAACAGAAGGTTTTTTTGTTTTTGGTTTTTGTTTTTTTTTTTTTGGCCTAGAACTTACAGATAAGAGGTCATCCATGATTAAAGACTGGAAAGAAGCCAAAAGGCAACATGCAATTAGCCAACCTCCCGCCTCCAGGCTCCCATCTTTAAAGAGCTCTGTGGCCACACCCCACCTTGCTGCAAAGTACAATTTCGTTAATAAAAGGGATCAAGTGGAATGTGGCCCTTTAGGGCTTTTACACACAAACTGCTTCTGGAAAAAGGAGGAGTAATATAAGTCTACCCTCTCCAGGTGGAATAATAGGTGATAGGCCTGGGCCCATCTGAAATACCAGCATTTCAAATTTTCCTACATCTACTTTCCATTTAACAAGGCACTTCAAAAAATTCTGTTCCATGTGTTCAGCCTCTTGCTCCCAATTTCTACCCCTGTCATTAAAAGTCATTCTTTCCCTTGCTTATGGCATGTCTAGCTGACAGAGGGCAGGACAACTTTTCAACAGGGAGGTCCCACTTTACCCCTAATCTTGGAAATGCCATTCCCATGAGAGGCTTTCCTAAGATTGGTTTCAGAAGTGTCACAGTTGGGGTCAACAGGCAGGGTCATGTTCTGCCCCCTCTCTAGTGGCATTCTCTCTGGGGAGAAAGATCCTAGGCTTTCTCAACCATCAGTGGATCACTCAAAACAAAAACAAAAAGAAGCAGCAACTTACAATTCCTACCACATGTATCGCGTTCATCTCTCTATTCTTAGGTCCTAGGAGGGTCATTATATAAAGAAATGAATGACTAGATAAATGACTGGAAATAATAGGATGAAAAACATCCTGTCCTCCAGGAGTTCCATTTTCTAGCCAGGAGACTGAGAAGGCATTGCACAGTGCAATTGCAAGTGCAGTGAAGGAACTCTAGGCTCAGGGGCCCAGGGTAGCACAGCTAGGAGGTGGTAAAAGCTGCCTTTGGGCCTGGGTCTTCCAGCTCCACATCGTGCATCATTCTCCTTTACCCAGTATTGCCTTCTCAGTAACAGAAGCAAACAGTGTTCCGGGAACAGAGAAAAAGGAGGGCTGTGTGGGGAGCGGGCAGCATCTGCATCAGGTCTGGAGGAGCCAAGCAGACTGACAGTAAGGGACAGCGTCACAGTCCAGCTATAGCAAGGGGGCTGCTTAGAATCCCCTAACCACTTTCCAGCACCGAATGAATGCATGGTGGGAGCAGGGCACACACAAAAATGTCTTCTCAAATAAATGTCTTTTTTTTCCTCTTTCTTAAAAAAAAAATCTTTAGCCTTGACTTATAGAGCTGGAAAGAGACATAAGCCTATGATATGCAAGAAATATGAACAGAGATTTTATTTTTCAACTAAAGCACGGGGGAGGGAAGAGTTAAAAGTTACGGACAATTTAATCACATCTGGGGAAACATGACTCTTGAAACAAAGAATCACCCAGAAAATCCCCTCTGGGGCCTGAACTTCTGCCATTAATGATTTTTCCTTCTTAAGGGAAAAAAGGTTAACAAAGTGTAGCCATTTTTCTAAATAGGGTCACACAGCCCTTTCCCAAGCAGATATCTGCCTGGAGGAGAATTAACACCATGTACAAATCCCTGGCCTGAATGCAAATCTCCCTAATCTACTTCTGGAGAGGCTCCTGCTTTTGTTTAAAGCCCCCGAGACCCTGCCAGCTGAGGTCCAGCCATAAGCAGAGACGGTAATTAAATTTTGTCAAGGGTCCACTGCCCTCAGCCTAGGGAAAGTCATCCTTGAGTGAAGGCTGGACGGCCCTGGAACCCCCTTGGCTATGCCCACCCAAACTGAGGCAAACCACAGGCTTGGGGTACTTGGATAATTGAAGACATGAAAAGCACTGAAGATAAAAATTCACATGAAAACTACCACAGCCAGTCTCCTGCATGGCTTCCTCCCAGTTGTCTTCTTGAAAATAAAAGAATCCTAGGATCACCCAGACAAAGGGGGGTGGTATCCATAATTTTGACAGATCTAAAAAAAACTCTTCATCAGCAGTGTCCTCCCCTGAGACAAGGAGATTGTTATTTACTTACCTAAGAGGCAACCTCGGCCAGGCATGGTGGCTCACACCTATAATCCCAGCACTTTGGGAGGCCGAGGTGGGTGGATCACCTGAGGTCAGGAGATCGAGACCAGCCTGGCAAACATGGTGAAACCGTGTCTCTACCAAAAATACAAAAACTAGCCAGGCATGGTGGTGTGTGCCTGTGGTCCCAGCTACTCGGGAGGCTAAGGCAGGAGAATCGCTTGAACCCGGGAGGCGGAAGCTACAGTGAGCCAAGATTGTGCCCCTGCACTCCAGCCTGGTCAACAGAGTGAGACTCCATCTCAAAAAAAAAAGCGGCGGGGGGGAACCTCCATGGTGTTGGGCCAGCTTCCTACGTGGGAGAGCGTGAAAGCTGAGTGGATTTGGGGGACCTTTTGTAACGAAAGCTTAGAATAGACACTCCTGACAATAACCTGCTCAAACCCATCCTATACTCAATTGTAATGATACAACAGCAAGGGGAGGACAGGGCCTTATGAGTGATTATGAGCCAGGCATGTATGTTGTTAACACCCACCGCACAACAAACCTACAGGGGTGGGTATGTCACCAGTGTTTGACACGTGAGGAAACTGAGGCCCAGAAGCTTCAACATAGCTGGCCTGTAGTCAGTGCCATTAGGTGGGAGAGGCAAGATTTGAACTCAGTTCCCGCAACAAGCACCTGGAGCATGGCTCTGCTGTTTCTGGCAATTTCAGACCATCAGAGGAAAGCTCACTCGTACTTGCCCAGTTTCCAGTGAAGCAGCTGGCAGACAGCTGTTCAGGGACCAGACTTCCCAGATCATGATTTACGCCCTTCATCTGTCCCTCCCTGAACCATGAACATCCGACCAAGCACCCCCAAAGAAGGCCAGAGGGAACACAAATGCAATTAGTGAGTTCCAGATTTTCAATCCCTCCAATATTTCCACCCCTAACAGGAAGGCCACAACAACTCTCCGAGTCCTCAAATGTCAGTGACAGCAGGAAGAGTAGCCAGAACGTCCTGGGCTACCCCACTTTTCCAAAGCAGCATTGAAAATCCTCTTTCAAGGACTATTAGAGACACAAGGATTTACCAAGATTTTTCTGCTATGGAATTCTGTGGAATCTGTTATGGTAGAATTCTTTGATTACTCAAATTCTACCATAACAAAAGGCAATTATTTGGAATAAATGAATGGGAAATAAAAACTTACTTATACATTTTAATTTATAAATTTCACAGTTTGGGACATTCTGAATCTATGGGGGGAAATGCGTTGAAAAAAAATCACAAAAGGAAACTGACATAGGGCAAAATTCATTATTTTAAAAACAGACTATCTCTAGACATTGGGATTATTGGAATAGTTTTTTTTCTTTTTTTCTTTTTTTTTTTTTTTTTGAGACAGAGTCTCGCTCTGTCGCCCAGGGGCGCCATCTCGGCTCACTGCAACTTCTGCCTCCCGGATTCAGGCAATTCTCACCTCAGCCTTGGAGTAGCTGAGATTACAGGCACTCCCAACCACGCCCAGCTAATTTTTTTGTATTTTTATTAGAGACGGGGTTTCACCGTGTTAGCCAGGATGGTCTCGATCTCCTGACCTCGTGATCCACCCGCCTTGGCGTCCCAAAGTGCTGGGATTATAGGCATCAGCCACCGCACCCGGCTAGTATCACCATATTAGCCAGGATGGTCTTGATCTCCTGACCTCATGATCCACCCGCCTCAGCCTCCCAAAGTGCTGGGATTACAGGCGTGAGCCACCGCGTCCGGCCAGTTTTTATTTTCTTTTACTGGACTAAATCTTCTAATTTATCTATAATAGCATATATTATTTATATAATAAATAAGTTATCAAAATACATCTGAATAACTTAGCTTACTCATAAATTTATTCTGTTAGACATTTAGTAATTATTAAAATACATATGTATATACCAGAAATTGAGAGAAAAAGACGCCCCCACTAATACTCCCTGCTCCCTGCCGCAATTCTCAGAGGCCAATTATTTGTCTTTTTTTCCCTTGGTGAGATAAGGCTTCCTCTAGTTTGTAAATTCCTGAACAAGACCACAGAAAACATCATCCACTGAAGGACAGAGATTCCTCTCTCCAGCAGGAAGCAAGCAGTGAGATTCTGCTCTGACTGTTATGAAACTTCAAGCACTACCACACTGTAAGAGTTGTGAAAGGAAAATGAATTTTGGAACCCCCCAATCACTAAGTCAAAGGGAAAAGTCAAGCTGGGAGCTGCTTAGGGCAAAACTGCCTCCCATTCTATTCCTAAAAAAAGATAGCTACTAAGAAAAAAAAGCTATCTACTTACCTCCCTCACAAGGAGTTTCCTTGTGGACAAAGGACAAACAACTCAAACTCATCCCTGTGCTCACTGAGATAAGAGCATATCTGATTGCCCACTTTGGAAGGGCTAATAAGAAATGCAAAATAATGCAACCATTTGTCTCTTATCTACCTCTGACCTGGAAGCCCCCACCCACTTCCAGTTGTCCCACCTTTCCAGAAGGTACCAATGTACATCTTATATAAATGTGTGTGTGTGTGTGTGTGTGTGTGTGTGTGTGTGTGTGTGTGTATATATATATATATTTTTTTTTTTTGAGACAGAGTCTTGCTCTGTCACTCAGACTGGAGTGCAGTGGCACAATTTCGGCTCATCACAAACTCCACCTCCCAGGTTCAAGCAACATGATTCTCCTGCCTCAGCCTCCCAAGTAGCTGGGATTATAGGCATGTGCCACCATGCCCAGCTAATTTTTGTATTTTTAGTAGAGACAGGGTTTCGCCATGTTGGCCAGGCTGGTCTCAAACTCCTGACCTCAGGTGATCTGCCTGCCTCGGCCTCCCACAGTGCTGGGATTACAGGCGTGAGCCACCACGCCTGACCATCTTACATATTTTGAAGTCTTATGTTTCTGTAAAATGTATAAAACCAAGCTGTGCTCCAACCACCCAGGGCCCATGTCATCAGGATCTCCTAAGGCTATGTCAACGGTGTGTACCCTTAACTTTGGCAAAATAAACTTCCTAAATTGACTGAGACCTATCTCAGATTTGGGGGGTTCAGTGTTAAAGGTGGGAATGACCCCAAAGCAATCTTGCTGGAACCTGGAAATTATTTCTGGCATTTCTAGCACTAGCACATTTACCTAGCATTTCTGTATCAAACACAGAGGACTTGTGTAGAAAAAGTGATGTATACCTGGCCAAAGCAGCTTCCTCATGCAAAAAAATTCCACAGGTAGAACAGCAAGTGACATATAGCTGTGTCTTTAAAAAGTAAGAACACACACAACACCGAGAAGCTCCTGCTAATACCAAGGTGTAAGATAAGGAGTTATTAAATAATTAACATCTTTTTGGGGAAGACGGAATGTCTCCAAATGTATTTTCCTAAGGCTGCCTGTAATTTTTACTCCAATTTAGACACAAGCACAATCTCTGGGAATACATGCCCAAGTATATTTATGTTTCCAACCAACTGTCTTTGGGATGTGCTGAAGGCCCTACTGCCACAGCTAATTCCTCTGAGGATAGAGACAAACGTGTATCCCAAGTCACATAGAGATAACCCCCATAAGTAAGTTCAAGCATTAACAACTGCCAGAACAAATAATTTTTAAAAAATTCATAAACAAATGAATCCATAAATCAATTTAATTGTGGTAACAATCCCTTTAAAATAAACACCAGGGGAGGGAAGTGGTTAATATATCTATCGCATGATGTTAGCTATCACTTTAAAAGCCTCAAAACAATGCTTATAATAGTAAAATCCCTGTGGATTATGTCTCAGTGCTACTGAGTCTCACTACGAATATGCTAAAATCACTGCTGAAGATCTAAGGTCTGTTACTTATTGTAGGTGCTGCATAACAAATTACCCCCGAATGCAATGCCTTCACATAAACACAATCTCACAGATTTCATGAGTCAGGAATTTGAGAGCGGCATAACTAGGTGGTTCTTTCACTGAGTTGGACTCAGAATGTGGGCAGGAGCTACAATCATCTGAAGGTTTGCCAGGGCTGAGGACCCATTCCAACATGGGGTACTCACATGGCTGTTGACAATGGGCAACATGCAGTTTCCCACTTTGTGGGACTCTCCATCAGCTGCTGAAGCACCTTCACAATATGGCAGCGGACTTCTTTCAGAGGAAGCAATCCGTGAGAGAACAAGGAGAAGACACAGTGCCTTTTGTCACTTGGTCTCTGCGATCACATGCCATCCTTTCCACTTGATTCTATACACTGTGATTCACTTCTAAGTCCAACCCACATCTAAGGGGAAGGGAATCAGGCTCTGTCCCTTAAAGGGAGGAGAACTGAAGATTTGTAGACTTTACTTTGAAACCACCAGGATGAGGTATTTGTGCTTTGGGGGCAGGGTGGAGGGGAGAAGGAGAGTGTTAAAAAATAAAGTCAGGATCCAGAAATTACCAGTTCACCAATTACTAATGGTTTATATGAAAAGTTTCAGGGAAGGTTTCTTAGAAGGGAATGGTTGCACAGCGTTATTTTTAAAAGTGCCTCTGAGATAAATTGTTTAATTATTTGGGACACATGTGCTTAGGCTGTTTGAGAAGTTGCACCTGAGTTTGTTGTGTAACCTGTTTGGTTTTTCACAGATTATGAATCATTGAAGATACCAAAGGACTGTTTTAGAAAAAGTGAAGAAAAGGAGCAAAAGAGGACCCCTGTGTATACCTTCATGTCATTCATGGAGTTGTGCATTCTATATTTATATTTTCTTTGTTTGCTTTTGAGACGGAGTCTTGCTCTGTCACCCAGGCTGGAGTGCAGCGGCACAATCTCAACTCACTGCAACCTCACCCTGCCAGGTTCAAGTGATTCTCCTGCCTCAGCCTCCCAAGTAGCTGCGACTACAGGCATGCACCACCATGCCCAGCTAATTTTTGTATTTTTAGTAGAGACGGGGTTTCACCATATTGGCCAGGCTGGTCTTGGACTCCTGACCTCGTGATCCACCCACCTCGGCCTCCCAAAGTGCTGCGATTACAGGCGTGAGCCACTGCGCCTGGCCTATATTTATATATTTAACCATTCACGGCATGTGTATCTTATTAGTCTTGGAATGCTCATATTCTTACTGTCTTCTTTTGGGGGTAAATCAGCAACTCAGCAGAACATTATCACACTGAGAGGCTCAGTAAATATTTTGAGATCAATTAGAAGCCATTTGGCTGATCATTGTATTCTGAAAATAATCACTCAGGCAGTAATATTACATTATAAAGGCTTTCCGTTTATGTTTCATCAGACAGAATTGGAAGACTGGTCTCATCCAAGTTTTGTTTTAATTGGCAATGCTGGGTAGTCATTCAATAATTACTCAGATTTTCCCACAAACATAAATTCTGGCCATTTTGCAGTGATTCTCACAGTGTAGTCCCACTGGATCCTGCTGGTGGTCTGCAAGGATGAACTTTTATTACAAAATGTGAATCTATAATTACTGCCCTTGTCTTACCAACAATTCTCATCCTCACTCCAGTCTCCAAGGCTCAGCTCAGACCCACTGCTTGGTTAAGCCTTTCCTGACCTCTTCAGCTTAAAAGATGTCCCCATTCTACTCCCACCAGTATCTGTACTCCTTCGGCAGATCAGGGACCGTGTCTTCCTCCTTTACATGTTTGCCCAGATTTATAACTGTACTATGGAGGACAGTCAAGACACACTGTTGTTCCTAAATGTACTTTTATTTTTTTGTATGATCAATTATCCTATTTCACTTTACAAAGTACCATTTTCTCTATTAATCCTAAAGTGGATTACATGTGACCATGTGTTTGTGGTTTTCTTTTTTTTCCCTTTTCTTCTTTTTTGAGACAGAGTCTTGCTTTGTTGCCCAGGCTGGAGGTGCAGTGGTGCTATCACAGCTCACTACAGCCTCTCTCTCCTGGGCTCAAGTGATCCTCCCACTTCAGCCTCCTGAGTAGTTGGGACTACAGGCACGTGCCACCATGCCTGGCAATTTTATTTATTTATTTATTTATTTTTTGAGACGGATTCTCACTCTGTTTCCCAGGCTGGAGTGCAGTGGTGCGATCTCAGCTCACTGCAACCTCCGCCTCCCAGGTTCATGCCATTCTCCTGCCTCAGCCTCCCAAGTAGCTGGGACTACAGGCGCCTGCCACCATGCCCGGCTAATTTTTTGTATTTTTAGTAGTATTTCTATCTCCTGACCCCATGATCCACCTGCCTCAGCCTCCCAAAGTGTCGTTTTTATTTTTTATAGGGTCAGGATCTCCCTATGTGGCCCAGGCTGGTCTTGAACTCCTGGGCTCAAGTGAGCTTCCCACCTCGGCCACCAAAAGTGCTTGGATTATAGGCATGAGCCACCGCACCCAGCAAGTGTTTGCTTCTATAATGACAAGTGGGAACAATAGGTCTGCGGGTCAGCAAGGTCAAATGCCCAACAATTGGGCATTTGTAAACAACTCAATTGTAAAATGATTCACAAACTGGAATTAGTTTGAGAAGCACTGACCCAAGATAATACTGACAATAATCAAACTAAAAACATCCAGAGCTCTAAGAAGCATACCTTTCCTACATGGTGGCCTCCTGAGTTCTCAGAATCACGTCTACAAGGAATCTCATAATCGGTGAATGAGCAGCCAGGGCAGGTCTGACTAGCCTGGTATGTACACATCACGCAAGTTGACCACACGGAATCAACCCAGTAAGTCAACGACAGAAGAGAAGAGATTCACAAGGAAGAAAATGCAGTGACAGCAGCCTGGACCATCATCTTCAGCATTGACAGAACTGTCAAATGTGCTAGGAGGAGACTTTTCCATGTCCTAATCTAGTTTTTCCACTCCTAGGAACTCCAAGGCAACCAGGATAGTTAGATATAGTCAAAGGGAACCCACTGTGAACACTGCATTTATGCTTCTATCTCTGGGATGGATCTCACAGTTGCTACAAGGGCAGAGATTAACGGTGTGTTCAAATCTCAGGCAATTTATTCCTCACTATGAGCTCTCTGTGAACATTAGCCCTTCTACCTGTATCGAAGAGCAGACCCTGCAAAGAACAAGGATGCCCACTTTAGGAAAATCCAATATACATTAAAAAAAAAAAAAAACCTTGCAAACCAGACACAACTTTAGAAGACAATGCCCTCTTTAAACTCCTGATTTTAAATGCTCAACTCCTGTACAACAGATAGATTATGTTATGCAAATTCAACACTACATTAACCAAGGGATTGAAGCTAATGTCTCCAGTAATGAGGCAAAATGACATCATGTGCCTCCTGATGTGATGGACTGAGAAGGATGCAAACCATAATTTATAGAGCATGCCCAACAAAAATAGATGAATTGTGGAAAATCTAATAGTGAGAAAATACCACACAAACCAAAATAGCTACCAAATAGCCAACCTGTATTTTTTTAAAATGTCAATGTTGTGAATGGCAAAAAAAAAAAAAAAAAAAAAAACAAAGGAACTGTTCCTGATTAAAAGAGACTAAAGAGACATGACAACTGAGTACAGAATCTGCGTAATCCTGGATTGAATCCTAGGGCAGGAGAAGAATTACTATAAAGGACATTATTGTGTGAAGTGGCAAAATTTGGATATGAACTGCATACTGGATAATAGTACTACATGCCTTGGTTTTACTAATTGAACAGTGGTTATGAAAGGAATGTCTGCCAGCAAGGACAGGCTAGCAAAAAAGAAAAAGAAGAAAAGGAATGTCCTTGATCTTAGGAAAGACTTTCTAAAGTATTTAGCAGCAAAGGGGCATGATGGTGCAACTTTCAAATGGGTCAGAGAAAACAGTATGTAATACAGAGAATGATAAGTATGGCAAAATGTTTATAATTAATGAATTTAGGTAATGCTATATAGAAATTCTTTGTATTTTTTTTTTACAACTTTTCTGTAAGTTTGAAATCATTTTAAAGTCTTTTAAAACAACACGCTCAAAACACTCGATTTGCACCAAGTGTTTCCACAGTAACGTCTGTTAAATAAAGCAAAGCACCCCATATTAAATTCATCTGTCACCATCCTCCAACCCACAGACCCAGGTGATGGTGCCCCTCTCCACTCCCAAGCCAACTGGACACGCATCCAAACTCAGCCATACAGATCCAGCTCCTAGGCATTACAGACAGACACACAGATTGAGCCAGGAAGCGGTGAGGAGCTCAGAATGGAGGCAAGTTTCAAGCGTGAGGTCTCCCTAAGAAGTATAGGAAAAGGTTACCTGATTTAACTAAGCAGGGGAGTGGGAGAGGGGAGGAAAGAGAATGTCCCCACCCACTTCATTTAAGCTAGTTTGACAATCACCATAAAGGATTCCAGAGCAAGGTCAAGCTCTCAGAGCACAACCACTTGCCCCCACCCCGCACTTCTGCCCTTTTCCCATGGGAAGGGATGACTCCTGTTCTCATGTCCACAGCCTCTCATCCAGGAACAAAGTAGCTGCAGTGAAGGATGCAGCCTGAGACGGAGACCACACCGCCAGGCATCGAACAGCACAGCAAACAGCAGAAAGGAAAGGGCTGAAGCCCTGACCCTTGGACCTGCTTCGGCCACTTATCTCCCTGCAAGCCTGGTAAACCTGACCTTGTGGCAGCCAGAACTATGGTCCATGTCCTATTCTCCAGAACCTGTGAATGTGTTATCTTACATGGCAAAATGGACTTTGCAGAGGTGATCAAGTTAAAGACTTTGAGATGGAGAGATTATCCTGGACAATCTAGGTGCCCAAGGTAGGCACGAAGGTCCTGAAAAGCAGAGAACCTTTCCCAGTTGTGGTCCAAGGGAGATGTGAAGATGAAAGGAGGGTCAGAGAGAGATACCACATAGCTGGATTTGAAGATGAAGGAATGGTATCCCCAGCTGAGTGATGCAGGCTGCCGCTAGAAGCTGTAAAAAAACAAAAGAGATGGATTCTCCCTTGGAGCTTCCTGAAGGAAGGCAGCCTTCCACTTGATTCCAGCCCAGTGAGAATTGTAAGATGATACATTTGGGTTGTTTCAAGTCACAAGTTTAAGGTCATTTGTTGCAGCAGCAATGAAAAACTAAAGCAGACCCTACTCCATCACCAGAAATGAGCGAGTTTTCATCCCTTTTGAGAAGTTAGGTGAGTGGAGCCTGGAGTCCACTCTTGGCCCCACAAAGCCCTTGAGGCACCAGCAGAAAAACCTCGGTCCAGCCAGGCGTGGTGGCTCACGCCTGTAATCCCAGCACTTTGGGAGGCTGAGGCGGGTGGATCATGAGGTCAGGAGTTCGAGATCAGCCTGGCCAACATGGTGAAACCCTGTCTCTACAAAAGGTACATAAAATTAGCCGGGCGTGGTGGTAGCACCTGTAATCCCAGCTACTTGGGGAGGCTGAGGCAGGAGAATCGCTTGAACCCGGGAGGTGGAGGTTGCAGTGAGCCGAGATCGCGCCACTGCACTCCAGCCTGAGCCACAGGGCAAGACTCCGTCTCAAAAAAAAGAAAAAAAAAACCATGGTCCTTGGACCAGCGGATCTCTGAAGATAATTCACAAAATGAATGACCTCCGTTTCAGTTGAACTTACTTGGTACCATCTGCTCTTGTTTCGTAGGATACTTTGCCACCAGAACGCTATTATTTCTTTTTTTAGTAATAAAATTTGCTCAGTTTTGACTAAGTCATTGGCAGACACCAGTGGCCCAGAGCACTAGCATTCAAGTCTCCAAGTCCAATTCACTTCATCAGTAAACTACCCCCAGCAGCCACACCCACCCTGACCCAGCTTTTGTCCTTCCTCTGATCCTACAAATCACCAGAGCCGCCTTCCAGATCCCAGTCATCCCGCAGCACTGCAGGCCCAAGCAGCAGCAGCAGCTGGACAGTAAACTGGGGGCAGCAAGGCCCAAACTTCACCCTGGGAATTCAGCTGCTGCACAAGGCTCACCTCCTCCCTACTTCCACCCCACCACTTTCCCTAACATCTTCTCTACGCACTGCCCTTTTATCTGCTGGGAGGCATGCAGCTGGCCAAAGAAACGCTGCCAAATGTAATCCATGGGTGTGGTGGCTTGCTCCAGCTACACAGCAGGAGCTACTTAACTGATTGCCTCTGCTCTCAGAAGGGAGTTTGAAGGTATTTTTATCATTGAAATGTTTCCATTGAACAAAACATCTGGGGGAGATAGCTACTGTCCCAACTAATAAGACCCATGCCCAAGACTCATAGCTTTTATCAAGATGGTACGTTTTAGAGTGGAGCCTACTTGGAGCTCCTACTTCTTATGTCTGCCAACAGCTGGAGAGAATATACCCACCAGGAGAGCAATTCCAGAGGAAGGAAGTCAAGGCGGCCCAAGGTAGACCCAGAAAAAAGAGCAGCAATTGCTTTTGATGATTTGCATTTCACATACTTAAAACAGAGGCTGGCTGTCTGAGAGATCAATCCAGAGATAGAGAACATCATTTTTAAAGGAAACAGCACAATTAAACCAAGAACTTGCACTAGAAATGGTTCTGGCCCGAAAGAGGTCTGTTCTAAGCACCTTGGTACAGGAATGGGCCAGGCAGGGTGCTGACTACAACACAGAAGGAAGCAGCCTGTGGTGGGTAGCCAGGTCAGCAGAGCTCACCCTGCAGGGAATCTTATCAGCCTTTTATAATCCTGTCATTGTCCATTCCTGTTAAATGCAAGATCTGCCAGAGATGCCTGCAGAATGACAGAGAAGGGCTGTGACTCTGCCGTGAAGAAATGTGCTTCCTACCAACATTGGAGTAGTTCTTGGTGCCTAAGAGATCCCAGCTAATGCAGACAGACCAGGATGACCACAGCAAGCCAGCAAAGGAGCTTCCCTCTGAGCAAGAACAGAGGAAGGGAACTGGGCAAGGAAGACAGGCAAGGCTGCTGTAGGCCCAGTCTAGAAGCAGTCTCTCACTGACACCCATCTTTGCTCTCATTCACACCTCCACAAGAAGGGGTCGCTCCTGAGCATCTGTCAACACCAAGCACTGTGGATACAACAAGAACAGGAGGGATGCAGAAAGAGAAGCCCTCAGGGAGGGCTGGGGAAGTACAGGGAAACCCCACAATGAGGCCACGAAGGCTGAACCACAAGACCAGAAATTGCATCCTGGCCACCGCTGGGTCTGCAGGTTAGAAGACTTTGAAGCCCTGTGAATTCTCAGATCTGAAACCCCATTTTTTTTTAACTCTTTTGTATTTATTTTGCTTTTAAAATGGCAAAAAAAAGTTTAAAGATTAATAACATTCTGTGCTAATGAGGGCCCTCATGGTTGGAGATGTAAATTCTATCTTTTTTTTTTTTTTTTTTTTTTTGAGACAACGTTTTACTCTTGTTGTCCAGGCTGGAGTGCGATGGCACGATCTCGGCTCACCACAACTCTGCCTCCCCAGTTCAAGCGATTCTCCTGCCTCCCCCCTCCTGAGTAGCTGGGATTACAGGCATGCGCCACCATGCCTGGCTAATTTTGTATTTTTAGCAGAGATGGGGTTTCTCCATGTTGGTCAGGCTGGTCTCAAACTCCCGACCTCAGGTGATCCACCCGCCTCGGCCTCCCAAAGTGCTGGGATTACAGGCATGAGCCACCATGCCTGGCCAATTCAATCATCTTTTAAAAGGGACATTTTTAAAGGAGCATATCCTTTGACCTTGAAATTCTATAGAATTGTCCATAAGGGTCTACAGTGTGGCATTACAGAAATGTGCAATGCAATATGTTTTTATATATTGCAAGGGGTGGGGGACACCCAGGAACGGAAGAATGAGTGGTTACATAATTTATCGTTTTATATAACAATAATCTGCAACAATTAATATAAAGAAATAGCCAGGTGCGGTGGCTCACTCCTATAATGAACTTTGGGAGGCTGAGGCAGGTGGATCGTCTGAGGTCAGGAGTTCGAGACCAGCCTGGCCAACATGGTGAAATCCCGTCTCTACTAAAAATACAAAAATTAGCCAGGCATGGTGGCAGGCGCCTGTAATCCCAGCTACTCGGGAGGCTGAGGCAGGAGAATCGCCTGAACCCAGGAGGCGGAGGTTGCAATGAGCTGAGATCACGCCATTGCACTCCAGCCTGGCAAGAGAGAGAGACTCCGTCTTAAAAAAAAAAAAAAAAAGAAAGAAAGAAAAAGAAAAATAATATGTAGTCTTTAAATATGGGATAAATTTGTATTAGCAAGAAACATCCATATTAGTTTTTTAAATGCATTATATAAAAACAATATTATTTTCATTTAAAAAAAAAGCACTTTCTTGGCTGGGTGTAGAGGCTCACGCCTGTAATCCCAGCACTTTGGGAGACTGAGGTGGGAGGATCGTGTGAGCCCAGAGTTCTAGACCAACCCGGGCATCATGGTGTGACCCTGTATCTACAAAAAATAAAAAATTAGCTAGGCATGGTGGCATGTGCCTGTAGTTTCAGCTACTCAAGAAGCTGAGGCAGGACAATCGTTTGTGCCTAAGAGTTCGCGACTGCAGTGAGCTGGGTGATGGGTTGAAACCTGTCTCAAAAAATAAATAAAAAACATACACATACTTTCCCACACACAAGGGGTCACAAGTGTTTTATGTAATATAGAGTTCTGATACCACCTTGAAAATATTTTTCCTTCTCACAAAAAGCAAATGTGGTTAACATTAATAGTTTGTTGTTTTTAAGCCAGGTGAGACTCTCTCAGCAAGAGAAAAAAAAAAGAAAAAAGAACAACTTGCAACTTCTCAGTTAAATCATCCCTTTCATTAGAAAAATCATGCTTTTTAATGAAGAGAAACATGCCCTTCAGGATCCCCAATGAGGAAGAGAATTGTGATTAGACGTCTCTATGGACTCATAATTTCAGACAAGGTAATAAAATGAAAAAATGGACTAGTTCGTTGGAATGGGGTTAAGCATGGGTACTCAGCCACAGGCTGCAGGTAAAATTCTTCTGTGCCCCTCATCCCAACTGCCCTGTCAATAGTGCTAGCTCTGGGGTGGGGACATTTCGAATGAGGGGAGATTGACAGAATCCCACCTTGAGGCAGAGCCAGGAAGCAAAGAAAGCAATGCAGGAAAGGTCTGAACACTTTAGCACAGTATCAGAAAGGGAAAGGGCTTGTGTCTCTGGCCATCTAAAATTTATATTACATTGTGACTTCTTCAAAAAAAGAAAAAAAGTACATCCCGGCACAATGAGGGAAGACAGTCCCAAGTGTGGTAACGTAGGGCATGCAACGCAGGACCAGAAGACTGGAAGCACTGGCAGCTTACCAGGGTGATGAAGACTACTATGGAAAAAGCTGTTTCCCTTTTTATAAATGTTTACTTCTTTGTCTTATTTTTAAATATATCAACAGGTTGTAAATTACTTTTCTAACTTTGTAAAATAAGAAGACATTTTAAAGAAATATAGGCCGGGCACCGTGGCTCACGCCTGTAATCCCAGCACTTTGGGAGGCCGAGGTGGCTGTTATCACTTGAGGCCAGGAGTTTGAGATCAGCCTGGCCAACCATGGCTAACATGGTGAAACTCTGTCTCTAATAAAAATACAAAAATTAGCCAGGCATGGTGGCGGGCACCTATACTCCCAGCTACTCGGGAAGTTGAGGCTGGAGAATCGCTTGAACCCAGGAGGCAGAGGTCGCAGTGAGCTGAGATCGCGCCGCTGCACTCCAGCCTGGGCGACAGAGTGAGACTCTGTCTCAAAATAACAACAATAAACAAATAAGATATATAAACAAAATCTGTTATAGGAAGGAGCAGACACTTCTTAAGACACTCATCCAACACCTTCCACCCACCTGCTCTCCCCTTTTACTCAAATAACTGAAGACCCCAGAGAGGTCTTCACTCCTGAAGTCCACAGAAGACAAGGAAACACCTGCTGACTTTTCATTAGGAGGCTTGCAATGACAGGAGACCAACTGGCCCACCATCACCACTCCTGGGTCTGCTCAAGTATTCACCAGTGGTGCCTATTAGTAACTCTTCAGATAAGCTGGCTTTAGGCAAGCAAATGGAAAAAGGGAATTACTTTGTTGAGTTTATTTAACAGATGTTTATCGAGCTCACAGTCCTGTGCTGGGCCTGGGACACAAGGATGAAGCACAGTCCCTGCCCTCAAGGGGCTCACTGTCTAAAGACAAAGAAGGCCGGGCATGGTGGCTCACACCTGTAATCCCAGCACTTTGGGAGGCTGAGGCAGGCGGATCACTTGGGGCCAGGAATTCGAGACCAGCCTGGCCAACATGGTAAAACCCCGTCGCTACTAAAAATACAAAATTAGCCAGATGTGGTGGTGCAAGCCACCACCCAGTAGTAACCCCAGCTACTTAGGAGGCTGAGGCAGGAGAATTGCTTGAACCCAGGAGGCGGAGGTTGCAGTGAGCCAAGATTGCGCCACTGCACTCCAGCCTGGGTGAGAGAGAAAGACTCTGTCTCAAAAAAAAATAAAAATAAAGACAAAGAAGTCTGCTTCAGACAATGGGAAAGTGCTTGATTAGAGGGGATCAGCCAGACGCAAGTGGAAGGGGACACTTCAGACAGTCCTTGAAGGATGAGTAGCCAGGGTAAGTACACACCAGTCTAAGGGCATAGCTCTGAAACAACTCTGCAAAATAAAATCATCTCCCGCCTTTACTGTTGAGGAAATAAGCCCAGAGAATAGAGGGTACCAGTCCTTGATGCCTATATGAGGCCCAGGTAAATGCACACAGGCACAAGGTTATCACATTACAGAGCTGGGATTTGAATCCAGCTCCCCCAAGCTCCAGAGGCTTGACTAGATGGAAAGACAAGCTTAGCCCCACTAAGTCTAAAGAAGCAAGAAGGAGCTGCTTTTAAGATCTGATTCGATCCTGTCACTAGATGGACATCCCAGCATTCCAGAAGGGGTTATACGCATGGATTTAGGAACACAGTTTGTAACACAAAAGTGATAGCATGTTTCCCATCTGCCATTGCCTAAAACATAAGAACTGCAACACATACCTGGCCATGGAAGCCGGGCTAAGTAGGTTCAACTTAATTCTGCATTTGGTGGGTGGCTTGGCCCAGCCCAGAACTAAGCATATACATGAAGCCAAAAGTTGAGAAGCCTAATGAAAATTTAAAACACCTAAGACACTAGAACTGCGTATCTAATACAAAATAGACGAAATAACTCTGACCAGAGCGAGGTCACTTGGAGATTGTCTTTGACATAGAAATCCCACTGAGTGGCAAGAAAACAGTCATCAGAACACACTGAATCAACCCCTAACCCACCCTCACCTCCTACCTCCCAGCCTGAGCCCTCGAGGACTAGGTCTTGGCACTGGCTCTCCAGACTACCAGAAACAATCGAGTCCCCCTGGAGAGCTGTTCCGGTTGAGCCTGGCGGAGGTGGGCAGAGGTAGACAAGAAGTCTGCCTCCAAAATGAACACACCCTTTCTCTCTTCCCTGTTCACGACTGCCCCCACATTGTCCAAGTTTCTCCCCCACCTCAAGGAGCCACAGTGCTATAGAAGCAACATTTTAAAGTTGCCATACAGGGGAGGGTCCTATCTGGGTCTAAGCTGAGGGTGGGTAAAAAGAAGAAAGTAACAAATAACCTAGGATGCAAATAATAAGCGACCCCATCTCGCCACTAGCTGTAAAATCCCACTTCTAGTCATGATGCAGGGGTTAAAAGCAAGAGAAGGAACTCCACATGAGGTCTGATAGTCCAGGCTGGATCCTGACTGCACACTCTCGCTGTGTGACCCACTGGGTGAGTTCCTTCAGTCCTGTCCTCTGTAAATCAGAGGCTGCACCTGCCTCCTGGGCTGCAGGGAGGGTTAAGTTACAAGAACGTGTGCCACACACTTAGCCCAAGGCCTAGGACACTGGAAGTACTCCGAGAATGCTGTTAGAGCTGTTAACTATTTAGGGCGAGAATCAATTTAGCTGCTTATGAAAGTAAAGCAACGTTTCTGAGAAGGTCTACTGCAGCAGCTGGACAATGTTGAGCCTGCAACGCCCCGCTCCCCTCTGCCCCCGCTGCACCCCCCCCTCCATCCCCCCCACCACCTGCCAGTATCAGGAGCACAACCCTTGGGCCAAGTTGCTGCTTGGACCCCAGGCTCTCCTTTGACAGCAGTGCCCTGCATCTGACCTGCCCTCAGTCTACCTGCTCGAAGGTTTCTGCCCCAGTCCCCAGCTTCCAGTATGGTCTCCATTCTCAACATCTCACTGCAAGTGCCCCATGGGCCCAGCAGATACAGTCTGCTCTTAAAAACCAAACATCCGCAGTATTTTCAGAAATGCTGACTTATACAGAACACACCCTACAGAGAGAGCCCATAGGATTCCACCAAGTGAATGTGAAAAGCACAACATTTAAGGGAGGGTTCAATGGACAAACCTACAACCTATGATAACCTTAAGGAGGACAAGCACATAGATGCAGGTGATGGTAACAGGTTCCCCTACTGTTCAATCAGGCTCACATCTCAGACCACTCAGTCTCCTGCAGCTAGAAGAGACTCCAAGGCCAGACAAAACCCTGAGGGTCTCCAGTAACTTTACCCACATCCACCCAGGCAGTTCAGCAAGAGTCACACTCCAGGACAAGTCTTATTTTCATCAAAAAGCTTACAGCCTTACTTCTCCAAGTGTGGTCTAGAAGGCAGCAGCATCACCTGTATCTTGTTAGAAATGCAGACTCTCAGGCCCACCCAGACCTACTGAGTTAGGATCTGTGTTTTAACAAGATGCCCAGGATGCTTTAGAGTAATTAGAACAAAGCACTCTGCCCAAATAGCATGACAGTTTACTTAGGCTTTTACTTGATCTCGTCTTTCTTCATGGATTGGAAGTTTCTAGACAGCATAGACTGTGCCTATCTCAGCTGCTGGTACATAGTAAATACTCAAGAAATATTTGTTGAATGAATGGATGAATAGGCAGTCTACTAACGACTAAAGAGATCTAACCTGTTTTAAGTGCAAAGACAGACACACGGAAGGATCAGAGACAGAAAGAGGATGCATACCTGGGGATGGAGGAAGACATTGAAACAAGGTAGTCAGATAAGCATCTCTAAAGGGGGTGGCATTAGGATGAGACATGATGGATGAGAAGGTACATGCCAGGCAAGAGGATGTTGGACAGAGGAAATGGCATCTGCATCTGCCACCATAAAGCGGGTGCTTTCTCGAAGGCCAGTAAAGGCAGGCCATTGTGGCTGGAGCAAAGTGAAAGAGAGGAAAGTGGTCAAAACTCCCCTAACTGCCAAAGAAGAGAATCAGGACTCGTAGGTTTGGCTCTGGTGATGGAACAAAGTAGCTCCAAGAAGGTAGATTCAGAAGGCCCCAAAACCATTATGACTGCTGGGGGCAACAGAAGGGCCCTGTACGGAGTCCCTGCTGCCATCTTCCAGGCTCTTGGAGTTGGGTGTGAGAGAGGCTGGCCACAGAGGGCAGGAGTCCATCAGCCAGACCTGGCTGGAGATGCCACAGGTCTAGAGCTGCTTGCGAAGTAGAAATGAAGATTACTCATGGTCTTCAACAAGTTGATCCAGAAACTTCTGGGCAGCCGAGCATCCGAGGGACAAGGAGGCCAGTCCAGATGTCACCCTGCAGCAGCGCACTGGCAGAGAAGACACAAATGACATGTGTCAGTGCAGGTAGCCGTGTCAGCGGGTGAGCGACATCCTCCCGGCACTGAACAACACTGCTGGGGTTCAGGTGACAAAGCAGGAGGAGGGAAAAATGCCACACAGGGTTCATGCTCCTGAGGCTCTGTGCAGCAACACAGCTGGCACCCTCTGCCTCCAGTTTTGGTGCCAGCCCACAAGCAGCAGCTCCAGAGAAGCCTCTCTGCAAATATCCCACCGTGGAGTCCAGTCATATGGCTGCCAAGGGTCCTTGGAAATACTCAGGCCTAAGCCCCTCTTTTCACAGATGAGAAAAGCCAAGACTCAGAAGATAGGCCTTGCCCTAAATCAGCAGCGAGGAACAGCAAGGCCAGGAATAGAATTGCAGAATCAAGTCTATAAAGCTTACATTTTACCTGTAAATTACCACTCTAATAAAACTCTGTTTCTAAACAAATGTTATTCTTACTCTGTCTGACTCCTAACTGAAGAGACAAAGCAGCCTGCAGTTCCAGATCTTAACCATGCCCCCAGTTCTCTCTCCTTAATCCCAAATGACTTGCACCAGCCAAACTGAAACTCCTGGTTTTCGTCAAAAACAAAGTTCAAGAAAGAACTGTTCACATTTGAGCAGGGGAAGAAAATCTAAAAATTGTAGAGGGAAACTGAAAAACTTTTTTCAAAAATCTGAATTTATGAGATATAAAGAATAAGAACAAGAAGAAAAGCTCTTGTTCCATACATCAGGTTTACCCACCCAAGACCAGAACCATCCCAGGAAATGCTTGGAGACCACAAAAAATCATGCATTTTAAAGGTTGGTGGGTTATTAATTCAAATATAATCATCCAAATAGTTGCCTCTTTCCCCTGCATTCTAGCTTCGGTTAGCCCTGACACATCAATGCAACCTCGAGCAGATCACACCTAACTTTGCAGATCTTCAGTCAACTCATCTATAAAACGAGGAGCGTGATAAAACTCAGGTGTCCTTCAGCTAGAAAATTCCAAAATTCTGTTACACTTTTGGAACAGAACTGAAAATTAATGTCCCCATTAAGTCGGCTTATACAAAGTTTATTTTCTTAACTTGAAGAAATGAAAGTCATTATAAATTTAAATTACCATATCTCTTAGGAAATAATTACTAAGTTGGTGTCACAGTGGTTGCATTCTGTTTCTAGGGAGTAAGCTTCAGCAATGACAAATCGTTAAACGATTCTTCAGGGAGACAGAGCCAAATACCCCACCCTCACTAAATGGGTATTTGGCTCTATTTCCCCAAAGGTCCATTATTATTTATAAGGCAAAAATTAGGGTTTCTTTTGCATAGCGTAGAACTCAGGCAGTGAGGTCATTTGTTTTGAAACTGCAGCAACCAGTCCCACTTTTTTTTTTTCCATTAGCATTCTAGTTACTCTGGGTCAAGAGAGTGAGATGCAGATTTCAGAGAACAGTCAAAGGCTGCAAGGCCACCCACAGCATCGTCAAGGATTCCACCTGGGACAGCCCGGAGTCTAACCTACAGCTCATTTTCCTTTCACTCTCAAACGTGAGAAGCCAATGACGACTCAGACACAAGCAAACCAAACATATTTCAAGGAATCGTCAACAGCCTCAGGGTCCATTTAAAAAACAAAACACTACCATAACCTCCACATTATTCCTTATTCTTTTTTGAGACAGGGTCTCACTCTCCCGTCCTGGCTGGAGGACAATGGTGCAATCATAGCTCACTGCGGCCTCAAACTCCTGGCTCAAGTGATCCTCCCATCTCAGCCTCCCGAGTAGCTAGGACTACAGGCATGCACTGCCACACCTGGCTAATTATTTTATTATTTTATTTTTTGTAGAGACAGGGTCTGACTATGTTGGTCTCAAACCCCCAGGCTCAAGCAATCCTCTCACCTCAGCCTCCCAAAGCACTGGGATTATAGGCATGTGCCACCAAGACTGGCCCATATTATCCCTTATTCTTACTGAGTGAAAAAGGGGTGGAGAAGGGATGACAAATTCCTCTGAGAATGATAGATGCTTTCACTCAAAAAGGAGAACATAGAGACAATTATGCCTTCAGTTTCAAGGATTCATGAGCCCTCTGAAATTTCTTTTCTGAACCTCAGGTTTAGGACCCCTGCTAAATTAACATGTTAAAAGGAATCCTCTTTTATAAGTCTCTCTGAATGCTGTACAATTCCTTTGTTTGTTCTGTTTTGTTTTGTTTTTAGTACAGACTTTCGCTCGTTACCCAGGTTGGAGCTCAAAGGCACATGTCTGGGCTCACTGCAACTTCCGCCTCCGGGGTTCAAGCGATTTTTCTGCCTCAGCCTCCCAAGTAGCTGGGGTTACAGATGCATGCCACCACACCTGGCTAATTTTTGTATTTTTAGTAAAAACAGGCTTTCACCACTTTGGCCAGGCTGGTCTCGAACTCCTGACCTCAGGTGATCCACCTGCCTCGGCCTCCCAAAGTGCTGGGATTACAGGCGTGAGCCACCATGCCCGGCCCTGTACAACTCCTTTGTAAATGCAGTTGTGAATGGCAACCCTAATTACAAAGGGATGCACAGGAAGAGCAGGATCCAGTGAGGAAACCGGCTTCTTGTAGCACTGATGAAAGAGAAGTATGACCTTTGAGCTCACACAACTATTGAAGCCCTCTGCTTCTGCTAGGATTCTTCACTTAATAGTTTTCAGTAGGAACCTTCCCTTACAAACACAGGTTTGTGCTCCGTACTCAATTTTTCAAAATAAGAATAATAAGCAAAAGCATACATTGTTTAGGAACACATACATAGGTAGTGCAACTACGAAAAGCAAAGATCAGTTAAAAGTTGAGATGGGAAGGACTTCTAAGGTATTTGTAACCTGGTTGTTGGCTCCGCAGATGTTCATGTTACTCTTTAAATTACACCTACATTTTGCATACTCTTCTGTATGTATATGGAAATCGAGCACTTAAAAAAAAAAAAAGACAGTTTTGTGTTAGTGACAGGGACCTCCAAGCATTATTCTCAGTGTTATTCCCAATCCCATTTTAAGACACACCAATAAAACTGAAGTGAGCCCAGTGCTGTGAAGGGGTGGGGCCTGACAAGGAACAGTTGAAAGTTCTGTCCCCAGGGCCACCATCTATAAATACACTTTCATTTTTAAAAGTCTACGCCCTGGGACAGTCCTGTGCTCTGGGCTAATGCCACGCTGACCTCTGAGGCTGCCTCCCAGTCTGGGAAAAGCCAGTGTCAGGTTTCTGCAAACCCACTGGTCTTTCCTCTTACACACCCTGCAGGCCTATTTCCTGTGGCACATTCTGTGACCAGGAACAGTCTCATTAAGGCACCTTTGACAGCTAAGAAAGGAGCAAAGAACCAGACATGGCCACAGACTTAGGAGGAACCCTGGGCCACCCCCTTCCTCAGCTGCACACAGAGGCCTGGCTTCCTTGCCTCTCCTCCTCCAAGCACCTCACTCACAGTCAGTTTACCTTCCTCAGGGGAATTCTGCTCATTCAACGAATGCTCAAGTCATCCGTCGGTCGGAGAAATAGGTAAAGGCTATAGGGGCATGATCAGTGTGTCTCAATTCCTAACCCTTCCCACACTCACCACTACTATTTTGACCAAATAAGGAAGGCACACTCCTTTCCTAATCATTTGAACAAGAGTATGTCATCCAAAAAAACTTTTTTTTGGTAAATCTCACTAGTAAACAAAGCTGTCATTTTTATGTTTTAGTTACAATAGCCAAAAATTGACACCATGACATCAAGCAACATTTGAACCCAGTTTTGGATGGCCCACACCCCATACTCAGTGCAGGGCTGAAGCACGGGAGAAGTGCCTACTTGAGTCCTCACTGTTTGCTAAGCTTCGTGCCAGATGCTGTCTAGGGTCCAGAGGCGAAGGGAGCCGCATCCCTGCCTATCAGGAACTCACACTAGCGTGGGTGAAAGGCACACAGAAGGAGCCCTCTGGCATGAGGGTTCTCCCCATGGGACAAAGATGAGGAAGATATAAGGAGTCATCTCGAAGGCTGGGAGCATGTGATCTGGGTTTGGGGGAAGAAAGAGATCTATCAGATAGGTGGTGTGGGGAGGGGTCCTGGAAAAAATGACTTGCACACAGACCCCAAAGTGGGTGAATACAATGCAGGAGGTGGTGGGGTGAGGAGATTCCCAGACATCAGTCCTTGGGACTGACTCATGGGGGTGGGTGCATGGGAAAGGTGGGAACAGGAGCTGAATCAGGGGAAATCAGGTGAGCATCTAAGTCTGACGGGCCTCCTATCCCAAGGTAAGATATTGGAACTTTATTCTGAATGCAGTGGAGAATGTCAAGCGCAGGGGAGAAGGAAGAAAGGAGGCAGGAAATGCACCACTGCGAGCTGGGCAGAAAGGCGCAAGAAAGAAGGAATCCCTCTGCCTCTGCCCCCCATCCTCCTGCTGCCATCTGACTGACTGATGAGGGAGGCTGGGCTGTGCACCTGCCTGCAGCCTTTGGGAAGACTACTGAATTTGTCTTGTGTCTTTATTACAGTCCTGAGTTTTCAAACCCGAATGTGAAAGGGCCAACCTCACCCTTCCCCAAACCAACTCTTATCTTTCATCTCAGTTACCTCCAGATCCTCCATAGCATGACTCTTGGGTGCCAGGCCCCAGATAAGGGGCTGGGGTGTCAGCAGAAAAGGGTAGTTCTTGCCCTCAGGGAACTCTTGTTTGACAGAGACAAGGGAACAGAAAATCCTAGAGCAGTATGAAGGGGCCAGTGGAGGGGACTTCCCTGTAAGGGCCATGCAAAGATGCAGGAAAGGCACATACAGGGTGCGGCTGGGGTAGCACACTGGAGCACACCCAAACTCAGGAGGTGACGCAGGTTATAGCTTATTTCAAAAACATACTCTTATCTTCATATATGACCTAAAGCTTCTTACAAACAGCACTGCCCCTAAGTATGGCAACAATTTTGTGTTTTGTTTTGAGGAAGGATCACGTTCTGTTGCCCAGGCTGGAGTGCAGCAGCATGATCTCGGCTCACTGCAGCCTCGACCTCGACCTCCTGGGCTCAAGTGATCCTCCCACCTCTCAGTCCCCCGAGTAGCTGGGACTACAGGCACACGCCATCATGCCCAGCTAATTTTTTGTAGAGGCAGAGTTTCACCATGTTGCTCAGGCTCTTCTGGAACTTCTGGGCTCAAGCCATCCTCCTGCTTCAGCCTCCCAAAGTGCTGGGATTACAGGTGTAAGCCACACATGCCCAGCCTTGTGTTTGTTTTTACCCCCACCCTAACCCCAGTTTGGAGCAAAACAGAGGAGTTTTATCATGTTGTGTCAGATATTCAAGAGCTTCTTCATATATATGTCAAGTATTGTCTATAGAACAAATTAGCAATGTCCCAGAATTATATTTTGCTACGTTTAAAATGTACATAAGGCCTACTATGACTAATGAAATATGAATTGCCTCGATAGCCTTTTTGTCTTGATATGTTCTCTCTCCAAGGATACTGAAAGTACAACTACTATTGTCTGCAGGGAAGTGTCACCAAACTTTTAGACCTTCAAAGATGCCCCCACCTTTCTCTCCCAGCACAGTGCCTGCACTGGCTCGGTGGGTAACAAAGGCAGTGGCTGGGGGCTGTCCCAGAGCTCCTGCATGCGGATCTCACCTGCCACTTGAGAACTGCATACCATTCTCACCTGCCCAGCACCTGCTCCAGGCCACTCTTAGGGCTGCTGGGGGCAGGGGCATCAGGAGGCCTGGAGCCTGTGGCCTCTTCCTGCCCGTGCTCTCTGAGGCCTGTGAAGGGCCAGCTAGTGTGAATCACTAGGAATTCAAGTTTGGCAGCCTAGCACCCCAGAGATGCAGAGCTGTTATCAAAGGTCCACTGTCAGCCCTGGCCCAGGCCTTTGACTTAAGGGAACTCGCCATTGGATGTAGTGACTAATGCCTGAGCATAAGCCAGGGTCTCGTTTTCCTCACTGAAGAGTTTCAGCCCCTCCTTGGCTGAGGAGCCCGGGTCGGTTGACTGTCTGGGTTAAACATCAAAGAGCTACCTCTGGAATCTGTTTCCTGGTTTGGCCATCCTCCCGAATGGGTCCCATAGGTTGGAAACACTGACTGTGTCTATAAGTGAGCCCTCAGAATTTGGGAAGGATCCCACTTATGTGCAGTCTCAGTGGGAAAGGGGCATGAGATCATTTTGTTCCCATGTTAGTTGCTGAAACCCTTTGTCCTTCTGGAATTGGCAGGCCTTTACTTTTCCTGAGCTCTTAGCAATGGTTTCCCTATAAAGCTATTGTTTTGAGTCAATCACGAAGAATGCTGGACTTACATGTGCATGCGCTCTCTCTCTCGCTCTCTCTCTCACACACACACCCCCACACAAACACACACCCACACGCAAGAGCCATGCCCATTTTGAGCTCAGGAAAGATGGCAAAATCCACCGGGATGTTTTACTTTTGAAGAAGGTGACATATTGAGGAGTGGGTTCTGTATTCTTAATTTGGCTTTTGCTTTTTTAAACTACCAGACTTTAGCTAGAAGAGAGCCAGTAAGAGCAAAGGGATTAAAATATTTCCTTCATTAGGCATCCACTTAGGAATTGCCTGTGTGTTAGTGCTTTAAGGGTGCTTGTGGGTGGCTCTCAAGAGTGCCAACTCCAGAATCAAGCCAAGCACACAAGCAGCCTGAACAAGAGGAGAGTTTTTCTTTGCACACTCCACCAACACAAAGTATTCAGTCACATTGCTCCATCCATTCAGGCCCTATTTCCCAATGGCAGAACAACTAGTCTTCCTCTGCAAACTCCAGCATTCCTCTGGGGCCAATTTAAAAAAGCTTGGGACTTCAAAATGCACGGGCACACTTTTCTTTATAAAGAACAGCTTTTGGGTAAGCAGCATTGTGAAAGGGACTGAATTTATAAATCCACACAAAAGCCATGTATTTCTTTTGAGACAGATCAACTCACACACTTTGTCTTCTGATTCACTGTGTGTGCTATCTGGTCTACAATGTAGACAGTTCCCTAGGTCAGAAAATGCATCTGCTCATGAACAGACAGAAATGGCAATGTTCTTAACACTTGTCTTAGATGAGAAGTCTGCTTACATGCTCACAATAAAACAAGGAAGCAATTTTTGACTCTAGTCAAGAAGCTTCTGGAATCTTTTTTCCAACACAAATGTTTCTCATTTAGTCCAAGCTCTGTTTCAATTACACGCCAAGAAAAGACAAAGAAAAACCCCCTCTACCACCTACTCCTGCCTTCACGAAAACATTGTAAATTATCTTTATTACATCATATAGAAAAGTCATCTCACATAGGGTAAATTGTTGACAAATGGTTACAGCAGCCGTTTTCTGGGCAATTGCTGTATTCGTAGGTGTTCTTCTGCTCACCTGCCAGGCCCTGGCCTTATCTCTCTCAAGAAAACAGCATGGAAATGAGCATCCCTGTCTGAAGCCTTTGACATTCATTTCTAAAGAATTGTCATGAACATCAACATCAAAAGACAACTCCTTTGTATTTTTTTTTTTATTTTTGTATTTTTTTTATTTTTATTTTTTTTTTGAGACAGAGTCTAGCTCTGTCGCCCAGGCTGGAGTGCAGTGGTGCAATCTCAGCTCACTGCAAGCTCCGCCTCCCGGGTTCACGCCATTCTCCTGCCTCAGCCTCCAAAGTAGCTGGGACTACAGGCGCCCGCCACCACACCCGGCTAATTTTTTGTATTTTTAGTACAGACAGGGTTTCACCTTGTTGGCCAGGATGGTCTCAATCTCCTGACCCTGTGATCCGCCTGCCTTGGCCTCCCAAAGTGCTGGGATTACAGGCATCAGCCACCACACCCAGCCGACAACTCCTTTGTAACATTAAATAATTTCAGAAATGAAAACTGACTGGCTGGAGTGTCTTAACATCTTAACTTTCCCCAGCTTAGTAAATCCCAGCTGTGCAGGGGATGTCAGTAATTTAACTTTCACATGGACCCCACAGCCAACACCCTTGTCATCATTCTGTTGCAGGCATTTCAAAGAAGTTTAAATCAGCATGCTATACCCTCTGGCTCATTTCCTAGTTTAGGTCAACTCTTAGGTGGCAATGCTTAAGCTCTGAGGGTCCCACACCAAAATGAGGCCTGCTCCAAAATTTATTTTGGAAATTTATTTAATAAATTAAATTTAAAAATTTATTTAATAAATTAAATTTATTTAAGCCTTCGCAACAGCTTTCCAATTTACACCAAAAGGATGGAAGGAAAACTTAAGGGTCTGGATTATTAAAAGCTAGACAACCTTTATTATTGTTGTTTATTCTTTCTAAGGCTCTGCCTGGTGATAAGTGTGTGAACTTACCCAAGACTATGCCAAGGATGTGTCTTTTCTGCTCCAACCAGAAATTTTAGATGCAGAAGGAACTTTGGAGATCTGGCCCCGCAGGGATTATAAAATTATCTGGCCAAAACTCCACAAAGGACTAAAGGGGTGGGCCACCTGACACTAGGGAAGCCATTCACAGCAAGTCTGAGGTTTCCTTCCTTTATGAAGTTCTGTGTTCTAGCTTAAATTCATGTCATGCAAATTTTGCAATTATTCAATATGTGCATGCTTTTTTTCACACTAATTTTTTTTTTGAGACAGAGTCTCACTCTGTCACCCAGGCTGGAGTGCAATGGCGCAATCTCAGCTCACCGCAACCTCTACCTCTTGGCGATTCTCCTGCCTCAGTCTCTCGAGTAGCTGGGATTACAGGCGTGCACCACCATGCACGGCTAATTTCGTATTTTTAGTAGAGACGAGGTTTTGCCATGTTGGCCGGGCTGGTCTCGAACTCCTGACCTCAGGTGATCCACCCACCTCGACCTCCCAAAGTGCTGGGATTACAGGCGTGAGCCACCACAGCCGGCCTTAAAATAATCTCTTGTCTTCCATATTACCTGAGTAAAATTAAGGCTCCAATAAGATATCTTAGGTTTATCCTGTGGTTTCACAAATCCAGGCTCACCACTTAGCACTTCACCCCTATCTGGGAAGCAAAAATTTTGTCTCTCTCCTTCTCCTACAGACAATAACCTACTGCTCAATTATGTTTGGTGACCTGACCAAAAGACTTGGAGGCAGGCCAAGGCACAGAACCCAGGACTCCGGCCTCCTGGTATGGGGCTCTTTGCCACTTTACATCCATCCAGTTCACAGGCACCCACAGCCATTCCGTAACTCATAAGGCAATGGTCAACTTTAAAATCTGCCCACACATCTCTATATCGAGGGAGGTTTAGTTTGGTGAGTGTCCTCCCCCAAGCTTGAGGCAAGGCTCACAAAACGGAGGGCTAATTCTTCACTGGCTTTCAGAATGCTGAAATCTCATTGGCTTTTGGAATATTTTGACAACTTCCCCACCCACTGGGCAGTTTGTCCCCATTCACAGCCATTTGCAAAAATTAAAAGTACAAGCTGCTTAGTGGAGACAAGGTCAGAGTCAGTGTCATCAGCATCCCAAATCTGAAAATAAAACCAAAATCAAATCTCCTTAGGGGAAAACTGTCAACCCAAACACAAGGCGGTTTAATACAGAACTGTGTTGACCACTTTCCTATCAACAGGCTTTCAGCCAGTGTTACCTACTGGAAGGGCTACAGTAAATACTAAATATCTCAGCTGTGCATTTTATATTCCAAAGCAAAAGGAGAAAAGGGATCATGCTAATATAAAAGCTGTGTTTACAAATTCCCAGGGGCATCATAAGTCCTCTAAAGCAACGGTTCTCAACAAGGAGCAATTTCACCCCACAGGGAACATTTGGCAATGTCTGGAGACGTTTTTGGCTGTCACACCTGAAAGGGGGTGGGGATGCTAGTGGCACCTACTGGGTAGAGAGGCCAGGGATGCTGCTGAACACCCTACGATGCACAGGCCAGCCCCGCACAACAAAGAATCATCCAGCCCCAAACGGCAACAGTGCTGAGGACTGAGAAAGCCTAAAATGTAGGAAGCAGGAAGAAGACTAGAACAAAGTCACGAGTCCTAGTTCGTTCTCTGATAGGCTCCTCGGTCCAGACATACCACCGGACCTTCCTGGGTCTCTGGTTCATTGTCACTAAACAGAGAGGTTGGCCTGTTTCGGAGGTTTTGCAACCCCTAGACTGAGTTCAACCATTAATTATTCAGGGCTTAAAGTACGGCTGCTCTCCAGGCTGGCAGCCGCTGCCTCTCATCATACCTCCCCTGATCAGGGGGCATTTCCCACCAGTTCTCTCAAAGCCCCATCATATTTCCTCTGGAAAAGGGAGCAATGCTAAAAGCAACTGCTTTCTCCTTATCACCAGCCACCACGCCAGTCCCTCGCGACCTCCTACTCCACAGGAATGAGACACAAGGAGTTCCTGGACTCTACAAACTCCTTCCAATCCTAAAACCTATGATTCTATTCAGCCAACAAACTAAGGACAGACATGGAAGCTTCATTTCCAATTCTATGTTCTGCTCTGCAGAAATGCATAAACAGAAGAGAAAAAAAAATGCTTTACAATAAAATTTAAAAACAGCACAGCTGCAACTGCATTCAATGTACATGTAAGAATTTTCCATTTTCATAATACTTTGCAACCATAAAATCAGCTCACTACCCCATCTTAGGGGACAGACTTAGTATTAAAGCCATTGTTTCATGGATAGAGAAAATGTGCTACCACCTTGCCATTCCCAAAACCTTCTCCATTGGCTCCAGCTGTTTACACAGCTCCATGGAAGACAACAACTTAGCTGAGAGGCTAAACCCCTCCACACATAACCCGATAGTTTCGAGAACGACAGAACACAGGGACTGTTTTACATGTAAAATGTTCACGTTCAGGAAAAGGAATATAACTGGCCTGACTAGGGGAGAGGATTACGGTTTTCACTGCCTCCATACAATTATCATCACACTCGTTCTCTGAAAGAGTCGGAGACAGAACCACTTCCCCAGCCGCACCGCACAGGAATCCCATTATCACACACCAAGCCACGGATTCTCCAGGTGGCAAGCTGGGATAGGGGGGCTAGGCCAACGGGAAAGTAAGCGATAACTCCCAGCAAAGAGAGAGAACCAGAGGAATCTTCCAAGGCTAAAAGGAAACAGCACATACTGCTGCTGCCAAGTAGAAGAACTAAAGGGCTTAGCATATTTCATTTGCCTTAAAAACAAAAACCAAAAAAAAAAAAAAAAAAAAAAACGCGCTCACCACAAGTTTCCCAAGTACATGCATTATCCATTAGAGCAAATGAGAGAGGAAATCTAAAGATCATTTAAGGGGGGAAAAAAGACTACTGAAAACTCTGAGTAATCACACATGCACCCCCATAGTGCCCATGGGCAACAGAGGGTTAACATCCCGGGGCAAAGTTTCCTCTCAGCAAGTACAAATCCGAAATCATCATCAAGATGCTGAGTGATTTAGTCATGAGCCCTCCCCTCAGCCATCAGAAGGAATGGCAAAAATGCAGAGTGAGTGCTAGGAGCCAGAACAATTTCATTTTCCTCCTAATTGTGCAAAGAATTTGCATTTAAAATGAGCACTTCAAGAATGCCCGATAGCTGGCTGCTAACATGAACAAGAATAAAAGTGATCCATCACCCAACAACACCAAAATTTTTTGCAATTATTTAATTGCAAAAAAAGTATTTGGGTACCCTAGTAGACTGAAGAACACTTCTGGCTAATTACCTCTCACAAGTCAGGTGTCAGATTAACTTTTTTTTTTTTAAATATACTTTAAGTTCTAGGGTACATGTGCACAATCTGCAGGTTTGATATATAGGTATACATGTGTTATGTTGGTTTGCTGCACTCATCAACTCATCATTTACGTTAGGTATTTCTCCTAATGCTATCCCTCCCCACTCCCCCGATCCCACAACAGGCCCCAGTGTGTGATGTTCCCCTTCCTGTGTCCAAGTGTTCTCATTGTTCAATTCCCACCTATGAGTGAGAACATGTAGTGTTTGGTTTTCTGTCCTTGCGATAGTTTGCTGAGAATGATGGTTTCCAGCTTCATCCATGTCCCTGCAAAGGACATGAACTCATCCTTTTTTATGGCTGCATAGTATTCCATGGTGTATATGTGCCACATTTTCTTAATCCAGTCCATCACTGATAGACATGTGGGTTGGTTCCAAGTCTTTGCTATTGTGAATAGTGCCACAATAAACACACGTTTGTGTGTGTCTTCATAGTAGCATGATTTATAATCCTTTGCATATACCCAGTGATGGGATTGCTGAGTCAAATGCTATTTCTAGTTCTAGATCCTTGAGGAATTGCCACACTGTCTTCCACAATGGTTGAACTAATTTCATTCCCACCAACAGTGTAAAAACATTCCTATTTCTTCACATCCTCTCCAGCATCTGTTGTTTCCTGGTTTTTATTTGTTTGTTTGTTTGTTTGTTTGAGACAGAGTCTCGCTCTGTTGCCCAGGCTGGAGTGCAGTGGCGCGATCTCAGCTCACTGCATGCTCTGCCTCCCAGGTTCATGCCATTCTCCCACCTCAGCCTCCCGAGTAGCTGGGACTACTGGTGCCCACCACCACGCCTGGCTAATTTTTTGTGTGTTTTTAGTAGAGACGGGGTTTCACCGTGTTAGCCAGGATGGTCTCGATCTCCTGACCTCGTGATCCATCCATCTCAGCGTCGCAAAGTGCTGGGATTACAGGCGTGAGGCACCGCGCCGGCCTGTTTCCTGACTTTTTAATGATCGCCATTCTAACTGGCGTGAGATGGTATCTCATTGTGGTTTTCATTTACATTTCTCCAGATTAACTCTTAAAAATGCACTCACATCGCATTAACAAAGGTAACATGGAAACAAGGTACCTTCTTGGTGGCTAGGCTTCCCTAGAATCAAACTTTTATGCTTTCTACATCATTTCAGATTTACAAGCTAAGTGAAATAGAGAAATCAATCAGGAATTAAAGACCTGTCAATTAACAACAACGGTTCTCACCACTCATATCCAAAACACAGAACTGCAGTTTGACTTTTGAAGGGAGGAAGAGATCCAGAAGGGAACACAGAGGTGGGCGGACGGTCAGAAAGTGGGAAGTCAGTGGGTGGCTGTAGCCTTGCTCTGTAAGAGGGACAGTTTCAAGAGCTTCATGAAAGACACAAGAGCCTTTTATCTTCTTTCCTCACTAATAAAATTAGAGGGTGAAAATATACACTAGAAAAACATCCAAAGAAGTTCAGAAAAGGGCTGCCAGAGGCAGGGGGGTTGGGGGAAAGGCAAGAGGCACCCCTACTCTGACGGGGAATAAGTACCCCCGTGGCCACGGCCATCAGCCAGCTGCTCAGCAAAGAGGGAGCTCTAGAGAGTTTGGCGCTGTCCTTAGTGTCTCCTTCCACATCCTCCTCCCTATGGGGGTGGCAGCTGTGCGGTCAGGAGAGATTTTCCCCAGAACCAGACAATTTCCTAACAAGGGCATTTTCATTAAAGATGAGACACAAGGCAATGAACGAGGGAAAGAGAAATGGCCAGAGGATGCTGTCCAGCCTGCATGTGGGTCTCATTCCCACCAGAGCCTCACACCACACTGGTTCTGGTTCCGGAAGGGAAGCCCAGAGCCCAGCTGGCAAGAGCCACACCCACAGCGCCAGGCCATTTCCTCCAGCTCTGGTCTCTCATTATTCAGCCTATAGCACTACCTCACTTGTCTCCTAAAAACAGGGGTCCCCTCTGGCTAACCAGACTTCCCTCCATCCCCAAGATGCTAACATGCCTGGCACACTCTCAGCCTGGCAATCTGGACCCTGAGGGTCCAGGGAAGATGAATCACTGGTTAAAAACCAGGAACCCAAGAGTAGTGCTGGTTTCCAAAACAGATGGCCCTAACAATGTGTCCAGCCAGTTTCCTCAAGTGGACAGCCCACGGGCCTTTCAGAAGACCCAGGCAGGGGGCCAACTGTGGACAGCACAAAGCAAAGTACATGTTTCCTGGTCCTCTCCTGGGGGCTTCTGTGAAGCAGCCCACACTGGTGCTCCTTCTTCCATCATTTAGTTTATTATTTTTATTTATTGATTTTTTATGTTTATTTATTTATGTTTTTGAGACAGAGTCTTGCTTTGTCACCCAGGCTGCAGCGCAGTGCCGCAATCTCGGCTCACTGCAACCTCCGCCTCCCGGGTTCAAGCAATTCTCCTGCCTCAGCCCCCAAGTAGCTGGGACTACAGGCACCCGCCACCACGCCCGGCTAATTTTTGTATTTTGTATTTTGTATTTTTAGTAGAGACGGGGTTTCACCATATCGGCCAGGCTGGTCTCGTGATCCACCTGCCTCAGCCGCCCAAAGTGCTGGGATTACAGGCGTGAGCCACCACGCCCAGCCTAGTTAAAAGTACAGACAGATACAGCCCTTCCTCCTGACTCCAACAATGAGAAGTTAAATGTCCCAGGCCATGACTTCCTCAGCTTGGATAGGGTCTAGCCAACAGCTGGTCACTCTGCGCTCACCAGGCCACTCTTGAGCCACCAGCAATTTCTGTGAGTGCTCCTGTGCATGCTCTTCCCCTCGCATGGAGTAGGCGCCTCTTACCTGTTGGCCTTGCTCTCATCCTTCAAGCCCTCGCTGAAATGTCGACTCTTTAGAGACCATCCAAAACAACTGCTCCTCTCCCTCTAACACACCTTGCTTGTCTTATTTCTGCTCTCACCCCTAGGGCCTGAGCCAGAGCCTGGCCCGCAGTGATGCTCAGTAACTATTTACTCAATAAATGAATGCACTAGGAAAAGCAAAGCAAACACATCTAAATACTACGTCTAGGTATAAACCCATCCGTGTTGAAGACATAAATAACATTATTCGTATTGCTCTATACATCACAGCCAGAGTCTGGAAACTGCCTACATACCTACGTACAGAAGAACAGGTACGTAATATGAACAAAATGAATGAGTACCATATTATGATGAGAATGACAGACCCACAACTCACACGAAGATGGAGGCAAATCTCACAAACATCATGCTGAACAAAACCAGAAACAAGAGGACACACTGGGCAGGTCCATTTACATTAAGTTCAAAAACAGGCAAAACTGGCCAGACGCGGTGGCTCACGCCTGTAATTCCAGCATTTTGGGAGGCCGACGCAGGCGGATCACGAGGAAGTTCGAGACCAGCCTGGCCAATATGGTGAAACCCCGTCTCTACTAAAAAATACAAAAATTAGCCGGGCATGGTAGCGTGTGCCTGTAGTCCCTGCTACTTGGGAGTCTGAGGCAGGAGAATCACTGGAATCTGGGAGGCAGAGGTTGCAGTGAGCTGAGATTGCGCCACTGTACTCCAGCCTGCTGGGCAACAGAGCGAGACTCTGTCTTAAAAATAAAATAAAATAAAATAAACACACACACACACAAGCAAAACTAAGTCGAGATTATGACTGTGGGAAGGCGGTGCACCAGCAGGGGTATCAGGGGGCTTCTGAAATACTGATCAGGTTATTTCCTGAGCTGGATGCAGGTTACACAGGTGAGTTCAGTTTGTGAAAATTCATCAACTCGTCCAGTTATGATTTGTGTTCATTTCTCTATGCTCTATTTCAACAAAACTTCATTGCAAAGAGAGAAAACATTATCTGAAATAAACATGGAATTCTTATTTTTCTTAATAAAGCCAGCTAAAGATTCCTGTCCATCATGAGGACTGGCACCTGACATAGAGCTTCCCTTGGATGAGTGGCACACAACACCTGCCTCTTCGTACAAGACCACGTGGCTAGTGCCGGGCACGGTGGCTCACACCTGTAATCCCAGCACTTTGGGAGGCCGAGGCGGGTGGATCACCTGAGGTTGGGAGTTTGAGACCAGCCTGACCAACATGGAGAAACCCCGTCTCTACTAAAAATACAAAGTAGCCAGGCGTGGTGGCACATGCCTGTAATCCCAGCTACTAGGGAGGCTGAGGCAGGAGAATTGCTTGAACCTGGAGGCGGAGGTTGCGGTGAGCTGAGATCATGCCATTGCACTCCAGCCTGGGCAACAAGAGCAAAACTCCATCTCAAGGGAAAAAAAAAAAAAAAAACCATGTGGCTACTTATTCAGGTGAGGTGTGAACACATCAAATGCACCCCGAAGCTGAAACCTGCTAGGACACATGGCTGGCTGCTGCAATCTTCTTCCACCTTTGCAGTCCTAGAAAGCATAGGTCCTGATAAATATTAGTGGCTTTAAATGGAAACAGGTGGTAGGACTGTCACTGCCTGAGGCTGATGCAGCACCTCGGCAGACATCTGAAGCCGCAACTCTGCTCAGAGCCTACAGAGCTGAGGTCCTGGATCACATCAGAGAGGGGGAGTAACAATCGTGGGTCACCCGCTGCCTCTTTCTAGTAATTTCTTCCTTTTAAATTATTTCACGAAAATTGATCATTCAAGGGGAAAATCCTCTCTGAGGTAGGGGGAAAAAACTACATGAGTAACAAAGCAATCGCTTTGGCTAAGCTTTGGCTCACCCCAAAGCTTAGGACCTCAGACACTAAGTGGCCCCAGGCCAACTGTGACCCAAAGAACAAGCCCCTGGAACAGGATCACATTCAGCAGGAGGAAAGAAAAACAACTAAAGCCTGCCCCAGGACACCTACTAAGACTCAACTCAAAGTTAGCAAGCAAAAGGGCTTGCATATTCTTTTGCACTAAAGGGCCCAAACAAGTGTTGGTTGGATGTTGTCAACCTGAAAAATAGAAGTTCAGACTTGACTTGCCTAGCACACCTGCACATGTTCATTCACACACTCATACACACAGGCATGCACACACTTTCCTATTCAAACTCCAGTAAATTTTCCTCTATCATAAATTTTTTACTTACTAGGACATTCAGGGCTTGAGGAATAGTATACAGGTATCGTTACTGATTTATAAGACACAGCCCCTTTTAAAATAAAGTGCATTCTTATTTTGTCATCCTATTCACATGTCTGCCCTGTGAGGTAGAAAGAGCAGCAAACTGATCTCCATTTTACTTAAAAAAAAAAAAAAAAAAAAGGCCGAGCGTGGTGGCTCACACCTGTAATCCCAGCACTTTGGGAGGCCAAGGTAGGTGGATCACGAGGTCAAGAGATCGAGACCACCCTGGCCAACATGGTGAAACCCTGTCTCTACTAAAAATACAAAAAATTAGCCAGGCTTGGTGGCAGGAACCTGTAGTCCCAGCTACTCAGGAGGCTGAGGCAGGAGAATAACTTGAACCCAGGAGGTGGAGGTTGCAGTGAGCCAAGATTGCGCCACTATACTCCAGCCTGGCGACAGAGTGAGACTCTGTCTCCAAAAAAAGAAAAAAAAAATAGAGTCTACTGCTTTCCACATAGAGCTAGTGCCATATAAACCAGCAGACCCCTAAATAGAGGTTTAGCCACTAATAGCCTCCCCTCCTTAGGTCTTCTAGCCACCAGAGAGGAGGGCAGAGGTAGGAGAGGGATGCAAAAAGGAAGAAATGCTGATTAAGTAAGCAGGGACATGCAAGGAGAGTCGCACTCAAGCCCTGCATCATCCTTGAGTTTTTTATTTTTTCTTTTTGAGACAGAGTCTCGTTATGTTGCCCAGGTTGGAGTGCAGCAGTGCCACCATGGCTCACTGTAGCCTTGACCTCCTGGACTCAGGTGACCCTCCCACCTCAGCCTCCAAAGCAGCCGGGACTATAGGTGCGCACCATGACACCCAGCTAAATTTTTTTTTTTTTTCTGTAGAGACGAGGTTTTGCCATGTTCCCCAGGCTGCCCCCTCAAGAAGATACTTCTTAATCAAGTATCTTCAAGAGGAATCTCTCTCCCTCCTAGAGGTTTGTGAGACACTCCAGGAATGGCAAAGAAAAACCATGACCAACCAGCAACATCTCTTTATTAACAAGTAATCAATGTGCCATCTCTCATTAAGCCCAGCTCAGAATGAGAAATTGGAAAGGCACAAGGAGCCAAGTCGCCAATGTGAAAGAGATTCCAAATGTACTATTTCTAACACCCATCTCAAGGAATCAGGGAGAGGCGGCGGGCAGCAGGGGTGGAGGAGTGACCCCGCCTGACCCTTAGCATGGAGAGACACTGGAAAAAAGGCCTGGGCACAAGAGTAAGCCTTGTCCCCACTGGTCATCGCTACATAAGCCCTCACTCCCACCAACGAGATGCCCACACCACTGCAGAGGTGGCGCTGAGAGCCACCAGCAATAAAGGCTCTACCGTTGACTCATACAAAAACTTCAGAATCCCAGGAAAGGGACGCCAAGGCCCAACAACTGTGGATGAGGGACCATTGACCAGACCTGACCATCATGTCGTTGTCAACTGAAAAACATTTTTTTCCAGTTTTCTGGCACAGTTGCTTCCAAACCATCCCAAACTTCCAAAACATGGCTAATTATACAAGGTAAATAAGTCACGACAAGCAACACAAAGGAAAACCCGTAGGAATCCATTCTAGGTGCTCACAGCAGGAGGTGACACAGCAGAGGGGACCTGAAGCCAAGCAATGAACTGGGCAAAATGGGACTTCATGCTCCATCCAGCCCCCAAGACTCCCTCGCCTGCCAACCAGCTCCCACGCAGGTGCAGCATTTTTGCCTGTGCACCCTCTTGCACTCCTCCCCTTTGTCAAGTCCCTCTGCTGGCCGTGGCTTTATCATCTAGACATGTGGAAAACCCCGACACAAACCAGCCAGCTCCCTGCCTCGCCACCAGAACGCTGTCCCTCTCTCCCAGTAAGAACTCTCCCTGGGTCACTGGAAAAGGCACTTCTGCCACTGGAGGTCTGACCCCCAAGGAAGACGGGGCCCAATTCCTCTGCAGTCACCAGCCTCTGCTTTAAAGAATCTGCAGCTCAAAAACCTCCAAGAACCCCTGCTATGAACTCAATCATGTCCCTCCAAACTCTTATGCTGAAGCCCTAAACCCAAGGGGGATGGTGCTGGTGCCTTAGGGAGATAATTAGGTTTAGATGAGGTCACGACAGTGGAGCCTTCATGATGAGGTTAGTGCCCTGTTAAGAGGAGATGCCAGAGAGCCTGCCTGTGCATGCACGCTCGCACGCTCTCCCTCTCTCGCTCTGTCATGTGAAGATGCAGCCAGAAGGCAGCTGCCTGTAAACCAGGAAGAAGGCCCACACCAGAACCCAATCATGCTAGCACCCTGATCTCAGACTTCCAGCCTCCAGAACCGTGAAAAAATTTCTATTGTTTAAGCCATCCAGTCCACAGCATTTTCCAATAGCAACCTGAGCTAATACCTTCCCCAGGGAGATTCCCCTTGACCAAGGGTAGACAGGGCCACAGGCAAACTAAACAGTGTGTCAAGCATTCACAGGTTGTAAAAAGTAGCTTGTGAGGCACGATGCCCTACTGTCAAATTCTCCCCCACCCTGAATTCCCCCATCCCACAGCTTGGTGGCCTAATGCCAGAATGTCAAGGAGCCCTGAACCGCCCCCCTTTTCTGCCATGGGGCAAGCAGAATGAGACAGAGCCAGGGAGAACCTGTGCAGTGAGACAACGGATGGAAGAGTAAACCCCAGGAAACAGAAATGGCCACACAGCCTTTGTACTTGTAGTCTCAGGGAGATCAGAGCCTCTGAAAACATACTAACTATGTGACAAGCCCTCATTCCCAACCTCAACACTGGGAATCTAAAATTAGCCAGAGAAAGAGTCTACTCAGCTCTGTGTCTCCTACACAGGCCCTGATAAGTGTCACTACCTCCTTTGGCAATAACTTGTCTTGGGAATGCTATAAATACTACCTAAGTCTACCCAATGTGAATTCTGAATACCAAGAATCATTTCAGGGTTTTCAGGCACTGGCTATGTGACAGAGGTGTCAAATTCAAAGTCGCCTGCACAAGACGCACACCCAGGGAACACATAAATCCCTCAGGTCCAGCCCTGCATTTTAAACGGTGGGGAGGACTCACTCAAGAGCACCTCCACCTTCCGTGCGGCTGAGGCTGCAGCTGCTACTGCTGCAGCTCTGAAGAGCCGATGAAACGCTTTTCACCTTTTGTCAAATTGCTAGGAAGTAGGAGGCTGAGAGAGATGAGAAGCTTCAGATTACAGAAAAGGACAAAAAGAAGTCTGGCCTTCTTGGATATTTAGATCTGACTCAGAGCTTTCCAGTGAAGAGGCCCTTGGAAAAGGAAGGCTGGAGAAGCAGCAGGTACTCCCCGGACGATCAGGGCTGTTACTTGTCACTTGTCCCCTTGGGGGCTTGATCCAGTAAGGTTCTTTTTTTTTTTTTTTTAAGAGTCTTACTCTGTCACCCAGCAGGTTAATAGATGTCTGTGGACTGAATTTCAGTTCTTTGGGTTTCTGGGGTTCGCAACTGCAGACTCGTAACCCCCAGGAGCAGGGCTGGCTGCACTGGTCTGCAAAAGCAAAGTGTCAGCCAGACGCCCTGCACCTGGCCAAGATGTAAAGCTCAGGCACAGGGAACAGGTGGCGGCGGTAGAGAAGGGGTACTGGCTCGGAGGACAGGACGCTGGGGAATGGAGATGTGTGTCAGAGTCAAGAGAGATAGCAGAAGGGGACTGGAAAAGGGCCCATCAAGGCATATGGAGTCCCAGAGGCAAAAGGGAGAGAGGGTGTTAGAGGATGATAAGCAGTGACCCGTGACAGGCAGCCCCGAGCAGGGCACCTGGGAACAAACTGTGAGATTTGGCCACCAAAGGGTTGCTGGAGGCCTTCCAGAATGGCACTCTGGCATAGTGGTAACCGCAGAAGTCGATGAGTAGGAACGAGGTGTAGGTTACTCTTTCTAAAAGTCAACAGACAGCTCACAACCGACACTAGGCCAGTGGTTAAAAAAACAAACAAAAACATTGCTCCCCATACATTGCGGTGCCCCAGTCTTTAACCAACCCCTGTGCTATCTGACTCCTACTGCGCTGTACCATCTTTTTGTCTTGGTTTATTCAGTCTCTCCCATCCCGAACACCCTCTCCCACTGGCTTTTTGACATTCTGCAGATTGCTGAAGGCGCGGCTGAAGTGCACCTCCAGGAACCCCTTCCTGAGTTCCCCATCACGTCCCCTCCATCGAGCACCTCTCTCCTCACCTGGAAACTGCAATATTGCTGACCTACACACTCCTGCAGGAAGAGTCGGGGACTCACTGCCTCTGTATCACTCTCAGGAGGCACCACAATCTTTTGCCCACGACAGACCCTCAAAAAGGAGGAGTCCATTGAATACAATGGTTCCCTTTAAAAATAGTTATTTATTTTTCTCCCTCCTTTGCTCAAATTCCTTGTGCTTAGTAACAGACATAACTGCCCACCACAAAACCCCAGTGTTCAGTATTTCACAAGTTTGATTCTGTCAGCCCCCCGGGGGGAGGAAAAGTGAGGAATAAGCTGTGTGGAGGGACCTGGGACTGGGGGAATGATAGTGTCTACCTCTTCTCTCCCCACCTGCCCCGATGTCACAGGGTCAGCAGAAGGGAGGGTCTTGGGAACAATGCTCTGGAAGCCATCCGAAAGAGTTCAGTCCCTGCTAGGCTACTCTGGGCCACTCCTCTAAAGGGCCGAATGAAAGAAGCCAGTGTTCCAGGGTCTAAGGCAAACTAGGAGCTGGATCTATCTGCTCAAAACTAAACCCTCCCTCTTGCCCATGCTCTTGCCCTCTCCCTCACTCCCTGTGTTAAGCTGAAGTCCTATGGAGACAAGCCAGAAGGGGACTCACGGAAGGATGGGGCACAGGGTCCTGTGCTGTACCCCACTTCTTGATACACTTGCTCTAAGGCATCTGCCAGACATCCCACCCCTAATGACCAGACCTACAAATAATCCCATACCCCATGACGGTGCCCCACCTGGCATCCCAAAGTTCTCACAGAGAACCAGCAGCCCTGCAGGAGACGGCTCTCAGGTCCCATTCATCCAAGCCCCAACCAGACCCCTCCAATGGGTCTGGAAGCAAAAGCACTGGGCATTAAAATGTCAGGGCCTGGCCTCCCTGGTGTGTGGGGCAGCAGTTGAAGCCTATTCTTGGGGTCCCGAAGTGCCCCCTCACCTCTTCCTTCCCTTTCTGCCTCCTGCCCACACAAACATTTGCTGGAGGACTGCTCTATAAACTGACATCAGTGGAAAAGAAACATCCGGAGTACAATCAGAGTTGAGTCATTAAACATCACAGAATCCCTTAGGGGAAGAAAAAGGCCAAAATGAGCCACTAAATGCTAGGGCTTCAAAACCCCAAAATAAAGCATGTCTACCACTGCTCTGAAGGGAGCATAGCGTGTGCCCGTCTCCTCTGAGCCACAGGGGCCCTTGCAGCAGGCAGCCACTCACACTCCCGCACAGGTGGCCAGGGGTCAGCCACTGGCACCTGGGGGTGGGCCTGGCCCGTGGACAATAGCAGCAAAACTGATTTTATCCACCTACCCACCGGCAGCTGCAGGAAGGGCTCACACTGTTTGCAAACCCTGAGAACTATCATTTTATGTCCTCCAAAACACTGAGGAGAAAGCAAACCAGCCACAGGAACCTAGACCCAAAGGGGAGAAGGTAAGTGAAAAACAGCCACACAGAAAACACAGAGAGAGGGATTCAATGCTGCCCGGACTTACTCAGTGCAGATGCTTTGTATCAGTTGCGTTTTTGTTGAATTCTCACACAGGGGGCTGATTCAAAGTACCACCAAAAAATAAATTCGAGGACAGCTGACTGCATTAAACAGGAAGGGACAAGAGGGAAACTTAGAACCAAGTTTCAATTACTCACACTACATAAAACCACCTCTCAGCAGCTGGTGCAATCAGTCAACAACATAAACCATGGCCAGGGGCAGATAAGCAGCTGGATCTGGGTAACTCTTCAAGAAATGCCCTCCCTCAGTCCCTGCTAGCAGTCAGGTAGCCCAGCACCTGCAAAGGAAGAAAGGGCCTTGTATTAGAGCACACTTTTGGCACCTGCCATGTGCAGATCATATTCTCATTAGCCAGTACTAGCTGCTTGTTTCTCTGAAGAACAAATGACAGGAGTCTATGCAGCTACTTTCCAATCCTACTTTTAGGATCCAAGTTAATATTCTACCAAAAAAAAAAAAAAAATAGGTTGACAATGCCAAATGGCCTCTCTCTCTGCACCATCAAATCTGCCCATCTCCCAAAATCTTTCTAGCCAACCGCATGCCCTTTTACCAATGAGCTGCTTTATTGTGTGTTCACCACTGGATCACCCAAATTTAGCAGCAAAAATGCAGCAAATCTAGTTAAACTTGAATTTCAGGTAAACCACAGATAATTCTGCAGTATAAGTATTTCCCATGCAGTCTTTGGAAGATACTTATACTATAAATGATAGACTGTTTATCTGAGATTTAATTCACCTGGGCAGCCTGCATTTTATCTGGCAACCCTGCTTCATCTTCATTCCAGGGAAAACACTAAATCCCAAGAACAGCTGGAAGCAAACTTCGAGAGCCCCCAGCTGCCAGTCCATTCTACACAGAGGATTAGGTAAAGCAGTACACTGGCCCCGCCACTCTGGGCAACAAGGACAGGCAGAAGGGAGCAGGAGGACTGTCTCCAAAGGAGAGGCAAGTTAAGTCCCTTCTCCTCTTAACTTATTGGACTTAAAGTATCGACACAGAAAAATGTGAACTTAGAAAACAAATGCGGTATGATTCCACTGATTGAGGTACCTAGAGTAGTCAAAAATCACAAAGACAAAGTAGACTGGTGGTTGCCAAGGGCTGGAGGGAAGGAGGATAAGCAGTAATGGGCAGTTTCAGTTTTACAAGATGAAAGAGTTCTGGAGATGGATGGTGGTGATGCTGCCCAGCAATGTGAATGTACTTCATGCCACTCAACTATACACTTACAAATGGTTAAAGTAGTAAATTTCGTGTTATGTTTATTTTTACCATAATGTGTTTTTAAACTGTCGACGTCCTTCTCATTTCCAGTTTAGCCAGGTCTTTCTCTCTCTTGTGTCTAATTCATCTCTAACTTCACGGAATAGGTATCTACTAAGAACCTTACACAATGCAAAAGGAAATCAAATCAGCAGGATACAAATGAAATGCAAGGAAAGCCAGGGCGGAGGGAGGAGCAGGTTTGCAGCTAGGACGGACTTTTCGCAAGCCCTCCTGGCTCCTGTCTGTCTAGGCCTCAGGGCTCCCTGCAGAAGCACCCTCACAACCCCACTGTTCTTTCACCCTTGGTGCGTCCCAAGGGCCTTGGCATCACCCCATGCTCAGCTCTAAGAAATGATCCAGGACCAGAACCCCACAGGCAATGAAGCTTGTCTCCACAGGCGACAGGAAAGCCTCGGGGCTGGAGGATGCATGGTCTCTGCAGTTACAATCACCCTTTGCCCAAGAATATCAACACGTACACACACACACACCCCTTTTGACTCTGGAGACCCCAAAGCAGGCATCAGGTCACATAAATATACGATCTAAAACTGCAGGTCGTCTGCCTTGGAGGGTGTTTGACACAAAACAAGACTTGGGGCACTCTAGCGGCTTGATATGTACCATCAAAAGAGAAAACAGAGTCAAAGGCAGAAAGCATTCGTGAAGCCCATGGACCTCTGCAAGGCCCAAAAGCTACTTGAGGACAGCAGCAAAGGCTCCCTCACCACAGTTCTGGTCTATCCCTGGCCAGGTAATCAGGGTTGTGGAGCCAATTCCTCTTTTCTTTTTTTGAGACGGAGTCTCACTCTGTCGCCCAGGCTGGATCGCAATGGCACAATCTCGGCTCACTGCAACCTCCGCCTCTGGGTTTAAGCGTTCCTCCTGCCTCCGCCTCCTGAGTAACTGGGACTACAGGCACGCACCACCATGCCTAGCTAATTTTTTGTATTTTTAGTAGAGACGGGGTTTCACCCATGTTAGCCAGGATGGTCTAGATCTCCTGACCTTGTGATTCACCCGCCTCGGCCTCCCAAAGTGCTGGGATTACAAGTGTGAGCCACTGTGCCCAGCCCAGCCAACCCCTCTTAAGAATCCAGATTCTCCTCAGCAGCCCTTACTTGCCCACCCAACCCTGACCTGGCGAGACTGCCACAACTAGCCCCTCACACCACGCCCTAGACACATGGGGCAGTCTGCAGACACATGGGGCTAGCAGTGGGGCTGTGGTGCACACGGCCCTTAGAATCACATCAGTGTGCCCTGGTCCCTCCTGGACTCTGCTCTGGGTCTGCAGTAGTGCCCAGGAATCTTCAAATTTAGCAAGAACCAGGCAGGTCAGGCACAGTGGCTCACACCTATAATCCACTAAAGCACTCTCAGAGGCCAAGGTAGGACAATCACTTGAGGCCAGGAGTTCAAGACCAGCCTGGGCAACATAGCAAGACCTCATCTCTACCAAAAAAAAAAAAAGAGAGAGAACTCCAGGCAACTGTAAAGGCAGGGATCCTCAGACCATACATTAAAAGAACAAAAACGGAGAAACAACATTTGAGCTAAATATATATATAGATATATGGACCAGGCATGGTAGCTCATGCCTATAATCCCAACACTTTAGGAGGCTGAGGTAGAAGGACAGCTTGAGCCCAGGAGTTCGAGACCAGCCTGGGCAATATTGCAAGATCTCATCTCTAAAAAATTAGCTAGCTAGGCATAGTAGCACACAGGAGCTAGTACTCAGCTACTCAGGAGGCTAAGGCAGGAGGATATCTTGAGCCCAAGAGGTGAAAGTTGCAGTGATCAGCGTTCATGCCACCGCACTCCAGCCCAGATGTCAAAGTCAGACCCTGTCTCAAACACACACACACACAGACACACACACACACACACACACACACATACATACATACATACATACATACATACATACATACACGATGGGGGCCACTTAATGATGTAGGGCTATACTCACAGATGGTAGGTTAAAAAAAAGCTGAATCCCCAACTGTATCTCCTACAGGCGACTATCTATGTTGAATATGTATTTACATACAAGTTAAACTCGTGCCCGAGTTAACTAAAGGATAAGCTTTCTACAAACACGGTGACTCGGATACACCATCAGCTTCTGGATTTGCCTCCTGGCTCGGCTTCAGGTATCACACTCCAGTGCACAAGCAACAGCAATTCCCCGCTCATGCTCCATCCAAGGGTAGGATCTAGTGGTTGGTGGGAGAAGAACGTTTCAGGCAAGGAGTATGAGTAAAAGCCACAAGGTGAAGACTCTACTGAGACACACACTGAGAGGCCGGCCTGGAAGCTGAGAGAGCCTGGAAGCCAGAGGAGAGATTCTGCAGGAGACGGCAGAAAACATTAGGAAAGTAAGTTGGGGTCCAGGTACGGGGGCAACTGAGAGCTACTGAAGGTTTGTGAGGAAGAGAGTGACAGTGGCAGAATTCCACCAGGAGCCCAAATTCTTTTACAACCAGGACAGACAAGAAACAGCAAGAAGGAAGCAAGGGAGTAGTCATGATTTCAGAAAATAAAGACAGAAAATCATGGAACCATGCACTTTTCATTGTGAATGCTAAGCCTGGAAATATGGCTACCTGCCAACTTTCTCTTGTCCTTTCTCTGCATAGCTTTGGCCAAGGTTTTGTTGTTGTTTTCTCAGACAGGGTTTGGCTCTGTCACCCAAACTGGGATGGAGTGGCTTGATCATAGCTCACTGCAGCCTCAATCTCCTTGGGCTCAAGCAGTCCTCCCACTTCAGCCTCCCAAGTCGCTGGGACTACAGGCCATGTCCAGCAATTTTTATTTTTATTTTTTTAACTCCTGGGCTCAAGCAACCCTCCTGTCTCGGCCTCCCAAAGTGCTGGGATTACAAGGTGAGCCACCATACCCAGCCTGTTTTTAAAGGAGAATTTGGCACTCGGAGGACAGTGATTCTCAACACTAGAGCAGTCCTGATGCAAAAGGTGCTGCACAGGAATGTGTAAACTTTCCTGCCCTCTGCCAGCTAGCTCATCTACTGGGCTATGAAGCAACTACTGCAGCCCCAAGGATCTTAGCAGAGGAGAGAGGAACAGGAAGAAAGCTCTTCAGCATCAGGACCAAACTCTGACAAAGACCCTCCCCTAGAAACAAAAGATCTGGGTCATGCAGAAGACTTTTCAAGACCTACGCATGGAGGAATTATAGCCCCAGACACCCCTCCCCATACCACTCACCAATCCATTTGGGTCCCCTCCTCTTAAGACTTGCTGCATCGCCAGGGCTTCTGTTGACGAGTTAAGCCACTTCATTTCAGGTTTTGAAAACTAATGCTCTCTGACACGTTATGTCTCCTGCTGCCCAAGAGTTTAATACCCAGCATTCACTATTTTATATTAAAATCAGTTATCATTTTTACTACACATCAAAGCTCATTTCCCCCTAAAACTGCAAAGCTGAGACACCACTAAGGAGTGCAAAAGGAATAAGAAGCCAGTTGCCCTGCAAAATTATGCAACTAATGCCCTCTCTCTGAGGAAAAAAGAAGCCCCCTAGACAAATAAAGAAGAAACTCGAAGAGCACGCTCTATAGTAGTTTCCTCCTGATGGGATGAGCTGCACTTTTAACATTTTAAACTAGGTCAGTACATGAGTTCTGATGTTGGGCTTTAAAAGAACTTGCTTGCCTCAGATTTGGGCTAACATAGTGAATCTAGAGACCGCTCTGTGAATTACTATTCCTAACAACCAAAGCTTATTTCTAACATTTTGTATCTCAGTTAAAACAAACCTCAGCATTTCTCTCTGTGATTAAAAATAAGCTACACCACAGGATTACAACGTCAATGTCTTTCCCTCCCCCTGCATGTCAAGTGTTCTCGCCCTTACAAATAATAAACCCGGTATCTCTCTGTAATAAATAATTCCACACAGGTTTTAGAAAAGCAGCACATGACAGAGAGGGTACTGGAGGAGGAGCAAACACACAACAGAATAAACCGAATCCAGAAGTGAAGCTCATTCAGCCTGCCCAGTACAAGCCTAACTCTTTCCTCCCTGGATCCTTCTAATATGATCATGCATTTCTATAACTACATTTGCAAATGAGTGACTCAATAACTGCTACCTAACTCTGTAAAGCATTGGGATGTACTTGTTCAAGAGCAGCTATACGGAATTAGGCCCTGACTGGGAATCCTGTCACTCCTCAGTGCTGTGGACTGCAGCGGATAGCACATAGATCACCCAAGCCTTCCCCAGGACAACTGAGAGGATCCAGTGAAATCTAATGTAAGGAGGCACTATGCAGGCTCCCTGGGCCCAGTCAGAGCCATGCTGCTTCTGCTCCAAGTTCGTCTCCTAAATCCAAGGCGTTGGGGCCTGTTGGAAATACAGATTCCTGGGCTCCTCCTGGGAGGATTCTGCATCAGTGGCAGCCAGCCCTTGGCCAGCCTTTGGAAGCTCAGTCCTGGCCCACTCACAGTGAGGAATAGCCAAGTTCTATTCTGGTGTCACGAGCACCTCATTTGTAGCCTGTCAGACTGAGCAAGCCTACGAATTGGCTTGTAATGGGACATAGCAGGAACAAAACCAGAAATGCACAAGAGTGAGTGGGGCGGGGCCGAGCACCCTTCATAGCCTCTGGGGATATGGAACTCTGGAGAAAAGTTAACTCTGGGCCGGGCTAATCCTAGCACTTTGGGAGGCCAAGGCGGGCAGATCACGGGGTCAGGAGATCGAGACCATCCTGGCTAACTCAGTGAAACCCTGTCTCTACTAAAAATACAAAAAATTAGCCGGGCGTGGTGGCGGGTGCCCACAGTCCCAGCTACTCAGGAGGCTGAGGCAGGAGAATGGCGTGAACCCAGGAGGCGGAGCTTGCAGTGAGCAAGATCGCGCCATTGCACTCCAGCCTGGGCGACAGAGCGAGACTCCATCTCAAAAAAAAAAAAAAAAAAGTAAAGTTAACTCTGTCCAAGGAGCACTTCCAGGAGAAAGACTGAGCCTCAGAGATTTTGAAGTGTGAAGCATCCACCACTCCATTCCATTCACTTGTCTCACAGCTCAGCCACATGCTGTTTCCAAGTGCTCCTCCCAGCCTCTCCCACTGTGCAACCCACCCCGACGTTCTGGACCCACTACCTCGTAAAACTTTCCTTGGCCATCCAGGTCGAAACTACCTCTCTCACCTTAAACTCCTAACACACTTAGCACTAATACCAGCTTCCCAAGTTGCATTCATTCAAGTAGTGAATAGTTCCTAATTAAATAAATAAATAAACAAATAAATAAATAAATATAGGCTTCTTGAACAAAGTCTGGGAAACCAAAGATTATGCAGCTATGCGTTCATTATGGAGATTAATTTATTAAAGGCCCCAAGAAGCCTTTAACAAATAAACTGTTTGATTTTGTTTGACCCAACATTTTCTAAACTCCACTGACCTAAAAACCCATTTGTTCAGGAAGCCCTATTAACTTCTTGCAGAACTGATGATCCACGTTAGAGTTTGGGAAATGCTGATCTATTCCATTCATCTAACAACTAATTATGCCTTGTCCGGTTTGAATGGTTATTTAATCTTGTGTTCTTTAGCTCTGTGTGTATTTACATATTATCTTAAGTAGAATATTCATTTGAGCTAGAAGCACAACTTACATGTCTTTGAATACCCTACAGCCCCCAGTCCAGCCCTTGTAGAGATACTGAATACATTGTTTGATTTGAAAGTATTAGACCCAACGGTAAAAATCACAGATGTGTCTTAGAATACAAAAAAATGTTTAAAATCACAGCGATCAGGTAAAGTTCCATTCATTTTTTTATATAAGAAAACTGAAGTCCAGAGATGTAAAACGGATCATCCAAAGTCACAAAAAAGTCAACAGTAGAACCATGACTAGAACCCAAGTCGTCTGACTCACTAGCTAATGTTCCTTCTGTGATTTAAGTAAGCACTCTTCTAGACTCCAGCTGGTTTTCCAGCAGGTAAAGGAATCTAAGGTAGTCTAGTGATCTGAATACCACAGGCAGTAGGACAGAGGCATACCAATTACAAGGAATTAAAATACAAAAAGAAGACCCAAGCTCTGCTAAAATGGGAGTTAAGCGCTCAGAAGATTCCAGATGCTTATTAGGAGTTTAAGACTACAGAGCTTAAGCCGGGCGCGGTGGCTCGCACCTGTGATCCCAGCACTTTGGGGAGACGGGCGGATGACGAGGTCAGGAGATCCAGACCATCCTGGCTAACACGGTGAAACCCTGTCTCTACCAAAAAATTAGCGGGGCGTGGTGGCGGGCGCCTGTAGTCTCAGCTACTCTAGAGGCTGAGCCAGGAGAATGACGTGAACCCGGGAGGCGGAGCTTGCAGTGAGTGGAGATCGAGCCACTGCACTCCAGCCCGGGCGACAGTGAGACTCTGTCTCAAAAAAATAAAAATAAAAATAAATTTATACAAAAAAAAAAGACTACAGAGCTCAGTATCAAGAATATCAAGAAAGGGCCAGTAGGCGATGGCTCATGCCTGTAATCCCAGCACTTTGGGAGGATCCCTTGAGCCCAGGAGTTCAAGATCAGCCTAGGCAACACAGTGAGCCCTCATCTCTACTAGAAATTTAAAAATTAGCTGTGAGTGGTGGCATGTGCCTGTAGTTCCAGATACTTGGGAGGCTGAGGTGAAAGGATTCTTTGAGCCCAGGAAGTCGAGGGTGCAGTGAACTGTGATCAGGCCATTGCACTCCATCCTCGGTGACAGAGCAAGACCCTGTCTCCCCCAACACCCACCCTCAAAAAAAAAAAAATCTAATACTGACATCTGTAATTTGTATAGCTGAATAAGACGCTTGACTGACTTTTTATTGGAACATCACATTAATAGTTTCAGCATTTTACTTCTCAAACAGCTACATTTATGTTTACTTATACACTATGTAAGGCCTGATTATATTCAAACAAATGCTACTTAAGGGTGTGTGTGTGCACCAGTGTATTATGCATGTGAGTCACTGTTTGTTTCTAAAGAGTTCCAATGATGACACTGTGATACCTCTTATTCCTCCACCAGCATAAAAGTATCATGAGATAAACTCTAACGTATATAGCATATACATTAGAGTTGCTTGGGGGCAGGAGAAAGGGAGTTGTTATTTGCTAATACAGATTCAAGACCTCCAAAGGTGGAGGTGGAGGTCACTGTAAAGCCACAGGTGATTCCTATCCACTGGCAGGGATAAGAACGACTGCTCTGAAGGCCTGGAGTCAGCTGGGTCACACCTGCAGGTGCTGCAGCCTGGGCATTTCAACAGCTCCAGTTCTATCTTAAAGATCAATTCTGCCAGTAAGGCCTCCCTGACCCCTGATATCCCCAAGCCTGGTATTCTCTCTCTTGCCCAGAACTTGACCTGGATAGCTGACACTGGGCATTTGCCTGGTAACTCCATGGTTATGATACATAATAACTGTAATTTTGTTAAAGCATAGTGGTTCTTTGTACTTTTAGTTCATCAGTAAGGCCCAGTGGCTCTCAACCAACCCCCAAACATACACATGCACCAACACTGCAGATGACAGGCAATGCTGCACAACCCCACATGCCTTTGTCAGCATCCAACACCATATGCACCCTAGCAGCAGCTGGCTCTGCTTCTACCCCTCCTGCCGCACTCAGTAAAGCACTTTGGAATACATACATGGGAAAAACAGTAATACAATAGTTGCCTTGCTGCCTTTTTCTAGTAAGTCATCCAAAAAGTTTAGAGCCTTAGCCAGTAATTAGAAGCAAATGACTCCAACACGCCTCACCATTGTTCATGACACAAGAGTGAGTCAGGACCGTGCGGTGAAGAACCACTGACAGCACCAGTTACTAACAGCCTTGTGCTGGTGCCGGAAATGGAGACAAAGGCAAAAGGACTAAGAAATGAGGGTTCTTTAGAAAGCAGACATATGGACCAATTCAAAATCTTCAAAGTCTACATTATTCCATTTTATAGGTTAAGTTATATGCTATGGGAGTATTCACAAATTTGGGAATTCACAAAAGCTCCAAGACAAAGGCCTATGCCGCTTCATGGAACTTACTTCTTACATAAGATTCAAACCACTGCATCCAGAGAATGAAGTCATCTGAAGATATGGTCCACATGGGATTTGTCACCTCCATGGAGACCAGTGACCTCACATCATTGAAGACCAAGGCCCATTTCTCAGATCTCCTCGTCCTGCCCTCTAAGCAGCATCCAGAATTACTAGCCTCACCCTCCTCCTCAATATTTCCCTGGCCTGCCTTCTCCCTCTCTGGCTTCTCAGACTTCTTTATAGGTTCAAACGGCTCCACCCCACCATTAGCTATTAAAATCCCTCCAAGGCTCACATCGGTAGGTGCTCAATAAAGGTTCTTGACTGGATGGTAAACTGCTAACATCAATGAACTGCTAGAAAACAGATTCTCCCCTTTATTTGTTTTGAGACAGGGTCTTGCTCTGTCACCCAGGCAGGAGCAGAGTGGCACAATCATGGCTCACTGCCATGGGCTCAAGGGATCCTCCCACCTCAACGTCCCAAGTAGCTAGGACTACAGCCACATATCACCATGCCTGGCTAATTTTTTGTTTTCTGTAGAGATAGGGTTTCGCCGTTACCAAGGTTGATCTCAAATTCATGGGCTCAAGCAATCCTCTGTCCTCTGCCTCCCAAAGTGCTGGGATTATAAGCATGAACCACTGCATCTGGCTCAGACTCCCATTTTATACACACCCTACAGACTGAATCTCAGATTCTCTAATCAGCAGGTGAAATCAGGGAAAATGAGGGAGGAATGTCCATACCCTACTCTCATCTAATCTCTTTCCAATGCTCCTTTAATCTAAAGTTTGAAGTTCAGGAATTTTAATAGACGTTGATTGGGCCTCCTTTGAGGTAGCTGGGAATACAAATTGATGAAGAGGAAAAGAAATCTTCCTTTACAGCTTTAATAAAAAGCTCATTCATAGCCCAAAATACGTTCCTATTGCCCAAGTGTTAGTATTATAACAAAGATGCAGAACTTTTGCCAATTAATGTCAGTGTCCAACAGAAATTGTTAATGGTGATAAAACAAATTAAAGTTTTATATTAGAACCAGTTAAGGAAGCAGGAAGGGCACAAAAACCAAACACTGCTATCAGAAGAGATAACAGAAGGCATTTATTAAGCTGGATTGCCAAAGAATATAACAAATTTAATATTAAAATTATAACTACAGTAGTCTGAACAATGGCCCCCCAACAATATTCACACCCCAATCCTCAGAACCTGTGAATGGTATCTTACATGGCAAAAGGAACTTTGCAAACATGATTGAGGAGGATCTTGAGATGGGGAGATTAGTCTGGATTATCCAGGTGCACCTCGTGTAATCACAAAGGTCCTGAAAAGAGGGGAGGTAGGAGGACCAAAGTCAGAAGACAGGAGGTGGGACAGTGGAAGGACAGGTGAGAGAGAGCTTAGAAGATGTGGCACTGCTGGCTCGGAAGACGGAAGATAGGACCACTAGGCCAAGAACTGCAGGCGGCCTCAAGAAGCTGGAAAAAGCAAAGAAATGGATTCTCTCCTAGAGCCGCCAGGAAAATCACAGCCCTGCTGACACCTTGAGTTTAGGACTTCTGAACTCTAGAACCTAAGTTAATAAATGTGTGTTGCTTTAAGCTACTAAATGTGTAGTAATTTGTTACAGCAGCAAAATGTTTCTGTTTTGATTTTATTTTGAAGGTTGGGTATTAAAATATAGAGAAAGAAAAAACAAATTTTTTTTTTCTATTATCTCACACAGTACACTCAATACTACACTTCTGGTCACCAAAATGTATGGGGATTTCTCCTCCCACAGCAACCTCACACAGCAACCAAGCAGTTTCCCAGGTGACTCTCCAGCAGACACCAGCTGGACATCCTCTAATTTTTTTTTTTTTTTTTTTTTTTCTGAGACAGAGTCTCACTCTGTGCCCCAGCTGGAGTGCAACTGCGTAGTCTCGGCTCACTGCAACCTCCACCTCCCAGGTTCAAGCGATTCTCTTACCTCAGCCTCCCGAGTAGCTGGGATTACAGGCACGCACCACCACACCAGCTAATTTTTGTACTTTTAGTAGAGACGGGGTTTCACCATGTTGGCCAGGCTAGTCTGGAACCCTGACCTCAGGTGATCCACTCACCTCGGCCTTCCCAAGTGCTGGGATTACAGGCATGAGGCAACACACCAGGCCACATCCTCTAATTTAACTCAGTTCTGACACTATCCACCTGGACATGGTGTCGGGGTGGCGGGCTCAGTTCCACAAGACTGTCCCCTACAAGCCTCAGGTTGTGACCTGTGTTCTGACCAACAGGCTATACATCAGGGTTCCCATGACCCCATCCTTAGGTTCACTTAATTTGTTAGAACAACTCACAGCACTAAAGGAAACACTTCACTTACCTTTACCCTTTTATTATTAACAACATTACCAAGCATAAAGATGGACAGCCAGATAGAAGAGATGCTTAGGGCGAGGTATGAGGGAAGGGGTGTGAAGCTTCCATGCCCTCTAGGGGGGCACACCACCCGCCACAAACCTCCACGTGTTTATCCATCTGGAAGCTTGTCTGAACCCAGTCCTTCATGTTGTTAATAGAGGCCTCATTAAATAGGCATGACTGATCACATCATTGGCCATTGCTGATCAATTTAACCTCTGGCCCCTCTCCCTTTCCCAGCAGTGGGGACTGGCATCTGAAGTGGGCAATCTTGTGGGGCTAAACCCTCAACCTATGGGATCTGACCCTATATCTCCAGGTAGATGGTGTAAAAATTGAGTTAAATTAGAGGACATCCAGTTGCTGTCCACTGAAGAATCTGCCGGAGAATTGCTTTGTGTGGGGAACGTCCTCCCGCCCCAACAGACAATGGAGTCAGGATTGTTGAGTGACTGTGAAAGAGAGTAGGAAATAATATCTTGGTTTCTTCTATCTTTAGTTTACCTCAGTGTTTTCTGTTTACATGTATTCAGGGGTGGATTCACATGAAGCTCACACAAGTTAAAAAGCCAGGCATGGTTGCATGTGGCTGTACTCCCAGCTACTCAGGAGGCTGAAGCACAGACATCACGTGAGCCCAGGAGTTCGAGGCTGCAGTGAGCTATGATTGTGCCACTGCACTCCAGCCTGGGTGACAGAGCAAGACGGTGTCTCAAAAATATTAGATAAGTAAATAATACAAATGAGCACAGGGCCTTGGAAGGGATCCCTCCATGTGAGGGGCCCTAAAGCTAATCTTCATGACCAATCCATCTCTGCTTGTACTGGAACCACGTTACACTTACCCACATCTGACCCATCATTAGTTCGATGGATTTTCACTAGGAAATGAGCTTCATCAGGAAACGCTGTCCCAGAGCATGAATGTGAAGTGAGCAGGAGATGGATAAAGCACCTGATGAACCAGCTATGTATTATATACCAATGTGACTATAACCAGAACCTGGCTTTGTTTCCACAGGCCGTTTTCCAGGATAGAAATAGCCTGTTTTATAGACTGCTTCCTTCAGAGCAGTATTTGCTGTCACAGTCATTCGTGCTTTCAGTATTTGCTGAGCACCACACAGGGAGGATATAAAAAATGGTTGAAACTGCCTCAAGGAGCTAAACTTTTGAAGGGATAAGAGATGTACACTGGTATCACATGCTGCTTTCCATGACAGCTCTACTTTAGAAGGGAGGTATCAATCCTAAGTAAAAGTAGGACGGTCAATAATTCCTGCTGCGGGGATCCAGGAGGCCACAGCCAAGGGCAAGACAGGGATAGGGGTATAAGAGAACAGCAAGAGAGGTTGCCATGGAAACATTCACCAAAGCAGAGGAGGACAGTGAGGACAGTCAGCACCGTCCTCCCTGACGTTTGGCACAAACACCACCCCACCCGTTAGGTTAGGAGTCTATTACAGAAAAAATGCTCTGCCATTTGGTTGTATTTACCGATCTGCAGCCAGGACCGTGCTCTTGCCAAGTTCACAGTGCTGTTCTCCCAATGAATGAAACCTGTACCATATACTTAAGAAAGGAGAGGGGGAAGATATGTAAGAATTAGGGACAATTTGGTCTCTATCTCAATCTTAAATGCAAGGAGTTTAAAGAGGTAAGTCATACCATAAATCAATGTTTCAACTCAGCATTAATTAAATGCTAACATTAAGTTACATTCTCCCTCTGAGAGGCAGAAAGAATCAAGTTCGTGAGAGGCCCAAACTGAGACTTGAAAGACAGGAAGACCACGAGATCGAGGAGACAGGTTAGCCAAGGTATAAAACGAACCTGGGATAGACAGCAGTGTCCAGCACATGGCGGGTTCTTCATGAACATCTGTAAAATGAGTAAATACAAACGTGCCTAAACCAAGTAAATGAAGAGACCATCCAGGTTATCCTGCCCTGTCTAAAATCCAGTCACTGCCCTGGGAGTCCTGCCTTGCATGGTATCATCGCCCCTGTTTCAGCACAGGGAGTTCCTGTCCCTAGAAAAACCCTGACCCTGGTTAACCCAGAGACAGCTGAAATACAGAAACACCAAACATCTTCTTGCCCCTAATTAATGGCCTCTGACTGCAAGCCAAATCAACTTTCGAAATTGTAAGCTCACTGGAATGAAGGCCAAAAGTCTCAATGTTCACAAAGGACAATGCATACCCAAAGGGAAAAAGTCTAACACTAGTCAGAGGCTTTCACAATCAGAGAGTCACTGACTGGCCATTCACCAGAAATAAACATTTATTCTCACTGTGGGGCTTCCAGAGGCTGGTGGCATGCTGACCCAATCCATAAAAACTGGCTAAGATAGGCGCACGGTGGCTCACACCTGTAATCCAAGCACTTTGGGAGGCCAAGGCGGGCAGATCACCTGAGGTCAGGAGCTCGAGACCAGCCTGGCCAACATGACTAAACCCTGTCTCTACTAAAAATACAAAAATTAGCCGGGCGTGGTGGTGGGTACCTGTAGTCCCAGCTACTTGGGAGGCTGAGGCAGGATAATCACTTGAACCCAGGAGGCGGAGGGTGCAGTGAGCTGAGATCATGCCACTGCACTCCAGCCTGGGCAACAGAGCAAGACTCCATCTCAAAAAAAAACAACTGGCTCAGATAGGTCAAATGTTCTGTATCCCAGGATCAATCTATTAACAGGTTTTATCTAGGCTGACAAATAGGTTTTATCACATGTGACAACTCCAATCGATTGGCAGTGGCTGCCTTTCCTAGGGTACATAGTAAAGTGTCATAATCTTCTAGCGATGTCTGCCATGACAGCAAGAGAAAAAGTAATGGCACAGGGGTCAGGCATTTATTATCCTTGATCCTAATTATACTGTATACATATGCATAAACATATAATGCATATATTTACAACCACATATAATTATCTTTTTCCCTAATTAGCTTTTAAACAATAAAGAAAAGCCCTATTACAGATAGCAACATCTAAATCACAACCGTATTGTTAAATCCTAAGTACAAAAGAAACAGGAAATTAAGAGTAGGAAGTATGACTTTAATCCGAGTCCAGCATGTGCTAGCACAGCTGTTGCTAGAAGGATCCAACTGTTGAGGCCTGCTCAGCCAGGGGACCCTTCCCTCCCTAGGTCCTTGGGATCACCTGAGCATCTGTCCTGGTCCAGGCATATCATACACAGGGGAACTTGGCAGGGTGAAGAGGACTGACTCTGCAGAGTGCCATTTACTGGACAAGGCATTGTTCCAGGGGTTTTATATGGTCTCAGTAGCCTTGTGCTCATCCTTATTCTCAGGCTTGAACCTAAACATGAATGTTGGCCCCACCTACCTCCCTACTTCCCTCTTACACTTGCTACGCTGTAAACAACATGGGCTGACTGATTATGCACCGAACTGTATGGGATAAATAAATGCTGCAAGTGGTCAGAGGTAAGGAGATCACCAACTCCTTAATGTTTAAAGGTTGACATGTTTAGAATAAAATCTCAGCAGATAAAGGTGCACTTCCATCTACAGAGGGGAATGAGGCTGACTGGAATTTGGATAGGAAAGGACCTTTCAGATAGACTAAGCTTTACAGACAAGGCTGTCTTCAACTTAACAAGGATATGGCATATTTCCACAAGGGAGAAGTGTAATAGCCCCCACTCCCTTTAAACATTCTGCCAAATGTGCAAAAAGCAAGGATGTGATCTGGCTGCTCCCCAGTGCCCCTGTTTTCCCTTAAATAACCACTACTGGATTAGGCCATGTTGTGGACTTTCTAGAGCAGCAACTGATGGCTCTTTGCCAGACATCCTGGAAGTAAGTTTGACTACCTGACCAAGGCTGGCTTGTAATGGTTCTCTAAATGCTGTTTGGCCCTGAGCTCATCCCACTACATCCTCTCTAACACTTGCCTTCCCCAGTGAGCTCTTGGGGACCAGGGTGCATCTGCTGCCACCAGAGGCGAGAGTGGGAAAGGGGATGGTCCATAGATGTGTGGTGCTCCTCCTACACCCAGAAGTCTGTAAATCAATCCGTTGCATTGCCAGTTGTTGCATAAATGATTCATGACTATGTTAATCAATACATTTTTGCAGATGCTATTAACCCTGATCATTTCAAGGGGAAAATATAGCTCAGGATGCAGAGGCCACTGCACCAATTGGCAGACAGACAGACAGACACACACACACACACACACACCCCCATGGTGTTTTTTGAAAGTACCGTTTTACAGAGGAAAAAAGTAAACCTGACCTAAAACAGAGGCATCAGTATCCTGAGGCAAGGGCTAGGACTAGAAGCTCATGTCAGTAAGGAGAATGGCTCCAGATGACACACAGTACTATGATTATGACTCTTGCCCAAATGTACCTATACCAACAAACACCTAGGGGCAGGATGAAATAGCACCTTTCAGCCAGGTGTCATGTCTCACACCTATAATCTTCACAAGGCAGAGGGAGAAGGACTGCTTGGGGCCAGGAGTTCACGACCAGCCTGGGCAGCATTGTGAGATCCTGTGACTACAAAAAAAAAAAGGTCAGGTGTGGTGGCTCGCACTTATAGTCCCAGCTAGCTGACCTGGCCTCATGATCTCTCTCAGCAGCCACCACCAATCACCAGGAGATAAAACTAAAGATGAAACTTGTATGTGTCCCCCATAACTCCTAATACACTGCTATTGATGAATGTGCTCCTCAGAAAGGATTCCTAGACCTCTAGCAGGCTGTACACCAACATGGGAGACGCCCTCCTAAGAGCCCTTGATGGTATTTTTCCTCAAGTGGCTCATAATCAATGAGAGATGAAACAAAACTGTGCAAATGAAAGAAAGCCAAAGTGATTAAAAAGTCCATTGAACCAATGTGTTGGGAATTCTACTGAAATATTAGAGGATGTATACAAAAGAGAAATCATACAATTGGGTTGGGCACAGTGGCTCACGCCTTTAATCCCAACACTTTGGGAGGCCAAGGCGGGAGGATCACTTGGGGTTGGGAGTCTGAGACCATCCTGGGCAAAATAGTTAGTCCCTGTCTCTACAAAACAAAATTAAAAATTAGCCAGGCACGATGGTGCATGCATGCTTGTAGTCCCAGCTACTCAGAAGCCAAGGAAGGATGAGCCCTTGAATCCAGAAATTCGAGGCTGCAGTGAGCTATGATTGTGCTACTGCACTCCAGGCTGGGTGACAGAGTGAGACCCTGCCTCTAAAAAAAATAAATAAATAAAGAGAAATCAAAGAATCATGGAGCAAATAACCAAGCCATACACAACTCTTCAACAATTCAAACAACCTGATTCCTCCAAGTCCCTTGAGACCTCCTCTCATAGGCCTGCTCCAGCCACACTGGCCTTCACTGGTTTCTCAAACACATTGAGCTCCTGTCCACTGCAAGGCTTTCCCTAGGCAGCTTTCTCAATAGGGAAAGCTCTCTTCCTCCTCCTCCACTGACATCCTGCCACCTGCTCACGAAAGGCTGGCAAACTCCCACTCAGGTTATAGGGTTGGACACATTCCCTCAAGGAAGTCTTCCCTGATCGCCCTCTGCCTCACCCCAGGCCAGGGTAGAACACCAGGTCCTCCCGCACAGCACTCCCTGCAGTTGCCAAGGACTGTTAGTTTGAATTCCACCTAAGTGGAAGCCTGGCTATGCTTTCCATGAGCTCCTGAGCATAGGACAGATACGCACCACTGTATCCTTAACACACAGCACAGTGCCTGGAACTCAGAGGGAACGTGGAATCAATGAACTAATAGATCAATGGATGACTGAATAAATGATGAGGCAGACAACTGAATTAGAACTGCAGGTCAAACAGGAGGTTAGCAGGACATCTGTGATGCAGAAAGCAATGGGAAGTACGGAGAAATGTGTTTGTGACGTAAGTTTGAAACAAGTAGGCACAAGAAACATCCTGATAGAGTGGAGAAGGCAGGCAACAGTGATATCATGGAGCATGATACAAAATCCAAAATTCATAAAGATTAATAAATTTGACTACATAAAACAAATTTTGTGCAGTGAAAAAGCTAGTGACAAAGACAAAATGAGGGAAAGTATTCACAGCATGTGACAGATGCTAATTTCCATAATACATAAACAGCAAGGCCTGGCATGGTGGCTCACGCCTGTAATCCTAGCATTTTGGGAGGCCAAGGAGGGTGGATCACCTGAGGTCAGGAGTTCAAGACCACCCAGGCCAACATGGCAAAACCCCATCTCTACTAAAAATACAAAAATTAGCCAGGCAAGGTGGTAGGCGCCTGTAATCCCAGCTACTTGGGAGGCTAAGGCAAGAGAGTTGCTCGAACCCGGGAGGCAGAAGTTGCAGTGAGCCAAGATCGCGCCATCGCACTCCAGCCTGGGTGACAAGAGCAAAACTCCATTTCAAAAAAATAAATAAAAATAATTTTAAAAATCAAATACAAATCAATAAGAAAAAGACAACAACACAATAGACAAATAGACAGCAGACACAAAAAGTGAAGAGAAAAAGAAATAAAAATGACTTAAGCATATAAAGACAGTCAACTTCTGCGGAGAAAAATGAATGGTTTTACACTGTTGGTGGTAGTGTAAATTAGTTCAACCATCGCGGAAGATAGTGTGGCAATTCTGCAAAGATCTGGAGGCAGAAATACCATTTGACCCAGCAATCCCATTATTGAGTATATGCCCAAAGGAATATAAATCATTCTACTATAAAGATACATGCATGCGTATGTTCACTGCAGCACTATTCACAATAGCAAAGACACGGAATCAACCCAAATGCCCATCAATGATAGACTGGATAAAGAAAATGTGGAACATATACACCATGGAATACTATGCAGCCATAAAAAAGAACAAGATCTTGGTCCTTTGCAGGGACATGGATGGAGCTGGAAGTCATCATCCTCAGCAAACTAAGGCAGAAACAGAAAAACCAAACACTGCATGTTCTCACTGATAAGTGGGAGCTGAATGATGGGAACACATGGACACATAGCGGGAAACAACACACTTTGGGGTCTGGGGGTGGAAAGGAGAGCATCAGAAAGAATAGCTAATGGATGCTGGGCTTAATACCTAGGTGATGGGTTGATCTGTGCAGCAAACCACCATGGCACACATTTACCTATGTAACAAACCTGCATATCCTGCACATGTTCCCCTGAACTTAAAAGTTGAAGGAAAAAGAAAATGCTCAACCTCACATCACACATCATAAGTGATATGAGATTCCATTTTTACCTAGCGGACTGGCAAATATAGGCAGTCTGACAATACACTGTGTTGGCGAGGACTCCTGGGAACAGGCACTCTCATACATTGTTGGTTAAATGATTAAAAATGATACAACTTCTTTGGAGGACAATTTAGCAATATTAAATTAAAGATGAACATACTTTCTGACTTAACTGTTTTAGGACTTTATCCCACAGCTGTACTCACACTTGCAAGCAAGGGAAAGAGCGCGCGCATGCACAAGAGTGCACACACATCAGCAAAAGATAAAAAAAAGACCCAAATGTCAATAGGGAGCCAGTTAAAAGACGAAATGGAATATACTATAATGGAATATAAAACTGCTGTTAAAAAAGAATGAGGCTATTCTATATAATCTAATAGGATATAACTTACAATGTTAACTTTTTTTAAGTAAGATGCTTAAGTACACACACCTTATATACTATATATTCAGAGGGGAAGGGAGTCAGAACATAAAGACACATATACATAGACCACTTCCAGGATAATATACAAATACCACTAACAGTGGTTGCCTTTAGGAAGGGACCTTAGTTTTTAGTGGATGGATTGGAGCAAAGTTACTTTTCACTGCATGCCTCTTTCTACTTTTTAAAATTTTTACATGTGAAATTTAACTTTTTGAAAATTAAAATTGTATTAAAAAGAAAGGAGGACAGATGAGCCTAAATTAGGGAGACAATCTTTTTTTTGGGCGGGGGCGGGGGGACAGAATCTTGCTCTGTCACCCAGGCTGGAGTGCAGTGGCGTGATCTCGGCTCACTGCAACCTCTGCCTCCTGGGTTCAAGTGATTCTCCTGCCTCAGCCTCCTGAGTAGCTGGGATTACAGGTACCTGCCATCACTCCTGGCTAATTTTTGTATTTTTAGTAGAGGCAGGGTTTCACCACGTTGGCCAGGCTGGTCTTGAACTCCTGATCTCAAGTGATCCACAAGAAGGGAAGTGAATCTGGACAGGAGACTCGATTCATTCAAGCTTCAAATAACTGAGGCAGGTATGATAAGATTAGTATCCCTTACACCAGAACAGGGGCCCTTATGTACAAAGGCCATCTGGGGGAAAAAAACCAGTGAGTGACAACCTTGACTCAAAAGCAGAAAACACAACTCAGTCTGTGAGCAGACCCGAAGCAAGCAGGTAACACAATCACAGTCCATAGTCAAGAGGACTAAATAGAGAATTCACACCCCTGAGATTGGCTAACACCAAGACTAGAAACAGAGGTGGTATGCCCCAGCGGTCTGCCTCGGTGACAGTCAGGTGGTACAGGGATTTGTCCTCTGGTTCTCAGCAGGCCCTATGGAGTTTCAGAACTTTGGAATCAGGCCTCCTGGACCAGGAATCGATTAGTCCAGAGGGATACCACAGCCTTAGAGTTGACTTAATTCAGATACAACAAGAAGTTACAAGGCAAAAACCCTCAGGCTTCTGTGTCAGATTGTCCCCTGGGTCCCTGTGGCCAGCAACAGGTATAGGTGAGAGCCTCTGAATGAAACGCCCAGGCTGGAGCCCTGTCAGGGCTGCAGTCTTCTTCCCAGAAAACACCATGATTTGTATTTCAGGTTGAAATTCACATCACCAAATAAAGACACCCAGTTCCTCTCCCTAGGAGTACACATCTCACACCCTCTGCCCCTCTATTTGGGGACCAATGCCTCTGTCAACATACCTATCTTAAAATAGAAACCAAGTGGCATATGCTGTGGTCTATTTCAGAAACTATGTCAAACACATCTGGATGAGTACTCCCCATGCCTGCCTGGCAAGGGCTTCTCCTTGGCTCGTAGGAAAATAGGGCACAGACACTTCTCTCTCCCCTGCCAGTTATGTGAGGGATTTTCTGGAGTCAGCATGTTTCACAAGAGGCGTAGAAACTCTATAAATATGCATTCTAGGGCATAAACCAAAGGACCTTAAATTAGTCATGGCCAAAATACATGTACTCGAAGGAGCAAAACAACTCCTAGTATATTGCCAAGAACACAGTAAAAGCTCCATAAAACACCTCCTGCAGTTTCTTCACCTCTAAGAACCCAAACCTCAAAACATTTAAAAATTAAATTAAATCAAATCACATAACACACATTAGCATGCCTCCGGTTCTTTTCAAAGTGCCTTCACATACATCATCTCAATATGGTACCCTGTGTACGATCCAAAATTCATATGTTAGAAACAATCCCCAATGCAACAGTGTTGAGAGGTGTTTAGGTCAAGAGAGCTCCAACCTCATGAGTGGATTAATGCCACTATAAAAGCACTTGCAGGAGTGGATTTGCTCTTTTGCCCTTCTACCATGTGAGGACACAGCAAGAAGGCCCTCACCAGAAGCCAGCACTTTGATTTTGGACCTCTCAGCCTCCCGAACTCTGAGACAAATAAATGTCTGTTCTTTGAAAATTGCCCAGCCTCAGGTATTTAGTTTTGCATCATGAAACAGACTAAAATGGTCATTTTGTCTTCAATTAGAGGATTACTTTCCCAGAGTGTTTCTTTTCCAGAGGACCTAATAAAAAATTCGATAAAAAATCTAATAAAGATACACTAATAAAAAGTAAAAAAATTTAATTAAACATACACACACTGAGACACTGAAGGAATACAGCCCAACTGCTATTACACCAGGACGAGGCCTGCTATGATTCTGAGTCACAAGTGAATTTGTTGTCTGCATTCAGGAGCTAAAAGAGCAACACGTCCTTTCCAAGGAGCGTTCCAGAAGTCCCATTAACCCAGAGCAAGAGATGGGCCTGGGACCATGCCCGGGGCCCAAGGCCTGGAGCTCACCCACTCTACATTTGTATCCCTGATATTTTGTTCCAATAGAGATGAAATCCACAAAATATTTACACCAAGCTGCACAGAGGCATAGAATTAAATATACATGGGTTTCTGGTCTTCCATTTTTAGAAATTTCCTTTATTTTATTTATATATTTGAGGAACGACTGATGCCATTTTCCCTTTCTTCTTTCTGAATGTTTTTCCAAATGGAGAAAGCTAAAGAAAGCTGCACAAGTCCATGTTTGCTGAGCTATAAAGATTCTTTCAGCATCCAAACTTAAACTACCAAATCAAACAAGCCACTTGTCAATGTTTGGTTTCAAAATTCCAGAGTCTCAGGCTACATGTGATCCTTCCAGGCACAAACCCTGAGAAACCAAACAAGCAGTATGGTCACATTTACCGTTACCTGTTCCGGTGACTTCGGGATATGACATATGTTTAAATTGCCTAATTATGTAAGTATCTAATTTTGTGTTTAACATGTCATCAGTGCACAGTCAAATTATATTCCACAAATATGTAGAGAACATTCGGCCTTAATTAGTTGTTTATCCCTACTGCTGTGCTGCTCTCATCTCAGATTCAAAAATGTTATTGAACTAGGTCTTTTTTTAATGTTCACTTTAATGTATATGCACATATGTAAGTATATTTCCCTTCTCCAAAGGGAAAAGCTCTACACAGTTTCACATGCTCCAGCAGGCTTGTGACCAAGGACTGGGGACACTATGGTAGGCAGAGTCCTCTGCTTAAACCCTGGGAGCCCTTCAGAGAGATGTTTACCTGTTAAAAGTCGTTTCCCCTCAAGCCTCACTCAGTGGGCCTGGAGCTCAAAAGTCAGCTCAAGGTCATTATTTCTAACAAGAATCCAGAGCAAGGTATCAGTCTCTCAGATCCTCCCTTGTGCTTGATCATCCAAATTATTACTATCATCCTGGAAGGAGCTGGGTGTTTTTGTGTATTTTTTTTTTTTGGCTTTTCCTGTTTATCATCTTTCTCGCCTCCTCCAGGAAGCCTTTGAGACTTCTAGACCAAATTGATCTCTCCAATGGCTAAAGTGAGTATCACTCAGTAACTGTCCCAAACAATTTATCCTGAATTACTCACACTTCTACATTACCTTGTGGATTGTTCCCTCTAACCATCTTACTGTTCAATCTGACATACCGGGCCATGACTTATACTTTACTCATGATCGACATGGGGTTTGAGCACAATGCAGGGTACCAGTAAATGCTCAATAAATATTTATTGGTTCGTTTGACTAAGTCTCAAACAGAGATGAGATCTGTCCACTATACATCTGAACTCCTGCAGAATTAAAGTATTAAAGTCACCATCCCCAAAAATGTGGTGCAAATCATTAACTCAAACAAGTGCTACCTCCTCCTAACAAAAATTGCTACCTCGCAAATAATCCAGATTAAGGGTAATTGAGAGTAAAAACATCTAGCGAACAAAACAGAAGCTAAAGTTCTAATTGAGGCCAAGATTCCTCTAACCGGGAAGAGTTTGGACAGAAAATAACAGTTGTAATTGTTTTTGATAGTTTCCATGTCTTCAATTTAACCATGATTGGCCCAATAAGACAGATACACTATTTCCAAAGTCATACAAATTTGCTTTCCACTTAAGACACAAAACAGTTGTTTAACTTTCTAGACACTGGTATGTTCTCCAAAGTCAATTGAACTGTAATGGAATTTTCCACCTCTGAAACACCAATAAATGCTAGCTTACAACAGAAGTCCAATAAGTGTTCAGAATATGTAAACACAGCCACAAAGACCTAATTTTTTCCTTTTTAAAATCTGTACACTTATATATACATTCCAGGGGACTCAAAGGAGAACTAGAATAAACTAGTTTAGGAATATCACTAAATTGGAATCATCATAAAATCAAAACCTTTTTTCTTATCAGTTCGGGCCAGGTCTCTCAGGAAGTCTCCGCATTTATATCGGTTATGTAAAAACCTTAACCAGTGATCTTGGATAAGTCACGTACAGGCTGAAAGGACACGACAGTTCTCAGGAAAACATATTATCTCAATTACATTATTATGGGCCTGAATAATCTTTGCCAAGGAAACTACACAGAGATGCAAACACTTCAGCATTAAGTTATGTTTGCTTCTAGAAAGTTTCTGGTATTTCTGATATTGGTGTGCCTGATGTTTTAGCAATTCACAATAAAAATGACCAAACCACCCCAGGCACCTTGACCAGGGGCCACAGCATCTTCCAGTTCCCACCCCCAAAATTAACCCAAACCTGTTGGCATGTCTAAAGAAAACTTCCAGACTACTTCCTCTCTCTAGCTTCTCCAAAACACACCAGCAATTAAATACATCGGCCAGAGTGAAGTTCCCTGCTAAACTACAAACCCAGCATGCCAAAAAATTAGAGGGGGTAACTAAACCCTGGCCAAGACAGGTCTCAAGTCGGGTGGGGAGACGTCTCACCAGCTAGAAACCACAATGCAGAGTTGGCTAGACACGATCTTAACACATGTGCTTTTCATAAACGATAAGTCTTTCGATTTTCGAAGCACCTAAAGGGAAAGGTTCAGGGGCTTTCACCAACCGATGAATCAGTTCATCCTCCTGGCTTCCCAGAACAGCAAACTCAGATATCCCAGGCAGAACCATCCAACCACACAGGCCTCTCCTCAGTTTGCTACCAGGCATCTTCTCCTCCTCCTTCCTGAAACAGTACCATCACAAGATCACTGCACCCCGCTTGAGTGATTGCTTAGGGCTCACCACTACCCCCCCAACCCCCGCCAACCCCGGTTCCCACCCAGAGCCACAAGCTCTGGCCTGGTGACCTGTCAAAATTGGCATGCTGCTCCAGGGCCGGTCTCCAGACGGAAGTCAGGCTGATGATATCTGTCTCCCCCAGAGAAGCTTTCAATAGGGCCCCAGGTCCCACTCCAGAAGCTCTGAGTCAGTGAGTCTGGGTGAGATTCTGAAATCTGGATATTCAAAGCCGTCCCAGGTGATTCTTGAAGATCAGTCAGGATCAAGAATTAATGCATACTAAATTCATATTATTAATAAGCACACATTATAACATTACCTACTGGAAACTACAGTGGCACTCTCAGAATTCACACTTTAACACACGACGTATGACACCTGGCACATGCATCAGTATACTTTTCCCAGAGGTACCTGCCAGGTTTCACATGCCATCTCTTTAGAGAAATAAGCACAGGTAACTCTCATAAAAAGAGCTTTTCCTCTTCTCAAAAGCATTTACCACATTCAGTTGTGGGAAAGAATCTAAAGAGATTCACCTGAGAATATGGAAAGCAAAACTTAATCAACCCACTCCAGACACACCGGGCAAGGAGTGAAATTGGCTTTAATAGGCCGGGCGATCAAGGCACGTGGCTTCACGTGCTTTCTTCCTTGAACCAAGTTTACAATCCTGCTCCTACTGTTATTCTTAAAATAAATTCTAGAGGGACAAACATTACGTCTACACTAAACGCAAACCACAGGAACCAAGTAAAGAAGGAAATGTCTGTGCATCCACAAAGACAAACAAACAAAATAAGCTTCTAGTTGGAAACCTTTACTGTGTGCATTAACTGGACTCAAGTTGCAGGTCAGCTGTCACCGGTGTTAAGGCCACCATGGCAAAACACGACTCCATCCCTCTTCCCATTACTCTTCCACCTAATTTCTCAAATTCCCTGTAAGAAATGCAAACCTACCTGGGAAAGGTGACATTTATGAACTATTAAACCTTATTTGTCTTCCAATAAATAAATCAATCTCCTTTCTTGGGACTGTGAAACCCAAGACCAGAATTGTGGAGGGGGGGTGGTGGCACAATGATGAATGTTCAAGAACAGAAGGCTGAGGGTCTTGATGTCTTCTCCCACTTACAGACCCTAAAGATCCTACCTTCCAAGAAGAGTGAGGAAGATATGTGTCATATACCTCACATAAGTCCCTCTACAAAGAAGTATTGATGACTTCCACGTATCTGACACTGCCTAGCCCTAGGAACAAGCCTCACAGTTTTCAGGTAAGAAGCTGGGTAATTACCACAGAGTTTGGAGGGCAACAGCCAAGATGAAACAAATAGGGAGTCGAGGCTTCCCAAGGAAGAGACCCCCAAAGCTGAGATCCAATTTACATATTTGTTGTCTGCATGGCATGGCCAGGGAGCAGAAACTGCCAACTGCCCCAGAGAGACATGGCAGGGTTACCAGGGACTCAGATCCCAAGGGCATCGTCTGGAGGGCAAAGGAGGGTCGCAATCTGGAAGGGATGCTGCTGCGGAAGGGGAGGGGTGGGAGTGCCAGGCTGGTCTCATCCACCCCCCAGCCCAGCAAGGGTAAACATGGCTAAATCCTGCCCAGCTCTCACCCCAACTCCATACCCCCTCGCCCCCTCCTCCCGTTGCCTTCCTCTTCCTGCCACCTTCAAGTCCCACTTGGGGGGCTCACTCCAAGTCACTCAGCAAGTGGAGGACACCTCAGAATAGGGACTAGACCAAGGACAAGGTATTAGAAGCTTAGGCCAAGGAGAATAAAAGTAAGTAACCCCAAGTAGACAGAATTTTCTGTGCCCAGCCATAGATCTGTGCTGGACCCACAAACTACTCCCACAGTTCCCAGGAGACACACACTATCCCAGCCCTCCTCTTCAGACCCATAAATCCTGTTTGTGGATGAAAATATAAAATAAGTTCCAGAGGGATATCATGCAGAGAAAGACCTCAAAATCAACATGCACACCCTCCCTGCCCATCACTGATGCTGGCCACTGAAGTACCCAGGCCAATAACCTCGGGGGTGCTCCTGATACCTCCAATCACTCAAAACACTCTGCTGGCCCTGCTTCCTGAAGAATCACTGAGCCAGCCCCTTCTGTCACCTTTACCAGAGCAAAGCTTCTCTACCTTTTGCTTAAGCTATAAATGGAGAGGGGCCGTCTGGGTGGCTTGTTACTAATAAAAATGCAGATTTAGTAGCATGAGGTGAGGCAAAAGAATCTGCCATTTTAACAAGCACAGAAAGTGATTCTGACACAGCTGCTCCCAGACCACACTTGGCCCAGGAGACTTTGGAATCTCAGCCCCTGGAGAGCAGCCACTGTGGTCAACTCTGTCCCCAGCACTGGCCACAAGGCAGGGCCTCCCAAAAAAATGTTTGCCAAGGGAATGAAAAAAATACCATGAAGCTTTGGACCAACTAGAAACCACAGTGGAAAGACAAAACTGAATGAACAGCTCACTCCCAGCACACCCGGGGCCCCCAGTGATCTGACTAGGAGTTAGTTTAGGCAAATTTCCATACTTGAGGCTTAGTCCCCATTACCATACAAAGAATTCGCCAGCTGGACCAGGCTGAGGTCTGTCTGGGTCTAAAAGGCTCTTGTCCACATTACCTCTTTTCCCCTATCCCAATCCCTGCCAGTTAAAGCCCACAGCAGCCGTCTGTCTCCTCCCAGTCAGAACCAAGGCACTGAGGTACAGACCTGGCTCCTAGACTAGAGGCGCAGCCCCAGGAGGGCAGCAACGGCTTTGCTCCTCTCTGCCTCCCAAGGTGTCTGGTATAGGGCCTAATAAATGCCTGCTGAAACATTTAAATGAAATGGGGAGAGGGAAAAAGATAAACCTTTACAGGCTGTACCTACCCTACTTTCAGCCTTGATACAGGCACTTGGCAGCCCCCTCAAAGGATGCAGGGAGCAAGGGAGTGACAGCGGGAGTCACCTCTAGGACACCACCCCATGGCTTCTCCAAGGCCCTCCTCAGGCAGGGTCTTAGAACAAATGCTTCCATGGAAATGTGAGATACGGCTGGGCCATACCTTAGTAGAGGCTTTCCTGGCATTGGAGAAAAGCAGTTCCCATAACCAACTCCCCATTCCCTCACCCACTAATGAAGCAGTTAACAGGTCAAGGGGACTTAGAAATTGAAGACCACAAACAAAAGAGTGGTGGTTTATCCTGGCAGCTCTAATGCAGTCTGGGCTGAAGGCTCTCAACAAAGAATAATTTATTCTATGTGGGGCAATAAGTAGGTTCTCCCCTCAACCAATGATGGTAAATTAACTGAGCAACTATTACTAAAAGCAACAATGCACACACATGCTGCATACCAACTGAGTCCTGCAGAAGGCAGGCAGGCTGAAACTCCAAACCTAGAGTACCAGCACTTGCACGAGGTGAAATTAAACCCAAGGAGGACACATCCTATGTAAACATTTTCAAACCACTCATACAACAGAACACAATTATGACAGTACAAGAGACAAACACCAAAGCAGGAAGACTCACTCCCTTTTAATATTAAAAAGCTGATACAATTCTCCCAGTCCTCTTGGTAAAGGTCTCTGGTAACATCTAACCCTCCTCTATAAAAATCCACGCAGCTCCGTGATGCTAAGAAGCCTTTGTCTTATGACAGGATCCCACTGAAGTCAATGCCCCTCACTGCAACTGCTAGGCGAGGTCAAGGGGCCCCATGCAGGAAGGGGAGTTACCGGGCTGTGAGGATGCACGTCCCAAGGTAGAGCTCAGAGGACACAAGAGAATCTGCTGGAGATCAACCGCAGGCAGTATTCCCCAGGGGTGCTCATCCCCTAGCAGCAGCACATTAGAATCACCTGGGAAGCTTTTAAGACAAATAGGGGCTGGGTACAGTGGCTCAAACCTGTAATCCCAGCACTTCAGGAGGCAGAGGCAAGCGGATCACTTGAAGCCAGGAGTTCGAGACCAGCCTGGCCAACACAGCATAACCCCGCCTCTACTAAAAATACAAAAATTAGCCAGGCATGGTGGCAGGCCCCTGTGGTCCCAGCTACTCAGGAGGCTGAGGCAGGAGAATCACTTGAACTGGGGAGGCAGAGGCTGCAGTGAGCCGAGATCAGGCCACTGCACTCCAGCCTGGGTGACAAAGCAAGACTATCTCTTAAAAAAAAAAAAAAAAAAGGCCAGGCACGGTGGCTCATGCCTGTGATGCCAACACTGCGGGAGGCCAAGGTGAGTAGATCATTTGAGACCAGGAGTTCAAGACCAGCCTGGCCAACACAGTGAAACCCCACCTCTACTAAAAATACAAAAATTAGCCAGGCATGGTGGCATGCACCTGTGGTCCCTGCTACTCAGGAGGCTGAGGCAGGAGAACTGCTTGAACCAGGGAGGCAGAGATTGCAGTGAGCCAAGATTGGGCCACTAGACTCCAGCCTGGGTGACAGAGAAAGACTCTATCTCAAAAAAACAAAAAAAAAGGAAAAAGAAAAATAGGGATGCCTGGACGGCAGTTTCAGGTTCAACTTGTGTGCGATGGGGCTAGGCCCTGGTGTGGATTAAAAGCTCCCAGGTGAGCCTAATGAGCAGTCAGCAGCAAGACGCTTGGTCTAGTCCCAGGAGAAAGCAAGAGATGCAGGTGGAGGTGCGTGTACACAGACAAGTACAGTGTTCTTGCTGTTTGCTGACACCAGAGCCATCCTTCCCTACCCACTGCAGATCTCACTCAAGGAAGACAGGAGCAAGCCTACCTGAGGCCTTCACCACTCCGCGTCTCATTCCTTTCTCCTTTCTTCAGCCACTCACAATGCCAGCTGCCTCCCTTAAGAAAAGCTTCATCCATGGCCCTCAAAGGGAGCGTAGGGTACAGCAAATCATGACACGAGTGGGCTCCCCACAACCACCCCAATCACTACCATCTTTAAGCTTAAGGCTCCATGCTATGTGCCTCATATATGCAATGTCTCAATCCCACCACAACCCACTGAGGTAGTTACTATTATTATCCATATTTACAAATAAAAAAACCGAGGCATGGACAGTTAGGAACTTATGCGATGCTTCACAGCAAGTCCATGTCTGAACCAGGATTCAGATCCCTGTGCAGAGCTCTAATGTCTAACCATTTTGCTACCCAGATTACATCTAGTTGCAATTAACGTTAACATTAGTCAGCCTTTGAAAAGAGGGAAAGTTACCAAATGAAAGCAGAGTCAATTAAAGCCCTGAATTTGATGTCTTAAAAATCAATTTCAGGCCGGGCACGGTTGCTCACGCCTGTAATCCCAAAACTTTGGGAGGCCAAGATGTGTGGATCACTTGAGGTCAGGAGTTCAAGACCAGCCCGGCCAACATGGAGAAACCCAGTCTCTACAAAAATACAAAAATTAGCTGGGTGTGGTGGCGGGCATCTGTAATCCCAGCTACTTGGGAGGCTGAGGCACAAGAATTCCTTGAACCCAGGAGACGGATATTGCAGTGAGCCGAGATCATGCCACTGCACTCCAGCTTGGACAACAGAGCAAGACTCCGTCTCAAAAAAAAAAAAATCAATTTCATCAGTATAGGTGGGGAAGGCATGATTTTTACTGGCAGTTCATGTGAAAAAGATGTGTGGTTTCGGGTGACCATATGTTCACGCACATTTGCAAGACACCTGCTATAGGTCAGGTACAGGGATAGGTGCTGGTAACATGGAGACACAGGTCATACCCTTCTCCCCAGTGACTTTTTGTTGTTGTTGTTTTGTTTTGTTTTGTTTTTTAAAAAAGGGTCTCACTCTATCACCTGGGCTGGAGTACAATGGCACAACCTCGACCTCCCAGGCTCAGGTGATCCTCCTGCCTCAGCCCCCCAAGTAGCTGGGACTACAAGCTCACGCCACCATGCCCAGATAATTTTTTTGTAGAGACGAGGTGTCGCCATGTTGCCCAGGCTGGTTTTGAACCCCTGAGCTCAAGCAATCCACCTGCCTTGGCCTCCCAAAGTGCTGGGATTACAGGCGTGAGCCACCGCACCAGGTCCCAATGACTTTTTAAGAGCTAACGTGATCCTAGAGCTAATGTGATCCTGGGCAGCATCAGGATAACCTCTTCCCCCTGGGAGAAGCCAGCTGCAGGCTGCACTACACTGTGCAGACCATGCAGGGGCCTCCAAAGGAAGCTGTCTGTGGGCTTGTCTGAGTGATTGGGTGGTCTCCCAATACCGGTGTTCAAAAACAGCACCCATGTTCTGCTCCAGGCAAGCTAAATCAGCATCTCCAGGAGAGGGGTCCAGGCATCACCAGCTTACGAGTTTCCACAAGTGTTTCTGAGCAGCCAGAACTGAAAACCAGTCTCCAAAGGATGGAATCAAGAAGGTGAAAAATCCAGAAACCACACATAGGAGGAGTTGAAGATGGGTTGATTAAAGATGGCAGAGGGATGGGAGTGGTTCTGGAGCCTTCCTGTGGAAGGCATTTCTGCATTGCTGCTGGAGTGCCAGGAGATGGGATAAGGACCAAGGGTAGACACTCTTAAGAGAAGGTATCCCTGGTACCTTCGATCTGGAGACCTCCGGGGCTCCTCTCAACTCTGTCTTGGTCTGAAAAGCTGCATAGTAAATGGCCTAATGCTCAGATAATTTGGGTAGACAATTACTGTAATACAGTAAAAACTATAATTTTATATTAATAGCAACTAACTGCTTTAATTCTTCTGCACAAGAGACAATCTGAAGTCATGTGCCCATCAGTGTGTCCATTTAGGGAATACAGAAGTTTTAAAAATTCACATTCCTGGGCCTTATCTCCATCCACGACATCTGCACTTTAAACAACATCTTAGGTGATTCACCTCTGATGAGGGTTGATGCCTGGACTGCACTTTGAGAAACACTTTGATAGGCAAGTCTTTTTTTTTTTTTTTTTTTTTTTTTGAGACAGAGTTTTGCTCTTGTTGCCCAGGCTGGAGTGCAATGGCTGATTCTCCTGCCTCAGCCTCCCAAGTAGCAGAGATTACAGACATGTGCCACCAGGCCCGGCTAATTTTGTATTTTTAGTACAGACGGGGTTTCACCATGTTAGTCAGGCTGGTCTCGAACTCCAGACCTCAGGTGATCCACCTGCCTCGGCCTCCCAAAGTGCTGGGATTACAGGTGTGAGCTACTGCACCTGGCCCGATAGGCAAGTCTGACACAAAGAATGATTCCCTAAAATCTTATCCAATGCAGTAATAATTCCTCCTAACGCTACCCTCAGCAACACTCACTTTTTTTTCTTGCTTAAGTCAGAAGACTTAATATTGCTAAAAAGAAATTTCCCCCTGTAATTTTATTTAACTTTTAAGTTCAGGGTTACATGTGCAAATTTGTTATACAGGTAAACTTGTGTCACGGGGGTTTGCTGTACAGACTATTTCATAACCGCAGCATCAAGCCTGGGTTATTTTCTCTGATCCTCTCTCTCCCCCCACCCCCTACCCTCCAATAGGCCCCAGAGTGTGTTTTCCCCTCTATATGTCCATATGTCCTCATCATTTAGTCCCCACTTATAAGTGAGAACATATGGTATTTGGTTTTCTGTTCCTGCATTAGTTTGCTAAGGATAATGGCCTCCAGCTCCACCTGTGTTCCTGCAAAGGACATGATCTCATTCTTTTTTATGGCTGTATAGTATTCCACGAACAACACTCATTTTAAGTTCCTTATACAACCTCAAGTTGTTTTCCTTCATATGTACATAAAGGTACAGCTGTGTTAACCTGCCCCCTAGTAAAATGACATTTTACACCCCTCTCTATGCTTAAAAAACACCAAGTAGGGGCTGCGCGCAGTGACTCATGCCTGTAATCTCAGCACTTGGGAAGGCCAAAGCGGGCAGATCTCCTGAGGCCAGCAATTCAAGACCAGCCATGGCCAACATGGTGAAACCCCGTTGTTCCCAGACCAAACTGAGGGTCGGAATGCTATTTCTCGTGGACCGGTAACAAGATGCAGATGAACTGGTGAGGAAGGGAGTTTTTATCTCTATAACTGGTTACAGAGAGAAGGCCTGGAAATTATCGCCAAACCAACTCAAAATTATGAAGTTTTCCAGAGGTTATATACCTTCTAAACTATATGTATGTCTACGTGTAAGTGTGCATTCATCTAATGACATAAGTGATTAACTTATTTTAATCTATAACTAAGGTATTAGTCCTGAAGACCTTTCTCTGGAGCCTCAGTAAATTTACTTAATCTAAATGGATCCAGGTGCTGGAGTGATTACCCTTATCTTGTCTCCTGCTAAATCACAGAGATTTGAGGAGTTCCTTCAGACCCCCAATAAACTTGTTTGTGGAGGCCTGGGGAGTTTCTTCAGACCCACAGTAAAGTTTGTTTAATCCTAAATGGGTCCTGTTAAGAATTCCTTCCTTATTTTGTCATGCTTTAAGGCCCAGGAAAGGCCTAGGCAAAACTCTTGATGGGCTTTTGTTACATCCCAGCCTTTGTATAAAGTCACTGGCTTTTAATATTTAACTTAACCACTCAGTACTGAAATAGTTGTTAGTGAGACCTGGCCTGCCACACAGTCTCTACTAAAAATACAAGAATTAGCCGAGCATGGTGGCACGCCTGTAGTCCCAGCTGCTCGGAAGGCTGAAGCAGGAGAATTGCTTGAACCCAGGAGGCAGAGTTTGCAGTGAGCCGAGACCACGCCACTGTACTCCAGCCTGGGTGACAGAGCGACACTCCATTTCAAAAAAAAAAATACAGCAGGTAGGACATCTACACACAGGGGTGCTCCAAGAATGTTTTCTTAATCACCTATTAACATAATGTCAATTTTTGAAAAATCTGGACTGGTTAATCATTACCATCCAAAATGACATGAAATTCTATGAAAATATTTAACACAAACAGTCTTATCTTTTAAATTAAGCATTTAAAAATTTTAAATACAATTCCATTAGTTGATGCCAGCCCACCACTCCACTATGAATACATTAAATTCTAGACCACACAGCTTTCAGGAAGTCTACTATAAAGTAAGTCAGCACTTTTAATTTCCCAGTTTTATAAGGCTGATTGGTGTTATTGTTCTTCAGTTGAGGTCCTAACATAAGAAATAAGAACAAAGCAAAGTGGGATCAACAGGGAATCTCAAAGAGCCCTGGCAGAAGCCCATCTTTGAGGAAGTAAACCTAACAGGGATAAGATGCCCCTTGGGTTGTCAAGAAATAGAGTTCAGGAGGGGCACTGTGGCTCACGCCTGTAATCCCAGCACCTTGGGAGGCCAAGGTGGGAGGATTGCTTGAGCCCAGGAGTTTGAGATCAGCCTGGGCTACATGGTCTACTAAAAATACAAAAATTAGCCAGGTCTGGTGGGGTGCACCTGTAGTCCCAGCTGCTTAGGAGGATGACGCAGGAGGACAGCTTGAGCCCAGCAGGTCGAGGCTGCAGTGAGCCAATGCACTCCAGCCTGGGTGACAGAGGAAGACTGTCCCCATCAACCCCTCCCCCCACCCAAAAAAAAAAGACCTCTGCTTCTTCAGAGGTAAAGCAATTTTCTAACCTTTCTTCTTCAAAGGTTCTTCAGTGCAACCTTTCTAGAAAAAGGTGCTCTCTCCAACTTGCTCCCAGAGGTATCGTATTAAGGTCAGGAGGGTGCTCCAATAGTTCCTATTTGTAGTGGCAGCTCTGATACATAATGTAGGCAGATCACTAAGGAAGACTCCAGAAAGCATCACTCTCCAGGAACTTCCAGCACCAACAGCTGTCTTGTGGCCTTTAAGCCAGTTTTAGACAGGCCAAGGCCTAGGGCAACACTGTCCAATAGAAATATAATGTGAGCTGTGTATGTGATTTTAAATTTTCCAGTAGCCACGTTTTAAAACATAAAAAGAAACATGTGAACTTATTACTTTTAATAATATATTTTATTTAACTCAATATATCTAAAATATTATCATTTCAACATGTAACCAATATAAAAATTAGTGGAATAGTTTATATTCTTTTTTTGTTTGCCAAGCCTTTGAAATCTGGTGTGTGTTTTACATTTACAGCACATATCTCAATCTGAATGCTAAATCTTCATCGGAAGTGCTTGATCTTTATTTTGATCTCATAACATTTATAGCTGAAAAAGCTGATTCACATACCCAAGTTATTCCAAATGTACTTAAAAGTTTTCTGTCAGGCCTCTGAGCCCAAGCTAAGCCATCATATCCCCAGTGACCTGCATATATACATCCAGATGGCCTGAAGCAACTGAAGATCCACAAAGAAGTGAAAATAGTCTTAACTGATGACATTCCACCATTGTGATTTGCTTCTGCCCCACCCTAACTGATCAATGTACTTTGTAATCTCCCCCACCCTTAAGAAGGTTCTTTATCATTCTCCCCACCCTTGAGAATGTACTTTGTGAGATCCAGCCCCTGCCAGCAAAACATTGCTCCAAACTCCAGCGCCTATCTCAAAACCTATAAGAACTAATGATAATCCAACCACCTTTTACTGACTCTCTTTTCTGACTCATCCCACCTGCACCCAGGTGAAATAAACAGCCTTGTTGCTCACACAAAGCCTGTTTGGTGTTCTCTTCATACGGACACGTGAGACATTTTCCAATAACTAGTTTTAAATTTGAATAAAATAAAATCAGAAATTCAGCTCCCCAGTCCCACCAGCCACAATTCAAGTGTTCAATAACCATTCTGGGCAGTGACAACAGAGGTCTAAGGATTTCTCTTTCCAAGTTATTCCACACCAAATGCTTTCCTTTCTTAATTATCAGAAGCTATAAGAGCAACTCAAAGGACAAAATCATGAGGGATTTGTGTTGATTCTAGAATAGTCTATCATTGCAATGTTGTGTCTTAAGGATGAGTGGGAGTGTACCAGGCACAACTGGGAGAGAGGAGGACTCACCAAGAGAAAGCGGGGGAGGCAGATTCCCAGAGCCCCCACTGTGGGTCAACCACTGCACCCAGCATACAACATCCACTGAACCATTTGGTCTCTACCATCTTGTAGGTCACATATTAAGTGGATTTAATAGATACAGAATCTGAGATTAGTCACAATGGGAACTTGTCCACAGCTATTTCCAGGGAGACCCTTCCTTCCTCACCTTGCCACATCAGGATCCAAGGATAAGCGGGGGAAAAGCAACATGTGTCCTCTCTACATTAAATACCAGGTAGAACTTAAGACAGGCCAGGGGGCAAGCGACCAGAGGTGGCAAAGCCAAGCATTCGGACAACCACACCCTGCTCTGAAAGTGAATGTGAGATGGGAAAAGGGACCAGAGCGGTAAAAGGGAGGGGAAGGCCTGACAAGCCTAGCTTTTACATTTCTGTCCCAATGAATGCATAATTCCTCCAATGGTGCTACTTCAATGCCCCCTGGTCCACAGGCACTGTTGTGGCTGAGAGTCAAGTAGAGTACGTAATCTCTACCACCAGAGCCTGTAGCCCTGAGAAGCTTTTCTTAGCTCTAAATTCACAAACCTCCTTGCAGACTCGATTCAGTTCTTCCTGAACTCAGATGCAAAGTATGAGGTTCCCACAGGACGGCTGACTCAGGCAGGGAAAACAATTTTCTGATCCAGTTATTCAAGGGTGAATCAAGTAACTGAAGCAGTATCTGAAAGGGCATTTCTATATGTGAACACTGTCATTTAACTCAAAGTTTCTTGGAAAGTCCTTAATGAGGACACAGTAAAGCAATTTTCTAAGCTGCTTCTGGCATGAGAGGAAGCATAATACGCTTGGTCTAAAAAGCATGTAAAGCCTTACCACTTCCTCTAGAGATAGCCCAGAAACGAAGCTGATGAGGAAACAAAGATTTTTCCCTGATTCTGACTGGAGAGCAAAGAAGGGACAAAGATGCCGAAGGAAGCACGCTGGAGAGGGCGACAGGCAAATTAAATGACTTAAATAAAATTATAGAGGCAGAATAAGCCAGATAGGAAGAGCAAGGACTAGACAACTATCAGATGCAGAATTGTCCCCAGAGACCTTCATGCCTTGGGGAGGAGGAGGTGACCTTGCCAAAGGGTGCCCTAACACCTGACGCCATCTCCACAGCACTCCCCAACGTCAACTCCAAAAGCTGCTCTGTAACTCGATGATCTGCGGAATAGATCTGTTAGGCTTCTGAGCCACTGGGCAACTGCTGGCCGGGATGTTCTGGAGATAGGAAGCGGAGAAATGGCAGCTTGGGGAAATGGGGAGGAGAACAGAGCCCCCATGCCATGGCATCACAGCACTCCAGTCCAACTCCTCATTTTTCAGGTGAGAATCCTGAGGCCAGCAAGGGGAGGTAATTATCAAAGATCAACACCCTTACTGCAGGCAGAGCCCGGTCTTCTAGGAGCCTTCATGAGCTCAGAGCAAGCCTTGAATTCCAAGACATTCAAGCCACCCTCCTCTGGGCAAAGGGGCAGGGTGGCTCCTGTCAGGCCAAATGCTAAATAAGCCTCTCTCGCAATGGCTTGAGAGTCATCTCTTTGATATGTAATATCAAGGAAGATAATGCTATATTCTGGGCAGGAAATGAGCCTAACTTCAGCTGTCACCTGACTCCAAATTGCAAACCCTACCTCCAGCCTCAAAGATACGGCAAATTTAGCAATTTAATCTTGAAAACATAAATATAATGAGTTGTATCTACTTAGCTACACAAAAGAGCAATATTTCTTTCCCTTTCTGCAATTCCTTTAGCAGATTGCCTGTGATACACATCACATTCTGGCTTAAAGCTTAGCCAATAATAAGATTGTGTTCTTTCTCTTCTACCTTTGTGGAGAGGTTTTCTGGACTGAAGAGGGATTTTGTTTTTAATTAATTAATCTACTTATTTATTGTTTGAGATAGAGTCTTGCTCTGTTACCCAGGTTGGAATGCAGTGGTGATCACAGCTCAATGCAGCCTTGACCTCCTGGGCTTAAGTGATCTTCCTGCCTCAGCTTCCCAAGTAGCTGGGACTACAGGCATGTGCCACCATGCCTGGCTGATTTTTGTATTTTTTGTAGAGACAGGGTCTCCCCATGTTCCCCTGGGTGGTCTCAGACTCCTGAGTTCAAGCGATCTTCCCACTTTGGCCTCCCAAAATGCTGGGATTATAGGCATGAGCCACTGTGCCCAACCAACTTTGTTTTTAATTTATATTTCCCCAACATTCTTCACAGAATCATCCCAACTTCCACCCAGACCTGACTCCCTTTAAATTAGTTTTAAGCCAATTACATCTTCAACTAAAATAGGGTCCCTTTAAGTTTTATGATGTGATTTACTGCATGGACATGGAGGGCTACCCCCCACAACTCCGAGATCCTAAAACTTGACACGTGGACCTCTGGACATAGCTTAGTGACAATCTCTCAGCCTCACACACTGCAAAGACCACAAATTCCAAACAGAGGAAGCAGACCCAGCGACCGTGAGCCCACTGGCCCAACCCTTGGAACACACTGTTCCCTGTGCCAGGAGCGCCTGGCAGCGGGCCTCTTCCTTTGGGTCACCCCAGCAGAGCGGGACTCCTGTTTTGTTGGGCTGCTGTTTCCCCAGAATGGGGCAAGCAGGGGTTAAATGAATGGGCACTGTTAGCTGTCCTCTTTCCCCTCAAAGTCAAAGTAAATCCTATCTCAACATTTAGTTTGTTTCAGTTGGAATCATTTGTTCCACCAGGAAACGTTTCTTAAACAGAGAGCTCTGTTTCAACTGTTACAATGAAAAAGTCCTTTCAGCAGCAGAATGTTCATCAAACATTTTTGCTATCATGCAGCCAGCTGAACACAGGTGAAAAACATCCATATCCATGTCTCAGCCCTGCCACTTGCTACGTCTCCTCAGAAGAAACTCGCACGGCTGTCAGTCAGTTCGGGCACCTCTCCTACCCTTTCCTCCCAGAAATCTGTCCATCTCTGTCCCTAATAGGAACATGACTATCAAAGGCATCCTTGACACAGTGGCTCACGCCTGTAATCCAGCACTTTGGGAAACTGAGGTGGGCAGATCACCTGAGGTCAGGAGTTTGAGACCAGCCTGGCCAACATGGTGAAACCCTGTCTCTACTAAAAATACAAAAATTGGCAGGGCATGGTGGTGCACGCCTGTAATCCCAGCTACTCGGGGGGCTGAGGCAGAATTGCTTGAACCTGGGAGGCACAGGTTGCAGGGAGCCGAGATCACGCCATTGCACTCCAGCCTGGGCAGCAAGAGCGAAACTCCATTTCAATAATAAATAAATAAATAAATAATAAAAATTTTAAAAGGCATGCTTGACAGGAAAAATTCTTTTATTTACTCCTCCTTGGGTCACAACCAGAGTCTGCTTTTAGAGCCAAGTTGGAGGTAGACTCGAGGGTTCCGTCCAGCCAGACCTTGGAGCTGTCATTAATTTATTACTAAGCACTAGTGGAAATCTAACTTTATTTACCCCCATCAACTTGGCTTGTGTTACCAGAACAAGAAGGCAACCAAACATGAAATGCTTTGGGAAATGACCCACTAGACTGAACGTCCAAATCACTTTTGCTGTTACATACTGTATGACAGCGGTTCTCAAACCTCTGTGTGCAGAACACCCCTGAGAACTTGTTAAAACAACGGTTCCTGAGCCCCAGCCCAGAGCGTATGGTTCAGTAGTTTGGGGGTGAGGTTGGAGAATTTGCATTTGTAGTAAGTTCCCAGGTGATACTGCTGCTGCCACTGGTCCTGGACTACACTTTGAGGAGCCTGCTGAACACAGCACCTCAGCCTCTACTTGAAGGACAAACTAGCTTCTTACTGGATTCAGTGGCAAGATTAAGCCCACTGGTTCTCAAACACAATCCCCTTGGAACACCAGTGCTCTACCACTGAAATCAAAGCATAGGCTCACTCTCCTCCCCCACATTCTCAAATCAAATTAAACCTCAAGCACCACTTACTTGTTCCTACTATCATCTAAAAGGATTTAATTTCTCAAATTATATATATATATATATATATATATATAGTTTTTTTTTTTGCTAACACTTCACTGAGTTCAACCAATATGACATGTGATTATGAAGTTGTAATGGCCCAGCTGCCACAGCCAAAACCACATGGAAAGACACCAAAATTCAGTGCACTTGGCCTCTAGCTCAAGTTCAACTTCCCAAGGCAATCTCCCTTGACCACTGCAGCCAGATGGCTCCAATCATTTACCATACCCTCAGACTGCCAGATAAATAAAGGGCTTGGTTCCTGCCTTCAAAACTCAATCTAGGGGACAAAAATAAAATAGGCATACACATTAAACCATTTTTAACCAAGACAATGTGTAATCTATTGCTGAACTGTGCAACATAAATGTCAAAGGCTTCAGATTTTCTGCACAAGCAATCTGGTGTTTCATCACAGAAAATGCCTCTATCCACCCCATGCCTCTGCACTGGAGCCCTTTCAGATCCCCTACTCATGCTACAAGAATCGCTGTAAAGTTTCAGCCTTTCTACAATTTAATTTTAAAAACTTAATGTGCACCTGTCCCTGCAGACCTTGGCAATAGCATATAAATTCACGCCATGACTTTGAACACAAACATCCTGCCACTTACAGTGCAGAGGTTTTCCCTGTTCTGTGTTCCGTAGGTCGCTCTATCTGGCGCGTCAAGCCAAGAGAAACAGCCGGGTATAGCATCCCCAACAATAGGGATATTTACTGGCTTGAGATTTTTCTTTCCTGATCTTTATGCCTTGTACACTTCAGATGGACTAGCAATAAAACTCACTATGTTAGCTTGGGGGTGGGGGCAGGGCCAGCACATCTGGATCCAATCATTGTAATTTTACATTCTTAGCATCTTCCAAGGCAGCAGAGCACAAGGGGCAGTGCATGGACTAAATAAGATCCCTGGATTCTGATCAGGCTTTATATCTAACCCCATGTGTCACCTTGGGCAGGGCACTAACCTCATGAGGGCTCAGTTTGCTAAAGAGTCTTCCAAGGCCAGGATACCAGTGCTAACTAGCAACACAATTCAAGTGTTGATGAACTTATAATGACTTTCCCTTTTCCACTTGATTTTACCTGCAAAGATTTCAATTCTCCCTGGAGGAGACATTGGCATTGTTCATTTTTCTCGAGGGCACATCGCTCCCTCTTCCCCTCCTCCCTATCCTCCACTCTCCCAAGCCTTGCAGTCTCTCCACTTCTCTAGTTCAGCTTCTCCAAACAGGGGCTGTGATGAGAAAGAGCCCCCAGGAGAGTTTCCCAAATTGGCACTGAGTTCTCTCCAACTAATGTCTAGCACAGCAGGCCTTTAGTTCCTCAAATAAGCTTCTAATTGTCTTTTCAGAAATGTGCACGGACGCTTATTTCAAGCCATTTGGCAAGTGCCTCGCAGGGTATTTCCTCTGACATTGTGCTTAGAGAAGGAGGATTTAAGAGTCTAGGGGAGCATTAGAAAAACTGTACTCCATCTGATCCTGCCCTTGGACAAAAATATAACAACTTTTTCAAGGACCCACTGCTGGTATGATGTAAACCTCCACAGGTCTTCAAGAACTCAAAGTTGCTGACTCTTACATTTGAATGTAAGTCTTTACCCAGGGACAGGAAGAAGGTGTCCTGACAGAGTTAATGGATGCCAAGAATTGTGACACATTTGGGTGGTCCCAGTCGTGCCAAAAAACACATGCTCCTGTCTCCCTGGGCATCATTCTTCCAGGGTCAACATTAACAGAAGGACAGCTAGCACCCTGCCATCAGAGATGATGAAAGACCACAGGTTCAAGAGGATTTGAGTAGAGCACTCAATTTGGAGCCAGAAACTTGAGTTCAAATCCCAGACCTCCGTCTCTTCCAATTCCTCAAAAAGGTTATCAGCCCTTGTTACCACCACCTTACTGGTTTCAAATGTTGACAGGTGTCCCAGTCCTCTAGGCAAGCCTTTCCCCAAATTTAGTATGCATGCAAGTTCACCTCGGGATCTGATTAACATGAAGATTCTAAGTCCGTAGGTCTGGATTAACTTAAGATTCTGCATTTCCAACAAGTTTCCAGGTGATGCTGAAATTGCTGGTCCACAGACCGATTTTAAATCGCAGGGACAAAGAGACTTATGATCTAACCCAGTGTTTCCCAAAAGTCCCTGGTAAGAATTACATGGGCTAACTGTTAAATACGCCAGAGCATGCCCAGCGAGCTGTGTAAATTTACTTTGAGTTAGTACTCAGATGAATCTTATCATCAGAGAAGTCTGGGAAACCCTGAACTAGTTCATCCACATCCCTCTTCTAAAGTTCCCACACAACCCGTGGGTCCCCTTGTCTCCTTTCCATTTTTCTCTTTAGTTAACTTAAAATCTAACAGCCTAGCCCCTGCTTCTAGGGCCCCCATTTTGAGAGATGAATAATCTCCCAAACTTTTCCAAGTTCTGGCGTACTTGAAAAATTACCATGTCAGTAGGGCCTAAGTCCTGGCAGCCCCAGAGGAATGGAGAGAAGACTAAAGGCATCATTCACTATCTCAGCTCACCTGTTAGCATAATTCAGCTCCCTGACTAGAAAGCTCTGCTCCAACCTCAACCTCAATGGGCAAAACCCTGCAGAGCCCTCCAATATATCTCCCCATTGTTAAGATGACCCAAAAGAAAAAAAAATATATCAAACTTCTATCCTGAGGTTGCCTACAAGGGCCAATGCAGCATGGGAACAAAACACACACACACACACACACACACACACACACACACACACACACACATCCATTACTCACACTCTCTAAGGAGGAATAACATCTAATTACCATGTGCCCAGGAGCATGAACTATCTGTTTTACATCCATCATCTACTAAATCCTTGCAATAACTTCATTACTTGGGGATGATATACACGTTTTACTCATGAGGACACTAAGGCTTACAGTGGTTAGGTGACTTGTCCAAGGTCACACTAAATTATGGCCACTATGCGGTGGGTTCCCACATCAGCATGTTTGTGACCTTTGCAGCATTCATCCCTCTTTGGTTTGTTTTAATGCCTCGGTCCACACATACGCTTCCAGACTGTGCTATCCATGAGGGCAGGGCTCAGGTCTGTTTTGTTTCAGGCTGTATCCACCATGCACTTGGTAGACACCCAGAAAAAGATGTGCCAAACTGATGAATGACTCCAAAGCCAGGGCTCTTCTACAAGAATAGGCTGCTTCCACAACCACAGCAAGCACATGGATGTACCCTGGTTTAAAAGACTCCCAAACTATAAAACACGAATTTACAAGATACACTATGCGTTGGAGAATGCACAGTGGAAGGGCACTGGCCTAGGAGTCAGAAGACCAAAGGACTCTTCTCCCACTTACGCTACCTTATCACCGTACTTGAACAAGCCCCTTCGCTCTCTGCACCTCGGCTTCTTCATCAATCTGATGGTTTAATTCATCCCCCAAACCTCTGTGAACTCCCACATGTGCCAGATGTGGTTCTAAGAAAGAAATGACTAAGAGTAATGGATAAGAGGCTGCGCCCATCCCTCAGTAGCCCTGCACCAATTCCACTCCACCCAGCCCACTAAGCACTAACGGAGAGAATGCACAAAGAACAGTTTTCAAACAAGTATGAAACAGAGAGGGTCCTTGAGGGAATACATGCTTCACAAAAGGAATCTTTACTTTGCAAACTAATTCACAAAAAGCATGGCTAAAGTGACAAGTTCCTCTGATACCTTTTTTTTAAAATCAGGTTTATTAAAGTATAATTACGTAAAGTAAAATTCATCCTTTTTAGGGATACAGTTCTATAAATTTTGACAAATGCCTGTAAATCTTGCTGCAGTTTTTACTTTATTTATCTCTAACTTTTCAAGAATACATTATATAAAATGATGTGAGTATATATGACCCAAAGACACAAAATTAACTTTAGCTCCCTTTTTTTTTTCTTTTTTTCTTTTTGAGATGGAGTCTCGCTCTGTCACCCAAGGTGGAGTGCAATGGCGTGATCTCAGCTCAGTGCAACCTCCGTCTCCCGGGTTCAAGCAATTCTCCCGCCTCAGCCTCCTGAGTAGCTGGGATTACAGGCGCACACCACCACGCCCGGCTAATTTTTGTATTTTTAGTAGAGACGGGGTTTTACCATGTTGGTCAGGCTGGTCTTGAACTCCTGACCTCGTGATCCACCCGCCTCGGCCTCCCAAAGTACTGGGATCACAGGCGTGAGCCACTGCACCCGGACCTAGCTCCCATTTCTAAAAATAAAGGTTCCTCATTTTCCCAGAAGGAAGAACATAGAACTAAAAATCTTGTCTTTAGGGGGAAAAAATTCATTTGTGGAAACATCTGCAAAGCACAGAACTTAGAATACCAAGATCTATTACACTGGTCAAGAAAACTGAATCTCTTCTATTAATAAAGTATCTCCTCCCAACCCTCCCCCTCCCATATGAAAGCATTTACCAATTTTTGAAATATGCATGCAGAGTCCAAGAATATACATATATTTCAACCATGGTCATTCCTAACTACCTGTGCAGTTTAAAACCACAAAGCCTCCTTGAATTAACTCCAAAAATCTAAAATATATTTCACATACTATTAATGCTCCAAAGGAATTTACTTTGACAATGAATGTAACTTTTTAAAAGGCTATCTTAAAATGAATTGCATGAGCTTTTATAAAAAATGAGAAGGGGAATGGTTATTCAAATAGAAAGCTAACAATCTATTAAGATTACATCTCTGTTGCAGAATGAGACCCTGCAACAGCCAGAAAAAAATGGAAACAAATGCCAATATAAACAATCTAACAGTATTTATAACCCTACTGTGTGACTGGCTTCTGGTAAAAAGCAGGACTGATTTCCAAACCCTAGTTCAGTGACATTTAAACTTCAGTATACCTAAGGATATTTTGATTATAAAAACTACAAGGCACAGTGGCTGACACCTGTAATCCCAGCTCTTTGGGAGGCTGAGGCAGGCGGAAGGCTTGAGCTCAGGAGTTAGAGACTGGCCATAAGCGACATGGCCAGTCTCTACAAAAAAAAATCCCCAACAGTCAGTCATGGTGGTGCCACCTGTGGTCCCAGCTACTTAGGAGGCTGAAGCAGGAGAGTCGCTTGAACCTGGAGGGCAGAGGTTACAGTGAGCAGAGATCACACCACTGCATTCCAGCCTGGGAGACAGAGTGAGACCCTGTACCCCCCAAAAAATAAATAAATAAATAAGTAAAAATAAGGGCCAGGCATGCTGGCTGTCACCTGTAATCCCAGCACTTTGGGAGGCCGAGGCAGGAGGATTGTTTGAGCTCAGGAGTTCAAGAACAGCCTGGGCAACAAAGCAAGACCTAGTCTCTACAAATTAAAAAAAAGAAAAAGAAGAAGAAGAAAAGAAAACAACAAATTCTTGGACCATACAATTAATTTGGACTACCAAATTAAAATCTCCAGGTATTGGGCAGTTACAATACTTAACCTTAATCACAGGTAATACTGATGGTGGTGATCCAAAGACTACACTCTAAGAAACATAACCCTTAGCTAAGAAACCATGTATTTTACTATATAATCACTACAATAAAGTTAATATGGTGAAATAATTTGGATATTGGTCCTGAACATGGGTTAGAATCTACAGGCTAGTGGCCAAAGCTTATAAATAGTTTCATTATTCAGAGAGACGGTCATTGTAGTATCAAAAGCTGAACTATACAGTGACAATATTGCATTAATATTGGGCTGCTTGCTCTAAGTGTGGTCCTCTGACCAGCAGCTCAGAATTTTGGGGGCCCATCTTAGACTTGCTAAAAGAAAATCTCTGGGGCTGGGGCCCAGGCAGCCCTGTTTTAAAAAATTTATTCAGGTGTTTCTTCTGCACTGTGCATGCTCGAACACACTTTAGTTAATACAAGCACATTTTATAACAATAACAATAAATACTTAATAATCACATTTTTTTCTTGCCTTGTTTTGATAAGGCACACAGTGACTTATCTAAGGCCACACCCTCTCAGTTTACCTCCCACCCGCCACTCCACTGTGGTACAAGGTACATCTGTGTAGCACAGAAAGTTCAAGCCAGATTTATTTTCCACTAACGGAGGGACAATTAGCATGGTGTGGGCAGACAAAGAGCTCAGACCTTGCTCACAACTATGGTGGCAGGGGTACTGTACAAGAAGACAATCCCCTTGGGCTCTACAGATTGAAATGCCCCCGACTCAAGTGGGCACCTTTTTCTTTTATTTATTTATTTATTTATTTATTTATTTATTTTGAGACAGAGTCTCACTCTCTCACTCTGTTGTCCAGGCAGGAGTATTGTGGTGTGATCTTAGCTCACCATAACCTCTGCCTCCCGGGTTCAAGCGATTCTCATGCCTCAGCCTCTGAGGTAGCTGGGATTATAGGCGCCCGCCACAACACCAGCTAATTTTTGTATTTTAGTAGAGATGGGGTTTCTCCATGTTGGCCAGGCTGGTCTTGAACTCCTGAATTCAAGTGATCCACCCACCTTAACCTCCCAAAGTGTTGGGATTACAGGCATGAGCCATTGCGCCCAGCCCAGTAAGCACCTTTCCATGACATCTCCTAGGGATTCCGACGCAAGCCAGCTAACAAAAATCAAATGAAAACTTGGTGGTGATGGTGGTTTTTCCCCTCTAAATTATGTCCATGATAGGGTACATTTGTTCTCATATCTTTGAATGCACTGAAATATCCGGGGGAAACAATAAAAATATGTATTCTGTGGTTGCAACCTGAGCTTCTGATTCAGACAGGGCCTCCCAAATCTGTATTTTTAATGAGTTGCCTAGGAGATTCTTATGCATATCAAGGTTTGAGACTCACTGGTATTACGGGGAGAAACCTATGATACTGAGGAGATCTGAGCTTCAGTCAAACTTATCTACTATTTAGTATACAAGCCTTGCTACATCTTAGCTTCCTCAAAGTAGTAATAATACCTCACAGGATTATGATAGTAATCAATGTGCAAGGCCTTAATAAAAGGTAAAATCAACAAAATCACCAGGTGCAGAATTCCACAATTAAGGGAACTGTGGAATTCTGCACCTGCTGGCTTTGTTGACTTTACTTAAGGGAATTCTACAATTAGGGTCCCTTGGCCTCTAAAGGTAACTTCACTGACAAGCATTCCATGTCAGATGCAGATTCTGAGACAGAAGGCAGTCTGACAATTTGTGTTACAGGTTGAATTGTACCCCCCATCCCAAAAAATATGTTAAAGTCCAATATTCTAAAACCTCAGAATGGGACCTTATTTGGAGATAGGGTCTTTACAGAGAGAATCAAGTTGAAATGAGATCATTAGGGTGTCCCTAATTCAATATGATTGTTGTCCTCATAAAAAGTGGAAATTTGAACACAGAAACAGACACAACAGGATAGAGGTGAAGCAGGAGACAGGGCTTACAGATCAGACTGAGGACTAGCTAAGACACAGCCAGGGTGAAAGCAACTTTCAGTTGGACATGCCCACTAATATGCCATGTCAATTTACCATTGCCATGGCAACACCTGGGAGTTACCATCCCTTTCCATGCAATGATCCAATGACCCAAAAGTTACTAACCCTTCCCTAGAAATTTCCGCATAAGTCACTCCTTAATCTGCATTTTATTAAAGTGGGTATAAATATGACTGCAAAACTGCCCTGAGCTGCTACTGTCAGCACACTGCCTGTGGGGTAGTGCTACTCTGCAGGAGAAGGCACAGAGCTGTTGCACTGCCAAAGCTGTAACACTGCTGCTTCACCAAAGCTGTTTTCCTCTACCTCTAGCTGGCCCTTGAATTCTTTCCTGGGCAAAGCCAAGAACCCTCATGGACTAAGCCCCACTTTGGGGCTCATCTGCCCTGCATCAGAGGGACAACAATGAAGAGACGGGGAGAAGATGCCCTTCTACAAGAAACACAGAGAGGCATGGAACAGGCTCCCCCTCACAGTCCTCAGAAGGAATAAATCCTTGCTCTTAGACTTCTAGCTTCCAGAACTGACACAGTAAATTTCTATGATCCCAGCCACCCAGTATGTGGTACTTTGTTACAGCAGCTCTAGAAAACTAATACAATCCGTCAGCTTCCAATTCAAGAGAAAAATGCCCTTCTCCTGTCCCTATGGTTAGGCATACGGCCACCTGATGCTTCTCGGATTCCCCAGGGCTTACTCTAGGCCCTTCACCAGGCACATTCATAAAGCTCCATCTAAACAACTTCTGAGGTTCATCAAAGAGCCAGCTCAGCCCGACAAGGCATTGCTGCAGGCTCCATTGGGCTGTCTCCAGCCTATAGCTACTGTCACAAGATCGGGGCACTCAAACATGTGACAGGTTCACCAGCAAAAACCAGCCAACAATTTACCATCCTTTATTACTGTTAAAATCCATCCCTGCGCAGCCAGCTTGTACCCTTCTACTCCTTCTGTCAGAGCAGCACTCAGGCCAGCTTCTGGTTCCCCACCAGCTTCTCCAAGAGCTGGTTAAACCCAAACCCCACCCCAGAGCCAGTCTCAGCCTCACCTAGGGACCCTAATCAAGAGGACTCATAAAAGCCCTCAGAGAGGTGACTTCCTCACACTAAATGCAGCTTTCATTCTCACCTAAGTAGGACAAAACACATTGGGAAAATGCCAGAAAATTAAATTACCCCAAAGAAAATAAAAAGCCCTTTCTGTATGCATTTTAAATGGAGCCCTACAGGGTCTTAGAAACCAGAAGCGGTGCAGGAGTGAGGAGCAAACTGCGACACAGTCAGTTGAGATGGGTGTTGTGTCTCAGAAAGGAGTTGGGTCTGTCAAGTGTACATGGCCAGCAGGCATCTGCCCTGCAGGGTGCCTGTCCCCAGTCCCCTGGCTGCCTTCACCCTCTATAGGAAACCCTCCTAGGATCCTCCCTAGGGCTCCCGATTCAGTTTAGTGAGTCAGGTGGGGTTTCGGAACTAGCAGTTTTAATAAGCTTCCCTAGAGATTCTGAAGCGTACCCAGGGCTAAGAACCGCAACCCTGAATTACAGACAGGTTCCAACAGCACATCCCAAGAAAAGGAGGAAGCAGGGTTCTGGTGCCAGCTTTGTCAAGCGTCACACCCCTCTGAGCCTCAGTTCTTTCCCTATCAAAGGGAGACACCCACCTACAGCCATTCCAACCACCTTTCTTTAAAATAAAATAAATACTGACAATAAAAGTAAACTTCCCTCGAGTCACTGAGTTTTCCCACACAGACATCTGCCCTGTCTTCCTGGGTGTACTAAACGTCCTGTCTTCTTGAGTGTACCAAACCTAACTGCTTTGTGGCTGTGCCTCAGGCTGCCCTTGGCTGATGTTTTACCCACAGGGCAAGCTCCTTTAACTCCATCAGGGAGAGCCTAGGAGTGACAGGTGTTGAGTCCAGTAGAGAGCCCTTCAAGGAGAAAATTAAGCCTCTTAAAGTACTCTCCATGTAATCTCCCAAACCCAGGAATAATCCACGCCCCCCTTGGAAGATCCAGCATGCATGACCTCGGGCTACACTTGGGAAATAGCCTCATTTATATGAAACTAGGACCTAGGTGCGGTGCCAAGTAATTAAATGGACTATATTGAAGCAATGCAAATGAAGAAAGAAGAGGAGATTTAATTTAAACACAGGACGAGAATGCTTTGGGGATCTTTTAACCTGGGTGTCTGAAAGCAGCGCAGAGAGGGCCCACTGAACTCCCCAATGAGCTCAAATGCTTAGGAGAAGAAGGAGACATCTCCCCCTGTGAAGAAGTGGACTCTGGGGATGAGTGATTCACCAAAACAAGTCACCAGAACATTAAGGTCCATGATAAACACTTCAGACAAGTCCATTTATCATCTTCAACCCAGAGACAAAAGTTGCCAAGTAGACTGCTTAAGTACCCCCTTCAGAGATAAAGATGAGAACTGCAACCATTTGTCTCCATCCAGCTGTCCTCTGCAGGTGCCTTCTACCACTCAACAAGTATTTAATAAGGATGTGCTTTCTTCATTCAATACTTGAACCCCTAACTCTCAACACATGACCTAAAAATACTGCACCATGAGACACTGGTTTCCACTTCAACATTATGCTCTTCCTTAGCTCAAGTCTGGAAAAGACTTCCATTCCCTCATCCAAGGCTAACCTCTAACCAGCAAGTTTCCTTCATCAATCATTAAGAATTTTTTGTCGAGTACCTATCATGTGCCAGGCATTCTTGCAGGCACTTGGGGATACAGCGGCAGAGATGATTTCTCTTCTGGAGCTTATATTCTAGATGCAGTGAGATAGACAATAAGTGAGTCCTGTATGTAATATCAGGGAATAGTAAATGATAGAAAAATAAGGAAGAAGCTTGAGAACAGGGGCCAGGGGATGCCGGCGTGACCTCATAAGAGGTGATCCTGGAGAGATTCCTAATGAAGAGAAAGGTGAGAGAGCGCCCCCAACTTTAAGCCAGGAAGAAACATCCAGCAAGAAGCATGGAGCTGGAGAAGCCGGGGGTAGGAGAACCAGATTGTGACATGGAAGCCAGTGGAAGGGTTCCAAAGAGAAAGCAATGACCTGGCCAAATGCTGAGGAGAGCCTGTAGAAGATGACAACTAAAGAGTTAGCCACTGGATTGTACCACATGGGTATTGCCACTACCTTAATAAGTGTGGTTCTGGGAGGGGCACAGTGGCTCATGCCTGTAATCCCAACACTTCGGGAGGCCAAGGCAGGCGGATCACTTGAACCCAGGAGTTTGAAACCAGCCTGGGCAACGTGGCAAAACAAAAAAACAAAAATTGGCAAAAAGCCAGATTGGAGTGAGTTCAAGAAACAATGAGAGAGCAGGAAATGGTGTCAGTGAGTATGACAGTTCTTTCAAATATTTTTACTATGAAGGGCATGTAGAGGAATGGAAGAACAGCAGACTAGGACACAGGGTCAAGAGTATTTTCTTCCTGCTGTTTTTTTTTTTCCTCTCTTTTTTTTTTTTGAGATGGAGTCTCGCTTTGTCACACGATCTCGGCTCACTGCAACCTCTGCCTCCTGGATTCAAGCAATTCTCCTGTCTCAGCCTCCCGAGTAGCTGGGACTACAGGCACACGCCACCATGCCCAGCCAATTTTTGTGTTTTTAGTAGAGACGGGGTTTCACCATGTTGGTCAAGCTGGTCTCCAACTCCAGACCTCGTGATCCGCCCACCTCAGCCTCCCAAAGTGCTGGGATTACGCGTGAGGGACCACACCCAGCCTGCTGTTTTTTTCCTTTAGATGACAGGTACTACTGCATGTTTCTGATGGGGACTATCCATCAGAGTGAGAAACTGATGATGCAAAAGGGAAAGGAGATAGCTGCATGTATGAAAGCCAAGAGAGGACAGGATCTCATTCACACGTGTGTGCTGGTAGGTTAGTAAGTTTAGTATAGGAAGATGATGAAAGTAGCTTCTAATTGCTTCTTCTCTCAGTGAAATAAGCCAGGTCATCAGCTGAGAAGTGGGTATAGAAACATAGTGGACCTGAAAGTGTCAAGAGTCCCCTTGAGGTTTGTGGCCATAAATTAAAAGCAAGACAATGCAGAGAGATATGTGTTTTCTCTAGGCAGGATCATCAGCCTGAAGCTGAAGGAGAGTGAGCAGAGGGTGGGCTTAACCAAGGATGGGGTTTTCTTTCCGAGGACAGTAAGACAAAGCGGGGAAAGGTCAAGGTAGTTGAGGGTATATGCAAGAATCTGAGCTGGGTAAGGAGGACAAGAAAGGGATGATGGACAATGAAAAAGAAAGGGCCACCAGGTCAGAAGCCCTTGTAGGTGAAAGCTAGGTGGAACCAAGTACTAGAGGCAATAAGACAAAAGAGAAAAGGGGACGGTCAGACTGGTGAGTTTGTCCAGATTTTGCTGGAGGTGCGGTTATCAGTAATGATTAGGTCTACAACCACATTTTTCAAATAATGGGGTGCAAGTTTAGTAGGCAGTGAAATCAGTTTAGTGGGTCAGAAACAGCATCTTATTGTTTTAATGAAACAATAAAAAGCATGAAAGTACATTATACCCAGTAAGAGTAAATACTGTTTTGTGAAACTTCTGTGTGTTTGTATTGGGTCATCACATAAGCTATATTTCTCCTATGGCTTGGGGTTAAAAAACACTTCAAAGACACTAGAGCAAGGGTTCTTGACCCTGGGACTACTGACATTTTGGATGGCATAATTCTTTGTTGTGTGGGGCTGTCCTGTGCATTGCAGGGTGTTCAGTAGCCTCACTAGAATGTCAATAGCATCTCTTCTTCCTCCAAAGTTGTGCCAAAAGAAGTCTCTAGACATTGCCAAATATCCTCCTTGTCTAGAATCAGTGGTCTAGAGATAACCATGTGAGCGATGGCTGAAGCAGGGTAGAGGAAAAGATAACTGAAAGAGAGTTGGTCAAGGGACTAAGAGGTTGAGAATTGGGTGGACAACCTATATAGATGTTCAAGTCACCAAAAATATTGATGGGAGGAGGGACTGTGGGCCAGATGCTAAAATCTCCAAAGAATGAGGCAAGGTGACTCAGAGGACTGTAGACGAGTGGTCCTCTACCCTGGCTGCACATTAGAATCACATGGAGAACTTACCCACCAATGCCCAGGCCCCATCCCAAACCAACTACATCAGAACCTCCAGGTGATTCCAATGTGCAGCTAGGTCCAGGAACAGTGCAGAAGAAACCCATCCTGCAAAGCGCCACTTAAACATGACCTCCTTCATGACAATTTCCCTTCCAGGTCTCTTTGTTTCCTGCACTCCACTATCACTACCAATTCTGCTTTACTTAGAGCTGACCTAGGAAATCACTAGAAAAACATTCAAGGCTCTAAAACTAAGTGGCTGGCACTCCAGCCTGGGTGATAGAGCGAGACCCTGTCTCTAAAAATAAACAAAACAAATTAAAACTAAGTGGCTGAAAACAGAATAAACGTTCACCTGCTAAAAAATTTTAGAACTAGGAGATCAGTGAGAAGGAAAGCTTTTTAGGGAATACTCTGCTTGAGCTTTGGTTCATCCAAATCTCTCAAGGACATCCAGACAAGCGAGGGTCCCAGAGGACAGCCAAACACTTATGTGTCACTGATAAGCATCATTAGAAACAAAACCCCTTTGGAAGGCCGAGGAAGGCAGATCACTTGAGCTCAGGAGTTTGAGACCAGCCTGGGCAACACGGTGAAACCCTGTCTCTGCTAAAAATAGAAAAATTAGCCAAGCATGGTGGTACATGGCTGTAATCCTAGCTACTTGGGTGGCTAAGGCAGGACAACGGCTTGAACCCAGGAAGCAGAGGCTGCAGTGAGCCCAGATTGCACCACTGCACTCCAGCCTGGGTGACAGAGTGAGACCCTACTTCAAAAAAAAAAAAAAAAAAAAACCGGAAACATAACCCCTTTGCTGACACTGAAATAAACATTTGTTGAAATTAATGGCTACTGCGCTTAATTTCCTCCAAAAAAATGCATGAATGATCAGATTGTGACACAATTTATGCCACATTTATCATCTGGTCACCATATTATTCTCAATGCCCTTCACATGTAGCCAACATTTTATTAAAAGAAATCAATGACATAAAATCTTGAATATGCATGTATGACATGAAAAAAACCAGGAATCAGAATCTCCTCTTTCCCAAGAGAATTCATTATAGACTATTTAAAATGATACCCATGAATTCTCACTTTCACTGCTGATGAAACATATATCTATCTATAAAACATCATTAAATCCCCAAATATCTACAACAAATTCAGACAAGAATTAAGTAACATGACTCAAATATTAATTTTTCCCAGCTTGGGGAAATTGGCAGAATTGCATTAAATGTCCCTTGACTGAGATTCTAACTTTCACCTGTATTAATCCATTCTCACACTACTATAAGGACATATCCAAGACTGGGTAATTGATAAAGGAAACAGGTATATTGAGTCACAGTTCAGCATGGTGGGGAGGTCTGAGGAAACTTACAATAATGGCAGAAGGGGAAGCAAACATGTCCTTCTTCACATGGCGGCAGGAGAGAGAACTGCCAGGCAAAGGGGGAAAAGCCCCTCATAAAACCATCAGATCTCGTGAGATCTCACTTACTATCAGAAGAACAGCATGGCGGTAACCGCCCCCATAATTCAATAACCTCCCACTGCTGTGGGGATTATGGGAACTACAAGATGAGATTTTTGCGTGAGGACACAGCCAAACCATATCATTCCACCCCTGCCCCCTCCCAAATCTCATGTCCTCACATTTCAAAACATAATCATGCCTTTCCAACAGTCCCCCTAAGTCTTAGTTCATTGCAGGATGAACCCAAAAGTCCAGGTCCAAAGTCTAATCTGAGACAAGGCAAGTCCCTTTCACCTATAAGCCTGTAAAATCAAAAGCAAGTTAGTTACTTCCTAGATACAAAGGTGGTACAGGAATTGCCTAAATACACTCATTCCAAATAGGAGAAATTGGCCAAAATAAAGGGGCTCCAGGCCCCATGCAAGTCCAAAATCCAATAGGGTAGTCATTTAACCTTAAAGTTCCAAAATGCTCTCCTTTGACTCCATGTCTCACATCCACATTACACTGATGCAAGAGGTGGGTTCCCATGACCTTGGACAGCTTCGCCCCTGTGGCTTTGCAGTGTACACCCTCCCTCTCAGCTGATTCACAGGCTAGTGTTGAGTGTCTGCAGCTTTTCCAGGTATGTGGTGCAAGCTGTTGGTGGATCTACTATTCTGGGGTGTGAGGATGGTGGCCCTCTTCTCAGAGCTTCATTAGGCAGTGCCCCAATGGGGACTCTGTGTGGGGGTTCCGACCCCACATTTTCCTTCTGCACTGCCCTAGCAGAGGTTCTCCATGAGGGCTCCGCTCCTGCAGCAAACTTCTCCCTGGACATCCAAGCATTTCTTACTTTTTTTTTTTTTTTTTTTTTTTTTTTTTGTTTGAGACGGAGTCTCGCTCTGTCACCCAGGCTAGAGTGCAGTGGCGCATCCAGGCATTTCTATACAGCCTCCGAAATCTAGGCAGAGGTTCCCAAACCTCAATTCTTGTCTTCTGCACGCCTGCAGGACCAACATCAACTGGAAGCTGCCACGGCTTGGGGCTTGCATCCTACGAAGCAATGGCCTAAGCTGTACTTTGGCCCCTTGTAGCCACTGCTGGAGCGGCTGGGATGCAGAGCACCAAGTCCCAAGGCTGCACACAGCAGGGGGCCCTGGACCCAGCCCACGAAACCATTTTTCCCTCCTAGGCCTCCGGGCCTGAGATGGGAGGGGCTGCCGCAAAGGTCTCTGGTTACTTATGCAAATTTCTGCAGCTGGCTTGAAATTCTCCCCAGAAAATGAGTTTTTCTTTTCTACTGCGTCAGGCTACAAATCTTCTAAACTTTTATGCTCTGTCACCTCCTAAATGCTCTGCTGCTTAGAAATTTCTTCCCCCAGATACCCTAAATCATCTCTCTCAAATTCAAAGTTCCACAGATCTCTAGGGCATGGGCAAAAAGCCACCAGTCTCTTTGCTGAAGCATAGCAAGAGTCACCTTGGCTCCAGTTCCCAAGAAGTTCCTCATCTCCATCTGAAACCACCTCAGCCTAGAATTTATTGTCCATATCACTATCAGCATTTTGATCAAAACCATTCAACAAGTCTCTGGGAAGTTCCAAACTTTCCCACATCTTCCTGTCTTCTTCTGAGCCCTCCAAACTGTTCCAATGTCACTTCCACATTTTTAGGTATCTTTATAGCAGCACCCCACTCTCTGCGGTACCAATTTACTCTATTACCCATACCCAAGACTGGGTAATTTATAAAGGAAACAGGTTTAATTGAGTCACAATTCAGCATGGCTGGGGCAGGGGGCAGTTGGGGGGCCTCAGGAAACTTACAAACATGGTGGAAGGGAAAGCAAACACATCCTTCTTCACATGACGGCAGGAGAGAGAAGTGCCAAGCAAAGGGGTAAAAGGCCCTTATGAAACCATCAGATCTCGTGAGATCTCACTCACTATCATGAGAATAGCATGAGTATAGCACCCCCATGGTTCAATAACTTCCCACCAGGTCCCTCCCACGACACGTGGGGATTATGGCAACTACAGTTCAAGATGAGATTCTGCATGGGTACACAGCCAAACCATATCACATCCATAACACGGCTGGCTGGAAAAGAGCACAAGACCCATGGAAGAGAGGTAGCTAGTTCCTCTAAACCAGTGGTTCTCCATAGAACTCATCAGTTCTATCAAGATTACAAAAATCACATTAAGAGTCTGGGTTGAAAATGGTAGAAGCATAACAGCCATCTAAGCCAGGGATTGGATGGAAAGAAACCTGGGTTCAAACACCAGCCCAGCCCTCTCTGGGTGATCCACAGGATAAGACTCTTCTGGAAACTTGTTAATAATGCAAATCAAACCCCACCAAGGACCAAAGGAATCTGAAACTCAGGCCCAATAATCTGGGGTTTAACAAGCCCTGCAGGTGATTTCCATGCATTTTAGTTTGGGAACCACTGATGTAATCTCAAGCATGGTTTTCAGATTGTGCAGCACAGCCCTGGTTTCCAGTGGGTTGAGATTCTGGATCTCCCATCAGGATTCAGAGAGTCACACAGTATGTACTTTTTTCAATGTAGAGCAGGGTGTGGTGGCTCACACCTGTAATCCCAGTGCTTTGGGAGGTCAAGGTGGGAGGATCACTTGAGGTCAGGAGTTCGAGACCACTCTGGGCAACACAGTGAGACATGGTCTCTACAAAAAAATATCAAATACAAATTAGCCAGGTATGGTGGCAAGTTCCTGTAGCCACAGTTTCACAGGAGGCCGAGGCAGGAGGATCACTTGAGCCCGGGAGTTTGAGGCTGTAGTGAGGTGTGATTGTACAACTGCACTCCAGCCTGGGCATCAGAGAGACCCTGTCTCTAAAAATATTATTCAGATAAAAAATAAAAATAAAATGTGAAATGCTTTTGAAAGGCTGGCTTTAGCTGCAACTGGCAAAAACTCATCATTCTATCAAGATTTCAAAAATCACATTAGGAGGCTGGGTTGAAAATGGTAGAGGTGGAACAGCCAGCTAAGCCAGAGATCGTATGGAAAGAGACTTGGATTCAAACACCAACCCAGCCCTCTCTGGGCCTCAATTAGGAAAACCAAGTTTGAGGAGATGCTGCTGCTATCTAGAAAGGCTTCTCAGGCCAGGCACCGTGGCTCATGCCTGTAATTCCAGCATTTTGAGAGGCCGAGGAAGGTGGACTGCCTGAGCCCAAGAGTTCCAGACCAGCCTGGCCAACATGGTGAAACCCCATCTCTACTAAAAACACAAAAATTAGCTGGGAGTGGTGGCGCATGCCCTTAATCCCAGCTACTTGAGAGGCTGAGGCATGAGAATTGCTTCAACCCAGGAGGTGGAGGTTGCAGTGAGCCAAGATCATGCCACTGCACTCCAGCTAGACCCTGTCTAAAAGTAAAAAAAAAAAAAGAAAGCCTTCTCAATTGGCCAGAAGCTCTCCCTGCACTGTTGGTCTTCCTTCAGTATGGGATCAGAGAAAGTTAAGATAAAGGAGAGTGCTTGTAAGAGCTTTCCTGAGCTCTTACTTTCACCACCTCCTGGGGCAGAGGGAAACAGTTTTTCTGAAGCTATCCTTTACACTGAAGGTATAATCTACTAAAAGTTGAGAAATCAAAGCTATCCTTTACACTGAAGGTATACTCTACTAAAAGTTGAGAAATCAAAGATTTTAGAAAATAATTAATTGAAAATTTCCAAAGAGATAAGAGATTACAATGAGAGGCATCAGAGAAAGTAAGCGTGATACTTCCCAGTCTTTTTTTCTAAATGGTTGCTGGTGAGTTTCTTATCCATTAACCAAATATTTTTTAACTTGTTTTCATATAGAAAAGCCTGCGTGTTTGAACAAGTCAACCAACTGAAGCGTACATGGAGAAAGTTAATTACCTCTCCCTCCTCACTGCTAATCTTAAACAATATTTAAGTTTTGGGTGTCCTTACACATCTTTCTCCAAGGTCATACACATAGGGCTTCTTTTTTAAAATCAGAAATAAGGCCAGGCACAGTGGCTCATGCCTGTAATCATAGCACTTTGGGAGGCCAAGGCGGGTGGATCACTTGGGTCAGAAGTTCGAGACCAGCCTGGCCAACATGGTGAAATCTGTCTCTACTAAAAACACAAAAATTAGCCAGGTGTGGTGGCGGGTGCCTGTAATTCCAGCTACTCGGGAAGCCTAGGCAGGAGAATCACTTGAACCCAGGAGACAGAGGTTGCAGTGAGCCCACATCAAGCCACTGCAGTCCAGTCTGTGCGACTGAGACACCATCTCAAAAAAATAAAAATAAAAATAAAAAATCAGAAATACGGTCATGCAACATACATATGATACTCTGCAACTAGCTTTTATTTTATGTATTATTTTTAATTATGTTATGCACTACCCTCACAAAATAATCCATACTATGGATGTACCTTATTTTATTCATTTTACTGATGAACATTTGTTGCTTCTGGTTTATTTACTGAAAAAAATCCTACAACAGACACCCTTACACACAGATTCTTACATGTCAATGTTTTTCCTAATGTAAAACAAGGCTGCAAATGTGGGATTGCTGGCTCACATGGCACGTGTGCTCCAAACTTTCACAGAAATGATCTGCTTTTCCAAAAGGTTGTAGCAATTCACACTTATATCAATGGTCTGAGAATTCCCACCCTGCCCCATCGAGCAGAGAGTATTACCAACCTTTTAAAAGATGTATCAATTGTATGGACAGGAAATAATATCTGTTTTTAAATTTGTATTTCTCTGTCCACTAGAGAAGGTGAGAAGAGACACAATAATTTGCATCCCTTGTTCTGGGAACTGCCTGCTCACATCCTTTTCTCATCTTTTTATAATGTTGTATTTCAGTTACTATTTCATCACATTCTCATCTCCCCACCCTCTACCCCACCCCCGCCCTGGCTACTAGATACACAAAGTACAAAAGAGTATCACCTCCTCGGAACACAATGTGTGGGCATTGTGAGGGCAGGGGATGTCTTCTCAGCATAAAGTACATGGTAAACCCTCAAAAACATACACTGAATGAGTGAATAACAGACGTAGGGAATTAAGTTTGTTAAAACTGCAGCTAAAAGAGTAAAAAGAAAATACAAATGTTCATTCCTTGTTCTACATTTTCAGAACAGCATCAGTTTGACTGAAATTAAATTGTTGATTAAGAGAAAAACAAAACCATGGTCTTGGCACCGTCTCTGAAACTCCACTGTGAAATGGGTGGCAAATGAGCCCAGTCCTAATTCATAGCTCTGGGTGACATATAAAGACTCTCACAACTAAAGCATTTTGTACCCAACCTTGTCCACCAGCTGTTATTCAAATGGCACCTGCCCCAAGCCAAAGATTGTCAGGGTGGTCAACACACAAGAGAGGTCTACCTTAAGCATGTTATCTTCCCCTCCTCCACCCTGACTTCTTTGCCTTTCTCCAGGTTATTGAGGAGGGGGTGTGGGCCCTGCAGGGGAAATTTGACAGAGTTCACATTCCCTAACTCTTTGAACTTTAGGCAAAACATCTGGTCATACCCACCATTTATCCCTATTATTTGTAATAGTTATGTGTGGCTTATGTTTTAACTAGTCTCCTTATTAGATATAAAAGTAATACGATTAAAAAGTTCTGGGGAAAGTACTGTAATTAAAAAGGCACCAGTGGGTATGTTAAGCTGTAATTCCAGGCCTGCTTATTATGTTTTCCTTCTTGTCTTTAAAATTTTTGTACCTAATAAAAATAACTGAATTATTTAGCTCTTTTTGAGTACTTCCTGTACTGGCCAACGACCACTCAAAATCATCAGGAAAACATTATGACTCAAAAGTTCTGGAGCAATAATGTCACAGATCACAAGTTGTAGAAACTGTCTCAAGAGTCTGGACATGCCACACACACATCACAACACCACTACACAGACTGGTAAACAGACAGGCAACTTTCCAAAACACATACTCGTTTTCTAACCTTTTGAAGTTACAAAATCTTAAAAGGAAAAAAATGCAAGAATTTTGGTCAAGCCATGAAGTTATGATGATTAAGAATCAGGTTGGCCAGGTGCGGTGTCTCATGCCTGTAATCCCAGCACTCTGGGAGGCCGAGGCGGGTGGATCACCTGAGGTCAGGAGTTCGAGACCAGCCTGGCCAACATGGTGAAACCCTGTCTCTACTAAAAATACAAAAATTAGCTGGGCATGGTGGTGCGTGCCTGCAGTCCCAGCTACTTGGAAGGCTGAGGTGACAGAGCAAGACTCCATCTCGGAAAAAAAAAAAAAAAGAATCAGGCAAGAGGCAACAAAGCACGATGTATAACAATTTGTTGAGAGAGGCATTAAAAAAAAGATAAATATTAAGGTAGTAAACTTGGGAATAAAGATTGGAGGGTTTGCAATAAAGCTTCTCTTTTTTATTATGTAAGGTTTAACATGTATAAAATATATGTGGCATATACATAGTTACAAAGCATAACGCTAAAATGCATAAATACCTATTTAGATGCATAGTTTTTTTCTGAGCATAGTTGGTAAAAATTTATATCATTCACCACCTGTAATCGTCCTTTACTGCTCTAGAGAACTAACGATGTTCTGGGAGTGAGGGGTGAAGGAGGGGAAATCAGGTTAATTTTGAGAGAGAAAAGACAGATATTGACTAGAAAATAACATACTCACCTCTTCCTAAACCCTAATTTCACTTAAAAATACTCTAGGGAACAGTGTTTGGAAAAACCTGAATGAGTCAGCAGTAGATGAGTTCAAAACACATATATAGCCTATGCCTGTACAGAATATCCCTAGTAACTCATTCAACAGGGTCAAGTTGTTAAAAGTTCGCTTTCTCTTTCGAGGTAGAAGCTCCACATCAATGCCAAAAAGAGAGACCCTCTAATACTCTTTGGAATCTCCCTGATAACTTAAATGGTTACAAAGGCAGAGAGAAACCAGTGGCTTCCCCAATATGAAGAGACCTGTTTCTGTGATTAAGGTGCTCCCTCTAAGACTGGAAACTTAAAACGGATTGAGGCTTTCTGCAACTGATTTCTCTTCTAAATTAGCTATGCTAATTTTGGAAAAATATATCTTGGGCTCTGGGTGTTTTCCACTATTCTAGTGCTCAATGAAAAAAAAAAGGCATTCGTGTAGGCATCCCTCTTCTCTCAAGACCACTTGTCACACCCACCGCCATCCTCTGATTTTGCATAGAGGTCCCAAATAAGCAATCAAGGTAGGTAAAATCTTGGCTGACATTCATATCGGAGTCACTTTTGCAGGCGCTTCATGAAATGAATCAGGGAAAGAGCTGCCTAACACCTAACATCTCCAGGCACATCTCCCACAGGAAAGCCTCTCCCCTCCCTCTGCACACCTAACCCCCAACCCCAGAGGTTTCTGTGGTCCCTTCTAGCCTCTTCAGTGAAGAAGACCGGAAGTGCCGACAAAACCTCAATACTATGACATCATTTCGGTAACACTCCAAGGAGAACACGTTCCTGCAATTGGCTGCCTGTAGGTTGGCAAACACGCCCGTGCCCTGTCCCATCACAAAGCAGAGGTCACAGTCTACTTCAAAAGTAAAGATTCCCCACTCCCGCTTCCCCCTCACTCCAGAGAGGTCGCTGCCTCCAAGCTCTGGAGAAGGGAGGTCAGCGTGCAACCTTACAATGCCACAGCTTAACACACCCAGGTATTATTAATGGAAAAGTAAGTGGTACTTACAGCACCAGGGCAATTTACGTGTATTTTGGGGACCACTTCTCCAAGACATCATCCCTACCCAACCGTCTTTAATTATGTCTTTGACAACGCCAACACTTCAGTTCATTCCTCTCTCATCTTCTGGAAAGAACCAGAAGTTTTCACTATGAGACACAGGAATTCTGGCCTAAGTTGTCCCAGCTCTTCAAGGACAGCAAGAATCCAAGTTTCCCCACGCGTCACCTGAAGCCCCAACTTCTGGAAACGCCCTCCTTTCCTCGCCTCTACGAGCTGCGAGAGCAGAACACGCAGCCGCGGGCGCTACTGCTGTCGCCGCTAAAGCCAAAGAGGCGACTGGAAGCTCAGGCTGTTCGGCGGCCTCGGGGCGACCACAGGCCAGGCCCTGGTCCTGATCCACGAACCAAGGCGCCTCCTCTCCCCCAGGAAGTGAGCTACTGCGCCCCTCGGAGCACCCAGGCGAGCCCGGGCACCGGGAGAACGCTCTACACTCGGCGCCCAGCCCCGGGACGCCGCCCAGCGCACGGCTCCGGCTGAGCACCCGGGCAGCGGTAGCTGCGGGGAAGAGGGGCGTGTTCCCTGAGCCTCGGAGCCCCAAGGCCGGGTCCAGGCGGGACAGAGGAAGGCGGCAAGCCCAGCACGCTGTCCGTGACGGCGGCTCTCGTTCCCAAGCCCCGCCGGCTGGCGTGGCGACGCGCTGTAGTCCGCGCGCCCTTGCGGGGACAGCAGTCGTGCGCGCCTTGTGCGGCCGCCTCCGCGCCTGCCTCGGCGCGCAAACTTTCCCGGCGACAACCGATCAGGCCTCTCCGACTGGGGCGCGGGGCTCTCCCCGGGACCCAGAAACTGCTCGCCCCCTCCCCTCCGCAGTCAAGACCCACTGAAAATATGGCGCCCTCGAAAGTCGTTCCTCGGTCCCCTCAGGGATCCCGAAATACTCGTCTCCAGGTCCCTCCAGCTTCCAATGGGCGCAAAATTTCAGCTCGTGGGACCGAGGAAGGAGAGGGAGCCGCTGAGTCTGTGTGAGGCCAGCCGCACTGGATGCAAAGCCTGGCCCCGCTCTCGGCCCGGCACTGCCCCCGTCGCTCAGCGGCCAGCAGTTCGCCCGTGGCGAGATTGCCAAGTAAAGGGCAGTCGTGGGATCGGCAGGTCTGAGTGTCCGGCACCGGAGAAGGAACTCCGCACTGGCGGGCTGTCTTAGCCCAGAGCCTCGGCGGGAGACTTGTTTGCAAAGTGGCGCTGGAGTCCCGGCGGCCAGTGCTGGAATGAAGCTGCTCCTCCAGCGCCAACTCTTCTGGCGCGGGGGCCCGGCTGGGGTCGAGGGGACACTCTATGCAGGCGGGGCCGCTTTTCAAAGCCCAGTTACCGGAAACCCAGCGAGAGCCCCGGAGGGGACCGGCTGCCCACGGCCAGGAATCCGCTCTCTGGCGCCGACTGCGAGGCTGTTTGCAAACCGCTGCGCCCGGGTCCGGTGCAGTGAAACATACATGTGCAATAGACAGGTGCATTAATTTCATTTTATTTTTATTTTCCTGCAAGAAGCCCTCCTAGACCATCAAATCTGGGAGCTTTACGGGTTTTTCCTGCATTGGCATCACTCACGAGAAGCAAAAGGGAGGAAAAAAAACCCCACATTTTCCTTCTGGAGAGGGGAGGGAAAAGACACGAGAAATTCATGCAACGTGCATGCAGCTGGAGGAAGAGGAAAACCCGAGTGAGCCGTGCGCCTTACCGGGGGATGCATTTACTGTCTCATTGCAGAGCGCCTGCCCGGGAGTGCAGCCCGCGTCCCCCCGCGCGCTGGGCGACCACTCCGCTCCCGCAGCCGCCTCAGCCGCTGCCGCCGCCGCTGGCTCCGGGCGCGGAACAAGAGCCGAGGGCGAGCGCGAGCGCACTGCCCGAGAGCGCTGGGAGGGCAGGAAGCGCGTCATCATTCGGGGACGGCGCGGCGCCGGTCCGGCCGCGGCGCCGCGCGGCACCGGGGTGGGCCGCCACCGAGGCTCAGGCGCCCGTCCTGGGTTTCCTCCCACGCGTGGTGATGCTGAAAGGGTCCGCGAGGGAAGGTGATGCACCGGCCGAGCTGTCACGGGGAAGGGAGGCTCGGGGTGACCCCGGCTTCCCAGAATTGGGGCTCTGCTGTGTAAAGGGGATGACTGCAGGACACAGCGTCTTGTAGGCTGGGGCCCCTAGGTCCGCAGAGTGCCCTCTCGGGACCTCTGGCCCGGTCCTGGGGGAAGCGAGCTGTGGCTAACTGGAGGGCCGTGGTGGGCGGTGGGGTCTTGCTGCGAAGCGGAGGGCCGTGACCCCAGGCGAGCCTGCTCCTTTCAGCACAAGGACCCTGAAACCTTGCTGGTCAGGTGTCACTTAGGTATTTAGAGAACGACTATAGGGATGAGTGGCGGTAGGGGCGTGCTGTGTTGATAAGAAGAAAATAATTCACTCCTGCTTGCCATGCCCTGAATAAAGTCAGTTATATACCTCTTACATTTACAGTCATTATTAGTAAATACTGTAAATACCATGGAACAATGTGAAGGTTATTCAAGGGGGTGAGGAGACAAAACACTATGTACCGTATGGTCCCGTTTTTAAAAACTGTGATTTATGGAGAAAGGCAGAAAAGACTGGATAGATAAACACCAATAAGTCTCTCAGTGATTGGTGGAATTGTGAGTAATTTTACTTTTTTATTTATCTGTAAGGGACACATTAGTAATTTAAAAAAACAAGAATTAGCCATGACCCCTTTACTCCTAGTACTTTGGGAGGCCAAAGCAGGAAGATCTCAAGCCCAAGGAGTTTAAGATCGGCCTGGGCAATATAGCGAGACCTTATCTCTACAAAAAAAATTAAAAATCAGCCGGGTGTGGGGGCGCATGCCTGTAGTCCCAGTTACTGGGGAGAATGGTGGGAGGATCGCTTGAGCCCGGGAGCTCGGGGGCTGCATGAGCGGTGATCCTACCACTGCACTCCAGCCTGGATGACAGAGCGGGACTCTGTCTCAAAAAAGAAAAAAAAAAGGAAAGACGACATTATTTCCATCCCAATACAGAATGGACCAGGAAATAGGTAGCAAATCTATTCAGTTACTCAAATGGAACTGCTGGCAACTTTTTAGTGTTTCTCAGAGAAAGAAACTGCTGTCACCATAAACCGGAGACTGAATTGATTTTGTAAATTGAAATTATTTTGAATAAGTCCGTTGGAACATTGGATAAGGCTGGACATTCTGTGAGAACAATACCCTGTCCTTAACCAGGCTGATGAACCGGACTGTATGTATCATAGCAGCAAAGATAACCTTAGGGTACAACTTTGTAACTTATTGCAGAATATAAACTGTAAAGCTAACAAAGTATACATTATCAATGCACAGTGAGAGAACCAATTACTTGGCAACTTGAGAAAGTCCTAAAAATTGCAGGGCACAATTTCTCATTGTACAGGTAAAGTATTTTTGTTCACCACGCCTTTTTAAACATTCACCAGTCTCACAGAATAACTAGTGGTGGCAACAAGCCACCTCAGGGGTTGATTAAAAAGTACATGTTTATTGATTTCTGTATGAGCCTGGTAATAAGCTCACTAAATTAATGCCACCTAAATTGTTCCTTGGTTTACTAACAAAGAATAACCATATTTTTATGGTCCAAATGCCAGGTTTACATAAGAGGCTCATCAAGAAGGAAAGGAAAAAATGGTTGCAACTTAAGTGATTTTCCCCTTCCACTTAGTCCTCCGTTCATAGGGCCCAATAGCTTCCTATCAAGCATCTCAAAATCTTTCTGACACCTGGATTTCAAGATTTTCCATTACTTAATGCATCCTCTTGAAAGTATCCCCACACTTTTCCACTACCCATCAGCGGGATGCCATTCAGTAATGGAAGCTACATTCCATGAGAGCAAGAACCTCATCTGTATCTCTGTGCCTGAAGGAGCCTGACACATAGTATTTAATAAGTACTCAATAAAAATCTGCTTTATGAAAATAGCCTTATTTGTTCACTACCTATCTTACTAGTTCCTGAGATATTTGAAAAGTTATCTATTCTATTAGAGTGTCAGCAAAATTCTGGGATGCTGAGATCCTGTAGAGTTATAGCCTTGGTTTGGTTCAGTTACTTTTCAAAGTTCCAGCTAAATCCTAAGGCATTCACAAGGGTGAGGTGCAGGTGTCTGAATATTTGGGCATTAATAAGCCAGATAGCACTATTCTGTGGCTTTCCAAGGTCAATTAAATTCTTTCCCCCAGTGAGAAAGAACATCAGCCTTAGAACTCAGCTTTAGTTCTAGCTTCAAACCAATTGGCTTTGGACACTTCTTAATTTTACAGCTCCTGGTTTTTCTAACCACTCTTAGGGCTCTAAAAACCATTTACTGTTTTTTTAGAGAAATCAACTAACCATTCTACGTCCTAGCATTATATTTTTCAAAAATTTCCCCAGTAGAAGTAAAAGCAATTTTACCAGTAACCTTTACTAACTTTTCTGAAATTGAGATGCCTCCCTAGACCTAAAAAAAGTTATTTCTAAATTTAGAGTCAGCTACTAGTAGTCGCTGTCTTTATTCAGAGTGATCATAGTTCATTGTAGACCAGCAAAAAAAAACTAAAAAAACAAAATCTAACTTTTTTTAACAAGATTACATTTTGGGGCTTCGTCTCTACCCAGCAGAGGAAAACAGGGTGGGAGATAAAACATTCCATCTAAGCAATTTCTCAAGCCTTACAGCCTCTTACTTCTGCCCAGCAGATCTTAAGTAGCAAAATAAATACACTTTGTATGAATAAAGAGTGGAACATTTGGGGAGGTAAGTCAAAGAGATAGCTTCCAAGTCACTTGTAATAAATATATCTGGAACGAAAAACCATTTTCTTCACAAGTCAGATTTGTAATTACCAAATTAGACATTGCTTGGTGCTAAAGAGCTGGATGCTGAGAGATTGCCCCTCTCCTCCCATTGCACTGAGCCTTAACCTCCTGAATTCCTGTTGAGCACTTGTAGGTATCTGGGGTGGCTTTGCTCAGCTTTCATAGCTGAGCAAACTCAACTGTGTCCATGTTGAAAAAATAAAAGAAATTCCACCAAATATTTTGTTATACTTTATTTATAAGAGAATATTTTGTGCCATAATAAAATATTTTAAAGGGCTCCCTTGATACAATACACCAACAGTTCATGATTTCCTCTCTTTCAAAAATGTTTGTATCCTTTCCTGAGAGCAAGGTAGGTAGGAACCACATTTTCTCAAAATTGTCCATCATTCAGAACCAGAGATGAAAAGAAGATACTTAGGCTTCTTTTGTAATTTGATATCTTTAGGTTTCTAGAAATCTCTCTACCTCTTTTCTGATAAGTTTTAGGAGAGTATATTAACCAAAAATTACAGGAGGAAATATTATCTGAGTTGTAGTACAGCATATAGTTCATAAGTTATTTTTAATTTATTTGAAAAGCAAATATTTGACATTTTGCAAAAATTAATATATTTTAGCTTTTTAGTTATCTCAAAGCATAGGACCTCATTTCATTTCTAACTATTCAGGATAGCATGACAGATACAGATTTAAATGTCCTATTTAAAAGAGGAAATTGGGCTGAGCATGATGGCTCATGCTTGCAATCCTAGCACTTTGAGAGGCCAAGATGGGAGGATTGCATGAGGCCAGGAGATCGAGACCAGCCTGGTCAACATAACAAGACCTTACCTCTTTTTTTTTTTTTTTTTTTTTTTTAAGAAAAAAAGAGGCTGGGCACGGTGGCTCACACCTGTAACCCCAGCACTTTGGGAGGCCAAGGCAGGCGGATCACGTGAGATCAAGAGTTCAAGACCAGCTTCACCAACATAGGGAAACCCCGTCTCTATTTTTAAAAATGCAAAAATTAGCTGGGTGCATTGGCACATGCCTCTAATCCCAGCTACTTGGGAGGCTGAGGCAGGAGAATCTCTTAAATTCGAGAGGTAGAAGTTCCTGTGAGCAAGATGGTGCTGCTATACTCCAGCCTGGGCGACAGAGCAAGACTCCGTCTCAAAAAAAAAAAAAAAAAGAAAAGAAAGAAAAAAAATAAAAAGAAAAGAGGAAATTGCTCCGATAGATTCAGGAAATGGTAATCATCATACCCAATGCAGAACATGCTTGACATTAATTTTTCTTCTACAGCATATAAAACATACTAAAAAGGTTCTTTAAATGTCTCTGAAGCAACATACTGTCTAGAAGAATATAATACCAGTAATTATTTTCCTAAGTTGAATTGATCCTTAATCCAAATCAAATCGTTAATATAGAGTGAATAGTATAGGAGGCAGAATGTTTTTTCTTTTGGCTGCTTGCTTGCTGATTTAAGATGTGTTTGGAGTTATACTGTGATTAAAAATCTTTTAAAAGTACTTTATTGTGTATCATCAAAATTGCTTTATTAAGTATGTGTCATTTAAGTCTCTGGTCACTTGGAATTTTTTTAAGGTTATGGATAAATATGTTTTCATGAAATTGTTCCATAATATCAAGATACAGTAGAAAGACTTTTAAACAAAAAAGTGTTTTAAAAATCTGTTATCACAGACCGTTGCGCCGCCCGCCCCCCGCCCACGTTTCACTAAAATATGTTAGCTAAGATTGGTCTTTGGGGCTCTGGAGATTTTTTATTTATTTATAGGTGCCACAGAACTCTTTTAAAAAAAATTTGTTTAGGGATTAGACCAATTTTAATTTTAAAATAGTATATTTATTGTCATCTAGGAAATATTATTCTAGGTCTTCCTCAGATGGAATGGATTTGTTCTAAACAAAATAAGATGATTAGATCATGTCTAAATCATTAAATGTTTTTCATTAATTAAAAGCGATCAACTGAAATATAGAAAATTTAAGCTGAAATTACTTAGATATGTTTAGTGTAACTTCAGGGAGGTAAGTGGGGACTATGGGTTTACATCAAAGACAAAATAAATATGTCCAGCACAATTCTTACTTGCCTGTTTCCTTAAATCAATTTAACAAATATTTACTGAGTTGATGCCAGGACTTATTATGAGCAAGACACTCTCCCTCCCAGCTGTGGCAGACATCTACTGAATAAAATAGTCTCTGCCTTCCCTTTTAAGATTAGAGCGGCCACACCAGATATTCAAATTGATTCTGTTGATAAAAAGTCTTTAAAAGTCTTCTTTCATCTTATCACTTCCCTCAGAGTTACAAGCTCCAGGAGTTTAGAAAACATCAAAAGAAGACATTTTTTGGTAAGACCAGTCCTAGGTACAAAGTAGCAGGTTTGGTCCTTGTCCTGTCTTCTGTTGCCCAGAGCAGTCTAGAATAGCCTGGAACTGTTAAGATTAACTACGTAGCAGGAGCTCTGATGAAATGGTTCATATATTATTTGTCTCACCATTTTGAACGTACTTTTATTTCCTGCCAGACCCATGTCCTAGAGCTCAGCAAGTTTTGATTTTCTGCAATTTGCCTCAAAAGGTGATTCCATTGAGATTTGCAGACTTTCGATGTTTCACATGGTTCTATATTTATTTTTACAAACTCAGAATTTTCAACATTAGTCAGAATCACCTTTACAAAGACTGTAAAGTTCGCATGCTACAGAGCCATGTAAAAGGTAAGTTGGAGGGCAGCTGAGGAGAGAAGGAAAAAGAAGAAAATACCCATTCAGGTGATTTGCCATGTGTGAGTTCTTAACATTATTTGAATATTTCCCCAATGCAGTCTAAAATAAGATGAAAACAAAACAAGAAAAACAATAACCTCCAGCACCAACTCAATTAGCTTAATTTTTTTCTACCAAAAACTAAAATGTATTCTATATAATCCATAGCTTCACAAAAAAATCAAAAAGTAAAATGAAAACTTAGAAATAATTAGAACACTTCTTTGAGACAGAGTCTCACTCTGTTACCCCAGCTGGAGTGCACTGGCACGATCTCTGCTCACTGCAACCTCCACCTCCCAGGTTCAGGCCATTCTCATGCTTCAGCCTCCTGAGTAGCTGGGATTGCAGGCACATGCCACCAAGCCCAGCTAATTTTTTGTATTTTTAGTAGAGCTGGAGTTTCACCATGTTGGCCAGGCTGGCCTCAAACTCCTGACCTCAGGTGATCCACCTGCCTCAGCCTCCCAAAGTGCTAAAGTGCTGGAATTACAGACTTGAGCCACCACTCCTGGCCCGGTAGGTTTTATTTTTAATTGTTTTATGAAAATTTTCAAATATGTAACAAAAGTAAAGAGAATTATATAATGAACCCCATATACCCCATCACTCAACTTCAACAATCTCAAGATATTGCTACTTGGTCCATCTATCCTTTCTGTGTGCATATTTTAAAGCTAATCTCAGACACCATGTGATTTCACCCCTGCTCACTAAATATACTCCACTGTCTACAACATATGGACATTTTTCTTACATAGGCACAATGCCATTATCACACCTATTAAAATTAGTAACAATTCCTTGATATTATCTATATTGTGATCACACCCAGTCTATATTCACAGATTTCCCTAATTGTCTTTAAAACACCAAACAGTAGATTCGTTTCCTGTTTTTCTCAACTCTCTTTTAATCTTGACATCTAGAGTAGCCCATTCTTACTTTTTGTGTGGCATTAACTTGAAGAAAACTCCTTAACTGTCCCATAGAATGTTCCATATTCCAGATCTATGTGTTGCTTCCTTGTGAAGTTGTTTAACTTGGTCCACTAACCTCCTATTGTAAACTTGGAGTTGGTTCTATCAGCTTAGTTCAGTTCAGGTTTGACTTTTAGGCAACCATACTTCATAGCTGCTGCTGTGTGTTCCATACTACATCATATCAGGAGGCACAGAATGTCAGCTTGTCTATTTTTCAATGAAGCTGTGATTGACCAATATGTTCAGGAGATGCCAGCTGGATCCCACTATTGTAAAGTTCCCATCTGCCTTTTATCAAATGGTTTCACCTACTTATTCCTGTTGTCTGAATTGGAGATTCATTAGGGGCTGCAAAATAGGGATTTTTTTTTTTTTTTTTTTTTTTTTTCTGAAACGAAATCTTACTCGTCACCCAGGCTGGAGTGCAATGGCACCGTCTCGGCTCACTGCAACCTCCGCCTCCCAGATTCAAGCAATTCTCCTGCCTCAGCCTCCCAAGTAGCTGGGATTACAGGCACCTGCCATCACGCCCAGCTAATTTTCGTATTTTTAGTGGACACGGGGTTTCACCATGTTGGTCAGGTTGGTCTTGAACTCCTGACCTCAAGTGATCTGCCCACCTCAGCCTTCCAAAGTGCTGGGATTACAGGTGTGAGCTACCGTGCCCTTCCAGGATGTTCTAATTGAGCATTAGCATGGAATATACTTAGTGGCAGGCACCTTCTTTCCCTGAAAGGTCCATGAGATCTTAGAATTAATTGAATTAGAATGTTTATAATAAAGTTAAAGGAAATACATGATCACAAGAATTAACACTAAGAAGGCGCCAAATCCCTCCAAATTCCATTCAAATGGAGATAAAAAAAAAACCTTTAGTTTCAAAAGTTTTGTTTGTTATTTAAGTTGTTAAAAGTCTAGCTCCATTTAGAAGCAGCTGATATTGTCACTTTGTCAATATGTCATATTGTCACTGATATTGTCACTGTCATATTGTCAGGGAGGGGTTCCACAGTTATACAATATTCTAAATATAATCTATTGGGAAATTCTCCCCATTTGCATAACACAGCTCATCCATATCTGCAAGAAGAAATATTCTCACCCAATCTGAAATTAATTATAGAATTATTCCCTTTATAGACTGTTAAAAAGTTGGAAACAATCCTCTCTGAGAGGGAAATCTCCAGGGAAATGAATATTCCCAGATTGCAGGTAGGCCACATGGAGAACCACCATGAGACTGAAAGGCTGGAGAGAGGGAGGCTTGCTACACATTGGACATCTCTCTAGAAAGAGACTAGATTCAAGAGACTGCTCATTCAAATGCCTAGGCCCTGCTCCAAGAGATGTGGATTTAATAAATCTTTTCCTTTAAAAATCTTTTCTGGATCATGATGCAGCTGATCCAGAGACCACATCTGAGGAAACCTCATCTTACTCATAGAATCAGGTAAAATAGAAAACATGCTGTCATTTGGAAGAAGGTGAGCACAACTACAGTTATGGTTTACCAGACAACCTTAGATGCCACCACTGTGGTCTGGTGTTGACTCTGGTGGTTTCTTGCCCATATATTCTTTGGTGTTTTTTTTCGGGGGAACACCCTAAGAAACCATTTCTCATTTCCACAAAATGAGCATGGCTGGAGCTGTCCATTCCTTCAGAAGAGATGGCAGCCTCCCACATTCCCACAAATAGACAAATGAAACATGGAATTACTTATAAGGGGGATCTTTCTACTCCTTTATCTTGACTTTGCCCATTTTTAACACTAAGACCAAAGATATTGGTTTGAATTTAATTCTGCAACGGAGGACTATTTTGGGGTTTCTGTTTTCTACTTCATCAGGTTCTATTCAAGATTATGCAGATCAATCCTGCCAAAAGTAATCACTCCCAATGGGGGCAGTTTACTAAAGAGGAAAATGAAAATTGAAGTGGGAATCAGGAAACCTGGGTTCTACTGGTGGCTCCACAGTAGATATGTGACCTTGGACATGTCCCTTCACTTTTAACATCAGAGTAATTTTATTTGCAAAATGAACAGGTTGTGGTTGGGCGCAGTGGCTCATGCCTGTAATCCCAGCACTTTGGGAGGCCGAGGCGGGTGGATCACTTGAGGGCAGGAGTTCGAGACCAGCCTGGCCAACATGGTGAATCCCCGTCTCTACTAAAAAATACAAAAATTAGCTGATGTGGTAACACATGCCTGTTATCCCAACTACTCAGGAAGCTGAGGTGGGAGAATCGCTTGAACCCCGGAGGCGGAGGTTGCAGTGAGCCGAGATCACGCCACTGCACTCCAGCCTGGGCAGCAGAGAGACTCCATCTCTAAATAAATAAGTAAATAAATAAGGAATAGGTTGAATCTAATCATTAATAATTCCACTTCTAGCTTTCCATCATTTCTCTGCACATCTATAAAATGTGTAATTGGTGTCATTCATATGACACTTAAAATGTACTGCTTTGTGCTGTAGCTGGTGTTCTGGTCTTGTTTCCTGGAGCAGCTGAAATGTATTTCATATTGTGTAGTGGATGCTGTGGTGCCTCCGCTGAGGCACTCCTCCCCAGCCACTGGGGTGTTGGTGGCTGATGGCTCTTATCTGAGTCCCTGTCTAGTCCTTCCAGGCACGTGGGATGTGGGGTGGAGGGAGGTGACAGCCAGCATCCAGTGATCATGTGATTGGCGTTCAAATACAGGGGACCACTTCCTTCCTCCCATATAGGCAGTGGGCAACAAAGACCATGAGGGAAAGATCTAAAGAGCTACTCCACCATCAGAGCTTCCCTTGCAATGGGCCGAATGGGCCGAGGTGTTTTGTTTTTTCTTTGTTTATTTATTTGTTTTTGACACAGAGTCTTGCTCTGTCGCCTAGGCTGGAGTGCAGTTGCATGATCTCAGCTCACTGCAACCTCCGCCTCCCAGGTCCAAGCGATTCTCCTGCCTCAGCCTCCCGAGTAGCTGAGACTACAGGCACCCACCACCATGCCTGGCTAATTTTTGTATTTTTAGTAGAGATGGGGTTTCACCATATTGCCCAAGCTGGTCTTGAACTCCTGACCTTGTGATCCACCCGCCTCAGCTTCCCAAAGTGCTGGGATTACAGGCGTGAGCCACCGCGCCCGGCAGACCGAGGTCTTTTCATGACTGCATCACAGTCCAACCTTTTCCTCGTGTAGCCTGCTTTCCTTACTCCCTCAATAGTGTATTGAGGAATGAAAGCATTCCCCAGTCAACCCACTGCATGAAAATATCAGAGTCTCAGAGTCTGTTTTCTGGTGATAGTAATTCTGTTCCTCACCACCTTCCTGTCTCTCCCATGTACCCATACACCTCTTGTGCAAGGTAGGCTGAAATGAACCAACATCAGCAGAGGCCGCGGCAGAGTGAGAGAGCTGCCCATGCTGGGAGAAGCCCTGGTCTTTGTCTCCACAAATGCTGAAACTGACAGTGTTTCTCCCAGAGTCCAAGTCTCCATTAGCCAAGCCAAGAGCAGAGGAAATGTTCTCCACTGGTAAGACTCACTGTATTTTGTTCCTGCACATCTCTTTGCACGTGTGTATCTAATTCCTGGCAGCAGCTAGAGGCGAGGGACTGGGTCTTACATAACTTGACTAAGACCAACAGAATATTGAAAAGTTGGCCTGTCTTTTTTTCTTCTAAAATTAGAGAAAACCCCTGGTTTTCAAACTGCTTCCTCTTTCAAATGAAAACCAGGATGAAACTGATCACACAGTGATGGTCTGGGATCCATCATCATAGATGGTGTCAAGGTTTCAGGAGGGCTTGCTGTTCCCTTCTATAATAGGGAGAAAAATTGCTTTAAGCAACCCCTGGTTCCTCACATATTGTAATAGACTGACTTTATTGTTGCTCTTATGAGAGTGGTATGCAATTTTAAACTAGTTTAATTCAAAATCAACACAGAGACACACACACATTTTTTTTTTTTTTTTGATAGCGTCTTGCTCTTTCACCCAGGTTGGAGTGCACTGGCACACTCATGGCTCACTGCAGTGGGCTCAAGCGATCCTCCCACCTCAGCCTCCTTCGGAGGCTGGGACCACAGGCATGCACCACCATGCCCTGGCTAATTTTTGTATTTTTTGTAGAGACAGGGTTTCAGCATGTTGCCCAGGCTCACACATATCTTTACCTTTAGGGCCAACCGACTGCATTATGTCCTCTTGTGTTAACATAAACCTTCCAAACAATGGATACTTACTTTCATTATGTAATATCCTTTCCTTCTGCTGTATACTTTCCTTCAATAGCCAGGAGTATCTGTGCCTGATTTTTTTTTCAATTTTTTGGTCAGGATCTCAGACGTTTGATATGATTTATAGAAGCACAGTCCTTTGAAATAAGACAATGAACTGTAGACTTGGGCATATTTAAATAATTCAAACATTGTCTAATAGTGTGTGGTTCCAGGAGGAAAGAAGAACTGTCGACACCAGAAAATTTCCTGCTGGAATTCTGCCAAAGAATAGCTGGCCGTCCTAGGGAGGTCCATCATTACGGAACTTTGCTGTTTGTAAATTTAATAAACGACTCACATCTGCTTATAATATCATGGAAGTCTATGTGAAAAGTACTTCTTATATAAAGCACATGGCTTATTTTAAAAATCAATGCTTTCTTCTTGTAGTATTTGTCAGCTTATACAGGAAAAACACTACACCTGTATTTACACTTAAGAGTCTAGGCCACAGCATTCATGTCCTACTTGTGCTTTGAGTCACAGCATGATATGGCTGAGACCTTAGAAATCATCTAGCCTCTCCCCATCACAGTGCAGCCAAGGCCCAGAAGAGGTAAAGGACTCCAGGGCAGTGCACCTGGAGTTAGTGCCAGTCAGGGCTCAGAGGGTGCCACACCCTGTCCTTCCTTCCTTTCTCTCTCCCTCCCTCCCTCCCTCCCTCCCTCCCTTCTTCAATATTTCCTCCTTCCTTCTTTCTGTCCTTCCTTCCTTTCTTTCCTTCCTTCCTTTGTCCTTCCTTCTTTCCTCTCCTTTCCCACCTTGCCTCCCTTCTTTCCTTCCTTCCTCCATTTTTCTTCCTCCCTTCCTTCCTCCCTCGCTCCCTCCCTCCCTCCCTTCTTTCCTTCTTTCCTTCCCCGATTTCTTCCTCCCTTCCTCCCTCCCTCTCTTCCTTCTTTTCTGCCTTTCTTCTTGTGGACTAGGTTACTTGGACTCCTTAGTTATGGCACATTAGCAGCATCACTGGCTGTCCACTGTCCCTCTCACATTTTATCCCAATGGACCACTTCCTTCCTCCTATGTAGGCACCATTCTGATGTGTTTAATGTCCATGATTTTAATTTTTACATATTTGAAAAATGTGTCTGTCCCCTCCTCCCCACCTTGCAGTATGCTTGAAGATCTGCCCATATTGTCCCATATTGTCCTGCATGTGAGCATGTAGCGCATTGCTTCCTGCTGCTGCGGTTCTCCAAGACTACAGCTTTTCCTGCCATAACCCCTGGCCTCATAGCCAATTCATCTAACAGTAGTTCCATCACAGCCAATCTGGGCTCACTTGATCTCTCTCAAGCAAAAATCACATGTTTTCTCTTATTAAACGTATATAAGGCAGAACAAGTCCAAGGAATATAAGTGATTTAGCAGTGGCTTCAATAACCTTTCACCTCTAGATAAATTACTGGTATGATTTAATATAATACAGACATAAAGTGTTCAAAAGCTGTTTTTATTCCATCAAAATGGGTTGAGTGCTTTTAAAATGTTTTGCCAGCACTACAGTTCCCAAGAGAAAAATATCTTCATTGTTCATTTTTTTCTTTTTTTTTTTTTTTAAAGGGGAAAGAAAGTTGGCAGGAGGATGGGGGATTGAACTCTTTTTCTGAAGGGCAATTTGCCAATATATTTCCAAAGGCTTTGATCTAGTAATTCCACTTCTAGGAATTTATCATAAGGCAATAATAAAGAGTAGCTGCAAAAATTCATCAAAGAATGTTCACTGCAGCAGTGTTTATAATTGTGAAAAAACTATAATCAATCTCAATTTGCCACAACCAAGGATGAGTTGAACTATGACATATTCTACTAATTAGCTCATTCAGCATATATTTATTGGGTTTCTGCTGTGTACCAGCACAGCGCTAAAGGTGGGAGATATCAAGAGGATCAAAATAAACAGGGTTCCAACCTGGAAAACAGTCGGCCATTAAACCTGTCGCTCTGGGAATACTCATGATACAATCAACGATTAAAGTAGGACACAAAGAAACACATTATTTTGGAGGGTTTTTTTTTTTTTTTTTTTTTTTTTGAGACAGAGTCTCACTCTGTCACCCAGCTGGAGTGCAGTGGCGTGATCTCAGCTCACTGCAACCTCTGCCTCCCGGGTTCATGCCATTCTCCTGCCTCAGCCTCCTGAGTAGCTGGGACTACAGGGTGCCCACCACCACACCCGGCTGATTTTTGTACTTTTAGTGGAGATGGGGTTTCACCGTGTTAGCCAGGATGGTCTCGATCTCCTGACCTCAGGTGATCTGCCCACCTCAGCCTCCCAAAGTGCTGGGATTACAGGCATGAGCCATTGCGCCCGGCCTTTTGTTTGTTTTTAGAGACAGAGTCTTGCTATGTTTCCCAGGGTGGAGTGCAGTGGTTATTCACAGGCACTATGATAGCTCACTGCAGCCTTGAACACCTGACCTCAAGTGATCTCTTGCCTCAGCCTCCCCAGTAATTAGGACTACCGGCCTGTGCCACCACGCCCAGCTAACACATTATTGTTATTATTTTTGAGACAGGGCCTCACTCTGTCGCCCAGGCTGGAGGGTAGTAGCACAATCTCGGTCCACTGCAATCTCCTTTTCCCAGGTTCAAGCGATTCTTTTGCCTCAACCTCCCTAGTAGCTGGGATTTCAGGCATGCACCACTATGCCCAATTAATTTTTGTTTTTTTGGATTTTTTTTAGTAGAGAGGGGATTTCACCATGTTGGCCAGGCTTGTCTTGAACTCCTGAGCTCAAGTGATCTGCCCGGCTCAGCCTCCCAAAGTGCTGGGATTACAGGCATGAGCCACCACATCCGGCCCTAACACGTTATTATTACAGTGTATAATGTTTTTTGCTTTGTTTGGTTTTGTTTTGTGTTTTTGAGATGGAGTTTAGCTCTTATTGCCCAGGCTGGAGTGTAATGGCACAATCTCAGCTCACTGCAACCTCTGCCTCCTGGGTTCAAGCCATTCTCCTGCCTCAGCCTCCCAAGTAGCTGGGATTATAGGCATATGCCACCACGCCCAGCTAATTTTGTATTTTTAGTAGAGATGGGGTTTCACCATGTTGGTCAGGCTGGTCTCGAACTCCTGACCTCAGGTGATCCACCCACCTCGGCCTCCCAAAGTGCTGGGATTACAGGCATGAGCCACCGTGCCTGGCCTGTATAATGTTTTATTTTAAAATTTATAATCATAGAAAGTTATTCAACAAAGAGCATTTCTTTGAGTTTTTTTTTTGAGATATATTGGACAGCATGGTAACAATAGATGATAATAGTGTATTATATATTTCAAAATTGTTTTGTTTGTTTTTGAGACAGGGTCTCACTCTGTCACCCAGGCTGGAGAGCAGTGGTGTGATCACGGCTCACTGCAGCCACGACCTCTTGGACTCAAGTAATCCTCTCACCTCAGCCTTTTAAGTAGCTGGGACTATAGGCACGTACCACCACGCCCAGCTAATTTTTTACTTTTAGTAGAGACAAGGTCTCACCATGTTGCCCAGGTTGGTCTTGAATTCCTGGGCTCAAACGATCCTCCCACCTCGGCCTCCCAAGGTGCTGGGATTACAGTCATGAGCCACCATGCCCGGCCTCAAAATTGTTAAGAGAGTAAATTTCAAATGTCCTCACCACAAAAAGTGATGAGTGAGGTAATGGATCTGTTAATTAGTTTGATTTAATCATTCCACATTGTGTACATATATGGTAACATCACTTTGTACCCTATAAATATACAATTACAGTTTGTCAATTTCCAATTAAATGTTTCAAAAGATTTTTTAAAGTAAAAAAAATTGTTTTAAAGAGCAAATTTTTTCAATAAGTTCAGTACAAAGCAACAGATAAATTTTTAAAAAAATAATTAATCAAGACAGCAACGCTTCAGCAGAGCAGCCAGGTGCACCCTCCAAGACAGTGATGATGCCCGGAGGCTGCTGTCTTTGGGGCGGGTTAGCGCTGACTTTACCATGCTGAGCCCAGTAATCCTTGGGCCACTGGGCTAATTGCTGAGAGGTCTGAATTCCAGCTAGGGCAGCGTGTAGTCAAAGACAAGCTTCCATATGTTCATGACTCCATTTCTCACCTATAAAATTAAGGTGCCGGACTTAGGGTCCCCCGTGATTCCCTTCAGTCCTAGAGTTCTTCCTTTTCTCTTGATTGTTATTTCACACACTGTCATTTTCCTATTTTTGCCTGTGTTGTGACATGTTTGTGCTTTTTAGCTGTCTGAGTGACTGAATTGGGTCACTGCTGCACAAACCCAATTGTCAGTCTGTCAGCTGTGGAAATGACTGGAAATACTGATAGTCCACACTGAGAACAGTTAAGTCATGCTGTACCAGTATGTCCTTAGGGTTTGTGTCTGCAAAGTCTATGTTACTAGTCAGTAGTAAGACTGATTCTACCAACCACGCGCCACACAGCCAGGATATTTATAGTGCTCTCCTGCATCCTCTTCCTAATAAAAATGTGTATTGAGCTAATTTTTACCTCCAAAACTGGATTTAAAAATTTCTCATTTTGTTTTAGAATTAGCAAGTCAAATGCTATTTCAAAATAAGAGCATATTATTCCATCAAAACCCATGGAAACATTATTTTAAAATTTGTTATTTAAAATTATAAAACATATTTTATAATAAAATTATTTTAAAAGACCTTCTCTGATTGCCACTGTACAGATGATTAGACTTTGAACTATTACAAAACAAACAGGGCCACCTGTGGTGGCTCACACCTATAATCCCAGCACTTTGGGAGGCCAAGGCAGGAGGATCTCTTGAGTCCAGAAGTTCTTGCACTTCTGGGAAACAGTGGAACCCAAATCTCTGCCAAAAAAAAGTGATTTTTATGTGCACTAAAATTGAAAAGCCCTTCTCAAGTAAAATTTGATAACTCTTCTCAAATATTTAATCTTCTCACTCTTAATTCCACTTTCCATTTGTCTAATACATCATAATTCCCAAGACTGATCTTCAAAATAGTGTCTACAATTAACTTTTCCTGTCGGAAATTGGCTTTTAATATCTATACATGTGTGTATGTGGGTGTATAATTTTATCCAGGAAGATCCCACAACAGGTTCTCATTTCTCACCACTGTTAGTTACTATTTGCACTTTTTAAAGACACTAAGGTCCTTATGAAGACAAAGCTGACGTTATTCTATTGCAGAATCTGAAATTAGAATGTCTTTTTTTTTTTTTTTTTTTCAAATGGAGTGTTGCTCTGTTGCCCTGGCTGGAGTACAGTGGCACGACCTGGGCTCACTGCAACTTCTGCCTCCCTGCAACTTCCGCCTCCCAGGTTCAAGCAATTCTTCTGTCTCAGCCTCCTGAATAGCTGGGACTACAGGTGCGCACCACCATGCCCGGCTAATTTTTTTTTTTTTTTTTAGAGACAGGATTTTACCATGTTGGCCAGGCTGATCTCAAACTCCTGACTTCAGATGATCCACTCGCCTCGGCCTTCCAAAATGCTGGGATTACAGGAGTTAGCCACCACACCTGGCCTAGAATGTATTTTTTTATATCAAAAGAAAGAAAATGACTCTGTCCTTCATTCATACTCAAGTGCTTCTCCAGTGATCTCAGTAGCTCTAAATCCAGGGAGGTGGATGCCCTGGTAACATCAGCCTGCTTAGATCCTGTTTATGAAAGAAAGTGGAGGAAAGAAAAGACAGCAATAATATATACCTAAAGTTAAAGAACATATTTATGGTCTTTTAAAAGACAACTATGTCAAATATACTGGTCTCCCCTCTTACCTCAGTCTCTCCTCTCCCCACACTAGGAGCAAGTTCAGCAACTAGAATCTGGCTACTTTTCTGACCAAATCTGTCTTATTATTAGTCACATATTCAGGTTACTTTTTGTATTCATTGCCTATTGCTATATAATAAGTTTTCTCACCTTTAATGGATTAAAAATTAATATTTTCTGTGGGTCAGGAGTCCAGGAGCAGATTTTCCAGGTACTCCGGCTCAAGGTCTCTGCTGAAGTTGCAGTCAAGATGTCAGTCAGAGCTGCAGCCTTTTTTTTTTTTTTGAGATGGAGTCTCACTCTGTCGCCCAGCCTGGAGTGCAGTGGTGCGATCTCAGCTCACGGCAACCTCCGCCTCCCGGGTTCAAGCAATTCTCCTGCCTCAGCCTCCCGAGTAGCTGGGACTACAGGCGCACACCACTATGCCCAGCTAATTTTAGTAGAGATGGGGTTTCACCATGCTGGCCAGGCTGGTCTTGAACTCCTGACCTTGTGATCTGCCTGCCTCGGCCTCCCAAAATGCTGGGATTACAAGCGTGAGCCACCATGCCCGGCAGAGCTGCAGCCTTCTGAGGGCTCAACTGTGGCTGAAGGATCTGCCTCCAAGGTGGTTCGTTCACATGCCTGGCAGGCAGTGCTGGTTGTTGGCAAAAGGCCCCAGTTCCTTCCCATGAGGGCCTGTCCCTAGGACTGCTTCAGCATCCTCACAACATGGCAGCTGGTTTTCCCCAGAGGCAGTGACATGAGAGCAAGGCAGAAGCCATGGTGCCTTTTTATAACCTACCTTCTGAAGTCACCCTCCATTGTTTCTGCAATTCCTTATTTAGTGTGGGAAGGGCGGGAATAATAGAAACAAAAGAATCAGAAGAGAAGTCTCCTTTGTTGTATGAGGTTAGTGCTGAGGTCAGGAAACAAGTGAGAGGGGGCCATTCAGAGAAGGATGAAGTTTGCATCAGGGAAATGGAGTTGCTTTGGATTTCCTCTGACTCTTGCTCTTTATTTCTTGGTCTGAGGTCATTTTTGATGCTTTGTTTTTAATCCTTTATCGGCTGCCATACTATAAAGCTGTTGGAAATATCAAAAGAAAGAAAGAAAAGAGGAAAATCAAGTCAGAAAAAGTCACCTCTTTTTTTTCCCCATCTTTTTGCCCCTGTGACAAAAGGCTGATGGCAAAGGGAAAGTAAAATTTTTGAGATCTCCAGATAAACATGAATTATATTGTAAAAATATGAAGTGATATATCCGAGTTTGGATAAATAATCTCCAAGGCTTGCCTAGATGTTTTGAGGTCCAAGATGGATTGGTAGGAGGACACTTTTCCCAGAGTCTATTTGGAATTGAAGAGATAGGATGTAGGGATTATCATATTAGAAATATATTTTGAAATGGATCAGAACTATTATGGTGTTATGATATATACTGGTTTTCATCCACGGCTCCTGGCTCATAACCCCTGTATTAGTCAGGGGGGTTTATTAAGTGTTAACTCACATGATCACAAGGTCCCACAATAGGCTGTCTACAGGCTGAGGAGCAAGGAGAGCCAGTCCAAGTTCCAAAAATGAAGAACTTGGAGTCCAGTGTTTGACAGAAGGAAGAATCCAGCATGGGAGAAAGATGTAGGCTGGGAGGCTAGGCCAGTCTCTCTTCACATTTTTCTGCCTGCTTATAGTCTAGCCATGCTGGCAACTGATTAGATTGTGCCCACCCAGATTAAGGGTGGGTCTACCTTTCCCAGCCCACTGACTCAAATGTTAATCTTCTTTGGCAATACCCTCACAGACACACCCAGGATTAATACTTTGCATCCTTCATTCCAATGAAGTTGACACTCAGTATTAACCATCACCACCCGCTTAGCCCTTGTTGCAGTCTTTTATTATAATGTTGGGTGTGTGAGGCTGCAGTGGCAGCCTCTGACCTTCTCCTGCCCTCCTTTTGCCTGCTCCAAGGCAGAACTCTAATGTTCGCCCACCTTTATGATTGTGGGTCCTAAGACCCTCCCGTGAGAGGGTCCTGCCCTGTGCCCTGGGGGAAGGAATGCTCACATCACGAAGCTTCCCTAAAAACCCAAGAGGGTTCAGTGAGCTTCTGGATAGCTGAACACATGGAGGTTCCTGGAGGGTGGCACCCGGGCAGGGGGGTCATCGAAGCTTCGTGCCCCTTCCCCCATTCCTTGCCCTATGCATGTTTTCATCTGTATCCTTTGCAATATCCTTTATAATAAACTGGTAAATGTATTTCCCTGAGTTCTGTGAGCCACTTCAGCAAATTAATCCAACCCAAAAGGGAATTATGGGAGCCCCAACTTGAAGCCAGTTGGTCAGAAGTTCTAGAGACCCGGACATGTGACTGGTATGTGATGAGGGGGGCAGTCTTGGGGACTGAGCCCGCAACCTATGGGATCTGATATCATCTCCAGGTAGTGTTGGAAATGAACTAGAGAACACCAAGCTGTTGTCACCTGCTTGGTGTGGGGGGAAACCTTCACACATTTGGTCACAGAAGTCTTCTGTGTTGATGATTGTTGTGGCATGAGAGTAAAGGAAAAAGACAGAGTTTTTACACAACCATATTTGTAATTTTCTCCAACCCTGAGCATCTAGACTTCTAATAAACTATGCTTTTGCTAAGAAAGAACACGGGAGGAAGCAAATCCTTGACCCAGATCTCTGGCAACCTGAGATGGAAACTGACATGGCCCCAACACTACGCCTAACACCTGGGGCCTCACTCCTCTATAGGAATACAAGGTTGATTATACTTTTCTTCTTCTATCTTCAGTAAGAGTAATAATATCGAAAGGTTTCATTATTATTAGTATTATTATTATTATTACTATTGAGACAGAGTCTCACTCTGTCACCCAGGCTGGAGTGCAGTGGCATGATCTCGGCTTACTGCAACTTCTGCCGCCCGGCTTCAAGCAATTCTCATGCCTCAGCCTCCTGAGTAGCTGGAATTACAGGCACACGCCACCACACCTGGCTAGTTTTGTTTTGTTTTGTTTTGTTTTGTTTTCATTTGTTTGTATTTTTAGAAGGGATGGGGTTTCACCATGTTGGCCAGGTTGGTCTCGAACTCCCGACCACAGGTGATCTGCCCTCCTTGGCCTCCAAAAGTGCTGGGATTAAAGGAATGAGGTTTCATTATTTTTGAATAGCTTACTCAAAGATTAAAGAAAGAGCATATTTAAGGCTCTAGTGGCACTCAGTAGACCAAGGGAGGGAGAAGGAAGGGAGGAAAGTAAGAGAGGATGATAAAACCGTTTCAGCCACTGGCTGTGTGGAAGCAGCTAACTGTGGGAGGCAAGAATAGGGAAGAGCTGAAGAAGGAAGCTTTTCTTTCCTCAGCATTGCAAGGACCACTCACCAAGAGGGGATAGCCAAAAGAAATAATAATGTCCAAGGCAGTTACAACCACTCTTGGAAGCTTGCATCTCTTCATTCATGTTTGCGGTCATTGTTAGGTTTATCACATACTTTTATTAAAAGTTGCTCAGTAAAGTATCAAGTGTAGTTTATTTTCTTTCCATAAGAGAATTTAATAAAATTTTAGGAGTATCAAGCAAAGCTCAAGCTTTCATAGGCAGTTATCCCTGGTTCAATCTGTTCCTAGAACATATTCCTTTTTTTTTTTTTTTTTCCTGAGACAGGGTCTGGCTCCGTGGCCCAGGCTGGGGTGCAGAGGTGAGATCCTGGCTCACTGAAACCTCCGCCTCACACCTGTAATCCTAGCACTTTGGGAGGCCAAGGTGGACCGATCACTTGAGCTCAGCAGTTGGAGAACAGATTTCTGACATATAAAAACTATCCTTCATTTGATAGCTATTTCCCTGAGACCTCTGTGGTCCACTCCACATTTTGACTCTATTTATCAATGAATTTTTAAAAATCACTAAGCAGTTACGGTCATTTCCTGATAAAAAGTATTGAACTTTTCAGGCATAGTTCCTTTATGTATGTTTGATATGAATCATCAGAGAAATCTAAAGCAACATACACACAGTTCCTGACTTGCCATAGTTCGACTTAAGATTTTCCAACTTTACAGCGATTTGAAGGCAATGTTGAAAAATCTTAAGTTGCATCATCGCAAGTTCAGCAACTGTCTGTATGCTGCTTTAGAACCAAGTTGAAAAAGTACCGTAATAACTGTACTTCAAGTACCCATACAACCATTCTGTTTCTTACTTCCAGTATAGTATTCAATATATTACAGGAAATATTAACACTTTCTTATAAAGTAAGCTTTTTGTTAGAGGATTTAGCCCAACTGTGGGTGAGGCTAAGCTACGAGGTTCCGTGGGCTAGGTATATTAAATGTATTTTTGGTTTATGATATGTTCAACTTTTGATGGGTTTATGGGGACTGCAACCTTATCAAAAGTTGAGGAGCCCATCTCTGCTTGTGTGAAACTCAGGTGCAATGAAACTGCTCTGGGACTTAGCATCAGGAAACCTCAATTTGAATTCCTTCTCCACTACCTTGAACTAAATCACTTCAGCTTTCTGAGCTATCTACCTGTAATATCTGCTTAACAGGGATGCTGTGAAGATTAAATAAAATGACATGTGGGAATGTGCTTGTGTTCCCAAATACATGGTTGTTAGATTAATTTATGGTCATTGAATTAGCATCACTACTTTTTTTAGAGAGTTCCCAATAATTTAAAAAATTCTTAGGCTGGGCTCAGTGGCTCACGTCTGTAATCCCAGCACTTTGGGAGGCCAAGGCAAGAGGATTGCTTGAGCCCAGGAGTTCAAGACTAGCCTGGGCAACATAGGAAGACCTCATCTCTACAAAAAAAAAAAAAAATATATATATATATATATAAACATTTTCTGGGCACGGTGGTGCATGCCTTTGACCCCAGCTACTTGGAAAGCTGAGGCAGGAGGATAGCTTGTGCCCGGCTGGAAGAGATTGCAGTGAGCCGTGATTACACCACTGCACTCCAGCCTGAGCGATGGAGCAAGATCCTATCTCAAAATAATAATAATAATAATAATAATATAAAATAAATAAAACATTATTTAAACAAATGGTTATTTAGAACACACCATGAACCAGGCCTGTGCTCCGTGGTGGAGAGAAAAACAGTGAACAAGATGGTTATAGTTCTTGCTCTCATGGACCTTACAGTCTAGAAAGGAATACAGACTAGTATGCAGATAGTTACAATGAGGGGTGCCAAGGCATATATGTAACAATAACTTTGTTATTCTCATACTGTATTCTCATACTGTATGTTCTCATAACTTTGTTATTATCATACTGTATTCACTCCAAATCTGCATCTATGTAGCTTTTACAGTCTGTAAAGCCAGGACATAAAAGTGTTCGGCAATCTCAGGGCACAATTGTACCCCATGACAGATCCATTATTGGGCTTGAAGGCAGGTACCCTGTGTGACTCAACACAGGAATGGTAGAATGGCCACACCTCACCCACCTCAACAGCCATTGCAAGATTTTTTTTCTCATGAGATTTTATTGTGCAAGTTTTTTGTGCCATCAAGACCACAGGCTAGAGTCAGCCCTTGTTTCATTTTATTTATTTATTTTTTTAAGAAAAATTTAATTTTGGCCTGGTGCAGTGGCTCATGCCTGTAATCCCAGCACTTTGGGATGCTGAGGCAGGTGGGTCCCTTGCATCCAGGAGTCTGAGACCAGCCTTGGCCCCATGGCAAAACCCTATCTCTACAAAAAAATACAAAAAATTAGCTGGGCATGGTGGCACACACCTGTGGTCCCAGGTACCTGGGAGGCTGAGGTGGGAGGATGGCTTGAACCTGTGAGTTTGAGGCTACAGTGAGCCATGTTCATGCCACTGCACTCCAGCCTGTGTGACAGGGTGAGACTCTGTCTCAAAAAAAAAAAATTAGTTTTATTGAGGTATAAAATTAATTCATTTTAAGTGTACAATCTAATGATTTTTAATAAATTTATAGAGTTGTACACCCATTATTGCAATCTAGTTTTTATCACATTTTCCATCACCCATAAAATAAACCTTAGGTCCCTTTGCAGGCATTCTGTGTTCTTACTCTCAGCCCTGGCAATCACTGATCTATTTTCTGTCTCTGCAGATTTGCCTATTTTGGACATTTCACATAAATGGAATCAAACAATGTGTAGTCTTTTCTTTCACTTAGTATCATGTTGTTTCCTTTTTTTTTTTTTTTTTTTTGAGACCGAGTCTCACTCTGTCGCCAAGCTGGAGTGCAGTGGCGCGATCTCAGCTCACTGCAACCTCCGACTCCCTGGTTCAAGCGATTCTCTTGCCTCAGCCTCTCGAGTAGCTGGGATTACAGGCACACACCACCACACCCAGCTAAATTTTGTATTTTTAGTAGAGATGGGGCTTCACCATGTTGGCCAGGATGGTCTCGATCTCCTGACCTTGTGATTCACCAGCCTCAGCCTCCCAAAGTGCTGGGATTACAGGCGTTAAGAGCAGCATGTTTTTGAGGGGCACCCTTGTTGTAGCATGGATCAGTATCTTTCTATGACTAAATAGTATTCCACCATGTGGATAGTCCACATGTGTTATCTATTCATTGGCTGATGGACATTTGGATTGCTTCCACTTTTTGATCATTATTCTTGATTTCACTTAGTCCTTCCACGAATGGGCCAGATTTCTGACAGTTATCTTTGTTTTTGCCCCGAATGCAAAAACACAATGGCATTTTTGCCATCTTCCTGTTTGGTCTCTATTTTTTTTTCTTTTGCCATCTTTCTGCTTGATGTCTATCTTTCTCCTGCCTTTCCCTGTTGCTTCTCCCTTTCTCGCCTCACTATCTGTTAGTAAGCATACAGCACGATTCACTGGTAAGAGCCTTGAGTAACAAGCGGGAACACCTGGGTATAAGCCTGGGTTTAAGCCTGCTGTTAACTAGACCCTCTCTGAGCCATAGCTACTTCATTTAGGAGAGATCAATTAGAACACAATTTTATTCTCTTAGCAGAATCATTTTCTTAAAATTTTACTTAGAATCCTGAGACATGCCAGATTAGATTGCCACAAGATTTGAAGTGGAGGGTGGATCTCGGGGTCCTGTTGACTCTGTCCTTCAAATAGTCTGTGGACCTCAGAGCTTGAGTACTCAGTTTAAAATCCCCTGGATTAGTACAGTTCTAAGAGTCTATAAAAGCGTTTTTAAAACCTCAGATGTCCTAGTCCTTTTCCAACATATCCACATGAAAGGAATCAGGGGTCGTGGCAAAAGCATTAGACATCAGAATCAGAGGACCTCCAGGACTTCTTACCTCTGTAATCTTGGGCAAATTATTTAACCCGAATCTTAGTTTCCTCAAATGTCAATTGGAAATGGTAATGTGTACAGTGGTGACACGTCATGTGCACATTTAACATGCAGGAATTCAAGGATACAATTAGCACAAACATAATTTAGTTATAGTGCTGTACCTGCTATTTTTTCCTTAGCTCCACTCCTCACCCTTCATCTGCTGTGTCTTGGGCAAGGGGGCTGACCCCTACAGGCTGCATCTGACAGAGGTCCTTTCTGCTGGCTTCCGGTTGTGATCCATCTACAGAAGGCACCAGTGGGCAGGTGTGAGATTCCTTGGTTATGGATAGCCTTAATGTGTTGGTTTTCTCAAATGATGGTTGTAGTAGTAATGAAAAGGTTATGTTGACAGACTCAGGACCTCCTGGTTAGCCACGGTAGTATAGGCAATGGTGATAGCTGAGGTCATGCACAAGTTTTCTCCCTCCTGGGTGCAGTGTTATTCTACCTGGAGATGATGTAATGGACTTTGTCAGTTGGCCTCCAGCCAGGAAATGGTGCATGCAAAAGAGCACCAGCTGCAGTAGTAACAGTGGAATTGTGGAATCTACTGGAGGGCAGGAAGAAAGTCTCGGGTATTTCTCCTCATTCTTCACTTCTTGGGTGGCTTCACTAGTAGTGGCTGCATTTCCTTTATGGCTCTAGTTCTTGCTGAACGGGCCTACCTTGTTCCAGCTTAACTTCAGTGATCCCAGCCCCTAGTTCTGGTGTAATTTCCTCCAGCCGAGGGGTGGCAGAGGTTTTCAGAAATCAGGAATGGCTGGGTTGCTTCACTGTCTTTTATTTGGCTTCTGTATTAGTCCGTTCTCATTCTGCTAATAAAGACATACCCAAAACTGGGTAATTTTTAAAGGAAAAGGTTTACTGGACTCACAGTTCTACATAGCTGGGGAGCCTTCACTATCATGGTGACAGGCAAAGGAAAAGCAATAGCACATCTTACATGGCGGCCGGCGAAAGAGCTTGTGCAGGGGAACTCAGATCTCGTGAGACTTACTCACTACCACGAGAACAGTAGCGGGGGAACTTCTCCCTTAATTCAGTTACCTCCACCTGGCCCTGCCCTTGACAAGTGGAGATTATTACAATTCAAGGTGAGATATGGGTGAAGACATAGTCAAACCATATCAGCTTCTTAACTCTCTTCTGGACATTCCTATCCCCTGTGCAACTAATTCCCCGTAATAAAGCCCCTCTGTTTGAATACCTAGAATGGTTTCTGTTTTTCTGATTGGACCCTAATCAATGCAATGAAACCCTTGACAAAAAAGGAGGGAAAGAATAAGAATCTAAACAAGCTGGGCAATTCCACTAGCCATTCCTCTCAATGAGCCTGTGCCCTGAAGTGAGGGTGAGATGGGAGACATGGAACCCTCAGTTAGTCTCAGGTCTTAGTGTCCCTCATTGGGTTTTGTTTTTGTTTTTGTTTTTGTTTTTTGAGATGGAGTCTCACTCTGTTGCCCAGGCTGGAGTGTAGTGGTGTGATCTTGGCTCACTGCAACCTCCGCCTTCTGGATTCAAGCAATTCTCTTGCCTCAGCCCCCCGAGTAGCTGGGAGTATAGGCATGTGCCACCATGCCCACTCATTTTTGTATTTTTTTGGTAGAGAGGGATTTACCATGTTGGCAAGGCTATTCTCAAACTCCTGTCCTCAAGTGATCCACCTGCCTTGGCCTCTCAAAGTGCTGGGATTACAGGTGTGAGCCACTGTGCCCAGCCCCCTCATTGGGTTTTTAGTTGTGGAGGTTTTGGTATATCCTGGCCTCTAAGGCAAATGAACTTATTTACATAGACACAAAATTATGTGTCCTCTATTTCGTGGTCAGGGGATGTTAAGTGTATGTGATTTCACCTTCCTTGGTGACTACAGAACCCAACCCCTCATGCAAGATGAAGCTCTGCTGAGAATCACAGGGCAATATGAGCATCAGATAAAATAGTGTGAGTGAAAGTACATAATAAACTGTAAAATTTCAAACAAATATAGGACATTATTATTACTTACATTCCAAACCCCCATCATCCAGGAACAAGGCAATTTAAGTCTTTTTATAGGACTTGAGAAGTTACTTTGAAGGTTTTTTAGGGTTCTCCACTGTTTTCTGTTTTATTATTTTATATTATTTTGATTTTTTAGAGACGGGGTCTTACTCTGTCACCCAGGCTGGAGTGCAGTGTGGTGTGATCATAGTGCATTGTCACCTTGAATTCCTAGGCTCAAGTGATCCTCCCACCTCAGCCTCCCAAAGTGCTGGGATTACAGGCAAGAGCCACTGTGCCTGGCCTCTCCATTGTTTTCTACAAAAAAAGAGGAAACTAAATCATGATTCCTAGGGGAGATAAGGAGAGTGCATTTAACCTAATGGTCTCATTCCTTAACTAGAAACACATGGAAACAAAAAGTTATTTGAGCCCAGGAGTTGGAGGCCAGCCTGGGCAACATAGGGAGACCCCTGTCTTTACAAAAAGAGTTAAAATCAGCTGGGTGAGGTGGCACATGTCTGTAGTACCAGCTACTTAGGAGCCTGAGGTGGGCTGATTGCTTGAGGTCAGGAGTTCAAGGCTGCAGTGAGCAGTGATTGTGCCACTGCACTCCAGCTGGGGCAACAGAATGAGACCCTGTCTCAAAAAAAAAAAAAAAAAAAAAGTTGCATTCTTTGTTTTCCCCTGTAAAATGCATTAGAATTTACAGAATTATGAAAAGATTATCCTGTTCTTTGTCTTGGAGATGAAATTGGCATGGGAAAAAGTATGACATTTGACTTTACTTGCTAGGTGCTCAATGTTAAGTTAATGTTCCTGGCTGCGCGCAGTGGCTCACGCCTGTAATCCCAGCACTTTGGGAGGCCGAGGCGGGCGGATCACGAGGTCAAGAGATCAAGACCATCCTGGCCAACATGGTAAAACCCCGTCTCTACTAAAAATAAAAATAAAAATAAAAAATTAGCCAGCCGTGGTGGCACACACCTGTAATCCCAGCTACTCAGGAGGCTGAGGCAGGAGAATTGCTTGAACCCGGGAGGTGGAGGTTGCAGTGAGCCAAGATCGTGCCATTGCACTCCAGCCTGGAGACAGAGCAAGACTCCGTCTCAGAAAAAAAAAAAAAAAAAAAAAAAGTTAATGTTTCTTAGTATTTCCCTATATGTTTCTTCTAAAATCAGTGCTAGACTTAGAAAAGAAAAAGAAGCTTACAATTTCATTATTCTCTTCTCTGAGTCAGAAAGATGATTTTTGATGAGAAGATTTTCACACTGCTGCAGGAAACCACAAATTATACTGATGTGAACTAGGTCCCCACACATTTTTCCTCCCCAAATATGATCTTGCGGGGATCTATTTTGAATCGATGTCTCTTTTTAAGCCTTTGTTCAAATCTTCCTTCAAATTGCTTTATGACCCCTATCTTTTAGGACCAAGGGCTGAACATTCTTTTTTATTCTGAGAGGTAAAGAAGCTAAGGAAGCTCACGGGACACTAATGCAAGCTGACCTGTTCAGTTACTAATTTGCATTTTACAAAATAATAACAACAGTGACGGTGATGATGAGTGCCCTAAGATTGTTATCTTGGGTTTCTTAAATTAGACTTGAGAAACCGTTGCTAGCCAAACCTCCCAAGACTCATTCCCTGGTTGTTGTGTTTGATAAATTTGTCTCTCTGGTGACACATACCCGGCTGGACCAACAGAGTGATGAAATTCTCTCCTTCTTGCCTAATTTTTCTTTTGGACTCTACTCAGCAATATGTCTGAATTTCTGTGTAGGTGTCCAGCTTTTAGATTTTTCCAAGTTTTTCCAAAAATGTAATAAAACGGGCATGGTGACTCAAGTCTACAATCCCAGCGCTTTGGGAGGCCAAGGCAGGAGGGTAGGTTGAGCCCAGGAGTTTGAGACCAGCCTGGACAACATGGCAAAACCCCATATCTACAAAAATTAGAAAATTAGGAGGCGGGCTTCCAATCTAGTTCCATCCGGTTCTCCCACTGCCCTCACTGTGGTTCTCAGCAGCTGGGGACGCAGAAAGAGTGGCAGCGGCCAGGCTGCCCAGCTTCGTGAAGGCTCTCGGTGCGCCGCGGCCCGCAGGCACCTGGCACGCGCCCTCCCTGCCGCCAGGATGCCCAAGAGGAAGGTCATCTCCACCGAAGGGGCCGCCAAGGAAGAGCCCAAGAGGACATCGGCGAGTTTGTCAGCTAAACCTCCTGCAAAAGTGGAAGCGCAGCCAAAAAAGGCAGCAGCGAAGGATAAATCTTCAGACAAAAAAACGCAAACAAAAGGGAAAAGGGGAGCAAAGGGAAAACAGGCAGAAGTGGCTAACCAAGAAACTAAAGAAGATTTACCTGCAGAAAATGGTGAAACGAAAACTGAGGAGAGTCCAGCCTCCCTGATGAAGCAGGAGAGAAAGAAGCCAAGTCTGATTAATACCCTACACTACGTCTTCTCAGTGGTCCCTGTCCCCCTTCTTGTACAATCCAGAGGAATATTTTTATCAACTATTTTGTAAATGCAAGCTTTTGAGTAGCTCTAGAAACATTTTTAAGAAGGAGAGAATCCCACCTCATCCCATTTTTTAAGTGTAAATGCTTTTTTTTAAGAGGTGAAATCGTTTGCTGGTTATTAAGTTTTTGCTACAGCCAGAAAATAGTGTGGGATATTTAATTACGGGAGGCTTTGACTGTCTCGGGTGTCAGCTTAACATTCCGTAGATGGGGGGTTAGTTTTTATATCCTGAAATACAAAGCATATTAAATGACAATATGGAGTCAGTCCTGCATTTAATGTCTTGAACATTTTAAATTACTTCTATTCCCATGTTGCTTTTTAGTAGAATTGTTTCCTAAAGAAAACCACTCTTTGTTCATGGCTTTCCCTGTGAGAATTATGTGCACTCTGTAACCTCTTTGGTTGTGGTAGCCCTATTTTCCTAATAACTTTGTTACTGTGCTGTGAAAGATTAAAAATTTGAATGTGGAGTGTACATGCTGTTCCAGTTGTGAATCGGTGGGACGTGTGTGACAGCTTATCAACATGTGAAGATACTGGTACCTGATAGCCTCTTAAGGAAAATTTGCTTCAGAATTTCGAGCTGGGAAGTCACTGGAATAACTTTAAAAATGAATTACAAAACATGGCTTTTTAGATTTTTGTTACGTATGTTAAGAATTGTGTACAAATTGAAATGTCTGTACTGATCCTCAACCAATAAAAATCTCAATTATGAAAGAAAAAAGAGAAAATTAGCTAGGTATAGTGGGGTGCACCTGTAATCTCAGCTATTGGGAGGCTGAGGTGGGAGGATCACTTGAGCCCAGGAGGTTGAGGCTGCAGTGAACTATGACTGTGCCACTGCACTCCAGCCTGGGCGACAGAGTGAGACCCCATCTGAAAAAATAAAATAAAATGAAGAGCCCCAAATCAGTGTTTTGAATAGTTTGAAATCAGCCTTATCTGTTGAGACAAGCACTGATGGATGTTGTTAGATTCCTGCCACCCTGTGTGTGTGTGTGAGGGGAAGGGATGCTGCGGGGAGGGAAGGATGGAGAGAGACAGGCAGGACCTGTTCTGTTTTACACAGGGCTGAAATCTTACAACACATGCCATGTAATCAGGCTAAGGACAAATAATCCCTATGAATAAATTTACAGTGAATTGACCTACATTTCACATTAGATAAAACACACTTAAGTCATTAAATGAATTTCTCCCTCTGGTTCATTAGTTCCCAGCATGCTCTGATCCTTTGCTCATTTGTCATATGGCTCATGAAAGCTGAATGTGGGAAAAAGAAACTAAATCACTGCATCTGTCCCCTTACCAGGTCAGGATATGTTCCCCAAAGAGGAGTTATTACGATGTTGGAGATTGACTGGTTCTACGGTTGATCTTGGCTAAGAGACTGAGAAGCTACACTCGACATATCGGCCTTGTGGCGTTCTGCCAAGCGCTGTGCACATTAGCAGTGATGCGCCCATGCTCGCATTACCCAGGAGTCATCTGATGCTAAGAGCTTAGATTCAGCAGCATGAGAGCTCTCGAGAATGGGTCTCATCAGAGTTCTGAGCAGCAGGGTTGATGAGTAAAGAGGCTGGCCTTTAAAAAAAACTCTCACTTGAAGCTCAAACCTTTAAGTTTTCCTTTCGTCTCTGGAGATACTCATTGAGTAAAGGTGTTGTAGAGGGAACCATTGTGGGTTGGCCCCAAATAGTATTTGCTGTGGCATGTAGGTCCAAGTGGACCTATTTTTTAATGGTGATGTCTTTCTTGGTGTGGAACTCACGGTGTTTCGTGAAGCTGCTGGTCTGGCGTTGGAGAGTCTGAGAAACAAGTCAACATTATAACATTAGCCATTCTAATGAGACTCAGAGCAGGTGAGTGTAGCATTTTAATACATAAAGGCCAACATATAGTAATGCTCTAGGGTAGAAACAGGAGCTCTGAAAAACAGAAAGAAGGAGAGTAGCATGAACAGGGCTGACCATGTGTCATCAATGGCTGCCCCCAAAGCTCATGGGATCTTAGTTGGCATTACTAGAGTTATGGACAATGGAAAGAAGGTGCACTGGGGATACTGAAGCTATGATATTTGTCCAGCATTTTGGCCAATATTTTAAGAGGCAAAGTGGAACATGTTCAGGGTAAGTAATTTACAAGATGCCATATGAAAAATGATTCATCCAAACAACATATACTAAGCCGAACCCAGAGCTGAGGGCTACAGATAACAGAGATGTAGGTGACACCTTCCCCAGTCTCGAGGTCACAGTTAGTAATGGCTGAAAGAATGTAAGATTCGTAGTTAGGTAAAAAGGAAACTATATGCTCAAATATTTTAAAAGCAATCATGTGAAAGAGGATTAGTCCTGCTCCCTGTGTTACTGAGGTGGAATTAAATCCAGTGAGTGGAAGCCACAAAGACTCAGTTTAGTTCAATATGAGCTGAAATTACCAACAGTGAGAGGAATTTGAAGGTGCAGTGGACAGCTCCAGGGAGCTGTGAGATCCTGGTTCTCAGATGTTTAAAAACAGGCCTGGCCAGGCACGGTGGCTCATGCCTGAGACCCCAGCACTTTGAGGGGCAGAGGTGGGAGGATCAGTTGAGCCCAGGAGTTTCAGGCTGCAGTGAGCCAAGATCATGCCACTGTACTCCAGCCTGGGTAACAGCGCGAGAGACCCTGTCTCTAAAAAAGAAAAAGAACAGGCTGGCAGGGCGCAGTGGCTCACGCCTTGGGATGCTGAGGTAGGTGGATCACTTGAGCCCAGGAGTTTGAGACCAGCCTAGACAACACGGCAAAACCCTGTCTCAACTGAAAATACAAAAATAAGCTGGACGTGGTGGCATGTACCTGTAATCCCTGCTACTTGGGAAGCTGAGGCAGGAGAATTGCTCGAACCCAGGAGGCAGAGGTTGCAGTGAGCTGAGATCACATCACTGCACTCCAGCCTGGGAGACAGAGCAAGACCCCGTCTCAAAAAAACAAACAAACAAACAACAAAAAATAAAAATTAGCCAGTTTCATAACCTATCTCAAAATAAATAAATAGATAAAAAATTTTAAATTAATTTTTTAATAATAATGAATAAGAACGGGCCTGATGACCAGTAGTAGGGGTAGTTGCCGGCACATATACTCCCCTATTCATTCAGTATTTACCCTATTCCATACCAGTGCACCAAATACATTCCTGTGTTCCAAATTTTATGGATATACTGGTGAGTAAAATCAAAGACCCTTCTCTCATGTAGCTTATACCTCATGGCGAGAGACAAACATGAATCGAACAATCACATGAGTATATGTAAAACTGCAACTGGGAAAGTGTTTGATGGAAAGGCCCATTGGGTGTTACAAGAGCAGATAAAAGGGTGTTTGACCTATCGCGGGAGGCCAGGGACATCCCTGATGAGAAAACCTCAACTGAGCTGAGATCCGCAGGCTGGGTTGGGGTACAGAAAGGTGTTCCAGGCAAAAAGGACAGACTACGCAGGCTTCTATGGTAGGAAGAAAGCTCTTAGATAACAGGGAGTTGATTCTCAATGATGTTTAAGACCTCTTTCTTTTTACAAATTTTTATCTATTTATTGAATAGGTAATACATAAATTTAACACATTTCAAAGGTATGAAAGGGTACAGAGTGAACAGTAAGCCTCCCTTATTGCTCTGACCCAGAAACAATCACTCTTGCCGGTTTTTCTGATCCTCCTAAAGGTATTAGATGCATCAACTAATATTCATTTTTCTATCCTCCACAAAATTGTAGTACCCTCTACACCATGTTATATCTTGCTTTATTCTCCTCACAATATATCTGAGGCTCTCTCAGCACATTCAGAGCTACCCTGCAGGTTTTTTAGCAGCCACACAGCAATCCAGTGAAGGAGGCACCATTGTTGAGTTAGCCTCTCCTTTACCGAGGCTATGTAGGAGGACTGCAAGCAAAACAGCAGTGAATATCCTTGTACGCACAAAATTTTGCAAATCTATGATTGTCTGTAATGCAAACTTTGGTTTTCTTCTTTATATTATGTCTGATTACAATAGTCATACATGCTTACAGGAAAATATTTGCAGAAATATATGACGCAGAATGTGGAAGTACTCAAGAATCTCACCTTTCATAACCACTATGGCTATTCATTTGTCCAGATGATTTCTAATCTAGAATAATTGAAAAAGAAGGGGCATGTGGCACACAGAGCATAAGGCAGATTCCAGAATCTTTCCCTCTCTATGGTTTGGAGTTCACATGGAGAGAAGCTGTAATTCCTCCCAGAGGGTGCTGACGCATTCCTCTACTATAATAACTGTTTTTAACTTGGATTCCACGGATGACTTTGGGATAGAGATTAATTCGTCAACGAAGGTGTATTTTCCATGTAAGGGATCTAAAGCTTTCATCAGATTCCTTTTTTTTTTTTTTTTTTTTTTTGAGACAGAGTTTTGCTTTTGTCCTCCAGGCTGGAGTACAATGGTATGATCTCGACTCACTGCAACTTCTGCCTCCCAGGTTCAAGCAATTCTCCTGCCTCAGCCTCCCAAGCAGCTGGGATTACAGGTGCCCGCCACCACGCCTGGCTAATTTCTGTATTTTTAGTAGAGATGGGGTTTCACCATATTGGCCGGGTTGGTCTTGAACTCCTGACCTCAGGTGATCCATCCTCCTCAGCCTCCCAAAGTGCTGGGATTACAGACGTGAGCTGCTGCGCCTGGCCTCATCAGATTCTTCAAGGGGTGTATGATCCCCCACCAAAGTTAAGAGTATCTACTACTAGAGACAGTCATCAGATAAGTTTCATTTTTCACTGAAGAGTGGTATTAAATCCTGCCAACTACACCAAAAAGAAAAAAGAAAGAAAGAAAAAAGAGTGGTGTTAGTCTTGGCAGAGGGCTTTTCCAAGGGTTTCTAAATTATTGCAGAATTTAAATAAATTATTTAGCCTCATCTATTAAATAAGGGTTAATAATGGCAACTCATGGGGTCGTTATGAGGATTAAATGTTAATATTTGCAAGCACTTAGAAAGTTGCTATCAGATCATAAGCCCTATTACATACATGTTTGTAAAGTAACACTAGTTCACGTGTTCCCTGCCTGCCCCAACCACAAGGAGAAAACCAAGCTCCGTAGTAAAGAGCAGAAGACTTTTGACAAGCAGCCAGACCTCCTGAATAATTTCTAACACAGAATCTTCCCTAGGCAGCATGCTATCCCTATCCAGAGATCAAAACGGATCTAGGTCATTTGAGGAAGTAGCCAGGCAAAGGATATTGAAGAGCTGCAGTAAAACGGAATGTTAATTATGCAGCTAGGAAGGACAATTTTTTATAGTAAAAAAAAAAAAGCAAATTATGTATAGACTAGATAGATACATACATACAAATGTGCATATGTATGTACCTATATGTGTATATCATATGTATAAGAAATTATTTAATTTTAAATTGAGGATTTTTTTTTCAACAGCAAGAGAAGGAGCTACCTGTAAACTAAAATACCTGAAAACTTACAGTTCAGGATGTGTAACCAGCAGGAATTACGATCACTTTTCTCTTTCCTCATCACCTCCCCTTGCCAAAAACTATGTATGTACACATAGACATAAATATATCATTTATTACTTATAGAATAATGCAATTGAATTATTTTGTCTAAAAGGCACTTTAAGTATTTCAGATGCTTTGAGGACTGTTGAAAAAGTGCATGTGCAAGTCGATCCCAGGTCCTATTGTTTTCTCCTTCCATCTCACCATTCAGTGTCATAGAGTCCCAGCCCTGCACTCACTAAGACTTAAGTGGGGGAATTAATTCAGTTCTGTCTCATTAAGTACTGAGCACAATGGCCAAGCGCAGTTGCTCATGCCTGTAATCCTAGCGTGCTTTGGGAGGCCGAGGGGGGCCGATTGGCTGAACCCAGGAGTTCGAGACCAGTCTGGGCAACGTGGTAAAACCCTGTCTCTACTAAAAATACAAAAATTAGCCGGGTGTGGTGACATGTGCCTCCAATCCCAGCTACTTGGGGGGCTGAGGCACAAGAACTGCTTGAACCTGGGAGGTGGAAGTTGCAGTGAGCCCAGATCGCGCCACTGCACTCCAGCCAGAGCGAAACCCTGTCTCTAAAACAACAACAACAACAACAACAACTAGTACTGAGCACAAGTATTGAGCATCTAGTCTGTGCCAGAAGCATGGCATAAAGCAAAGAGAAATCAAATGGAGTCTCTAGGCTCTGCCTCTGTCAGCTTGTCTGTAAAATAAGGTGCTTGAATTAGATGATTAATCTGTCTTTTCCTAGCTCTGACTTCTATGATATGAAGTAAAACCATGCAATCGTTTGTATCTAAAAATCTTCAGAACATTTACCAATAGGCTTCATGATCATCAAATTGCCACACAAATCTCATCACCTCTACTGTGGTCCCTCCAGTACTTGAATCGTTAGCAATGTATCATTAATGCTGATAATGCATCATTAATAATGACAGGTTATTTGTACGGTGTGTCGTAATACCAAGAACTCTTCATAACAACCATGGGCCAGAGAGCTCTGGCAGTCTCACCCTTGTTTTTACAGACAATGAAACTGAGACTGAGAAAGGTTGAAGGTGGCAGAATAAGGACTTGAACCCGTGTCTAACTTGTGGTCAGGGCTCTTTCCACCCCTACCACCACTGCACTTATGAAATGCTAGTGGGCATTGTCCCCACTGTGTGCCTACATCTTCCCTCCCATCCACATGAGCAGGGGCAGTCCTATACAATTTCTTTATTGCACTCGCAACATTGTGCCCACGGGGCACCTGCTTCACTCTGCACCCAGTGCAGGCCCCATCCCACATTTGCTTGGTAGGACTGGGAGCTGCTGTGGGGTGAATCAGGGCTCTGTGGCCCAGCCCAAGAGAAAGAAGTTTAATAGAGAGACCTAGGCACAGACCTCAGCTGCCTGCCCTGGCAGAGGCACTCCCCAGGGCAGAAACACAAACCCAGAGTTCTTTGTCCATCTTATCCCAGCATCAGCAGGCCCTGAATTGTTCATTGAAGTTCCTTGAAGGAAGCTTGCTGTCAATTAGACTTGTTCCGTTTAAGGTTTTGATCTCAACAAAAATGAGTGGGTCATTTCAGTGCTTCTGTGAGTGACTCTGAGAGACCTGCAGCCACGGCTGCTGGCCAGCCGGCCTCAGCCGTACAGAGCATGCTTTCACGTTGACCTGCCTGAGGCCAGCCCTCGTGGAATGTTTCCAATAGTAATGATAAAAAATGTGCTTGAGCTTAGGTGGCATTGGGAATATTTTTCAAAGCACAGTCACATTCAAACAAACGCTGGGGCAGGCATGACCGACTCCTTTATAACCTAGGAAAGAGAGATTAGCTATGGTGAATTGGGTCCATGCAGCTATTAAGTTGCAAAGTTGAGACAGGAATGCAGATCTTCCATACCCAGCCGTGTGATCTCTGCATTCTACGAGGCTTCCACCACCCTGTAGAGCTGGTTAGGTTTATCTTGGAGACTCTCTCTCCTGCTCCAGGTTCCAGAGCTTTTCAAGAGTCAGAGGGCCAGGCGTGGTGGCTCACGCCACCAGCACTTTGGGAGGCTGGGGCGGGCAGATCACCTGAAGTCAGGAGTTTGAGACCAGCCTGGCCAACATGGTGAAACCCCGTCTCTACTAAAAATGCAAAAATTAGCCGACGGGTGCCTATAATCTCAGCTAATTGGGAGGCTGAGGCACGAGAATCACTTGAACCCAGGAGGCGGAAGTTGCAGTGAGCTGAGATGGAGCCACTGCACTTCAGCCTGGGCGACAAGAGTGAAACTCCATCTCAAAAACAAAAAAAAAAAAAAGAAAAAGGAAAAGAGTCAGAGAACCCCTACCTCATCATGAAGCTGAGTCCTGCCTTCCCCTGGTGAATGGCATGAGTTCTGAAGTCGCCCTCTTCTTCTCCATCCACCTCATGAAACCTCTTACTGTCTTTCTAAACAGATCACGGCTCCAAGGGAAAAGCAATGGGATTACACGTATTTGCACACAGATGTGAACTGATGAAAGTTAACATATTTGTCAGGAATACTTGTGGAATCCCAAAACATAGGACTCTCTAAGGGTGAAATTTCAAGAGCTATTTGTAAGCACACAAAATGCACTGTAAGGTGTCTGTTTACTCCTTAAATTCTGTTCTAGATCCCCTACACAGCATGGAGGTTTGGTGTGGCTGGGGAGAGCAGATGCTCAGGCCCAGAGCATCTTTGCAGTTCTGAGCCCATGAGCAGTGACAGTAAGAAAAGTGGGCAGATAGAATGCAAAAGAGCTGTGCCCAATTCAAGTACAGACAATGGATTACCCCATGTGACACGGCTGCTGAGAACAAAGTCAGGTTCATGACACCACAGACCCATTCCTGACGATGAGCCCAAGACCCTCCGTGTTCCCAAGGTCATCCTAGAACCATTAAACTGGGTTCCCAGCACTGTGAGGCCACAAAGCTCCAGATCAGCCATTCTTTTGCCACCTTCACTCCTCACCCCTGCTTGTTCTGGAAGCCCAGGTGCACTTCCGCAACAAGGGAGCACTAAATAATCCACCCCGAGACTCTGGGGCTGTGCCCGGCTGCCGACTTTTCCACAGGAACCTTGGGGCTCATCGGTTTATAGATTTCCCCAATCAAAAAACAAAGAATCTCAGCTACCTCTCCTTTCCATCTACCGTTGTTACACATCTCTCTAGACTGTCTCTGAATCTCCTACTTCCTTCCCTGCTGTGATTGAAGTGGGCACTTTAGAAGCAGACTCATTTTCTCTCCTATCTGCTCTGGGCTTTCAGCTTCATGCAGCAGTGCTCCCCCAAAGCCCAGCTATTCCCTTTCTCCCTAAGAGTCCCTCCATTAATGCCCCATCAGGAACCCCTGCTGCTAGCAAGAGGAGCAGGAATGCTAACCTTAGCTGGGCACTGATCACAGCTCAGGCTCCGTGCTAAGTGCTTGCCTTGCATTTTCTCATTTAATCCCAACAAATGAATGATCCGAGTGCTAGTTCTGTGTGTGTGTGTGTGTGTGTGTGTGTGTGTATGAGTGCCAATTTTACAAGTGGGGAAACTGACGCACAGGCAGGGGAAGTAATTTGCCCAAGATCACATGGTTGGATCGTGGAGGAATTGGGGTGTTCTTGCTAATACAAACAAGCTTCAGGGAATAGCCTTGTGCTTTTAACTTTGGAAGCTCTAGAATAAATTCCTTGAAGGGGAATGATGCGGTCAAACAGACAGCACAATTAACATTTTAGATAAATCTTTCCAAATTGTCCCCCAAAATGGTTTTCTACATTATACTTCCATCAACTATGTATGAGAATGCCAGTTGTATCCTTGCCATTACTGGATATTTTCAATTTTGTATCCCATTCCGATACATAAGGACTTTGTTTTCATTTTCATTCTTTAGTTACTGGTGAGGAGGAGCACATGTTCATGTTTATTGGCCCGTTATAGTTTTCTGCCCAGATATAAATGTTAATAATACAAAACAACTCATTTTCTCCCCAGAATCCACATTTCCTTTATTCCCTGTCAGGATCACCCACTAGTTACCCAAAACAGAAATCCAGGAACAGACTTTGGGTCTTCCTTCTGCTCTTCTTTCTCTCTTTTCTTTCTTTTTTTTTTTTTTTTTGAGATGGAGTCTTGCTCTGTCACCCAGGCTGGAGTGCAGTCTTGGCTCATTGCAACCTCCACCTCCTGAGTTCAAGTGATTCTCTTGCCTCAGCCTCCTGAATAGCTGGGATTATAGGTATGTGTCACCATACCTGGCAAATTTTTGTATTTTTAGTAGAGACAAGGTTTCACTATGTTGGCCAGGCTGGTCTCGAACTCCTGACCTCAGGTGATTCACCCACCTCGGCCTCCCAAAGTGCTGGGATTACAGGCATGAGCCACTACCCCTGGCCTCTTTCTGCTCTTCTTTCTACAGCTAGTCAGTCTTGACTGCCTCTTATATGCTTCTGGGATCAACTCCATACTGTCCCCATGACCCCCTGGATGGTGCAGGCTGTCATCACCATTCTCAGAACAGTCCTTGGGGGATGCTGCTGAGGTAGCTACTGCACAGGCCTTGTCTTGTTTTATTCTCAATAACCTTAGAGTGGGTGCTGTTATCCCCATTGTCCACTGCGTGTTCCACATCATGAGGGAGGATCACTTCCTCCACCCCCTTCTCTGCTGCTCCAATGGCTTCCTCTCCTTGTCTTCTTGTCCCCATGTCTAAAGCTTTCACCTTCTGAGGAAGACCACAGGCCTGCTTCCAGCCTGCCTGGCCCCAAAGAAGGCCCTGCCAGGTCAGAGAGCCCACGGACAGGCCATGTGGTTCAGAAGCTGAGACGGTGAACCCTGACTGACCAGCTTTCTTGCTCTTTCTAAAGCGGGCTTGCCCTCTTCTCCTTTTCCCGGTATCTGCTCACATCTCCCTTTTCTTTACCCTCACTCCCGTTTCTACTCTTATTTTCTCTGTGGCTCTTACTCAATAGGCTTTCTTCCCCTGTGTTTTCCCATTTGTTTCTCTGTCAGCCTTTTATTTTTTCCAGACGGAGTCTCACTCTGTGGTCCAGGCTGGAGTGAAGTGGTATGATCTCAGCTCACTGAGACCTCCGCCTTCCAGGTTCAAGCGATTCTCCTGCCTCAGCCTCCCAAGTAGCTGGGCTTACAGGCACCCGCCACCACGCCCGGCTAATTTTTGTATTTTTAGTAGAGACGGAGTTTCACCATGTTGGCTAGACTGGTCTCGAACTCCTGACCTCAGGTGATCTGCCTGCCTTGGCCTCCCAAAGTGCTGGGATTACAGGCGTGAGCCATCGTGTCCGGCCTCCCATCAGTCTTTTCTAGTCCCACTCATTTAATTGCCTTTTTGTTTCCTTGCAGGGTGAATAGGATCTCAGGGCCCCAAGAAGGAAGCAATAGGGAAAGGCACCGCCTGATCCTCCACTGCAGGCAGAAAACAACTTCTGCTTTCTCTTGCTGCCTCTCGGGGTCAGCATGCAAACCTAGGTGGGGTCCGCCCCGCCGCAGACCCTTGCCCACCGGCCCTAAGGCTGGCCATTACCGTCACGTGGGCCCTCTAATCCGCAGAAGTCAGAGTTCTCACCCAGAACTGCCATGATCCTCTCCCTGCTCATGCGATTTCCTTGTGGCCGTTCTCGGCCCCACTCCTGAAATCAGGAAAAGGATCTTTGCCTCTGAGCGTCAGAAGGGGAGGAGTCCGGTGGAGCCTAGTGAACCAGCACCATCTATGCTTTAGAATCTTTGGTGATTCTGACAATTCGAGTTCTCCATGGATGACAATATCTGTGGCCCAGTAAACCGGTTTAGAAAAACTTCATTAGCTCCCTGCCGCAGGGGAGCAAAGGGCCAGTCTGCACCTCAGGTTCACCCCACTGTGCTGTTGAGGCAGGGGTCCTGGGGCCCTCCCAGCTGAGTCCCGCACCCTCGCTCCTCTCCTGCAGATGAGGCTGGGACAGTTGATCTGCAGAGCTTCGGTGTCCCCGCAGCAGGGGATGAGTAACACCCCTTCTCTACCCAGACAGCTGCCCTGCGACCTCCTTGGTCCCTCTTTTGGCTCAAGAGCCTGCTTAGATCAGGGTCTCATTCTGTTACACCCTTTATTACTCTCAATCAGTTTTGTTGAATTTAACTGGGGTTTGGAAAATTAAAAACAAAGTCAACATTTATTTCATGATTCCCTGGAAGCCTAGTTGCAGTTTAAGCTTCGCAACTGGCTCCCGTTTCCACCAAGATTATAGGGTCTCCACCACTGTTTCCCTACCGCCATGCTTTTTGTTTTGTTTTGCTTTTTGAGATGGAGTCTCACTCTGTCTCCCAGGCTGGAGTACAGTGGTGCGATCTCGGCTCACTGCAAGCTCCACCTCCTGGGTTCACACCATTCTCCTGCCTCAGCCTCCCGAGTAGCTGGGACTACAGGTGCCCATCACCACGCCCAGCTAATTTTTTTTTTTGTATTTTTAGTAGAGATGGGGTTTCACCGTGTTAGCCAGGATGGTCTCCATCTCCCGACCTTGTGATCCGCCCGCCTCGGCCTCCCAAAGTGCTGGGATTATAGGCGTGAGCCACCACACCCGGCCCTGCCATGCTTCTAAAGTCTTGGCATGCATCAGAATCACCTGGTGTGTTTGTTAAAATTCATATTCCTGTGAAATCTAGACCTCAAAGAAATAGCTGCACACCTGTGTTGATTGCAGCACATAGCCACAATTGCCAAGACATAAATCAAACTAAGTGTCCCTCAATAGATAACAGATAAAGAAAATGTGGTATATATGCATGCTGGAATACTATCCAGCCTTTAAAAAGAAGAAAATATTGCATTTGCGACAACATGGATGAGTATGGAGGATATTATGCTGCTAAGTGAAATAATAAGCCAGCCAGAGATGCTGCATGACCTCTGGAATGTGAGCTCTAAGGTAGTCACACACAGTAGCAGAGAGCAGAATGGTGGCTGCCAGGGGCTGTGGGCAGGGGGATTGGGAAGGTGTTGGTCAAAAGGTACACAGTTTCAGTTACGCAAAGTAATTATCTCTGAAGATAAACAACAACAACAACAAACAAATGACCAGGCGAGGTGGCTCATGCCAGTAATCCCAACACTTTGAGTGGCGGAGGTGGGTGGATTGCTTAAGCCCAGAAATCTGAGACCAGCCTGGGCATCATAGTGGGACCCTGTCTCCACAGAAAACTTAAAAATTGGCCAGGTGTGGTGGTGCACACCTATAGTCCCAGCTACTCACGGGGAGGTGGAGGCTGAGATGGGAGGATTGCTTGAGACCGGGAGTTCAAGACTGCAGTGGGCCATGATCACAGCGCTGCACTCCAGCCTTGGCAACAGAGGGAGATTGTCTAAAAAAAGGAGAGAGAGAGGCACTACTTACAGAGTATCAAAGAATGTCCACAGTTACCTGAAAAGGCTACAAAAAATATTTGTCTTAGAAAAGATTAGCGGTTGCCAGGAGTTAGGGATGTGGTGAGGGAGGAAGGGAAGTGGCTTCAGATATACAAGGTAGCACAAGAGATCTGTGTGATGCAACTGCCTGTCTTCACTGTGTGGCGGTTACATGAATCTGCACATGTGATAAAATCACACAGAACTAAGGACACACACATATGAGCTCATGTTAAAACTGGTAAAATCTGAATAAAGTTGCTGGATTTTATCAATGTTGATTTTCTGGGTGTGATATTGTACTATAGTCATGCAAGGTGTTACCACCGGGGAAAGGTAGGTGAAAGGCCTACAGGATCTTTTTGTACTTTGTTTACAATTGCATGTAAACCTACAATTATCTCCAAATAAAAAGTTTTTTTAAAAAAGTTTTAAGCTGCATATTCCTGGGACCCTCCCCATACCTGCGGAATAGAAATCTCCAAGAGGGTGAGGCCCAGCTATCTATATTTGAGAACAAGCTGCCCAGGGATTCTGTTGTGTAGTCAATCTCTAAACCTATGCTTCTCAAGCCCTGATCTGGTTGAGCTGGAGCTCCCAGTATCCTGCCTGCTGTGTTTAGGGGGTTTCATTTCCTGAAAATGTCTTTGTGATTGTGGCTGAGCAGGGCTGGAGGCAGGAGGTAACGAAATACGGCTTTGCACATGATCTCTTAGTTTTCAAATCTAAGTGTTTCATCTTCCCACAAGCTAGGCAGCTCCCCTGGGTGGGGTCTTGTTCTCTCTTCTCCAACCCTCTCCACCCACAGCCCAGTGCATGGTGTGAAAGCCCAAAGCAGCAAGTTCAATTTCCCGGGTTCTTTCCTCCCATCTAGCACAGGCCCAAGAGTTTCTGTTTAAGTATTTGAATACTTCCTGAAATAGCAATGCCATTCCCAAAGCCCCTTTCTCCTGCCTCCTCACAGTAAGGACACAGATTGTCCCTCATCCTAAACTCCTTGGACCTCTATTTGACAATAATGTGACTCTGTGCCAGGTGCCAGCTAAGCACTTCACTCCAAGCAACTCCATGAGGGAAGTAATATCATTATCCTTATTTTTCAGATGAGAGAAATAAGGCTCAGAGAGGTCCTATGACTTGCTTAAGTCCACACAGCTAACAGATGGTGGAGTGGGGATTTGAACCTGGCTTCTGACCCTAGAGTCTACTCTTTACCACCAAGTTGCTCTGGGCAGGCATCTGCCTCTGTGTCCCCTTGAGCCTTCGTAGGATATTCCCTCCTTGTTCTTTCAATCTTTCCTTCCAGCCTCCTCATGCAGTTTCCACAGCCTTGTCAGTTTGACACAGTGCTGCGACTTGACACAAACTGCATGAGGCTTGATCACTTACTGGCTGTGTGATCTTAGATAAGTTAATTAGCCTCTCTGGGCCTCAGTTTCCTCATCTATAAAATCAGATGCTATCTATGCATGTGTTAATGGGAGGATTGTGTACAGGACTTAGCTCAGCACCACCACTAGTCGTTTACAATGTCATATATCTAAGACATTTATAATGATTATCCTATGCCTTCGTCTTTTAGGGCAGGGCTTGGTAAACTACAGCTCATGGGCCAAAACTGAACAGTTTTTACATTTTTATTTTTTATTTATTTTTTTTTTTTGAGGTGGAGTCTCATTTTGTCACCCAGGCTAAAGTGCAGTGGCACGATCTCAGCTCACTGCAACCTCTGCCTCCTGGATTCAAGCAATTCTCCTGCCTCAGCCTCCCAAGCAGCTGGGATTACAGGCACATGCCACAAACCTGGCTAATTTTTTTTTTATATATATTTTTAGTAGAGATGGGTTTTCGCCATGTTGGCCAGGCTGGTCTTGAACTCCTGATCTCAAATGATCCACCTGCCTCAGCCTCCCAAAGTGTTGGGATTACAGGTGTGAGCCACCGCACCCGGGCCACATTTTTAAATAGTTGAAAAATAACCAAAAGAATAAAATTTCATGACATATGGAAATTATATGTCATTCAAATTTCAATGTCCCCAAATAAAGTTTTATTGGAATACACCACACTCATTTGTTTCCATAGTGTCTATGACTGCTTTCACACTACTATGGCAGAGTTGAGTATGTTGTTGCAACAGAGACTGCATGGGCCACAAAAGCAAAACTATTTTCTATCTGGCTCTTCATAGAAAATGTTTGCCAACCCCCATTCTAGAACATAAAAGCCTTATTCTGAAGGTACCTCCTGCACTTGAGCCCCTAGCAGTAAATATACAGCAGCAGCAGTCCTGTTTATTTGCAGAACACATTGGAAGAAGAGGTTTGTGGAGCACTGGCACAACATAGGCTTTGGACACTGGCAGCAGACGATGGGCATTAGGGACAGAAAAAGTAAGAAGAAGATAAGGTCACTGGCTGGGACTCAAAGAAACCCACCACCCTCTTCCCAACAGACATACTTTATCATTTGGCTTCCAGAATTTCCCAGCCTCCCTTGCACTTAGTGGGGTCAGGTGATTAAGGCCTGGACAATGATATGTAAGCAGAATTGCTGTTCCAGCTTCTAGGACACTTCCTTAAAATGTGCTAGCACGTGCTCCTCCCCTTCTCTTTGATCTCCCCTTTACCTTGTTGCCTGGAACATAGATGTGATGGCTGGAGTTCTGGCATCCATTTTGGACCATGAAGATAAGAACTACTTTCTAAGGACAGCAGAATAGTGATGGAAATGGGCTGGTTTCCTGAGAAGTGGGAGGGACAGAGCCACAATCCAGCCCTGAATTGCTTGTCCCTAGACTTTTACATGAAAAAGAGAAAAAAAAACCCACAAAAATAAAAGTGATTATATCTGTGAAGCCCCATTGTTATTTTGGAATTTTTTCTTTGAGATGAACTTACTAATCCTAATTTATATGGTCCTCAGTGTCTTTTGGTGGTAACTTCCTGTTTTCTTCCCTTTTCAATTGTCCTTGATCTCCATTTACACAGATGTCCCTGTCTCAAACCGTGGGAGAGCGGTGATGGAGAAGGAGACACACTGTCCTTGGGGATTGAGGAGGCAGTGGAGAGCATAGCATTTTAAGAGGTCTTATGCCAGTTTCTGTACCTACCCCCCTCAGCCTGGTAAATGAGGAGGTGCAGCGCCTTCCTCTTAGCTTCGCACTGAGCCAGGCACATACAAAGATGTTTCCATTTATTTTATTTTTATTTTTATTTTTTGAGACAGAGTCTTGCTCTGTCACCCAGGCTGGAGTGCAGTGGTGCGATCTTGGCTCACTGCAACCTCCACCTCCTGAGTTCAAGTGATTCCCCTGCCTCAGCCTCCTGAGTAGCTGGGATTACAGGTGCCCGCCACCACGCCCAGCTAATTTTTGTATTTTTAGTAGAGATGGGGTTTCACCATGTTAAGTCAGGCTGGTCTTGAACTCCTGACCTCATGGTCCACCCTCCTCGGCCTCCCAAAGTGCTGGGATTACAGGCCTGAGCCACCACGCCCGGACCTATTTATTTTATTTTATTTTATTTTTATGGCTTACTTTTTCTGTCTTAAGCTAGCTACTTCATTATCATCATTTACCCTCTGATAGTCACCCAAGTACTGAAGGCAAGCATTGTCTTTATTAAATCGAGAACTGATCACTTCACTGTCTCCTCTAAAACTTTGGATGCCCAACATCTCACATTGCTATAAGGAAAAGGCCAAAGTCCTTAGTCCAGCCACAAAAGTCCTCACAATCTGGCTAAAGCCGACTCTTCATTTCCTCTCCCACCTCTCCCACTCAGAAAACCTAAAGTGTAGGTAGCCACTGTGAGGAAACCTACCAATGTCAGCCATTCAGCGACATCTGGGTCCCACAGGGTGTTGTACAGGTGGCCACTAGAGGGACTCTTCTCAAAGTTAACAACAGAACGAGTGTGTCTCTGTGTGTGTGTGTGTGTGTGCGTGTGCGCGCGCACGCGTGCGTATGTACGTGTGTGTGCGCGCACGCGCGCGCCTGAGTAGCAGGTGGGTTTGAAGGCTTGATTATCAGCTTCCCCACCTAAAAGCAGTTGATAGAAGATGCTGACCTGGATTGGGGCCTTGGCTATTTACTCGGGCAGGTTGGATCAGGCCCTGGGGAGCAGGGAGGAAAGTGGGGGTGGGAATGGAAGGAGGGAAGGAGCCCTGGAAAGTTTGGTATAGACCAGCTTTGCTTTCTTAACCCTCCCCATATGCATTCAGGGACGGAAGACAATGGGATACATTTTTGAGTTAGAGCTTGAATCCCTTGCTTTCCTAATTCAAGAATTTAGGGGCCACATAGAAATGGACAGCACTCTATCTAATCTCACTTCCCCTACTCAGGAATCAAATGGAGTCACAGAGTGGGGAATATTTATACTTTGTATTTTAGGAGAAAAAAATACATTGAGGTATAAGATAAAATATTTGCTCTCTAATACCTAACGAATCAGTATTTTATAAACACCTAATTATTAGTCTTACAGAACTTAATTACTTAAGAGTCAGGTTGATTAAAATATTGCATCTTTTAGGCTGCTTATATGTGATATTTTATAAAACCAGAATGATGACAACATGGTTTATAATTGTCATTGCTTTCGTGACCACATTTTGGCTATTTTAGAATGAAGTTCAATTTTCTCAAACTGATGTTCAAGACCCTCAAGCATATGACCTGCATTTCCCTCAGGCAGCTGAGCAATCTTACTGCCAGCTCCCAGGTGCCTGTTCACTTCTCTCTTTTGCTGTCAGAGTTCTTCATGCTAGGAACTTGCCCTGCCCTCTCCTTGCCTTCCAAATATAATCCTTTTAGAGATAGCTGTTCTGTCATCCTTAGAATCTGCATCACAGACTTCAAAACTGTAGAATATGTTATACTGTTTCTATTTGTTTCTTCAAGTTGCATGTGCAGAAGCCTCATTCCTAAACAAAACTGTAAGCTACTTAAAGATAAGGACTGTGTCAATTTTTTCTTTTTCTCTTCTTTCCTTTTCTTTTTAAATTCTTAGGGTCAGGCCAGTAGCAGCAGGCTGTCAATAAATGTCTCTGAATTACCTCTAAATTTGCCACTTGTTCAAAGGCAGACATTTGACTTGGAAGTGCACTAGGAGCTAAAGGGAACCAGCAATAATAAAACCCGGTGAAATGCAATTTCCTGTTTTGTGTAGCACTCGAGTCAAATATTTCTGCCCTATCTCCTAGGAAATATAGAACAAATCGAAATTGAAAAAATGTAAGGAAGTCATCCTGAATGGTTGCTAAAGAAACAAAATAAAGCATCAGGTTTTCCTAACCATGGATTCCACGGCCGACAATTTGAACAGTAAGGCCAACCTTGGCCATGTGTGGCCCAGAGCCGGCCCGCACCTGTGCAGGTGTGGCTCATATTCCATTCTTTTCTGTTGGTTTTGGTTAACATTTACATCCTCCACTGCAGGTGAGAGGCTGACTGGAGGGTGCTTTCCTGGCAGCCAAGGCAAATGGCCATGGACCAGATGGCACCGGGTGTGTGTGGAAGGGCCGGCGGTCCTTCTCTCCTCTTCTGCGGAGTCCTCGGTGTTGCAGGCCTGGAGTGCAGCAGTGGAGGCAGAAGCCAGACTACATTTCCAAGACCCTCCTTCTGCCAGCTGCTTCTGCTGGGGGTCTGCCTGCGAGAGGCACTGATAGAAGGTGAAAGCAGGAAGAAGAAATGAGCCTCTGTGGCCTCCGGCCCCTTGAAGGGACCTCTGGCCACGGCAGCAGCCAGAGGGTGTGGGCTCCTGGTTCCCGATCAGGACCCCGCGCAGCCCCATCAGCACAGTGGCAAAGCCTCCAACAGGCCAGTGCCGTGCTGGCCGGTCGGGTGCCAGCATCCTGATGTCTGGGTGATCTCCTTCTCCCTTGTGCTCCCCCAGCCCCTTCAGCACCTTTTGCAACCAGTTTTCTGCATGAAATCCCGGCCTCAGCATGAACTATGTAAAGCTGGGCCCACACCTGGTAGACAGGCTGCAGTGAGGGGTGTGTTCAGCAGGCCTGAATTTCAGCCATAAATTTGGGGATAAGAGAAATATTGCATTTCCTTTGCTTTTTTTCTTTTTTCTTTTCTTTTCTTTTTTTTTTTTTTTTTGAAACAAGGTCTCGTTCTGTTGCCCATGTGGGAGTACAGTGGCACAATCATGGCTCACTGCAACCTCAGACTCCTGGGCTCAAGCAATCCTCCCACCTCAGCTCCCTGAGTAGCTGGGACCACAGCCTTGAACCACCACACTTGGCTAATTTTTGCAGTTTTGTAGAGACGGAATCTTACCATGTTGCTCAGGCTGGTCTCTAACTCCTGGGCTCAAGTGATCCTCTCATCTTGGCCTCCCAAGGTGGTAGGATTACAGGTGTGAGCCACCGTGCCTGACCGTGTTTGCTTTTTTTTTTTTTTTTTTGGAGATGGAGTCTCTCTGTGTCGCCCAGGCTGGAGTGCAATGGCGCAATCTCAGCTCACTGCAAGCTCCGCCTCCCAGGTTCATGCCATTCTTCTGCCTCAGCTTCCCGAATAGCTGGGACTACAGGTGCCCGCCACCACGCCCGGCTAATTTTTTGTATTTTTAGTAGAGATAGGGTTTCACCGTGTTAGCCAGGATGATCTCGATCTCCTGACCTTGTGATCCACCTGCCTCGGCCTCCCAAAGTGCTGGGATTATAGGCGTGAGCCACCGCGCCCGGCCTGCTTTTCTTAAATAAACTTAATTTAACCTTCAAGTCCGGTGACTGCTGGGCAGTCATCGCTAGGGCTGTGCTGATGTCCTAGGGGAGCACAGAGGTTCTGGCCATTCTTGGAGCGAGGCACTGGTGAGGCCCCCAGGTTGCAGTGAGGAGGCCCCCACTGTCTTAGTCTGTACCGTGCTTCAGGGCTGCCAGCTGTGTTGGGCCTTCTTCTACTGGGAGCACAGAAGCCTTTGTTAAGTTTGGGGCCCAGGCCTAGGATGCAGCCTGCCTGGGGCATCGCACAGTGCTTCCCTCTGAGGTCCTGCCACCTCGTGAGGTCTGCCAGGGAATAGGATGCTGGTCCTGTTTCCTTGTAGGAATCACACACTTCTCTCTCCTGTCTCTACCCTGGAGGAATTTCCTTTGGGTCTGAGACAATTCTTTCCCCACCTCTGCTTCCTTCAAAGTCCGTCTATCTTGTCTCAATAAGCCTATGCTTTTGGAAATAAAAGCCAGGAAGGGGCCTTGAAGGGACTACCACTTCCTGCCCTGCCTCAAATCTCCCCTGAGGTAAGGAGGCCAGGATCTCCTATCTGCTCAAATGGCAGAAAGGAAGGAGAACTCCAGAGAGAAGAATTTAAACTGATTTCTTCAAAGCTTCTCCTGCCAGAATTGAATATGCCGAGGAGCTGTATCACTTCTGTAGCATTCCTGCCAATATGCCCTAATCTGAATCTAACCATGAAGAAACAACCAAATTCGAATTGAATAACAGTCTACAAAATGTCTGCCTGTACTCTTCAAAAATGTCAATGTCCTGAAGGAAAAAGGTCAAGCAAGTCTTCCAGGAGAAAGGAGACTCAGAAAGACATGACAGCTCAGTGCAGTGGGGATCTTGAACTGGAAGGAAGATTAGGAAAAAAAAAATGCTACAAAGGATGTTGTTGAGACAATTGTTAAAATTTGAATATCATCTATCTATGTATCTATCTATCTATCTATCTATCTATCTATCTATCTATCTTTCTACTTATCTATCTATCATCTGTCTATATTTTTGAGATGGAGTCTCAGTCTGTCGCCCAGGCTGGAGGGCAGTGGCACGATCTCGCCTCACTGCAACCTTTGTCCCCCGGATTCAAGTGATTCTTCTGCCTCAGCCGCCTGAGTAGCTGGGACTACTGGTGCGTGCCACCATGCCTGGCTAATTTTTGTATTTTTAGTAGAGTTGTGGTTTCACCATATTGGCCAGGCTGGTCTCGAACTCCTGACCTCGTGATCCACCACCTCGGCCTCCCAAAGTGTTGGGTTTACAGGCGTGAGCCACCACGCTCGGCCTCATCTATATATTATATAGTGGTATTATTATAGCGTTGAATTTCCTCCGTTCATTGTATTGAGGTTATGTAAGAAAGCATCCTTGTTCTTAAGATCCACACTGAAGTATTTCAAAGAGGCATGATGTCTTCAGTGGACTCTCAAATGGTTCAGCTACACATATATACATACATACACATATATACATGTATACATACCTATACATATATGCATACACATATAAACATATATGTGTATGTATGTATATATCATACATATGTATTTAAAGCATATGTACATATAGTCAAAATGTATATATATGTCTGTATTATGCAAGTGAGGTAAGATATTAACAATTGGTGAATCTAGGCAGACTGTGTGGGAGAGTTCGCCTACTCTCAGAAGGGAAACAGGTCTGCCAGCGATGTGTCTGAACTGGCAGGAAGACCACAGCAGACAGAAGCTCCTGTTGATGCCACTTCAAGTTACCAGGATGGGAGGAGAAGCAGGTGATGAGGCCCGTGATTCTCCCAGGAATGAAAAGTGAAGGCTTTGGTGGAGGAGGCAGAGTTGGCCCAGGGAGTGGGTGGTGGTGGCGTGAATTGGATTCAGTTAAGGAAGAGCTACAAGATGGAATGTATCAGAGGGGCTCTGGAGAATTCTCAGGATTCTACTAAGTGGAATGTGGGTTGAAAGCAGAGGGTTCCTTGATCTAGGGTATGCCAAGGGCTGGCTATGGATGGGGACTTTGGGAGGGTAAGGAGAGTAGAGGAAGTGTTCCGGGTTCCTGATCGCTCGGCAAGTAGTGGGCACAATGATTTCTAATTATTTAGTGGGATTTGAACACATTTCAAGTGAGGCGGAGTACAAGGGGGTTGTGAGGGAGAAAACAGGTTGCGCCTTAGACAAAGTGTAGGCAGGAGCCATTGCAGGTGCTGAGCTGACTCATCCCCAGTGGAATCTTCTCCACCATGGTGGTTACCTCAGTTGGACGATGATAAAAGGTAGCTGGCTGCTCTTGAACCTGGGCTGGTATATCAAAAGCAAATCCAAAGAGGCTATAATCAGACAGGTGAAGTGTTGGCCATGGGCTGAGGCATCAGTGATCCTGAAGATCCGGGCCAAACTCACAGGCTGCTCCAGCTTTCTGCATGGATGTGTATGGGAGAGGCAGGTGACAGCCCCGGTCTCCTCCTGAAGAAATGCTCTTAGGCATTGTGAGAAATGTAGGTGTACAAGGGACCAGAGGGAAAAGGGTATGAGCCTGCGGGCAACACCACATTCAAATCTTGAGAGGCAGTTTCAGGCACTCATCCCAGCCAACCATGCGGGGTACCCATGTGTTAACTTATTAGTGTGTCCAGTGCCCTGAGAGCAGCATCGCACAATGTGGCAAACCCTCACCAGGGATGCTGGTGTGGAGGAATCCAAGAGGCTAAGAAAAGCCAGCTTCAGGCCGGGCATGGTGGCTCACGCCTGTAATCCTAGCACTTTGGGAGGCCGAGGCGGGCGGATCACTTAAGTCAGGAGTTTGAGACTAGCCTGGCTAACATGGTGAAACCTCGTCTCCACTAAAAATACAAAAAATTAGCTAGGCATGGTGGTGGGTGCCTGTAATCCCAGCTACTTGGGAGGCTGAGGCAGGAGAATCACTTGAACCTGGGAGGCGGAGGTTGCAGTAAGCCGAGATCGCGCCACTGCACTGCAGCCTGGGTGACAGAGCGGAAAAAAAAAAGAGAAAAGGCAGCTTCGACCTTCCATTAATCATCACCCCAGGAGGGGGAGTCAGGGAATTGGATTTATGCAGCTGAAAATTCAGATCTTTCCCAGAACTCAAGGAGTCGAAGGAGAGGTTAAAAGGGTAACAATGAGGTAGTTATAAGGTACAGTGGAGTTATATCAGGCATATATTTACTCAGTAAATGCAAATGTCTGTGCTAGAGGCTGCAGTAGAAGGCAGAGGGAGAAAAAGGAGAGAATGAGAGCAAGACCAGTGTGAGAGAAAATAAAACAAACCCCCGGGGTGCCTCACCACTCCTTGTTGTCCCTTTGCCTGGGCCACACCTTCGAAAATAGTCCTTTTACTAAATGTCATTTAATCATTGTTAGCTTTGAATATGTCGTCTCCAAAATGCATGTGTTGAGAACTTAATCCCCAGTGCAACAGTGCTGTGAGGTGTGGCCTCTGGCAGGTGCTCAGGTCATGAGGGCTCTGCCCTCATCAATGGATCAATGCCATTATCAAAAGGGCTTGCAGGAGTGGGTTTGCCTTCAGCTCTTCTGCCATGTGAAAGTGAGTTCTTCTCTTGCCCTTCTACCTTCCACCATGTGAGGGCACAGTACGGAGGCCCACCCCAGATGCCAGTGCTTTGGTCTTTGACATCCCAGCTTCCAGAACTGTGAGGATACATTTCTGTTCTTCATAAATTACCTAGTCTCAGGTATTCTGTTATAGCAGCAAAAGTGGACTAAGATAGTCACCCTCTGTGAGTGCCTATTGCTCCTTGCCAGGGCTTTGTCCCAGACAATGGTAAAGGTTATTTAGACTGTATGGGATACTGGCATTGAATGCATTTAGAGGAAAATGTTATCCTCAAGGCTTTTTACCTGGAAATGGTGCAGTTAAATACACACCTGTAGATGTAGTGGCTTTTATCAGTAGAACAGAGAAGCCAAAACCCAGGCCACACACTGGTGACTGATCACTTAACTCCCAGAGTCCAGGCTGATCCCACTGGGAGCAGAAGGGTTCCACTGTGCCATGTGCGTGTTTGGGCAGGGGTGTGGAGAAAGAGGATAAGGATGCTTCTAGGTTTACGGGTTCCCTGCTCAGATCCAGGACTCTTTACACATAGTTCTGGATGATTCATATGTGCTTAATGCGTAATAGAAACCCTGTGGTTATAGGTGGAACAAACTCACCCTCCTACAATAATAGCTACAGGTGAGGTTACAGGTGTATTTGTGTATATATAGAGAAAAGTCTAAGAGTATTTGCCAGTCGGTTAACAGTGGTTACTTCTAGCAGATAGGATTAGAGAGGGCTTTATCTTTCTGCTTTGGGTATTTCCCTCTTAATTAGCACTTTAAAGAACTTTGTTTTTGAGATAAGGTCTTGCTCCGTTGCCCAGGCTGGAGTGCAGTGGTATGATCATAGCTCACTGCAGCCTTGAACTCCTAAGCTGAAGTGATCCTCCCGCCTCAGCCTCCCAAGTAGCTGGGACTTACAGGTACGTACCACCGCACACAGCTATTTTCTTGTAGAGATAGGGTCTTGTTTTGCTGCCCAGGCTGGTCTCAAACTCCTGACTTCAGGCGATCCTCCTTCCTTGGTCTTCCAAAGTGCTGGAATTACTGGTGTGAGCTGCTGTAATGCACATTCGGTAATCCCATTTAAAAAATGGGATTACTGAATGCTACAGAAATTCTTTGAAATTTTTATTTGGGTTGCATTAAATTTCAACAGGAACTTAATAAAGAGTTGCATCTTTAGAATAATTTATCTCCTCATCCTGTACATGGTATGTTTCATTCAATATGACTTTTATACTTTACAAAACATTTGGTGGTGTGTGTGTGTGTGTGTGTGTGTGTGTGCATAAGAATAACTATAAAATACATTAAGTGTCTTCTCTGTGTTAGCCATTGTCCATTCATAGGCCTCACTTTTAAGACTATGAAGTAGGTATTGACAGATGAAATAGGCTCCAGGCTTGGTGGAGAAGTGGGAAGTGGAACAGGGCTCCCATTCTAGATCCAGATGAGATAAAAGCTTCAGCTTTTCTCTACAATGCTTTATTCGACACCATACTGCACTCTAGGTTTCCCACATTCTAAAGTGCATAAGCTGGAGAAGCTATACAATATCTATCACATAGATCTTTAAGCTATTTCTCCTTTAGGCAACTAATTATGATCTGGAGTATACTATAAATACGTGCATTAGTATAAAGTTATGAATTTTCCCTTAAAATATTGAATACTGTGAAATGTAACTTCATTCTAATGACTGTACTGGCCTATAAGAAATATTCTTGTTTCAAGAATTCAGATTACTTTTAATTAGCATTAAAAGTAATCACCCTCAAGCACTTTTGGAATGTACCATACTTAAACCATTTCACATGCCAGTAGTCATTTTTTCTTTAAGGTTGTTTTTAATTATTGTAAAGATATTTTTGTCTTTGAAAGAGGATTCTAGAATAAAGCTAGTGACAGAGATGTGATGCAGACAGACATGTGTCTCTTTTCTCTCACAGCCTCTAAGCCAGCCACAGAGCAGCTCTCAGGGTGGGAGGTGACAGCTGGACCTCTGAAGTTCAGTGGAGCTAGTTTGAATTCTAATTCTGTCATTTCCTTGTTGCATGTCCTTGAGTAAATTATTTAATTTCTTTATAAGTCAGGAAAATAGAAACCCACTGGCTATTCATTTAACAGATTTTTTTTTTTTTTTTTTGAGGTGGAGCCTCTCTCTGTCACCCAGGCTGGAGTGCAGTGGTGCGATCTCGGCTCACTGCAACCTCTGCCTCCCAGGTTGGTGCGATCTCGGCTCACTGCAACCTCTGCCTCCCAGGTTCAACCCAGCCTCCCAAGTAGCTGGGACTACAGGCGCAAGCCACCATGATCAGCTAATTTTTTTTTTTTTAGACGGAGTCTCACTCTGTTGCCAGGCTGGAGTGCAGTGGAGTGATCTCGGCTCACTGCAACCTCCGACTCCCTGGTTCAAGCGATTCTCCTGCCTCAGCCTCTTGAGTAGCTGGGATTACAGGCGCAGACCACCTGTGTGGTATATGGGATTACAGGGAGTAGCTGGGATTACAGGCACATACCACCTGTGCACCCACCTCTTGAGTAGCTGGGATTACAGGCACATACCACCACGCCCAGCTAATTTTTGTATTTTTAGTAGAGACGGGGTTTCACTGTGTTGGCCAGACTGGTCTCGAACTCCTGACCTCGTGATCTGCCCTTCTCGGCTTCCCAAAGTGTTGGGATTATAGGTGTGAGCCACCATGCCCGGCCTAATTTTTGTATTTTTAGTAGAGATGGGGTTTTGCCATATTGGCCAGGCTGGTCTCAAACTCCTGACCTCAAAGGATCTGCCCGCCTCAGCCTTCCAAAGTGCTGGGATTGCAGGTGTGAGGCACTGCACCTGGCTTCAGGAGAGATAATTTAATAAAGGGAATTGGTTAAATTGGTGCTGGAGGACTGCAAAAGTGAAAAGGCAATGTTGAGTGAACATAGAAAGCAACACTGCAGGAAGCAGCTACTGCCTGTAGGGTGAGAGGGAAAAACAGGAGAAGCCGGCGTTTCCAGAATCTAGAGTCTCAACAAAATGGGCTCCTGGGGTCCCTAATTCCAGGTTTTTGGCTCCTGGATGGCATTTCTGGACCCATCCTGGGCCAGAGAGAAGCCTGCTGCCCTGCAGGGTGAGTCCCAGGCCTGACATTGTTCACCCACAAGCTGACTGGAGAGCCCTTGGGCCTTGAGTGAACATCAGCCGTAGCCAGGTTGTACTTGCCAAGGGCCTGGGGTGGTGGTGGCCATGGGGAGAGACTCCTTCTATATACAGAAAGGAAAGGGAAGAGTGGGAAAAATCTTTGTCTTGCAGCTTGGGTCCCAGCTCAGCCACAGTAGACTAGAGCACCAGGTAGATTCCTAAGGTTCTGACTCCAAGCCCTGGTTTCTGGATAGCATTTCTGGATCCACCCTGGGCCGGTGGGGAGCTCATCACCCTGAAGGGAAGGACACAAGCATGTCTGGATTTGCCACCTGCTGACTGAAGAGCGCTTGGGCCTTGAAAACATTGGTGATAGCCAGGCAGCGGTCACCATAGGCCTTGGGCAAGACCCAATGCTGTGCTGGCTTCTGGTCTGACCCAGTGCGGTCCCAGTGTTGGTGGCCACAAGGGTGCTTGTGTTACATCTCCACCAGCTCCAGGCAGTGCGGCATGGAGAGAGAGACTCCGTTTGTTTTGGGGAAAGTAAAGGAAGAGAACAAGAGCCTCTACCTGGCAATCCAAGGAATTATCTCAGACCACCCAGGTGGTAACTCTACAATCTGCAAGAGTCACAGTGTTACTGAGCTTGGGGTGTCCCCTAATCCAGATACAGCTGCAGTGACCAAAGATTTAGATCACAACACTCAATTCCTTTTGAATACTTGGAAAGCCTCCCCAAGAAGGACAGGTACAAACAAGTCCAGACTGTGAAGACTGCAGTAAATGTCTAACTCTTTAATGCCCAGGCACAGTCAGACATCTATAAGCATCAAGATCACCCAGACAAACATGACCTCACCAAATGAACTAAATAAGTCACCAGGGACCAATCTTGGAGAAACAGAGACATGTGACCTTTTAGACAGAGATTTCAAAATAGCTGTTTTGAGGAAGCTAAATTAAATTCACTATAACATAGAGAAGGAATTCTGAATCCTATCAGATAAATTTAACAAATAGATTGAAAAATGTTAAAAAATCAAGCAGAAATTTTGGAGGTGAAAACTTTAACTGACATACTGAAGAATGCATCAGAGTCTCTCAATGGCAGAACGGATAAAGCAGAAGAAACAATTATTGAGCTTGAAGACAGGCTATTTGAAAATACAGTCAGAGCAGACGAAATAAAAGAGAATTAAAAAGAACAAAGCATGCCTCCAAGATGTAAAAAATATCCTCAAATGGGCAAATGTAAGAGTGATTGATCTTAAAGAGGAGGTAGAGAGAGAGATATGGGTAGAAAGTTTATTCAAAGGAATAACAAAGAACTTTACAAACCTAGAGAGAGATACCAATATTCAAGTACAAGAAGGGTATAGAACAGCAAGTAGGTTTAACCCAAAGAAGACCCCCTCAAGGCATTTAATAATCAAACTACAAAGATCAAAGATAAAGAAAGGATCCTAAAAGCAGCAAGAAAAAAGCAAATTACATACAAAAGAGTTTCAATACTTCTGAAAGCAGACTTCTCAGCAGAAACGTTACAGTCTAGGAGAGAGTGGGATGACATATTTAAAGTGCTGAAGGAAATAAACTTTTATCCTAGAATAGTTATCTAGCAAAGTTATCCTTGAAACATGAATAAGAAATAAAGACTTTTCCAGACAAACGAAAGCTGAGACATTGTTATCAACACCAGACCTGTCCTACAAGAAATGCTAAAGGGAGTTATTCAATCTGAAAGCAAAGGTAATTAATGAGTAATAGGAAATCATCTGAAGGTATAAAATAACTGGAATGAGGACTTCTCCAGAACATGGTAGAAAATCATTTACTTACTCTAACATGGAGCTCCATCCACAGCAATATAGGAAACACAAGGGCTTCCCTTTGATTTAGAGTAGAAGAGGCCAACATCGCAGCCACACATTTATTCATTAGTGGGGAATGGGGTGAAAGGCATTGTCTCTCAGAAGAGCCCTGAGGCCCTGATGGAGGCCTCCCTGCAGCATCCAGATCCCCTCCAGACACATGTCTATGTCTGGTGTAGTACAGAGTAACCCATGGTGGTCCTGATGACCCATAGAGTGGGCTCAGTTGATCATTTTGAAGGCCATTGTATATGGAAATGCTTAGCTAAGTGTCAAGCAATATTTGGATGAAATGTGATTGGCATGCGTTGTAAGAATCATTTCACCCCTCCCCCTCCCCCTCCCCCTCCCCCTCTCCCTCTCCCTCTCCCTCTCCCTCTCCCCACGGCCCACGGTCTCCCTCTCCCTCTCCCTCTCCCTCTCTTTCCACGGTCTCCCTCTGATGCCCAGCCGAAGCTGGACTGTGCTGCTGCCATCTTGGCTCACTGCAACCTCCCTGCCTGATTCTCCTGCCTCAGCCTGCCTAGTGCCTGCGATTACAGGTGCGCGCCTCCACGCCTGACTGGTTTTCGTACTTTTTTGGTGGAGACGGGGTTTCGCTGTGTTGGCCGGGCTGGTCTCCAGCTCCTAACCGCGAGTGATCCGCCAGCCTCGGCCTCCCGAGGTGCCGGGATTGCAGACGGAGTCTGGTTCACTCAGTGCTCAATGGTGCCCAGGCTGGAGTGCAGTGGCGTGATCTCGGCTCGCTACAACCTCCACCTCCCAGCCGCCTGCCTTGGCCTCCCAAAGTGCCGAGATTGCAGCCTCTGCCCGGCCGCCACCCCGTCTGGGAAGTGAGGAGCGTCTCTGCCTGGCCGCCCATCGTCTGAGACGTGAGGAGCCCCTCTGCCTGGCTGCCCAGTCTGGAAAGTGAGGAGCATCTCTGCCCGGCCGCCATCCCACCTAGGAAGTGAGAAGCGCCTCTTCCCAGCCACCATCCCATCTAGGAAGTGAGGAACGTCTCTGCCCGGCCGCCCATCGCCTGAAATGTGGCGAGCGCCTCTGCCCCGCCGCCCCGTCTGGGATGTGAGGAGCACCTCTGCCGGGCCGCGACCCCGTCTGGGAGGTGAGGAGCGTCTCTGCCCGGCCGCCCCATCTGAGAAGTGAGGAGACCCTCTGCCTGGCAACCGCCCCGTCTGAGAAGTGAGGAGCCTCTCCGCCCGGCAGCCGCCCCGTCTGAGAAGTGAGGAGCCCCTCCGCCCGGCAGCCACCCCGTCCGGGAGGGAGGTGGGGGTCAGCCCCCCGCCCAGCCAGCCGCCCTGTCCGGGAGGGAGGTGGGGGGGGGTCAGCCCCCCACCCGGCCAGCCACCCCGTCCGGGAGGTGAGGGGCGCCTCTGCCCAGCCGCCCCTACTGGGAAGTGAGGAGCCCCTCTGCCCGGCCAGCCGCCCCGTCTAGGAGGGAGGTGGGGGGGTCAGCCCCCCGCCCGGCCAGCCGCCCCGTCCGGGAGGGAGGTGGAGTGGTCAGCCCCCCACCCGGCCAGCCGCCCCGTCTGGGAGGTGAGGGGCGCCTCTGCCCGGCCGCCCCTACTGGGATGTGAGGAGCCCCTCTGCCCGGCCACCACCCCGTCTGGGAGGTGTACCCAACAGCTCATTGAGAACGGGCCGGGATGACAATGGCGGTTTTGTGGAATAGAAAGGGGGGAAAGGTGGGGAAAAGATTGGGAAATCAGATGGTTGCCGTGTCTGTGTAGAAAGAGGTAGACATGGGAGACTTTTCATTTTGTTCTGTACCAAGAAAAATTCTTCTGCCTTGGGATCCTGTTGATCGGTGACCTTACCCCCAACCCTGTGCTCTCTGAAACATGTGCTGTGTCCACTCAGGGTTAAATGGATTAAGGGCGGTGCAAGATGTGCTTTGTTAAACAGATGCTTGAAGGCAGCATGCTCGTTAAGAATCATCACCACTCCCTAATCTCAAGTACCCAGGGTCACAAACACTGCGGAAGGCTGCAGGGTCCTCTGCCTAGGAAAACCAGAGACCTTTGTTCACTTGTTTATCTGCTGACCTTCCCTCCACTATTGTCCTATGACCCTGCCAACTCCCCCTCTGCGAGAAACACCCAAGAATGATCAATAAAAAATAAAAAATAAAAATAAAAATAAAAAAAGAATCATTTCAACATTCACCTCAGTCAGAATGGAGTTGTTTTCTTCTCTACTTTACAGACTGGTATATGAAAAAAACAAAGAGGGAGAAACATAACAAAATATTGTGTATGGTAATATTCAATTTTATGACAGAAAAAAACTGGAAGGATACATTAAACAACAAAATGCTAATAGCAATTCATGCTAATAGCAAATCTTTCTTTCTTTCTTTTTCTTTCTTTCTTTTTTTTTTTTTTTTGACATGGCTTCTCACTCTGTTGCCCAGGCTGGAGTGCAATGGCACGATCTCAGCTCACTGCAACCTCTGCCTCCCGGGTTCAAGCGATTCTCCTGCCTCAGCCTCCTGAGTAGCTGGGATTATAGGCACACACCACCACGCTCGGCTAATTTTTATATTTTTAGTAGAGACAGGATTTCACCATGTTGGTCAGGCTGGTTTTGAACTCCTGACCTCGTGATCCACCCGCCTTGGCCTCCCAAAGTTCTGGGATTATAGGTGTGAGCCAACACACCTGGCCACTAATAGCAATTATTTCTGAATGTTGAACTTAGGAATAATTTAAAATTTCCTACATTTTCTAAAATTTCTACCAAATATATGTAGTTATCAAATTACAACATAAATGCTATGACAATTTTTTTTTTTTTTTTTTGAGATGGAGTCTTGCTGTGGCTCAGGCTGGAGTGCAGTGGTGCGATCTTGGCTCACTGTAACCTCCACCACCCAGGTTCAAGCAATTGTCCTGCCTCAGCCTCCCAAGTAGCTGGGACTACAGGTGCTTGCCAACGTGCCCAGCTAATTTTTTGTATTTTTAGTAGAGACAGGGTTTCACCATGTTGGCCAGGATGGTCTCAATCTCTTGACATTGTGATCCACCCGCCTTGGCCTCCCAAAGTGCTGGGATTACAGGCGTGAGCCCGGCCGACAATGTTTCAAAAAGGAAAAGAAAAGTGGTGGAGGAGCAGAGTCCCATGGGCTAGGGACAGGGACACTGGCAAGCCGGGTTTCTGAGCCCAAGGTGTCTGCACAGGCGTAGGGTAAACTTGCACAGACTTTCAATATATATTTGTTGGTTGAGTTATTTAAATTTATAAGGAAAAGTTCTGGTGAATCAAAATGAGGAAACATTTGAGGTGCACATAAGGAAGCCATCCTTGAGTTTTGTGTTTTTCATACTAAGTATCTAAAAGGTCTGTGCATCTAGTCTTAGATAGAATACCACTCCGAGGTGTTTATCCAAAGAGAGAGAGAACATTTTTAGGTATAAGTCCTGCAACGAGAAGGCTAATAAAATACAGTATAAGTTAAGTATTTGTATCCTGGTAGGGGCCTCTTTTTTCTGAAACAAAAGAAAGCAAATCAATGCAAAGCTTACTCATAGTGATGTTCCTACAACGCATTCTCATCTTCATTCCTCCAAAGAGAACATTTCCACAGTTTGGTTCTCTCTCCATTACATTTTGCAGGCCTTTGATGTCCTGAAATCCATCCTTCAGGAATAGTCAACTAATTAATCTTCTCCCAGAAGCAGATGCTTTGGAAAAAATGGTAATTAGGTGAGCAAAAAAGCTTTCATCTCAAAATTTACTAATGAGTAGTAATGTTCAGCTTACCTTAAAGACCTGAGACAGGCCCCAGAAGGCCCCAGAGTTCTGTCCACTCAGTCATCTGTGGCCTGGTTTTGAAAAGCTCTTTTTCTTTTTCACCTAACTTTCTCATATAGCATCATGCTTTGGTTAGCACTGGACTTTTGAAGTGACCTTTGTTTTGATTTGTGATTTGTAACCCTAATTGTAACAATCAAGCCAGGCCAGGCCACACTGCCAGATAAGATAATCACATCTTCTACCCTGTCTAATTGGGGTGGCACCTGCTACCCAGTCAGGTGGCCACAGGAGGAGACTCTCAAGGCCCAAAGATGGGGAGGGTTGGGTGGGGTTTCACAAGGGTACGTAGAAAATGAGGTAAACCTCACTATGCAGGAATTCCCCTTTGAGTATCCCAAACATTTCCAAAATTAATCAATTATTTTTTGAATAGATTGTATATGCATGAAGCACAGAATTTGAAAGATACAGGGCGGGCACGGTGGCTCATGCCTGTAATCCCAGCACTTTGGGAAGCCAAGGCAGGTGGATCACTTGAGGTCAGGTGTTCGAGACCAGCCTGGCCAACATGGTGAAACCCCGTCTCTACTAAAAATACAAGAACTAGCCAGGCATGGTGGCGTGCACCTGCAATCCCAGCTACTCAGAAGGCTGAGGCAGGAGAATCGCTTGAACCCGGGAGGCAGAGGTTGCAGTGAGCTGAGATCGCACCACTGCACTCCAGCCTGGACAACAGAGCAAGACTCCTTCTCCAGAAAAAAAAAAAAAAAGAATTCAAAAGATATAAAAGGGTATATGCAGTGGCACTAAGTGTATTTCATGCAGGCACATTGCATATGGCTGGACAGGTAATATACTGCACAATTCCAGGGAGCCCCAGACCCATAGTCCAGAATTTTTACACTCTTGTTTTTTTTCAAGATAACTCCTTTTTTCTTATTGTATAAATAATACATATTCTTGGGGGAAAGGTGGAAAGTAGTGAAAAGTTCAAAGTACATAAAAATAATCTGTAGGCCGGGCAAGGTGGCTCACGCCTGTAATCCCAGCACTTTGGGAAGCTGAGGTGGGCAGATCACCTGAGGTCAGGAGTTCGAGACCAACCTCAACATGGAGAAACCCCGTCTCTACTAAAAATACAAAATTAGCCAGGCGTGGGGGTGCATGCTTGTAATCCCAGCTACTCGGGAGGCTAAGGCAGGAGAATTGCTTGAACCTGGGAGGTGGAGGTTGCGGTGAGCCAAGACCGCACCATTACACCCCAGCCTGGGCAACAAGAGTGAAACTCCATCTCAAAAAATAATAATAATAATAATAATAATAATCTATAATCACACTCAACTGGCAATAGCATCTGCCTACATATGGATCTGGTTCCTTTCAGTTCTTTTAGAAACATATATTTGCTAAGAGTATTAAATAAAACAATTTCATTGGTTAATATCTGCTAGAGTCTTCAGCTCCCTCCCAAAGCCCAACTATAACCAGGACCTACAGAAAGCATTGTTTTATGCAAATAAAACATATTCAGGCTGTGTGCAGTCGCTCATGCCTATAATCCCAGCACTTTGGGAGACCGAGGCAGGCAGATCACTTGAGTTCAGGAGTCTGAGACTAGCCTGGGCAACATGGAGAAAACTGTCTCTACAAAAAGTACAAAAATCAGCTGGGTGTAGTGGTGTGCACTTGAAGTCCCAGCTACTCGGGAGGCTGAGGCAGAAGAATCACTTTGATCTGGGAGGTGGAGGTTGCAGTGAGCCAAGATCACGCCATGCACTGCAGCCTGGGTGACAGAGCAAGGCAATGTCTTAAAAAAAAAAAAATTCTGGAGTGTTGGGGGGAAGGGAGATGAAGGTAGAGCTTAGATATGATCAGCAAACTTCAGGCCTCAAGACTTTCTGGCAACTTGTAGATAAAATTATCCCCTTACCCTTCTGCCGTTTTAAAAAGGAGTGGGTACCAAATGCCACAGGCTCATGAAGAGATTTTCATTTCTTTACATTGAGATTTAAAAAAAAAAGCACAATGCAATATTTTTCAAAGAGTCAAATTCATTCATTCTTATAAAAAGGGTTCCCTTCAATAATATCCTACTTTTTTGATGTTAAAATAGGCTTTTCTTTTAGAAACAATGAAAGTTTCAAAACAATTTTCTCAACAATCGCACACACACAAAAGTTGGCAACCCTCTATCACTGCCCTAAATTATTTTTGTAATTTTAATGACTTGTGAAATCTGAAAGTCTCAGAATCATTGAACTCCATATGAACCTCTTACTGGATGAAGACCTCCACAGGGAAAGCTCTGTTATTTATTAATTTGCCTGGCTCACCCAAGGCCCTAAATATACGTTCGTCAAACCACTGGACGAGGAGCTGGTGGGAGTGGGGCTTTGGAAGAGGGTGGTTGGGCTAAAGCGCCCTGGTACACTGGAACTGGAAAAGACATTCACATTTGCTACATGAGCATGATTGCCTAATCCCAGGTAGGTGCTTTAGATTCTCTATATCTTTGAATTGCTTGTGAGGACAGTGTAAGTATCAGTATTCTCATTTTACCACAGATGAAATGAAGACTCTTAGAGATGAAATTGCCTGAAACTACATGGCTGGCAAAGTGCAGACTTTAGATTACAACCCAGGGTAGTTGGACACTGGAGATGTGACGTCTCCCACCATGCCACGGCCAGATCACAGACCACTAGTTAAGGACCCCTGATCTGGGTAAGTTGGGAATGTATATACCTCCCTTCCCCCTAAAAGCGGGCGAAATGTTAAAAGGGAAGAGGCAGGCACTTTCTTAATTCTCAGCACCACTTTGGTGGATGACTCTGAATCCCTTAGACCTGGATCATAATGGCTCCATTTAAAAAATCAAATTGAGGAAAAATAACAAAGAGGTAATCCAATTCTATGCAAATGTAGCAGATAAATTATGTCTGTCCACACTCAGGTTCCCTTGCTGTAGTTTTCCCCTCTCAGATTTACTGGCTTGCACCCAAACCAGCCTCAATTTGATTTACCAGAAGCCCTCAAGGCTGAGTAATTCATATTTATTCACAATTGTATGCACAAAGCACTCAGAATGCAGTTTCCTGTTAGCTCTGGGCTTCTCAAACTTTAAGGTCCGGTAAAAATGCAGATTCCAATTCAGTAGGTCTGGGGTGGGGCATGAGAGTCTGCATTTCTAACATGCTCCTAATAGATGCTGATGCTGCTGGTCTTTGGATGGCTTATTGAGTACTGAGAGCTTAGGTCATATTAATTTGCCTAACTAGGTACTTTCTGAGCTGGGACCCACGATAAAATCTTCTCTCAGGGAAGATTGTCTTTCAGGCACTTCATCGTAGCATGATTCCATCCTGATCTCTGGGAAATGAGAGTTTGTGTGTGCTATGAACAGAGCTTAGAGCCTCAGCAAACAGTTGTGCAATGTATTTGTTTTGTGTAAGGAGACCTTCCTGGGTTATGAAGTCACATCAACAGTCACTTGTCAACTTAATTCTATATAAAAGATGGCTCTTCGTGGAACCTCCACTTTCACATTTGCCTCAAATACATACTTTCATTGTGAATTATCCACATAATTAAGAATGTGCAAATTAGGCCTATCAATCTATGTATAACAGTAGATTGTAGTGTAGATACTTTTATAATCTTATATTTGCCTTAGGCCTATTTCTTTATTTAAGGTTACATAATTATATCCTGAAAAGAGCCATAGTGGTCGTCTAGTATTATTTTACAGAGGAAGAACTGTGGTCTACAGAGGCTGATTAAGTTGTCCAAGGAGACCCAGCATTAAGGCTGCTGGAACCCAGAACTTCTCAGTCCAAGGGCTCTGGGACTGGCATGCAGACTGGGTGCCCTGTACCAATTGGTAGAGGCAATCCAAGGCACGTGAGTTCTCCAACCGTCTGCATCCTTAAATATTCCCGCTGAGGAGGCTTTGACATTCCCGCCTACACCTTCTTTGTGTATCTTTAGGAATCCACAGACTACAAGGGATGGCAAGAAGGCCGTGTTTTGTGGTGATGTCAGCAGCTGCCATCGTCGCTGAGGTCTCAGTGGTGGGAAGTTAGAAGAGAGGATAGCACAGGAACCCACCCTGTTGCCTAGGGAAGTATAATAGAAAGCATACTCAAGCCTGGCTTGCTAGCCGCCCCCACGTTTAACCTTGTGAATGTCACAGCCTGAGGGATCAGCCTACGAGCCTCCCCTCCTTATGAATGAGTACTTTCCTGGGGCTGGCAGGGCAGCTCCCTCCAAAACACAAGTGGGTTCCATGGTGAGCACCACTTGTCTGGATATATGGCAATGACTTTTCAAAATTTAAAAAAGAAAGAAAATTTAAGAAAGAAAATTGTCTAAGACAGAAGCAACTTTTGAAAGATTTTTAACCCTTAGGCTCTTTTTATCAGTTACACATACATATATTAATACCTGCTTATGCAAGATAATACTCTCTCCCTTTTTTTCTTCTTTCCTTCCCTCCCTCCTCCTCCTTCCTCTCTCTCTCTTTCTCTCTCTCTAATTTGGAATTCCCTGAAAATACAGGTGTGCTGGGAAGGAAACTTAACCTATGCAACATGTGTGGAGCTACAATTTTTAGAGAATTAGAGTTTAACAAAACATACTAAAAAGTGTTTCTCAAAGCCTGTTATATGCAACAGAGATTCCATAGGATGTGCTGGTAAAACCAACCAACCAAAAGAAGAGGTTCTGCCTTTATTTAATTGAACAAATATCCTTTATGTTGCAAGTGGTATCTATCTCTTATAAATTTCCAGTGCCCATTAGCAAATTAAAATATTGGAGAAGTACTTTAGTAATGAAACATTTACATTTTGTTTCAATGTAAAGTGTGGTATGAAAACTTATTCAACTGAATGTTTGAATTGTTTTTGTTGGTCTGTGACAAGTACTGAAATGAACTAGGTAAGCATTTAGAAAGTTTAGAGAAATTAGAATAATTTAATGCTTGTTGACACTACTAATTTAAAAAGCTGGGGTAGTATTTCTTTTTGTTTTTTAACATTTCATTTATTCAAAAATTAGTTTTATTGTATTTTGCAAAAAAATTGGTCTGAGACAAATTGAAAATTAAAACAAAAAACTGGTCCTTTACCACAGGGAGTTCGAAAAGCACTGGTTTAAACCATTTTTCCGAGACTTACTAGATCAAAGAAACCGTACTAAAGTACTCTGTTAATAGCCTAAGGAACTTGAGTTTTGTAGACTATATTTTGGGAAATGTTATGCAAAAAATTTAACCAGACGCAATTCAATCGTTCTTTAATAATTTCAAAAGCAGCTCAGGAATTTGAGGGCTTCAGGCTCATCATTTAGAGCCACAAGTTTCACTGTGCTGCAACTGAGTTGTAGTCTTAGTTACTGAGCACGTGTACAGCACAGTCGACCAGGCTGCAGTGTTTGCCATGTGAAGAGCCCAGGGGTGAATATTAATAGCCCTGAGAACCTGAGCAAGGAGTGAAATTTGCAAAAAGCAAAAACATTTTTAAAAAGGGAGTGACATGAGATGATGTACTTAGCACTAATTAAAATTTCATGCCTGGCCAAATCAAGTACACATATTTTAGAGAAATTTAAGTCTATAAATTATGAAAATTTTATTTCATGTTCTCATTCCTTCAAAACTGAGTTGAAAGAATTTTCTTTTTAAAAAAAGTCCTTATTTCCCCCAAATTACCTTAGTTCAGTGCTAATTTAGTGTCTTCATTATTAATTCAAATTTGCAAAGTTAAAAGAAACCAGTTTCTCTCTCGATTGTACGAGGAAAAAGAAATGAGTTTATTCTGGCTGTGCGTGGTGGCTCACGCCTGTAATCCCGGCACTTTGGCTGGCTGAGGAGGGCGGATCACCTGAGGTCAGGAGTTCGAGACCAACCTGGCCAACACGGTGAAACACTGATTCTACTAAAATACAGAAATTAGCTGGGCGTGGTGGCAGGTGCCTGTAATCCCAGCTACTTGGGAGACCGAGGCAGAAGAAGTGCTTGAACTTGGGAGGCGGAGGTTGCAGTGAGCCGAGATGGTGCCACTGCACTCCAGCCCGGGCGACAGAGCTAGACTGTGTCTCAAAAAAGAAAAAAAAAGAAAAAGAAATGACTTTATTTTAAAATTTACATATATGATTGCTTTTTAAATATCTTTCTGCCAATATACTGGTCCTTTGTGGGTCCTTAGCTTCTGTTCCTTCCCTTCTGTTCCCTGAGGTGTATTTTAGGAAGCTGGAAATTTCATTTCCCATACACTCTTGTCAGATGGCTTTCTGTTAGGTTCCTCCCTGGGAAGCCCTGACAGGAGACTGGGAGTCAGGCAGAGGAGAGCTTGCTTCAGGCTTCTGAGGCGCTGGGACAGGGGGATGGGGATTCCTCAGGTCCGCGCGCTGGTGCTCAGGGCTTGCAGCATTTGGCAGTTTCAGCATTAGTCTGTGGCTGCTCCCTGGTGCGCCCAAGACAGTGCAGGACAACCCAGCAGCAGAGTACAGAGGATACGCCTGGTAACCCTTTCCCCTCCTTTTATTCCACAGCCCCAGGAGAGATAGTATTTCCTCACATTCCTAATATGTGGGTTATCTCATCTTCCCCTTTTGTTCTTTCAGCCTTTTCAACACTGTAGTAATGAGTTGCCTGTAGTAGATCCTCTCTGAGATATCTAGCAAGGTACCCATCAGTAAGCCATTCAGAAGAAAAACTTATATTGGTACCCTGTTTAAATATGGAGATATACATATTTGGGTTATATGTACATATGTGTTACATTTCATATCCAAAAAGACTGCAATTGAAAATATATTTTAAAGTCCACTGACAAGACCTTGTTTTGCCAAAATTCATGCAAAGATATAATTGATCACTTAGTAATGAAATAAACAAATTAGAAGTTAAGGTAGCTGGATGGTGGTAGGTGAATGGGAGTGAGAACCTGTATCTGATGAAGTGTATAGTAATAGAACCTGGCTTTAAAAATGTATTATTTGGCTGGGTACAGTGGCTTATGCCTGTAATCCCAGCACTTTGGGAGGCCAAGGTGGGAGGATTGCTCAATCCCAAGAGTTCGAGACCAGCCTGGGCAACATGACGAATCCTTGTCTCTAGCAAAAAAAAATCACAAAAATTAGCCAAGCGTGGTGGTGTACACATGTGGTCCCAGCTACTGGTGGGGGCGTGTTGGGGGGGTGAGGCCAGCGGTTGAGGTGGAGGATTACTTGAGCCCTGGAGGCAGAGATTGCAGTGAGATGAGATCGTGCCACTGCACCCCAGCCAGGGTGACAGGGAGAGAGAAAGACCTTGTCTTAAAAAAAAAAAATTTAATGTATTTCCTGAATAGTGTGAATAGGAGTTTTCCAAAATGCTTTTGTAGAACTCTGGTCTTTACTTAGGGAAGAAAGAGGGATTCTGTGTTCATGTAAGTCTGGGATTTAGAGTGTATTTTACTATTTCTCTTGGCAAGTCACAAAGCTATTAGCATATAAGTGGCTCTGAGAGCTTGCAGTAAAGGTACCTGCTTAATTTTGTTTAAATAAAACTTTCCAAAATTTAGTTGATCATGGGATTTTTTTTTCCTGTTTATCAATAGTAAATTGCCATATTTTAGAACTTATTATTGACCAGGCATTTTGCAAGAATTATTTTCTTTAATCCACTGCTTAACATACACACATGCACACATAATTTTATCACTATCCCTAAATAGCTATTGCTGTTTTTTGGATTAAAGGAATTGTAACAATGAATACACATTTCACTCTATGCCATATTTGGCTTGGTTTTTTAATTTCATAAACATTTCCTTATGCAATATAAGTTGCATAAATAGTGAGTATGTGGCTTCTTTAGCCAATGCTGGCAGCACAATATTATTGACAGCATCTCCCCTAGAAACTGCTTTTCCTCACAAAATGTCCAGGGATTAAAACACAGAAAGATGTAGGAGTAGGGATTTTTTTTTTTTGAGATGGAGTTGCTCTGTCACCCAGGCTGGAGGGCAGTGGTGCCATCTCGGCTCACTGCAACCTCTTCCCGAATTCAAGGGATTCTTGTGCCTCAGACTCCCAAGTAGCTGGGATTACAGGCATGCACCACCATGCCCAGCTAATTTTTGTATTTTTAGTGGAGACGGAGTTTCGCCATGTTGGCCAGGCTAATCTCAAACTTCTGACCTCAAGTGATCCACCTGCCTTGGCCTCCCAAATTGCTGGGATTACAGGCATGAGTCACCGCACCTGGTTGGATTAAGGAATTCTTTTTTTTTTTTTTTTTGAGACAGTCTCGCTCTGTCGCCCAGGCTGGAGTGCAGTGGCACCATCTCGGCTCACTGCAACCTCCACCTCTAGGGTTTAAGCGATTCTTCTGCCTCAGCCTCCCGAGTAGCTGAGATTACAGGTGCATGCCACCACGCCTGGCTAATTTTTTTTTTTTTTTTTTTTTGAGATGGAGTCTTGCTCTGTCGCCCAGGCTAGAGTGCAGTGGTATGATCTCAGCTCACTGCAACCTCCACCTCTAGGGTTTAAGCGATTCTTCTGCCTCAGCCTCCCGAGTAGCTGGGACTACCAGTGCGCCACCACCACACCCGGCTAATTTTTGTATTTTTAGTAGAGACTGGGTTTCAACATATTGGCCAGGCTGGTCTCGAACTCCTGATCTTGTGATGCTCTCACCTCTCCCTCCCAAAGTGCTGGGATTACAGGCGTGAGCCACAGCGCCCAGCCTAATTTTTGTATTTTTAGTAGAGATGGGTTTCACCATGTTGGTCAGGCCAGTCTCGAACTCCTGACCTCATGATCCACCCGCCTCGGCCTCTCAAAGTGCTGGGATTACAGGCGTGAGCCACTGTGCCCAGCCAAGGAATTCTTTAATGCTTTCCACGTTTATATTTAAATGCAACACTCACCTTAACCTGCTAAGTAAAAATAACCAAAGTCCACAAGGAAATTTTAAAAAGCATAGCATATGTCTTTATGCTTTAAGCTGCAGGATAATAACTGGAGTAATATTAAGTTGGTGCAAAATTGAAAGTAATTGCAAAAACCGCAATTACTTTTGCATCAACATGATGCAATGTTCTGTGTGCCAAATGGCCTCCTGAATATGGAGGGGAACCCGAGCCAGCCTCCATGCACATCCCAGGAACCCTTTATATTTCTAGTGAACGGTATAGAACCATGGCTCACAGAAAAGTTTGCTTGCTTGCTTTTTTTCTTTTTAATGCTAAAGTTAAATCAGCTGTAAAAGAAAGAGGATCTTTTAAAAAATTTCTGTTTGTTCATGTGTAAACAGGCTTAGCTTACCCTGTGGCTCCAGAGATGCAAACATAACTTGGAATTTGAGTCTGGATGATTCTTAATAGGAGCCATGATTTGGATTTGGCTGAAAATTCCCAATCTGTTTTTCCAGCACAGGCTGATGACGGCTGCTGGCCAGCACTCTGGCTGGCCTGGCAGAGCCTGCTTTGCCCTCTCCTGTTTCCCTTCCTTTCAATGGGCCTTTGAAATGCCCAGCTAACAGCTGCTGGAGGTGGGAGAGAAAGGCCTGGCAGAAAACAGGTGGCTTCACCTGTGTCACAGTTGTGCCAGCTCCAACAACTGGCCATCCAGCTGGGAGAAGGACAGTGGGGTCAGAAATGCAAAAACAGGAAGGAGGGGGAAAGGGAAGCAAAAATGACGGGGAGTTGGCGGCAGAGGAAAGGCTGAAGGTGAGGAGAGCCTGGATTTTTTGACATCATTTAGCACCAGTGAATTAAGAGAACTCATAGAGATGTTAAGGTGGATGATACGTCTCTGTCTAAAATATGGTCACTTAGTTTTCTTAGGTTCTCTGATCCTGCGATTCCAAACAGAGTTTGAAACCTGATAAACTTTAACCAAGTCGACCAGACTTAGACCACATACACTTTCCAGGTTTGGAGGTGAATTCTGTCTCAGTCGTCCTGGCAGGAGGGCTGAACAACTCAGGGAGCTTTGGTTTTAGGCATCCATGCCAAAGGCCTTGAGGGGAAAGCCAGAGAGCGAATCAAGAGGCACGAACAGCATCATAACTAAGAGACGGCAGGCTGGCCAGGCACAGGCTCGTCAGGGTCCTGGCTGGTTCAACTGAACCCCAAGCATCTGCACCTGCTCCATCACCTTGAATTCTCGCACCATCTATCCTTTCCAGGTAAAGCCCCTGATGGACAGGTGGGACACCTCTGGGGATCCACGTGATGATGTGCCCCTCCCCAGCCTTGGTGTGCTTTTACTACTGGTATGTGTAACTCTTCTTTGGAGGACTGCTTTGAGTTGCTGGGGTCATTTGATCACATGGATATGGAGAGTCAGAAATGCCTGGGACATTCCATCCCTGCAGCCCTCAGCCAACGACTGAGTGGTGTCTGGGTCTGGATCCTGGTTCCCTTGCCTAAGCTCTGGACAGACTCTGAGGCATAACTCATCCTCTAGAGCTCCTCTGCAAAAACAGATTGAAGCTGCCTCTGTAGGATTTGGCTGAGATCGAACCTTTCCCTGTCCTGCTTTCCAGTTCCCTTTCCCGTTTCCCCTGGAAGCACTTCTTTAATAAATCATTTGCTCCTGAATTCTCCTCTCAGCATCTGCTTCTGGGGAACCCAACTTAAGACAGGCAGTTTTTAAAATCCAGGTATCCCTGAGACAATAGTGCTTTATGATGGTAACAAGTCAGCTCTGATCTTTTCTTTTCTTTTTTGAGATGGAGCCTCACTCTGTCGTCCAGGCTGGAGTGCAGTGGCGCGATCTCGGCTCACTGCAAGCTCCGCCTCCCGGGTTCACGCCATTCTCCTGCCTCAGCCTCCTGAGCAGCTGGGACTACAGGTGCCTGCCACCACGCCCGGCTAACTTTTGTGTGTGTGTGTGTGTGTGTGTGTGTATTTTTAGTAGAGACAGGGTTTCACCATGTTGGCCAGGATGGTCTCAATCTCCTGACCTTGTAATCCGCCTGCCTCAGCCTCCCAAAGTGCTGGGATTACAGGTGTGAGCCACCGCTCCCGGCCAGCTCTGATCTTTTAATAATAGTAGTGCCAGCAAAGAGCTGGCCTTGACAAAACTGAATTTAGTATTGGTAAGTTGCAGCGTTTTTTCACTCTCTGGAGAAAGTCTCCTTGGTGTAGGGCACTCTCCGGAAACAGGCCAAGGCTCTTAGGGCTTTATGGATCGGAGGGTGAGAGGAGCATCCTGGAGCTGAGGAAAACTTTGCCGAGGGCTGCCTTCGCCCATTGCGATGGAGCCCCAAGTACATCCCTGGCTCAGAGAAGGGGCTCTGTCAATTATCTGCAGACAACTAGGGGGACCGTCAGGGTCCTAGGCTATGATTTCAAAGCAGAAGAGCTACCCATATTTCTGGCAACTTTTTACCATTACTCCAATCTGATAAGAATGAAATTGCAAATTAGAAGTTCAAGGCTGAATTATTTTAATAATTTTTGCAATGTTTTCCACTATCTTAGTATCATAGCCTATAGCAGTAATTTTAAAAATCCTTTTAGTAAAACAAATGCTTTTAGCAAATGGTCTTTTCCTCTAGGCACACAGGTGTTTTATTCTTAACTATATGATTATTGCTCCATTATAGATATATGAGACATAAACACCTATGTCATGCATGTTTACATTTTATACATATATGTGTGTATATATAACTTATATATACATATATAGCATATATATAACTTTTATATATATATAACATATGTCTATAACTTTTATATATACATATATAACATATGTCTATAACTTTTATATATACATATATAACATGTCTATAACTTTTATATATACATATATAACATATATGTGTATAAAGTTATGTGTGAACCAGTATCATTTATGGAACATAAAGGGAACACGTTTGATTTGAGCAGGGCAAGAGATGCGAACAATGTACACCTTCAGGCATGAGTGAGAAGTGATGGTAGAAGTTGAAAAGTCTGAATAAGTGGAATCAATTCACATTTATGTTAAACAGTCTGGGACCAAAGCGCAAAGAATGTAGTATTAAGTTAAATCAGTACTTAGGGTTGATATTGTAGAGTTTTGTTTTTAAAATGCAAGGAAATCTAGTTGCAAGTTAAAGTCCTAGATGTATGTGATTACTCTTTTTTTTTTTTTGAGATGGAGTCTAGCTCTGTTGCCCAGGCTGGAGTGCAGTGGCACAATCTTGGCTCACTGCACCCATCCTCCGCTTCCTGGGATCAAGCAATTCTCCTGCCTCAGACTCCCAAGTAGCTGGGATTACAGGCGCCCACCACCACGCCCAACTAATTTTTGTATTTTTAGTAGAGACGGGGTTTCACGGTGTTGGCCAGGCTGATCTCGAACTCCTGACCTCGTGATCCGCCCAGCTCAGTCTCCCAAAGTGCTGGGATTACAAGCATGAGCCACTGTGCCTGGACGATTACTCATACTTTTTTTGCTCAGTGTGAGGTTGAGAAAAGGAAAGGGTGTTGATATTAGGTTGGTGCAAAAGTAATTGCAGTTTCTGCTATTCGTTGGAGTTTTTGCCGTTACTTTTAATGGCAAAACCTGCAATTACCTTTGCACCAACTTAATAGTTCATGAATCTTTTTAAAAACAATTTTTCAAAATTATTGTTGTGAAGTATATTACAACTGAGAACAGAAATGCTGTGTAAAGTTCGAAGAATAAAATTGAAGCACACTCCTGCGTCCTCTGCACTCAGCGTTAGAAATAGGATATTTCTAGTACTGTTGAAGACCCACCCTCTGAATTCCCCCTCCTACCTCCATTACATCCTTTCCTCTCTCTTAAGATATAACAGATATCCCAGAATTTGTATCAGTTACTCATTTGCTTTTCTTTATAGCCTTACATCTAAGTATGGAGACTACAACAATATTTTGTTTAGCTTGGTATGTTGTAGACCTTTATATAAATGGAATCACACTGCATGTTTTTCTGTTAACTTTTTTTGTTTCAACATTACTTTTGAGATGTGTTTGAGATGAATTTGTAGTTTATTTAGTTTCATTGTATTCCATTTCCATTGTGTGATTGTGCCAGCTGGGTTCCAGCCAGCTTAGTGTGAGTGAACCTTGCTAGTGCCTTGCCTCAGACCTGTGGCACTAACCTCTTACCTCCTGCCCTAGGTGCTTAATTCTAAAATGTGGAAGAGTTTGCTCCCTTTGGGGTAAGCCTCTAACTGATGGTACGTGAAGGCTATGAATAAATGCTGCCTCTCCTTTTCTCTTCACCATGTACAACCTAGAGATGCATTTTGTACTGCTTCTCAGTGAGGACCCAGGAATCACAGCACCTCTGGCAGCACACAGAATGCACCCTCATGTTGCTCTCACTCCTTCCCTGCTTTGTTCCCTTGTTCTTACTTGCTCCCTGGGGTCACTCTCCAATACAATGCTATGCCTTAGTTGGCTGTGCTTTCTGGGAATCCCAGGGTAAGACACTTTGATTCCATTATAAACATTTACAGCTATACATTTTCTTTTCAGCACCTTCATTAGCTGTAACTCAATATATTTCGATTTGCAGGTTTTTTTGTTTTTGTGGAATGGAGAGTTCTAAGACTTTCCTAATTTTCACTATTATGTTGCATTGACCTATCAATTATTTGTATGTGTTTATATTTTGTAGATTTTGAAAGTTATCTTTTTTGTTATTGATCTCTATCTTAGTTATATTGAGATTAGAGGTTTTTTTCTGTTCAGTACTGATTCTTTGAAATTTATTGAGACTTGTTTTGTGACTTACTACATGGCCAATTTTTATAAATGTTCTCTATGCGCTTGAAAAAGCCTTTTCTTCAGTTTTGTGGGTACGATGTTCTATATTATTGTCCTCCCAAATCTTCTATATACTTGCTGATTGTTTTTCATATGCCTGATCTGTCAATTACAGAGAGAAGGATACTCATATCACTATGATGGCAGATTTGTCCATTTCTCTTGGGCAGTCAATTTTTGCTGCATATATTTTTGCTTTATATCATCAGCCAAAGTTAGCCAGGGCTCAATAATGGAGTTGAGGTCAAGAAAATGATTGTTTCAGCATTTCAAATTACCCTAGGCTGTTTTAAAAAGAAAAAAGTAGGTAAGCCTTAGCTGAACCATTTTCTTTAAAGTAAGTAATGGGTGAACATGTTAAAAAAAAACCCTCATTTGTCTATAGTAAGTTGTTCTATATGAATATATGGATTTTCCACATAACTGAAGTTTAGGCCAATTAAATGTCTAAATCTTTAAAAAAATTAACTGTTTTCTCTCCCCATCGTTTTATTTTGAAAAATTTCAAATCTATATAAATGTAAAAGACTAGTGTAATGAAAGCACATAAAATATGAGCACCTTCTTCAAGATTCACCAGTTATTAATGTTTTTGTCATATCTGCCTCCCCCTCACCCCATATATATTTTTTGGATTGAATCATTGGGAAACAGCTTGCAAGCATCATGATACTTCACCACTGTATGTTTCGGCATGCATCTCCGAAGAACAAAGATATCCTCCTAAGGAACCACAATACCGTTATCACATATAAGAATTTAATATTGATTCAATAGAAAATCATCTATTATATACTCATATTCAATTAAGCCCCAAAATGTCCTTTATAGTTAGTTTTTATTTAAAAATCTGGTATTCAAGTAAATTCCCCATTGCATTAGTTGTAATGCTTTTTAAGATTTAGAACAGGTAACCTCTCCCTTGCCCTGACCCTCAATTTTTTTTGTCTTGTAAGAAATTGACCCTTAGAGTCCAGGCCAGTTGTGCTGCAGAATGTCTCATTGGCTGGATTGTTTGATTGTTTCCTCATGGGTAGATTTAGGTTACTTTTTGGCAAGAATATTATTGAGGTGATATTTCCCTTGCATCATATCTGGAAGCACATGATGTCATTTCTCTCCCATTATTGGTGATGCTATTTCTTTGTTCAGATTTATTAAGGTATAATTTATATATCATATAATCTATCCTTTTTAGTGTATAGTTCCATTACCTTTTTTTTTTTTTTTCGAAATGGAGTTTCACTCTGCTGCCCAGCCTGGAGTGCAGTGGCGTGATCTTGGCTCACTGCAACCTCCGCCTCCTAGATTCAAGCGATTCTCCTGCCTCTGGAGTAGCTGGGACTACAGGCACCTGCCACCACTCCCAGCTAATTTGTTTTTTGTTTGTTTGTTTGTTTGTTTGTTTGAGACTAAGTCTCGCTCTGTTGCCAAGGCTGGAGTGCAATGGCATGATCTTAGCTGACTGCAACCTCCGCCTACCAGGTTCAAGCGATTCTCCCTGCCTCAGCCTCCCAAGCAGCTGGGATTACAGGTGCCCACCACCACACTCAGCTAATTTTTTGTATTTTTAGTAGACACAGGCTGGTCTCGAACTCCTGACCTCAGGCGATCTGCCTGCCTCAGCCTCCCAAAGTGCTGCGATTGCAAGCATGAGCCACCGTGCCCGTCCAATTTTTTGTGTGTTTTTAATAGAGACGGGGCTTCACCATGTTGACTGGGCTGGTCTCGAACTCCTGACCTCAGGTGATCCACCCACCTCAGCCTCCTAAAGTGCTGGGATTACAGGCGTGAGCCTCTGTGCCAACCCCATGACTTTTTAATAAATGCTTATGGTTGCCTAACTATCACTTCAATCTAGATGGAAAATATTTCTACCGTCCCCAAAAGTTCTCATGCCCCTTTGTACTCAATCCCCTCTTCACACCCCCAAATCCAGGAAACCACAGAATCAATTTCTGCCAGTGTAGTTTTGACTTTTCATTCATGTAAAATAAATGGAATCATGCACTATGTAACCTTTTGTATCTTGCTTCTTCCATTTAGCATAATAAGTTTGGGATTTACCCATGCTGTTGCATGTATCAATAGTTCGTTCCTTTTTGTTGATTAGCATTACATTGTATGCATATAGCAAAAGATGTTTATTCACCAACAGTTGATGGACATTTGGGTTGTTTCAAGCTTTTAGTTATGAACCAAGCTCCTGTGGACCTCTGTGTAGACCTATTTACATTTCTCTTGAATAAATACTTAGGAATGGGACTACTGGGTTGTATAGTAAATGTGTTCTTAACTTTATAAGAATCTGCTAAACTATTTTTTTCAGTGGCTGTACCATTTTGCGTTCCCACTAGCAATACATGAAAATTCTAGTTGTACCACATCCTTGCCAGAACTCAGTATTGTCAGTCTTTTAAATTTTAACCTTTCTAGTAGATGTGTAATGGAATCTTATGGTAGGGTGATGCTAATTATATGGTACAGTGGTGTCCACCAGCTCTTTCTATTGTAAATATTCCTTTTTACCTCTGTCATCAACAGATAATATATTTGTGGGCAATACCTTGAGGTCATGTGCATATTCTATTTTATTTCACTCAGTGGCTTTGGCATCTCTGAATAATATTTCCCTGAATTAATTATTACACTGGTGATCGCAAAATAAGTATTTAAGAAAATTCTTTTTCTACATTTATGAACTGATATTCTTTTTAAAATATTGCTTTATTTTTTATTTTTGTGGGCACATAATAGATGTATATATTTATGGGGCACATGAGGTGTTTTGATACAGGCATGCAATGTGAAATAAGCACATCATGAAGAATAGGTTATCCATCTCCTCAAGCATTTATCCGTTGAGTTGCAAACAATCCCATTACACTCTTTAAGTTATTTTAAAATGTAGAGTTATTATTTACTATAGTCACCCTGTTGTGCTATCAAATAGTAGGGCTTATTCCTTCTACTTTTTATACCCCTTAACAATCCCCACCTCCCCCACAACCCCCAACTACCCTTCCCAGCCTCTGATAACTATCCTACTCTCTTAGTCCAAGAGTTCAATTGTTTTGATGTTTAGATCCCTCAAATAAGTGAGAATGTGTGATCACTTAACATAATGATCTCCAGTTCCATCCATGTTGTTGCAGATGACAGGATCTCATTCTTTTTTATAGCTGAATAGTACTCCATTGTGTATCTGTAAAACTTTTTTTATTCATTCATCTGTTGATGGACACTTAGGTTGCTTCCAAATTTTAACTACTGTAAATAGTGCTGCAAAAAACATAGGAATGCAGATATCTCTTTAATATACTGATTTTCTTTTCTTTGGGTATATATCCAGCAGTGGGATTGCTGGATCATATGGTAGCTCAATTTTTAGTGTTTTTTTGAGGAACATCTAAACGTTCTCCATAGTGGTTGTACTAACTTACATTCCCACCCACAGTGTACAGGGGTTCCCTTTTCTCCACATCCTTGCCAGCATTTGTTATTGCCTGTCTTTTTGATATAAGCCATTTTAACTGGAGTGAGATGATATCTCGTTGTTTTGAGTTGCATGTCTTTGATGATCAATGATGTCAAGCACCTTTTCATAAACCTGTTTGCCATTTGTATGTCTTCTTCTGAGAAATGTCTATTGAGACATTTTGCTCATCTTTTGATTGGATTATTAGATTTTTTCCTGTAGAGTTGTTTGAGTTCCTCATATATTCTGGTTATTAATCCTTCGTCAAATGAGTAGTTTGCAAATATTGTCTCACATTCTGTGGGTTGTCTAGTCACTTTGTTGATCGTTTCCTTTGCTGTGCAGAAGCTTTTTAAGTTGATGTGATCCCATCTGCTCAGAAGCTTTTTAAGTTGATGTGATCCCATCTGCTTATGTTTACTTTGGTTGCCTGTGCTTGTGAGGGATTGCTCAAGAAATTTTTGCTCAGACCAATGTCCTAGAGATTTTTCCCCGTGTTTTCTTGTAGTAGTTTTATGGTTTGAAGTCTTAGATTTAAGTCTTTAATCCATTTTGATTTGAGTTTTGTGTAAGGTGAGAGATAGGGGTCTAGTTTTACTCTTCTATATATGGATATCCAGTTTTTCCAGCACCATTTATTGAAAAGACTGTCTTTTCCCCAGTGCATGTTTTTGACACCTTTGTTGAAAATGAGTTCACTTTACGTGTGTGGATTTGTTTCTGGGTTCTCTACTTTGCTGCATTCATCTATGTCTGTTTTTATGCCAGTACCATGCTGTTTTGGTTACTATAGCTCTGTAGTATAATTTGAAGTCAGGTAATGTGATTCCTCCAGTTTTGTTATTTTTGCTCAGGACGGCTTTGGCTATTCTGGGTCTTTTGTGGTTCCATATAAATTTTATGATTTTTTTCTATTTCTATGAAGAGTGTCATTGGTATTTTGCTAGGGATTGCATGGAATCTGTAGATTGCCTTGGGTAGTATGGACATTTTAATAATCAATTCTTCCAATCCATGAATATGGCATATTTTTCCATTTTTTGGTGTCCTTTTCAATTTCTTTCATCAATGTTTTATAGTTTTCATTGTAGAGATCTTTCACTTCTTCAGTTAAGCAAATTTCTAGCTATTTAATTATATATGTGACTATTGTAAATGAGATTTTTAAAAATTTCTTTTTCCCCTTGTTCACTGTGGGCATATAGAAATACTACTGATTTTTGTATGTTGATTTTGTATCCTGCAACTTTACTGAGTTTTCTTATCAGTCCTAATAGTTTTTTTGTGGAGTCTTTAGGTTTTTCCAAATATAAGACCTTATCATCTGCAAACAAGGATAATTTGACTTCTTCCTTTCCAATATGGATGCCCTTTCCTATCATTCTCTTGTCTGATCGCTCTAGCTAGGATTTCCAGTACTATGTTGAATAACAATAATGACAGTTGGCATCCTTGTTGTGTTCCAGATCTTAGAGGAAAGGCTTTCAGTTTTTTCCTATTCAGTATGATACTAGCTGTAGGTTTGTCATATATGGCTTTGATTATGTTGAGATATGTTTCTTCTATCCCCAGTTTGTGAGAGGTTTTATCATGAAGGAATGTTGGATTTTATCAAATGCTTTTCCAGCATCAGTTGAGATGATCATATGTTTTTATCCTTAATTCTGTTGATATGATGTATCACATTGATTGATTTGTGTGTGTTGAACCATCCTTTCATTCCAGGGATAAATCCCACATGGTCATGATGAATGAATTTTCTAATTGTTGAATTTGGTTTGCTAGTATTTTGACAAGGATTTTTGCATCAATATTTACCAGATATTGGCCTGTATTTTTCTTTTTTGGCATATCTTTGTCTGGTTTTCATAACAGGTTAATACTGGCCTCTTAGAATGAGTTTGAAAGTATTCCCTCCTCCTCTATTTTTTGGAATAGTTTGAATAGAATTGGTATCAGTTCTTCCTTAAATGTTTGGTAGAATTCAGCAGAGAAGCCATCAGGTCCTAGGCTTTTCTTTACTGGGACTCTTTTTTTACAACTTCAATTTCATTACTTCTTATTGGTCTGTTCAGGTTTTGGATTTCTTCCTGGTTCAACCATAATAGGTTGTGTGTGTCTAGGAATTTGTCCATTTCTTCTGGATTTCCTAATTTATTGGCATATAGTTGTTCACATCACAGTAGCCACTAATGATTCTGTAAATTTCTGCAGTATCAGTTGTAATGTCTTCTTTTTCATTTCTGATTTTATTTGGATCTTCTCTCTCTTTTTCTTAGTCTGGCTAAAGGTTTGTCAATTTTATTTAACTTTTCAAGAAACCAACTTTTTGTTTAATTGATTTTTTTTATTTTTAAATTTCAGTTTCATTTACTTCTGCTCTGATGTTTATTTCTTCCACTAATTTTAAGTTTGGTTTACTCTTGCTTCTCTACTTCTTTAAGATGAATCATTAGATTGTTTATTTGAAGTTTTTCCTCTTTTTTGATGTAGACATTTATAGCTATAAACTTTCCTCTTAGTATTGTTGCTTTTGCTTTACTTGCTACGTTTTGGTATGTTGTGTTTCCATTATCATTTGTTTTAAGAAATTTTTCAGTTTTCTTCTTAATTTCTTCACTGACCCACTGGTCATTCAGGAGCATATTGTTTAATTTTCATGTGTTTGTATAGTCTCCAAAATTCCACTTGTTGTTAACTTCTAGTTTTATTCCATTGTGGTCAGAGAAGATGATTGACAAATTTCAATTTTTGGATCTTTTAAGACTTGTTTTGTGACCTAACATATGGTTTATCCTTGAGAATGATCTATGTGCTTAGGAAATTAACTGATATTCTTTAGTAAAAAAGAATCTCTTCTCTTCCCCTCCAGCCCGGTTTTATAGTATCTACACAAATGGATTCCTTTTTATCTAGTCCATTATAATCCTTTACTTCATTATTGATTTTGGTGCTCAAACTGCCCTGAAGTTGACCATGGGAGCCTCCTGAACCTGGCTCTTGTGTCCTTTTGGCATGTCTCCATCAGTCTTTGAACGTATCCTCACCTTCTAGAATTGTAAGACTTTCCAGGCTCATCTTATACTTTCCTGGAATCATCCATTGCTCTAAAAAGCCCTGATTCTTTTTAAAGAGGAATCAATATTAAATCCTTATATGTCATAATGATATTGTGGTTCCTTAGGAGAATATCTTTGTTCTTGGGAGATACATGCCGAAACATGCAGAGGTGAAGTGTCATGATGCTTGCAAGTGCCCCAGTTACTGGGATATCATTGCTTTGAAGCCCTTTCAGTGGGTATACCTGGAGTATATGCTATATTTTTTAAAAATATTGATTTTATATTACATCTCCAATTCAAATCCAATACTACAGGGTTCTTTTTCATCTACACTCATTCCAAATTCTCCTACAGTGAGAGGCTTGATATTTTCTTCTCCAAAATATCAATATATTTATTTGTTTTATCCTGCAATTATATACAAAATAGTTTCAGAATTATACTTGTTGCTTTACTAACAACAAACCTACTATGTGAATTCAAGATTTTTTGCAGTTATTTGTGGCCACAAGATGTTACTCACTTAGATTATGTTATTTTCAAAAATTACTTGAATTGATTATACTTTCTCTGGTGTTATGTTAGCAATTTGATATACAATTAAATTGACTTGTGTCTGCATTTAATGTTAGGGTTTGATCCATTTTGAATGTGGAAGACATTTTCTTTCTTTCTTTCTTCTTTTTTTTTTTTTTTTTTTGATGGAGTCTTGCTCTGTCACCCAGGCTGGAGTGCAATGGTGGGATCTCGGCTCACTGCAAGCTCCGCCTCCTGGGTTCACGCTATTCTCCTGCCTCAGCCTCCCGAGTAGCTGGGACTACAGGCGCGCCCGCCACCACGCCCGGCTAATTTTTGTATTTTTAGTAGAGACGGGGTTTCACCATGTTAGCCAGGATGATCTCAATCTCCTGACCTCGTGATCCCAAAGTGCTGGGATTGCAGGCATGAGCCACCGTGCCCGGCAACATTTTACTGGTTTAATAGTGTAGGCCTAATCTTGTTTTCAGCAAGACAACTGATAAATTTCTCATGATAACTTCAGATAAAGTTTTATCTGCTAGAAGTACCCCAACTAAACAGTTGTGGTGTGGGTCAGTCTAATTTTGGAGAAAGGTTTCCAGTGACAACTATAGGACCCAGTGACATTATAGAAACAATTACCAATGCTCTCTTACTAGATGGTAGTAAGCTCCTTTGCAACAGACACTGTCTTTGAATCCCCAGAGCCTAAGAAATGATTAATACATAAAAGCTGTTCAATAAATCTTTATTGAATGAATGGAAGGGTGAACAAATAGATAAATCAGTGGTTGGGAAGAATATCTCCAGAAGCTAAAGTGATGGGTTACCACCAATTGAATTAAGTAGGACTGAATGAAGTGTGACATTTATGTTATAAAAAACAATGTACGTACAAACATAGAGAATGTGGGAATCCTGGCTTAGCAACTATGTAAAAAGATTTTTTTTTTTTACTCAAGATGTTGGTGCTCAAAAAGCTCAACACCTTGATAAAATTATAGAGTTCATTAAATATTTTCTCTGTGTATATAATATCGGGGTAGTCCCACTGCCCATTGCTCTGAAGTGCTGTATCCAATTCCAAGTCACACACTTTTTAAGTGGGACACTGAGGCAGAGGAAGTGCTTTTAGGAGGGTAACCAGGAGGTTGAAGAGTCTGAAAACCACATCCAGGTACTATTATAGGTGATAGAAAATGCTGGGGTAGCTTTCCTTGGAGATGATTTTGAGATGAGATGACATAACAACTCTTCAAATTCCTGAAAGATTGTCATGAAGGAAAAAGATTAGTCACTCTGTGGAGCTTCAAATAGCAGAACTAAGACCAATTCATGTAAGGCATAGAGGCTGACTTCAGCCCAATATAAGAAATTCCTACAGAGTTGAACACAGAGGGAATGAGTCACTTCACATTGATGAGCTCCAAACATGCTGGGGCCCGCGGCATTGTCAGCCACTGCCTGTGTGACCATCTTTCAGGAGTGTTGGAAGGGAATGCCCTGCTTGAATTAGATCAAATACACCTGAAGGAACTGTACAGCTGAAAGAATCCACACTTGAGCCTTCCAGGCTAGTGTCATCAAAGAACATTACTGTTTTCTAGTAACTAGATTTCTCTAATAATGGAGGAACATTTTCATGTACTGACAGGTGTGATTTTTGTGTAATTCACCATGTGGCTCTAAAGAGTGTTTATCAAATTCAGATCACACATACTAATCCTTAAAATACTGCTGAATATACTGCTGTTAGAGCTTCACAATCAATGAGAACATCTTAGAGGGTCTGAGGAGGAAGTTGTTTTAACTTTAACTCAAAATTGCTTAAACATAGTTGTCAACAGAACTAATTTTTTTAATGCTACTATCTCTGCTTCCAAGTTTCCTTGGTAATACTGGCTGCTTTCCTCCTTTTTGCGTCTCCTGCCTCTGGGGTCATCATTTAATGCTGTTTCTAGTGTTTGAGACCGCAGTCTCAAACACAATTTTCTAAAGCAACCACAAGGTGGCTCTGCTAGTCTTACAAAATAAAGCTGCCGGCCTTTCCTGTAACCTCCGTCTCCTAAGGGCCTTGTGCAGGACTGCTCCGCAAGGCCTGGGAGCACTAGGTTACCAGTGTACATGAGTTAAGCTAGAACGACTGCGCCTGACCCAGATGAGTGACGTCTTCCAAAGAGCGTTATAAGTACTGGTGTTTTCTGGTTGTCTCTTCCAAGTTCCCATTTTGAGGATAAATTTCCTTAGAATTCATGAGTGGAACTCTTTTCTTCCAGGTCAGTGAAGAGCAGAAGGCCCTGAAATCTGGCAAGACCCGTTTCCTGCGAAGCCACTAGATCGTTTCAACTAAGTATATTTCATTTCCTTCCTGGTCTGTCAGCAGAGAGAGAGGTGAAGCAGGAAGCTGAGCTGTTGGCACCTCCAGCTTAGCCCTCTGTGCTAATGAGTTAATTCTAATTAGCAGCAGCAGGAACAGTTTAATGGTGTTCCGATCCTGACTGCACCATCATCAAAAAAAAATTGATTTTTGCAGGTGTATGCATTTTAATGAATGGGAAAAACAAGCATTGTCCTCAAAGCTAAGAAAGGGATATTTCTCACTGAGTCGAAAGAGCTTACACCAGCTGTGCTGCGGGCGGGCAAGAAAGGTTAATGGTTTCCAAGGGCTCTCAGTGTCCTTTGGTTCCCGATTCTAAGATCTATGTGTACATAGACGGTACCTTCAGATATCTTCAGAAAAATCTCTCTGCTTCTTTGTATCAGCTCCTTCTGTGTTGCCCACTGTGTTCTTCCTGGGTAAGTCCTCCCCGAACTTCAGAATTTCATCCATTCATTCATTCACTCATTCATTCACTCATTCAGTAGAAATATTTACACCTACTTTGTGTACAGTACATATGCTACATGCTATAGTTATTGATTGATTGATTGAGACGAAGTCTCGCCCTGTCACCCAGGCTGTAGTACAGTGGCACGATCTCGGCTTACTGCAACCTCCGCCTCCCAGGTTCAAGCAATTCTCCTGCCTCAGCCTCCTGAGTAGCTGAGATTACAGGCACGTGCCACCACACCCAGCTAATTTTTGTATTTTTAGTAGAGATGGGGTTTCACCATGTTGGCCAGGCTGATCTCTAAATACTGACCTCAGGTGATCCACCCACCTTGGCCTCCCAAAGTGCTGGGATTACAGGCGCGAGCCACTGCCCCCGGCCCTATCGGCGATCTAAAGATGAATTCCCGTCTCATGGAGGTTGGTAAGGGGGGCAAATACACAAATACATGAAAAGTAACAAGTTATGAGCCAAAGGTTGGACAGGACAAGGAATGTGTGCTGAATATGGAAATTTCACCTTGTGGATTCTCAACTAGAACGCTGCATTATGAGGTCGGAGAGAACTCTGTAGAATTCTCTCCCAGAGGGTTATCTATGTTCAGTCACCATTTATTCTTTTTAAATTGTCTGAAGTTCTCAAAGAGGTGGGAGGGAAAGGAGGATCAGTGGTCACATCATTGCTTATCCCTGGGGTTCCAGGAAGGATGTTACCGACAAGAAGGTAATAATACCTGGAAGAGGACTTAGAAAATGTGACAGAAGTAGAGGCTAGCATACTGGCTGACCAAAGATATTTTCTTGATATTTCTGCCCAGCAGGATATATTGGCTCTGGAGTTATTTTTTGTCTGTCTTCAAATGAGATTTTAAAAAGTTATTCATAAAAATTGTCAACATACAAGAATAGTATAATAAACATGCATATTTCCAACAGGAAGATTCAACAGTTGCTAATATTTTGCCACATTTGCTTTGTCTACCTGTGTGTTCCCAAAATATCTCTTAAAGATGTTTTCCCTCTGAAACTAGCATCCAATTAAAACTCATGCATTGGTTCATTGGTTGCCACATCTCTTTAGTCTCTTTTAATATAGGAGAGTTTTTTGTTTTTTTGTTTTTTGTTTTTTTAAGACAGTCTTGCTCTGTCATCCAGGCTGGAGTGCAGTGGTGTGATCTCAGCTGACTGCAACCTCCGCCTCCCGGGTTCAAGCGATTCTCCTGCCTCAGCCTCCCAAGTAGCTGGGATTACAGGCATCTGCCACCACGCCCAGCTAATTTTTGTGTTTTTAGTAGACACAGGGTTTCAGCATCTTGGCCCAGCTGGTCTTGAACTCCTGACTTCGTGATCCACCCGTCTTGGCCTCCCAAAATTCTGGTATTACAGGCGTGAGCCGCCGCACCTGGCCAACAGTTCTTTGTAAAAAAAAAAAGACTCTTTGAAGAGACCATGCTTCAATTGTCTTACACATTATGGAATGTCCCTTATTCTGGATTTGTCTGTTGGTTTCCTCTGATGTCTTAAAACTTGCCCTACTATCCTTCTGTGTTTCCTAGAAACTGTAAACTTAGTCATAAAGATGATCCTGAGTGCACAGTCTTTCTTGAGACTTTCAGCCAGTAATGAAAGACAGACAAGTGTTAGCAAAGGTGTGGAGAAATGGGAACCCTCATATATTGCTGGTGGGAATGCAAAATGGTGCAGCCGCTCTGGAAAAATAGTGTGTCTATTTCTTTAAAAGTTACAGATAAATTTATCATACAACTCAGAAATTCCACTCGTATCTACCCAGGAGACATAAAGACATATGTCCACACAAAGACCTGCCCATGAATGTTCGTAGCAGCATCGCTTTTAATGGGCAAAAAGTGGTAACAAGTCAAATGTCTATCAACTGATGTATGAATAAACAAAATATAGTATATCCACAGAACATTGTTCAGCAATCAAAATTAATGAACTATTGTGATTCCTCAAAATATTAAAAATAGAACTACCATGTGATCAAGCAATCTCACTTCTGGGTGTATATCCAAAACAATTGAAAGCAGTGTCTCAAAGAGATATTTGCACACCCATGTTCATAACAGTATCATTCAAAATAGCCAAGAGATAGAAGCAACCCAGATATTCATTGATGCATGAATGGATAACCAAAATGTAGTATATACATGCAGTGGAATATTTTTAGCATTAAAAAGGAAGGAAATTCTGTAAATTCTGTAAATGCTACAACATGGATGAAACTTGAAGATGTTAAATGAAATAAGCCAGTCACAAAACGACAATCATTATATGATTCCTCTTATATGCGGTATCTAAAGTAGTGCTTTATGCCCTTTTTAGTCTGAGTCTGGCTATGGTTCTGCTGGTCACCTCTGGGGGTTTCAAGAGCCCGTTCCACATCTGCATTAGTGGTTGTGGCCTCTGGAGTCCTTTCCTAAACTGTTGCAAGCTGAACTGATCTTAGGACTCATGAGTTGATCAGTTCAGCTTGCAACAATTTAGGAAACTTCACTGGATGCATGGTTAGCTACAGTGACAGCCTGACTCAAATGAGCGCTTTTTGTCACAGGTTTAATGTAGCCGAAAGCCCATGTGCCATATTGAAAACTCCTCACAACCGCATCCTAGCTAAACTTCACTTCCATCATCATAATAACCCAGACACAAGGATAAGCAAGAAGGCATTATTTAGAGGAGAAGTGGGGATGTGATCTTCATCCCCAATTCAGACATGTGTGTTCTTTCATGTTTCATTTGGTTATGTTTTCTTCCTGTGGGTGCATGTGATTTGTCACACACCTGCCTCTATGAGCACTGGAAATGTCTGTGAGGAGACCTGGTAGCTCCTGACACCTTGACATCAGAAATAATTAGGAGTTGTTCCAGAGCATTGCATCAGATGATAAGCTAAATATTGGAAATACAAAGCCTCTAGCCCTGATAGGGTAAAGGTAACAGAGCCCAGCTCTAACTCTCCAGCTATGCCTTTGATTATGAGGAAGGTATATGAATATTTATAAGACTTTAAAAAAGAATTTGGATTATCATCAGATGGCTTCAAACACATGTAATGTTAAAATGTTCTAAGAAGAAGACTAAGGGAAGACAAACACTGGCCAAGGCAGGCTTTATTTAGTCCATTTCTCTGACCCATTAAATTTATACTGAGTTGCCTCAGTATAAATTTCCTATTTCTGTTATTTACTCATGTAATCTAGGGTCAGTCATACAACCAGGGAAAGTATGAAAATATATTCTAATATGCGGCAGGTTCTGACCCATCAGAGGGATGGTCCCCAAGATTCCTGCTGTGCTAGGCATTAATTCTTCAGTTGGTGAATTGTAGTGAGGTCTAGGATGTCCTGGGAGAAGGTCTAGGACAGCCAGGGGCAAAGAGAGGCTTTGGGACAAAAGCTTGAATAACTATTAGCAGAATAACTCAGAAGATTTGGGGCAACAGTTATTTATCACCTGGTTTGGATTTTTTTTTTTTTTTTTTAACAATTGGTATGGCTACACTAGTGCATAATGGCCACGTATAACCTTTCCATGGTTCTGTTCCTAATCTGCAGAATGGGGATAATATCCAGGCTGCCTGCCTTGTAGAGTTGTTGAACCTTATATATAGATATTCTCTGAGCACAGTAAAGCCTGTAAAACAGAAATACAGAGTAAGAGTTTTTGAGAGTAATTCCTTCCTGCTGGGGGGTGGGAAGCTTTCCCAGCTGGTGAAGGTTCTCTGGGGCTGAGGTTGTTAGAGGGCCAACTCCAATCTGAGATTACACAATATTCAAATAAAACTAAGGACTAAAAATAGACAGTGGGATTGGCTCTCTAGGAGAGCACTTCAGACAGCTCCTGGGGCCAGAGTATGGAAGACCAGGACTGAGGCTCCAGGAAGAGGAAAGAATGACCCCTTCCATCGCTGGGGCTGTCTCTGATGTCTGGATCCTTTACCTGCTCCCTGTAGGGTGATTTGGTGTGCGTGAATGAGGGATGGAGGGGAGAAGAAACCCATGTTTCAACTCTGATCCCATCAGGAGGTAACTGTTTTCTGTCAAAGGGAGTATAATTAAAAGAGTCTGACTTGTAACCGGAACTCATTAAATATTTGATAATTAACTCTGTAGTAGTACTAGCAGGACACAGGAGAACACAGGACAGGACACAGCACTCAGAGACAGGGAGAAAGCAACTAACTATTAAAATGGAAGATAATCCATTGATGGGAACAGGTAATTAGTGGCAGGCATGTTTCAGAGCATGTTGAAACAATGCAATGTCTTTATATCTCTCGATTCATTTATTTAATACAAAAATTCATGGCATCTTATGGTAGATGAGGATGTATTTATCTTACATGATGCTGCCATCACCCTGTCCTTCTCATATACTTGTCTTAGTCCGTTTTGTGCTGCTAAATCCTGGCTCAGTCACTTACTAGCTGCGTCTCTGGACAAGTAACCTATGTGTCAAGGGTTGTCAGACTTAGCAAATAAAAATACAGGATGCCTAATTACATCAGAATTTCTAATTGTCCATGCATATATGCACTCAGATAATAAGAAAATATTGTACAGAACATACTTTAACAATTACTTGTTTATTTGAAATAAAATATCAGTATCTAAATTACATACCTCTTTAATTGTATTTCTCCAATGATTTGGCTCTCATTAATGGTTCTTTGTTTCGTAGAATGTGCTTATAAAATTCCTTACAGTTACAGTCTAAGTTCCATTTACATTGCAACACAGCTTCTACAGTTATCATATGCAACTCACTTTATTCTTTTGTCCACTGAACCTTCATTAATGAGAAAACATACGCAACATTAGCATGATGAGCCGGTATACTGGGCATGTACTGGCATAAAGTTAACAACCCAGAGAGCTTCTCTTCAAATATGATTTGTTGAAGTATATAATACCATCTTTCATGGTATTGCTTTCCTACTCTTTAGGATTACATTGCATCTCTTCATCAACAACTTTTAAATAATCCACTGACAAAAAAGAGCATTGATATCAACTTTTATTTTCCTCTTCTTCAATGCTACATATAAAAACTTCACTTGCTCACAGGCCAGAAGTGCATGTAAAAGAATAGAGTTCTCCAAGGGCTGATACCATTTCAAAAGATAGTCATGGCAAGTGCCATAATAATTATCCACTTTAAGTAGGAATTTATTTTCCCGTTCTTAAGTAATATTGTTTTTTTAAGAACAGCCTTGACACTTAAAGGGATAATTTTTGGTCAATATTTTCTTTAATGTACTCAAGAAGTTCTTTTAAGCTCTGGAGTACTTCAATAACACTGTTTTCTTCAGTTTGCATGATCCTATTGCTAAAAGAGATATTAAAAATTAGGAACTAGAAATTAATAGGCTTCTATGGATTGTTTAAAGAGTCAGCTGCATTTGTTCAAGAGAGCTAACAGGGTTTTGGATGAGAGGGAATTGAAAAACTGTATCAGGTCTGCAAGACCATCCTCACCCTCAGAAATGTACTAGAAGATGGCTTTAACCATTCTACGACGTAAATGTTCTTCAGAACATACTGTTCTATACAATAAAACATACAGTGTTATCTGTCGCCTAAAAATAATAAATACTTTTTTTTTGAGACAGGGTCTTGCTCTCTTGCCCAGGCTGGAGTGCAGTGGCATGATCATAGCTCACTGCAGCCTTGACCTGGTCTCAAGTGATCCTCCTAGCTTAGCCTCCTGAGTAGCTGCAATTGTAGGCACACACCACCATCCCTAGCTAATTTTTATTTTTTTGTTTGAATTTTTGTTTTTAACTTTTATTTTAAGTTCAGGGGTACATATGCAGGTTTGTTATATAGGTAAACTTGTGTCATGGGGGTTTCTTGTACAGATTATTTCATCACCCAGGATTAAGCCTAGTATCTGTTGGTTATTTTTTTCTGTTTTTATAAAATGAGATTTCATACTTCTATATTGTAACTCACAAGAGGAAATATTTTTCTGTTGCATTCCAGAACACATATACACGCAACCCCCAAAGTTTCATAAAACAATACTTATCCTGCAATATGTAATGCATTAAAAATTTTTCTTGAAAAAAATGCTGGTTGCAAACCGTGAATGGTTGCGATCCATGGTTTGAAAAGCACAGCTCTAACACAGGTAACATTTATAAAGCCATACCATAGCCAGACACTATACATTCACATTTATTACCCTCGTTTAATCCTTCCATCAACTTCATGATTTAGATTATCATCCCCGTTTTACAGATGAGAAAACTGAGGCTTAAGGAAGTTACTGCTCAAGGTCACATTTTGGTAGTAAGGTGTGGTAGTAAGTTGCCAAGCAGGGATTTGAACCAAAGACTGAAGCTAGGAACCAAATGCTTGGTCACCAGACTATATGGCCTTAGCTGCAGAAATTCAGGGCATACTCATGTCCTTGGTAGAGCACTCGGATCCCCCAGAAGAGTTTTGGCAAACATTCCTGTGCAGCGCTTGTCATCACTCCTTGGATCCGCTTCATTTGCTCTTCGTGTGTGCGCGTGTGCGAGGACAGAGCGGGATCCCTGGGGGCCACTCTGCTTCGCTATGGCCATCATACTGCTCAAGTCGGCAGGGATGTTTTCTTGAGGGAGAGGGTGGGAAAAAGAGGATTTCAGTTTGAGTGTACACTGGTCTGTGGCTTGTTTCTGCTTCACTATGATTCTTTATCTTTTATGAGGTGATACTAAGTCAGATATGTATTTAAAGGATATAAGAAAAAGCCACGTGGGTGTTGAAGTTCACAGATGGGAAGCAAAGATCAGGGCATGTGCACGTATCCAGGGTGCTAACATGTACCTGGCTCTAAACTACTCACTGACCGCCGCTCCCATCTGGAGGTCCATTGGTTCTACTCTTTTCTCTTTCCCTTCTGGGCTGGTTCTTCACCTAAAGGGCCCTTGGTCTAGGGATGGGTTCAATTGATGAGACGCACAAGGAGTGGTAGGCAGGCTAATAATTTGGATCCACTTCATACAGACTTTTCACTGATGTCTTGGCAGTCATTTGTTGGGGAGGCCGCAGATGATGAGGGAAGGAGGTCTCAGCGGCTTCTCAGCAGTGGGAGCATATGCCAGTCTCACAGTCAGCCCACTCGACTGCACAATGCTGAGCTCAGCAGCACACAGGACCCATATCACCAGCGGGCATCAGGGGCCACCTGGAGTGTGACCCCTGCAAGCCCCAAGTGGATTTTCAAACTTGAGAGTTAGTCAGAATCACCTGGAGGCTGTTAAAATACCAACTGCTGGGCCCCACTCTCAGTTTCTGGTTCAGTAGGCCTGGAGTGGGGACTGAGAACATGCATTTCTTTTCTTTTCTTTTTTTTTTTTTTTTGAGACAGTCTCGCTCTGTTGCCCAGGCTGGAGTGCAGTGGTGCAACTCGGCTCACTGCAACCTCTGCCTCCCTGGTTCAAACCATTCTTTTGCCTCGATTTCTGTAGTAGCTGGGATTACAGGCTCTTGCCACCATGCCTGGCTCACCATGTTGTCCAGGCTGGTCTTGAACCTGACCTCAAATGATCCACCCACCTCAGCCTCCCAAAGCGCTGGGATTACAGATGTGAGCTACAGCGCCCAGCCAAGAATGTGCCTTTCTGACCAGTTCTCAGGTGATGCCGATGGATGTTGATGTTGTTGGTCTGGGGACCTCAAGAAAAGCAACCTTGAGGAGGATTCTAGCAAAGTCTCTCCACATTTCTTTGATATTTACGGGCTCCTAGATGGGGCCCCTTCTCTCTACTGGCTGGCTCACCCTTTAAGCTGATGTGCTGCAAGTCTTGAAAAGAGAGAAATAAAAAATCCATTAGTCTGGCTGGGAAAGCCCCACCCAGCCTCGCAGAGAGGAGTTTCTGTGTGATTCCAAACTCACACAGGTGTTTAAAATGTTTGTTAATTTACTTCACGTGAGGTTGCAGTGAGCTGAGATTGTGCCACTGCACTCCAGCCTGGGTGACAGAATGGGACTCTGTCTCAAAACAAACAAACAAACAAACACGCAAATTTACCCCACCTGAAAGGTTTCTGCATCCGGGGTTGGTGGATTCTAACTACCTAAGCGGCCTAGCCACATGACCAAAAGCTGGTAATATTTTGGGCTCTTTCAAGAGGGGAAGTACAGGGCTGGGCACAGTGGCTCATACCTGTAATCCCAGCACTCTGGGAGGCTGAGGCAGGACGATTGCTTGAGGCCAGGCATTTGGGACTGGCCTGGGCAACATAGTGAGACCCTGACTATTAAAAAATAAAAAAAAAAAATAGCTAGGCATGATGGTACATGCCTGTAGCCCTAGACACAAGGAGGCCAAGGCACAAGGAGCACTTGAGCCCAGGAGTTCAAGGCTGCAGGGAGCTGTGATTGTGCCACTGCACTCCAGCCTGGGAGACACAGCAAGACCTTGTCTCAAACAAAAAAGAAGTACAGTATGAAAAGGACAGTATAGTATGAAAAGGAGACTTAGCACATGCACTTCTACCCAAATGTACTTTGTGTACATGATGTCACCAAGCCCATTCAAATATGCATAGATTATAGATTTGCTTGCGCCTAAGCCTTTTGCATATTCAGTCTGGTTGCTATGATCACAAACCTGAAGTTGACAGAAGGAAAGAAACCTGGGGATCAACTAAACCAACAAGGTGCATCTTTATTTTTCACTCCCACTCCCCAGAGCCCAGGTTCTGAAAGACTGTGGCTTCTACTCATTCATTTCCCATGAATGCACCAATCAGCACTATCAGAACTCCTCTGCCCAAGCCAAAAGCTGGGGCTGCCTTTGTGCAGAAAGAGGTCCTCTTTCATTACATCTGGAAATACTGAGGAGAGCTCAGGGGTGCTTTTTCTTCCTGCGTGGGAACCAGCTGGGAACCAATCAATGGGCTGCAAATGACGGCCACATTCCTCTGTCACTGTGCCCTCAGCAAAATGTTATCAGTCTCAGTGAAAACGGAATAGGAAAAATGCGAGGAGCCTTGAGGTATTCCTATCTTCTGAGTGCAGCTGGCTTGAGAGCTGAGGAACATTCATTCTTTCTAGCCAAAGGCCTATAAAAACCCAGAGGTAGAATCCTAAGGGATGTCTGAAGGAACCCCACTCTATGGGAAAGGTAAACATACTATGCACAAGTTTAAAGGATTCATTTCTATTTTTAGGACTCAGAAATAAAATTCAATGCATCTCCATCACTACTGACTGCATTCCTTAGAAATGCCAGTGGGAAAACAACTAACCTGGCGCACTGTAAAGAATGCCCTTGAAGATGGAGTATTATCAACCTCTCTCCCCTAGGGGAGGGCCAGAGCTACAGTGCTGCTGTAGTCATTGAATACAATCACACTTCTTTCATATACCTAAGTGAACCGTTTCCCTCGCATCCGTGTGAAGAGACCACCAAACAGGCTTTGCGTGAGCAATAAAGCTGTTTATTTCACCTGGGTGCAGGCGGGCTGAGTCCGAAAAGAGAGTCAGCGAAGGGAGATAGGGGTGGGGCCGTTTCATAGGATTTGGGTAGGTAAAGGAAAAAGGGGGGTTGTTCTCTGGCAGGCGGGAGTGGGGGTCACAAGGTGCTCAGTAGGGGAGCTTTTGAGCCAGGATGAGCCAGGAGAAGGAATTTCACAAGATAATGTCATCAGTTAAGGCAGGAACAGGCCATTTTCATTTCTTTTGTGGTGGAATGTCATCAGTTAAGGCAGGAACCGGCCATCTGGATGTGTATGTGCAGGTCACAGGGGATATGATGGTTTAGCTTCGGCTCAGAGGCCTGACAAACCGTAAATTTAAAAATGTTTTAAAAATGCATATTGAAAACAAATGCTATCAACTTGATCTGAAACAGCATTCTTTTTTTAAATCTTAGCATCTCAGCCTTGCCTGTAGAGCATGAAGAGCACCGAAGAGGTGAGTTAAAGTTAACTAACTCAGAAAAGCTCTTAGGAAAGCCCATCAACACAAAGGAATCGATTCAGGCTGCAGAAAGCAAAGGAGACAGACCTGGTGGGGTAAGCCAATTCAGGAGAGGGACCATAGGCTGGGTGCAGTGGCTCATGCCTGTAATCCCAGCACTTTGGGAGGCCGAGGTGGGTGGATGGCTTGAGGTCAGGAGTTGTAGACCAGCCTGGCCAACATGGCGAAAACCTGTCTCTACTAAAAAACACAAAAATTAGCCGGGCATGGTGGCTATTTGGAAGGCTGAGGCATGAGAATTGGTTGAATTCAAAAGGTGGAGGTTGCAGTGAGCCGAGATCGCACCATTGCGTTCCAGCCTGGGCAACAGAGTGAGACTCCATCTCAAAAAAAAAAAAAAAAAAAAAAAAAAAAAAAAAAGGACAGGCACCATAAACTCCTTTAAAACCAAAAGAATAAGATAGCCTCATTCAAGAGAAGGAGCAATGAAATAAACACCGAACCAGAGAAAACTCCAGTAGACTGTGGACAGTCGGCTATCCCCTAAGGGTAACACTGCCAGAGAGGAGAGTTAAATCAGAACAGGTTTTGGAAAAATTGTGTTGCATTTTGTTTCCATGTGGAAGCACTGACAGAAGTGAAAAGGCAGCATGCTCCATTTACTTTTGTGAAAAATCACATGGCTAGATTTAAGGGAGGAGACCATCCCTCATATTGTCTTATGCCCAATTTCTGCCTCCAAAGAAAGAAGTAAAAACTAAAAGGCAGAAATGAAATCGACAAGCAGACAGCCCGGCGCCACACCCTGGGCCTGGTAGTTAAAGATCAAGCCCTGACCTAGTCGATTATTTGCATAAAAAAAGCACTGTGAAGATCCCTGTCCTGTTGTGTTCGGTTCTAATTACCGGCGTATGCAGCCCCCAGTCATGTACCCGGTGCTTGCTCAATCGATCACGACCCTCTCACGCGGACCTCCTTAAGAGTTGTGAGCCTTTAAAAGGGACAGAAATTGCTCACTTGGGGAGCTTGGTTTTTGGAGATGTGAGTCTTGCTGAATGAAGCTCCTGGCCGAATAAAGCCCTTTCTTCTTTAACTCAGTGTCTGAGGGGTTTTGTCTGCGGCTTGTCCTGCTACAGATTAACTTTCTCCCTACCCAGGGCAGGATTGAATAAACCTTACCTCCTACCTCCACCCAAAGCAAAAGCTACAAAAGGGGGTTTGTGGCAACAGCTTAAAAAACAAATCAAGGTATGAGAATTCCCAGATGGTCAATCATTGTATTTGTTATTTTTGCATTTGGAGGGCACTCCCTACCTCTGTCACCTCTCCCCACCATCACCACCTCCTTCAAACAAGAGTCACACAGAAGATACCTCTCAAATGCAAAATCTATTCTGTCTCAGTGCCACAGGCTTAGGTCTATCTGTGGATTCCAGCTAATGGGATGGCCATATGTCAACTTAGAAAGGGTGGGGGCTGTGATGTGACCCCAGCATCATGGTCAGCTCCATGCCAGTACAACAGTCTTCCAAGTTAAAATGTAGATAAGACACAGGTACATGTACATTTATGGAGGTTAAATAACAGAAAGTGAATCCACTTTAAAGGTTTATAAAATGAGATAGGGATGATGGTAGGGCTGCATGTGTTGGGCACTGGTGCCTGTTGCAGTCATAATTAACACTGCTTAACTGACATCTTGCTGAGGAAGAGAGGGCGATGGAGTGGTAAGAAAGAAAGTAGACATAAGAAAGCAAAATGAAGGCCGGGCATGGTGGCTCATGCCTGTAATCCCAGCACTTTGGGAGGCTGAGGCGGGCAGATCACAAGGTCAGGAGTTCGAGACCAGCCTGACCAACATGGTGAAACCCCGTCTCTACTAGAAATACAAAAATTAGATGGGCTAATAAATGTCTTCTTTTGAGAAGTGTCTGTTCATATCCTTCGCCCACTTTTTGATGGGGTTGTTACTTTTTTTTTTGTAAATTTGTTTAAGATCTTTGTAGATTCTGGATATTAGCCCTTTGTCAGATGAATAGATTGCAAAAATTTTCTCCCATTCTGTAGGCTGCCTGTTCACTCTGTTGATAGTTTCTTTTGCTGTGCAGAAGCTCTTTAATTAGATCCCATTTGTCTATTTTGGCTTTTGTTATCATTGCTTTTGGTGTCTTAGTCATGAAGTCTTTGCCCATGTCTATGTCCTGAATGGTATTGCCTAGGTTTTCTTCTAGGGCTCTTATGGTTTTAGGTCTTATGTTTAAGTCTTTAATTCATCTTGAGTTAATTTTTGTGTAAGGTGTAAGGAAGGGATCCAGTTTCAGCTTTCTGCATACGGCTAGCCAGTTTTCCCAGCACCATTTATTAAATAGGGAATCCTTTCCCCATTGCTTGTTTTCTCAGCTTGTAGATGTGTGGTGTCATTTCTGAGGCCTCTGTTCTGTTCCATTGGTTTATATATCTGTTTTGGTACCAGTACTATGCTGTTTTTGTTACAGTAGCCTCGTAGTATAATTTGAAGTCAGGTAGCGTGATGCCTCCAGCTTTGTTCTTTTTGCTTAGGATTGTCTTGGCGATGCAGGCTCTTTTTTGGTTCCATATGAATTTAAAGTAGTTTTTTCCAATTCTGTGAAGAGAGTCAATGGTAGCTTGATGGGGATAGCATTGAATCTATAAATTACTTTGGGAAGTATGGCCATTTTCACGATATTGATTCTTCCTATCCATGAGCATGGAATGTTTTTCCATTTGTTTGTGTCCTCTCTTATTCCTTGAGCAGTGGTTTGTAGTTCTCCTTGAAGAGGTCCTTCACATCCCTTGTAAGTTGTATTCCTAGGTATTTTATTTTTTTGTAGCAATTGTGAATGGGAGCTCACTCATAATTTGGCTCTCTGTCTGTTATTGGTTTATAGGAATACTTGTGATTTTTGCACATTGATTTTATATCCTGAGACTTTGCTGAAGTTGCTTATCAGCTTAAGGAGATTGTAGACTGAGATGATGGGGTTTTCTAAATATACAATCATATCATCTGCAAACAGAGACAATTTGACTTCCTCTTTTCCTAATTGAATACCCTTTATTTCTTTCTCTTGCCTGATTGCCCTGCCCAGAACTTCCAATACTATGTTGAACAGGAGTGGTGAGAGAGGGCATACTTATCTTGTGCTGGTTTTCAAAGGGAATGCTTCTAGTTTTTGCCCATTCAGTATGATATTGCCTGTGGGTTTGTCATATATACTCTTATTATTTTGCAATACGTTTCATCAATTCCTAGTATATTGAGAGTTTTTAGCATGAAGGGCTATTGAATTTTGTTGAAGGCCTTTTCTGCATCTATTGAGATAATCACGTGATTTTTGCCATTGGTTCTGTTTATCAACTAACGGGCAAAATAAACAGCTAGCATCATAATGACAGGATCAGATTTACACATAACAATATTAACCTGAAATGTAAATGGGCTAAATGCCCCAATTAAAATACATAGACTGGCAAGTTGGATAAAGAGTCAAGACCCATCAGTGTGCTGTATTCAGGAGACCTATGTCATGTGCAAAGACACACATAGGCTCAAAATAAAGGGATGGAGGAAGAGCTACCAAGCAAATGGAAAGCAAAAAAAAAGCAGGGGTTGCAATCCTAGTCTCTGATAAAACAGACTTTAAACCAACAAAGATCAAAAGAGCCAAAGAAGGCATTACATAATGGTAAAGGGATCAATTCAACAAGAAGAACTAACTATTCTAAATATATACGCACCCAATACAGGAACACCCAGATTCATAAAGCAAGTTCTTAGAGACCTACAAAGAGACTTTGACTCCTACACAATAATACTGGGAGACTTTAACACCCCACTGTCAATATTAGACAGATCAATGAGACAGAAAGTTAACAAGGATATCCAGGACTTGAACTCAGCTCCGCACCAAGTGAACCTAATAGACATCTACAGAACTCTCCACCCCAAATCAGTAGAATATACATTCTTCTCAGCACAACATCCCACTTATTCTAAAATTGACCATTTAATTGGAAGTAAAACACTCCTCAGCAAATGCAAAAGAACGGAAATCGTAACAAAACAGTCTCTCAGACCACAGTGCAATGAAATTAGAACTCAGGATTAAGAAACTCACTCAAAACTGCACAACTACATGGAAACTGAACAACCTGCTCCTGAATGACTACTGGGTAAATAACGAAATGAAGGCACAAATAATGAAACCAATGAGAACAAAGACACAATGTACCAGAATCTCTGGAACACATTTAAAGCAGGGTGTGGAGGGAAATTTATAGCACTAAATGGCCACAAGAGAAAGAATGATCCAAAATCGACACCCCAACATCACAATTAAAAGAACTGGAGAAACAAGGGCAAACAAATTCAAAAGCTAGCAGAAGATGAGAAATAACTAAGATAGAGCAGAACTCAAGGAGACAGAGACATGAAAAACCCTTCAAAAAAATCAATGAATCTGAGAGCTTTTTTTTTTTTTTTTTTTTGGAGGTATCTTGAAGGGAATATGAAATCTTGGCCAGGAAACTGGAGGATTTGTGACTGCAGGTGGTGTTTTCATTATTTTTTCCTGCTCTAGGTAGAACTTCACGGAGGGGATGATCTGGGAGGTAAATAGCTGAAATTCCACTGGATTTGTGTTTGTGGCCTATAGCTCCTGATACCAGAAAGAAGGGCCTTTTCTGGGGTTGGAGTATTTCTTAAGAGGCCTGGAAGAATGTGATTGCCTTGAGCTAACTCGCCTTATGAAAAGGACCTTAAACTGAATTGCCAAGTTATTAATCTTGGGATTCACAGACTTTGGAGGATGGCAGGTATGACTCAGAAGGATTTACAGCAATGAGCCAGAACCGTATATATTTATGGCCTCTGATGTCCACAGTGACAACTTGAGAGTCATGAATAATAAGCAAAATGGAACTTGAGATAAAGCATAACACAAAGATGGGAATGGGGGCAGGAGGGGATGGGATCTGGTCAGCAACTGGGTAAATCCAACTTGCTATGCTTTCAAGGAAGTTGTTTTCTGATGTTTCAGGCAACATGTGAATTACTGAATTGAATTCTGTGGTAGCACTTTAAGAAGGGTGTGTTCAGATAAATTTAGGTTCATTTAGAGAATAATAGCCAGGATTGGGAAGAGATTCTATTCTGTATCCAAGGATAGCTGGTTAAATTACTGTGGATTCAGAGAGGAAAACATGGGGGTTCACGATAGCTTGTCTTCAACTACTTGAAGGAGTACATATATGGAAGCATTAGTTTTTATTTGTTTTTGGTGAACACAAGGCATAAAACTAGAACTAATAAGTCAAATTACAAAGAGGTGATTTTCAACTCAATATAAGGAAGTAATTTGTAATTATTTAGAGCCATCTGGTGATGTAGTCTTTAAAAAATAGAATGTTCCTCATCCTTAATAACTTAGAAGGCTGAGATGTTAAATGAGAAATCATATAACTTCCTGAGATCATTGTAGAGCCTAAGAGTCTGTTTCTGAGTTAACACGTACTAGGGTAACTCAAACTTCATTTTAACAGTCACTCACCCTCAACCTGTTTTTTTTTTTTTTTGTTTTTTGTTTTTGAGACAAAGTTTTGCTCTTTTTGCCCAGGCTTGAGTGCAGTGGTGCAGTCTCAGCCCACTGCAACCTCTGCCCCCCGGGTTCAAGCGATTCTCCTGCCTCAACCTCCCGAATAGCTGGGATTACACCCTCAACCTTTTTTTTTTCCTCCTTGAAGAACTCTTTTTACTCCTGTAAAATCTGGATTCCTGAGTTCCAGGGTACAGAGTTTATGGAATAGCATATGGAACCATTGCCATTCCAGGGTTATGGAAGAGGATCTGGAACCATTGGTTATAAACCATTGTTGTTGTTGATAGGTAGAGTTTTAATGATTCATATATATATACACACACCCATACATATATTTATATACACACACATATATATATATTTTTTTACCATAAAAAAACAAACGTTTTTCAAATGTAAATTGTGATAGAGGGTTTAGAGAATGTTACGATTACAGATGGGTCCCCACATGCCTGTGATCATAATTGATACTTATAGGAATAATCATAGGAAATCTCATGGACCTATGAAGCTGACTGTCTAATTACTTGTAGAGGTAATAGTTGCAGTTTAGTAGACTCAAATGGTAATTGTTATGCAGTTTTACTGAAGTTTGTATTGCTTCTTTTTTGTGATTGGAAGTCTTACAGAAGGAGGGGAAAAGATCACAATTTGTTAGGTTAGTTATGAAATGTTCTGTATACCCTCAAATTATGAGCAATTTAACGAGAATTTTCAAACACTCAGATGACTAATTCTATTATGTGACATAATCCACATTATGGTGATTAAAATCTAAATATATTCGGTCCTTACTTTGATAATTTCTATGGCTGAGATAGTAATAGTTGCATTTAGGGTAAAAATATGAGTGTCGATTTCCAACTTCAGAACTTCCTCCAGAAGTTCTTTGTTTCTATGGTTATTATTAGTTACATTTGCTTTACATGCTTATATATGTGTTTTGGGGGCTAACATCCTTTTAAGAATCATTCCTGTATAGTCAGAATACATGTTAACTGTGGTGTTGATACCACAGAATAGTTATCTGGGTGTGATGTTCATCTGTAAAGCTCAGAGAAACAAAAAGTGTTCTTTTTATAAAAAAAAAAAACTTAGTATTACGTATGGATGTGCTGAGCTCATTTACCATGTGCTGCCACATGGTAAAGTAATATTGTTTTTTATTTTTATTTATGTGTTTATTGAGACAAGGTCTTGCTCTGTTGCCCAGGCTGGAGTGCAGTGGTGCAATCATGGCTCACTACAATCTCTGCCTCCCAAGCCCCAGCCATCCTCCCACCTCAGCCTCCTAAGTAGCTAGAGCCACAGGTGCATGCCACCACACCTGGCTAATTTTTGTATTTTTGGTAGAGACAGGGGTTTCGCCATGTTGCTCATGGTGGTCTCGAACTCCTGGGCTGAAGTGATCCATCCACCTGGTCCTTGCAAAATATTAGGATTACATGTGTGAGCCACTGTGCCTATCCAATATTGGTTAAAAATTTGATTTATTTACTTATCTTTTGCTTTTGCTTTTTTGTTTTTTTAAAATCTTAATTTTTTTCAATATTGTTTTTTAAGAGTTTACTTTGCTGACACCTGCAGCCTAATTTTTGCCATATCTCCCAAAATGTTCTGTGAGTGCTAAATATAGTGGTATGTTAATAGATGTTTGCTTTGCGGGGATTGCAAGGTTTTGGGGAAGCCAGGTTCGAAATATCTTTTACTAAAGCACCTCTTGGAGCCTTAATGCTACTTTCTATTTTTCCCAAATTTGTTTAATAATCTACCCGACAGCGTCTCAGAGGATGGTGTCCTCTGGCTTACTCTCTGGGAAATGCTACTTTGTTGGAAATCCGGAGTTCTGAGTGACTCCCATGTGTTTTCTGCTGCAGAGCCGGAAAGGCTGATGTGATCCCTAGTGGGCAGATGTTAGAGCTCTCTTTTGACAGGTTGTTACAAAGTTGATCACAAATATACTATTACAGTGAGTGGAAGTGCCAGGTTGGGTGTGAAACAGAGTTGTTTATAATTGTGTAAAGTTTCATTTTGTTACCTTTAAAGCTTCCCTAGACTGTTTTCGATTAGGCAGTAAAATTGCTATAAAAGTCCTTCTCTTGTCATAAAACCTCATGATCAGTTTTGGAAGTTGGGTGTTAGGTAACCCAGCCACATATTTACATATCCAAAATAAACACAAGACTGAAAAATAGTAAATTTTTAACCTTTGTGTCTCTTGCTCACACCAGCCTTTTACTAGCTACCAAGCCATAATTCTTATGTTTTTCATCGTTTAATGTTAAAATATCTTTTTAATGAAGCCCTTACTGATTGGGGAGAAAAGACATAACTATTGTGCTTCAGTTTTATGTGCTTGTTTATAAAATTGTGTATGTTGACTCAGTATTCCCATAAGCACTGGAAAAGGAAGACAGGTCATTTTTTGTTCAGAACCTTATTTGAGAGAAAAAAAAATGATCAAAGAAAAGATTTGGAAAAAAATCTGCAAATTCAGGATAAATGTCTAAAACCGTTTTTAAATGTGATTATAAAATTGACCAGTATAGCTTTTCAACATTTTGTTATAAGAATCCCAAGAATTTAAGTTTATGATCTTAGTTTACCACCTAGAATAGAGACAAATACATGAAGTTATGAATAATGCCATTTTCAGTCTTAAAATCCGTTAAGTTTCTTCATTCTTTTTTTGACATAGTGTGTTGTCATTATCCAAATGAATAATTAGAATAAGTCAGCTTGTGATCTACCCAAATAAATCTTCTGATTCCTAATAAAGTGTTTTTCATTATACCAAATGCCAGCTGTATCAGAGGGGATTAAAACTACTGAGTACTCCATTGATTATTAAATGCTAAGCATGGACTTAATTTCTCTTTAAAGCAGCAAAAAGTTGCTCTGCCAATAGTGACCTGAAGACTTCATGAAGTAGGTGGGATCTCAGCGGGGCGGTGAAATGTGAGTGGGGTTTGGTCAGCTGGTGGAGGTTGAAGGAAACTTATTTACATAGGTGAAAAGTAAACACATTTGGGTATCTAGGAAAGAGAATGAGTTATTCAGAGTATACCAGACCAGTTTGAACTATAACACAAGGAGGGTAGGATTCATGTAGAGGAGTTGTAGGAAATAGTGCTGAAGTAATATCTTGTACTTACACAGTTCTTATACAGCTTCCATTCACTATTATGGAGGGAATGGTAGTTGAGTTAAATAGTGAAACTCTGGAGCACACAGCCTTTAGGGCAGCTAGTAACCTATTTCTATGGTCAGGAAAGACACCTATTTTTCCTGCTGTCCTCAGCCTCCAGTTATTCTCTTACAGAATCCGCTAGTCTGTGATCACATTCAGATGAGAAATCTGTTTTGTTTTTGTTTTTTCCAGGGTAGGAGGAAGTGGTCACCACTTATACTAAGCAGTCTAGTCTTCTGTTTATAAATGTGCAAGGATGGGGAGCCAAATCTGAGAACCATGAGTAATCCTGAGATTCTGCAAGAGAATCCAAGAGAATCTCGAGATTATGCAAGGTGGTAAAATGGTCTCATGTTAGTTGTTTCTACAGCTCTCATCAGAAGCAGACACAGATACTTTTTGTAGGAAAATCATCTCCAATTTAAGCCTGTAGCTTTCCCAAAGATTAAAAGCAGGCAAGTATGAATTCAGTCAATCATAGCATTCAAGTAGTCAACCCAATATGTTTGAGAATTGTCAGAAATAATGAATAGATATATTTCCCAAAGACTGTAGGTTTTGGAATCATCAGATACAGAACACAGACTTCAGATATTAGAATTGTGAGAAAATAGTTACATGCAGAATCTAATATAAAGAAAAAAGAATCACAAAATTGAGCAGGCAGTAAGACCACCAGGAGTGACGAGGAAGACCTGAAGAGAAAATGGATGAAATAGAACTTACAGAAATGAAAATATATAGCTGGGTATGGTGGCTCACACTTGTAATCCCAGCACTTTGGGAGACTGAGGCAGGAGGATGGCTTGAGACCAGGAGTTTGAGACCAGCCTGGGGAACGTGGTGAGAACTCGTTTCTATAAAAGATAACTCCCACCCTGCCCCCCGTCGCCAAAAAAAGAAAAAAAAAATTAGCTTGGTATGGGGCACATGCCTGTAGTCCCAGCTACTGAGGTGGGAGGTGAGGAGGCTGAGGTAGGAGGATCGTTGGAGCCCAGGAGACCAAGGCTGCACTGAGGCATGTTCATGCCACTGTAGTCCAGCCTGAGTGACAGAGTGAGACTCTGTCTCAAAATAAAATAAATACAAAATGTAATTGTTGAAATAAGAAACTCAGTAGATGGATTAGACATCAGAAGAGAGAATTAATTGATTAGACAATCATCTCCAAAAAATAAGTCAGAATGTTACACAGCAAGACATGAGGATAGATGATAGGGCAGAAGGTGGTGAGGTGGAGATGGGGAGAGAGAGAGCAGAATGAGGTCTAAAATATGTCCTAGTGGAATCCTAGGAGGAGATAATAAAATTATATTAGAAAGTGAGAGAAATAGAAGCTCTAAGGGTTATAGAAGCAAGTCCACATAAATCAGTCACAACAAATGTAAATGGACTAAAGTTACCAGTTAGAAAGATTGAATTAGTAAAACAAAATCCAGCTGTTTTAATCTATTATATTTAAAATATAAGGATACAAAAATATTGAAAGTTTTTATAAAGGAGAGAGAGTGATAATGATATGCCAGTATACATTAACCAAAAACAAGTGATGTAGCTTTAGTATCAAACAAAATAGGATTTTGGAACAGAAAGCATTAGTAACAATGTGATGATAAAAGTCTGTTAATTAGGAGGATGTAGCAATTTTTGTATTTTATGTACCTATCAAAATAGCCTCAAAATACAGAGGAAAAACTGATAAAACCGCAGGGAGAAATTGACAAGTCCATTATCATATTTAGAGATTTCAACATACCCTGCTTACCATAAATAAGTTAAACAGAATGTCCATATGTAGATTTGAATAACCATTTAACGGGCATGGTATAATGGACAAATATAGACCTCTGTACCCAATAATTAGATATTATATATTCTTCTCAAGCATATATGGACTATGGGAGAAAAATTAATTATGTATTAATCCATAAAGCAATTCAGAAGATTTAAAAACAATTGGTACCATACACACCATGTAATTTATAATTTAAATATGAAGCAATTAAGGTTAGAAGGCAATAATGAAGAGATTAACAAAAATCTACATGAATTTAGAAATTAAACATCCTTGTAAATCATAGTTTAAAAAATCAAATGAAATTTTAAAATGCTTAGAATTGAACCATAATTAAAATACTAAACTTCTATCTATTCCTCTCTCTCCCCCTCTTCCTATCTGGAACATTCACGAAGCTAATCTTTTTCAATGAAGAACACCTCAAATACTGAAAAGTAGAAAAAGGACAGATGTCATTCTCTGATCTTAGTTAAATCTATAAGTTAATAAAAAAAACAGAAAACAAATATTTGTGGAATTTTAAAACTCATGCCAACAGCCCTTAGCTCAAATAGGGATTTGAAATTAAAACTGCAGAATACCTAGAGAATAGCAATAATGCGATTATTACTTACTAGAGACTAAAGGAGAGCTCTGAGGAATGTTCATTGCCTTAAAATCCTTATGTCATTAAGAAAAGAATGAAAATGAATAAAGCCTCTTAACTCATTGTCAGAGAGGACAATCAAAAAACCCGAAGGAAAGAAGAAGGGGGAAATTATTAAAGATATACATGCAGAAATCAGTGAGTTAGAAAAATAGAAAGGGCTAAATCCACATTACAGTAAAGCCTCTGCAGAAACATTCCTTTAACTTGGGCTTTGTGTACCTTGCTACTGATGGTGGAGACTGGGAAAAGCCAACATTCTTATTTTCTCCTAGTGTTTTGGGTGATGGGCAGTAGGGTTGGGAAGTGACTGCTTCACAATCATTTCGGAGTTTCAGGGTATTTGTACTTTTTATGCACAGTTTGTTTCTGAATCTTTTATGTTTGTCCTTTTTGTGAAAATACAGACTGACTGAAAAAACACTTTTTCATTCATGTTAAGGAAAATGTGTTACTACACATTTTATATCTCAGTTTTTTAGGTGCATTATGGCAGGGCTTTACTAGTTTAAAGAGCTCTTAGAAGCTGAAAAGGACTACCCTGTAGAAAAATAGGAAAAGTGCTTACGTAAATGTAATGTCATGTTTTTTTTAAAAAAAAAGGGAAAAGGGGCTGGGTGCAATGGCTCACCCCTGTAATCGCAGCACTTTGGGAGGCCGAGGCGGGTGGATCATGAAGTCAGGAGATCAAGATCATCCTGGCCAACACGGTGAAGCCCCGTCTCTACTAAAAATACAAAAATTAACTGGGCGTGGTGGTGGGCGCCTGTAGTCCCAGCTACTCAGGAGGCTGAGGCAGGAGAATTGTTTGAATCCCAGGAGGCGGAGGCTGCCGTGAGCTGAGATCGCACCACTGCAGTCCAGCCTGGAGACAGAGAGAGACTTTGCCTCAAAAAAAAAAAAAAAAAAGGAAAAAGGATATTGAAAGTCTTTACAGAAACAGAAACAAATAGCTCATGAACATAATGGAGACATGTGTAGTCTCACTCAGTAGTATAAATACAAATCAAAACTATACAGGGAGTCCATCTTTCATTTAGAATATTGTCAAAAATCACACAGGTTTGAGGTACTGTGTTGGTGAGGCTGTATCGAGGCACTCTTATAGATGGCTGGTGGGCAAACACAATATACAGTCCTGTAGAGGGCAATTTAGCAATATCTCAAAATTACAAAGTCATATATATCTTTTGACCCAGCAACTCTACTCTAGGACGTTTTTACCAGTACTCAGCAGATATATGTACAATGTTGCTCATTGCAACATTGTAAAACAGCAAAATACTGACAACAATGTGGTTGTCCACCAATAGGGGACTGATTAAATATTTGAATATCCATATAATAGAAGTATTTCAGTGTTTAAAACAGAAAAGTAAAGCTTTCTGTGTACTGATATGGAACATTCTCCAAGATGTGTTAAATGAAAAAAGGGGCAGACCAGTGTCTGTAGCATGCAACTCTTTGTGAGGGAAAGCAGGGGACAGTGGCTAATAACAATGGGCTATGTATGAATATTCTTGTATAATCTTAAAGAAGAACATACAAGAATAGTGGTTAACTTGTGTGGAGGAAGGAGAATGAATGAGAGGAAACTGGGTGGTTTGGGGACAAGAGTAGAAGGGAGAGTTTTCACTTAGGATGTAGACATTTTTGAGTGTTGTACTGTGTGAATTTATTATGCAAAAAATTCTGTGACATAATATAGTAGATAGATGTGTACTGCTACAGAGAATGCTGATGGTATATTAATTGGAAGTTAAGGTACAGGTTAGTTGTACTTATGGTGACAAAACTAACCCTAGATTTAGCTCCTTAAAATGATTGTATATTTTTAGGGCCAGGCGCAGTGGCTGACGCCTGTAATCCCAGCACTTTGGCAGGCTGAGGCAGGTGGATCACCTGAGGTCAGGAATTTGAGACCAGCCTGGCCAACATGGTGAAACCCCATCTCTCCTAAAAATACAAGAGTGAAACTCCATTTCAGAAAAAAAAAACCTGTATATTTTTACCAAAAGAGGATTCCTTTAGTAATGGCTTGGTGCCAATTATGGGCATTCTTTAGCTTTCTTTTTTTTTTGAGATGGAGTCTTGCTCTGTCACCCAGGCTGGAGTGCAGTGGTGCGGTCTTGGCTCACTGCAAGCTCTGCCTCCTGGGTTCACGCCATTCTCCTGCCTCAGCCTCCCGAGTAGCTGGGACTACAGGCGCCCGCCACCACGCCCGGCTAATTTTTTGTATTTTTAGTAGAGAAGGGGTTTCACCGTGTTAGCCAGGATGGTCTCGATCTCCTGACCTCGTGATCCACCCGCCTCGGCCTCCCAAAGCGCTGGGATTACAGGCGTGAGCCACCGCGCCCGGCCCATTCTTTAGATTTCTAACTTAAAATGTCATTCATATGCGTAGTCATGGAAGCTTAATATCTTCTTATCTGAAAGTAATATTTTGTAGTTTTAATAGAATTTATGAGGAAGGGAGTTTGAGTTTCATTAACATCCAGATTGCATCCTTTAACTTTATTTCTCAATATGGAGATAGGCTCTAGAACCAGAAAGCTTTGTAGTTGTCCAGTGGTAGGAAGACTTATAAAAATGAACTGTTAGATTTGTTAATTTTTATTGGGGTACAATTTTGGTTTTGTTATTCTTATAAAAATGTAGAGAATAATTGAGAAATAAGACTATTAAGTTAAAATTGTTTTTGAAATGGAAATATTCAGTTTCCTGTGTACTTTTAGGCACAGTGGTAATGCATTCATAAATAGTAATAATTTTCACCTAATTAGTTTTGATTTAACATGTCTCTTTCAGAATCCATATAATCTAGGAAGAGCCCAACAATCCTATTATTCCATTGTACAGATACATGAGAAAAATAGTATGTTTAATACAATGTGTTTATTGACATTTAGGATGTTTCATATAATGTTCTTGATATGGTTTGGCTGTGTCTCCACTCAAATCTCAACTTGAATTATATCTCCCAGAGCTCCCACATGTTGTGGGAGGGACCCAGGGGGAGGTAACTGAATCACGGGGCCGGTCTTTCCCATGCTATTTTCGTGATAGTGAATAAGTCTCACGAGATCTGATGGGTTAATCATGGGTTTCCGCTTTTGCTTCTTCCTCATTTTTCTCTTACTGCCTGTGTAAGAAGTGCCTTTCGCCTCCTGCCATGATTCTGAGGCCTCCCCAGCCATGTGGAACTGTAAGTCCAATTAAATCTCTTTTTCTTCCCAGTCTCAGGTATGTCTTTTATCAGCGGCGTGAAAACAGACTCATACCGTATTGATATTTACCCTGTTTTACTTTTCAGTTTTTGCTTTAGTTTCTTAAAAAGTATGGTTACCATAGTGAAAAAATTTAACATGTGCTGCATACAAAATATTTTAACGAATCTTTAACACTGTGCCTCAGTCAAAATCTTTGTGTCCTGTACACTTAACCTAGGTATCTCTGAGTCAGAATCAAGATTTTGTTTTTTTAAGTACATTAGTGAATGACCCACTCTACTTACTCCAAATCAATGGTCTTAGGTTAGGGATTGAGTTAAAGGCAGCTCTTTATAGATGGAGTTCTTGTTGTAAGTGGGTAAATGCAATCAGAATCATGACTCGCTGCTTCCGAAACATCTTCAGACTATACTTAATGCTTTTGACAATGTTACATATTTATCTATTCAAGTAAGAATAGTTGTAATTTCAGTATATACTTGAGTATTGAGTTGAAAAGTTTTTTAAGTTAAATATAAAATATCTTTCATAAATTTATTGGTTTTTAAATTTTGCTTGTACCTTATTCACAGTGCACGTTTTGAGTTTTTGTCTCTAATGGTGAGATTTGAAAAAACAAATAGACTTGAAATAATTTCATAAACAACAAGAAATAATTTTATAAAGCCTTTTAAAATCATGTAGAACATATTTTTATATGCCATGTTATACTTAGCACTAAAATTGTTTCTCTGTCTCCTTGTTTTACAAGGTTTTCTTTTACTAAGTAAATGAACCCATCAGATTTTTCCATTATTTGGTGGGGAATCAAGGAAAAAAGGAGGTCGGGGAGCTTTTGGCGGGGTGAGAAGTAGGACATGTATATAGAATTTTTAAAAAAGGTTCCAGGTAAATCTCTAATTAGAATGATTTTGTCCTCTGTACTTGCATTTCATTTATTCCCAGAGCAGCTGCATGGACATTAACAGAAAACAAATAAGTAATCACTCTGCTAAGCTTTCCTATATTGACCTCTGTGCACAGATGTTCCATTAGTTATCTTCCATTTGACGCAAGAACGGTGCTTGCAAATGAAACGTCAATGAGCTTGTTAAGCAAACAGAAAACGGAACTTACCTGTAATTAGAAGTTAACAAGAAGCTTTTGAAAATGTATTAGTTCACAAGGAAGTCAAGAAAAAGAGGAAAATTATTTATGTGATCCCTAATAGTAAAATATATCAAAACAAAGGTAAATTAAAAATAGAGGAATTTTCTAAATTAAACTCAGGGCTGTCAGATTAGAAAGACAATATAAATGTAATACAATCTCTTTTCCATTAATGCTTAAAACTTGTCCTATACTGACCTGTAAATTTGCCCCACTGATGAAATGGAATCTGAAAATCGGGATACAGATACTCTGGGAAGAACTTCACCAGATCAGCTCCAAAAACATATGTACTATTAACAGGGGAAATATTGTGAACTGCAGTCTTTAATAGATAACATTAATCAAAAACATTCCTGTGGGTAAATTATGTAAACTACGTTTCTCACCAACAAAAGCCTCTATAAATTTCAGACTGATCTGATGACAATTTATTTTTAAATGCGTAATTATATCAAGATTGCCACCATAAAGGCCTGAATACAATCTCTGAGCCTAAGATCTTCCCCATCTTTACCTCCGTTTCACATTTGATTGTACATATATTTGAGAGAGCGTCACTCATTATTTGTTTTGGGAGTAGGTCTATAACATTGCACGTTTATTGAGGGTAAGAATCAAATCTTTTACAGCTTCTAGCATGCCTCTGTGCACCCAACAGACCCTCAATAAATAATTTGTTACCCTACTTTGTCATAAAATATAGGACATACTTAGCTGTGCAGCACAATGTGATTTGATCACACCCAACCTATGAGTGGATAATAACAGCACTGAATCTGTTTAAAAACAACATTTTCTATTCCCTTTTCGTCTTCATAGTATATTCGTTTGGTTTCTAGTCATGTTGGTTCTATCCATATGTTTTTAGATAACAGTACAAACTATGTTGTGCCTAAGTAAAATTATACCAAAAATGTTTATGGGGAAAAGCTAATGCACTGCTCTTAATTTTAAGATTTTAGACATTTGAAAATATAAATTGAGATATTGGACAGTGAGAGTTTTATTTTGGAGGCTGGAGGAAATTGAAGTATCGGGGTGAGATTGATAGGCTCCTTTGGCTAGTTGTATATGGGGTTGGGGAGAATATACAAGTTTACAAAATCTTGTAAATTCTTGCAGTGCTTAGTTTTGTGACTTTACAAAAACTGTCATTATTTTTTCCTAGCTCTCAGTGGAGAAATGTAAGCTGTGAGTTTAACATCATGTTTATTGTGCTTTGGCCAGGATTTTGCAAGCTTTTGTGGAAAAAATTATTTTGCTTTCCTTATCCTGTTTGTAACATATATATCAATATGCTTCTTTGTATTTTACTATAGTAAATTGTATCTCTCATATAGAGAAATAAGTCAGAGTGAATTAAAAGAAATCTTTACTCTGAGGTGGAAGCGTTGTCTAATGGACCATATGTTTAAGCCTTGTTAATTAATCACACGAGAGCCCAGCGCAGCGGTGTGCGCCTGTAATCCCAGCCACTTGGAGGGCTGAGGCAGGAGGATTGCTTTAACCTAGGATTTCAAAACCAGCCTGGGCAACATAATGAGACCCCATCTCAGTCAATCAACCAATCAATCAATTACACTAAAAAGAGCAAGATCTTAAAACTGTTCTAACAAATGTCTGGGTGTCTGAAACAATGAAAAGAGTTTATGACAGAGTTACAGCAGTCATCAGCGAAAAACCCTGGACAAATTGCAAATGTGTACCAGTTGTGAATTGCTGACTGCAATTGAAAACCAAAGTTATTTTTGTACAGTCTTTTTGGGTGTATTTGTGTTTAGTAATAACTTGTTTGCAAATTTAGAGGACTCTCGCTTTGATTTCTTAGAGACTTTGAACTTGAGGAGCTCACAGTTTAATAGAAGAGAGAACTAGAAACCAAGATTAAATGCAGAGAGTGAGGTTCTGCAGTACAGGGTGTACACAGGGTGCAGAAGCACTATGGCACCGTGTCTGGCCTCATGTTCTACTGCTCTAGACTTCCTGAAGTGCCATTTCCTGAACCGACCTTTTTTTCCCGCCCTCTGGACCTCTGTCTGTAGGTGCCATTCTCTCTCCTTGCAAGCCTTTTCCATACCTTATGTGCCTGGTAAATTCTATTTCTTCAAAATCTTCTTGAAGCCTGCCTCTACCTCATCCAAATAATTGTTGTGTCTACTTCTCTGTTATGTCCTTATAATTACAGTCAATTCTCGTTATTTGCAGTAGTTATATTCTGTAAAGTTGCCTAGAACACTGAATTAAAGAAATACTAAACCCTTGTTCCTAGGGAAAATATGCACATATACACATATCTCACATAGGTTATAATCTTAATTCCTAAAAACAACTCATCTTGGTAGATTGAATTTTCTTTATTTACAAAACAATAAAGGAAGTACAGAAGCATTAAGTGATTTGCTTGAGGCTGCTTCACTAACAGGTGCCAGAGTTAAGATTCAGACCTCGTCCAATTAGTCCTAGAGCCAGAGCTTCTTGCACTACCCTGCACTGCCCTCTGTTGCCTCTGTCCTTGGGTCATCTTTGTATGAGAGCTGAAACAAGGAGGCCCAGGGTCACCTTATTTGACCTTAGCTTGGAACGTGCATAAGGAGTGACAGATTTTTCACTACTGTGTGTATGTCCATGAATCACCTTGAAAGCTCCACAAGTATTAATTTGGAGATTACAAACACATTTTAGCAAGTAAGCAAATTTGCAAATATAGGATCCACAAATAATGAGGATCAACTGTATTTGTAAGTGACTGCTAGGGTCTGGTTCATGATAACCCCTTCCCCCAACAATGTGGAATGTTCATTCATTTATTCATTCATATATTTATTAAGCACTTACTATTAAGCCAGACTCTGCTTTAATCTGTGGTGAACAAGCTAGAGATTAAGGTCCTGCCCTGTGGATTTTATATTAGAGTGAGAAAGACAGATAGCTGAGTCTGGAGCTCGGGGGAATTAGACAGTCACTTGACCAAGGTGAAACCTGGTGTGCCCCTTCCTACTTCACATCCCCAGACATACTTCCAGAACGTTTCTGTTCTATTCTTGTGTACAAACTCTTCCTTTTGAGCCTCTTTCCATTGACACATGTCAACCTCTACTTGTCTTTTGTTGATTTTGAGGCCACTTGCCCATGTAACTGGCAGGATATTGGAGAAGAATCACGCCGACTTGCTCTTTGAATTCTGGTTCTGCTACCTACCAAGTGAATTACTCTGGTCAAGCTCTTGGACTTCTGAGCCTATTTCCTAATTTCAGAAGTGGCGATATGATGTGTTAGACCCTGATGGGTTGCAAGGAAGAGGCACACACTTATCACCTTTGGTAATGAGGGCCGAATGTAAACTTGGATGGGAAGTCATCTAAGTAGCCATATTGTTTCTTGGCCCTAGTACTTTCAAAACTTCACAGAACATTAATTTAGCAGTATTTAGGATAGGATTTGAGCTCTGAAAACCTGCCCTCTTTTCCTTTGTTCACCCAACATTTGTATTTTCCAAGAGAGAATATCTGATTGGGTTAGCCTGTCACCTTCTAAAAACGGAAGGCCCCTATTAGAGAGAATTTTGAGCCATGCCATGTCCTTGGCGATTGTCCCTGAAGTTCAACCTATATGTTGTCCTTAGCTGAAACACTGAGCCTTGGTCCAGTTACTTGTGGCCAAAGAAGTAAGGTTGGTTTTATGCATTATTGGTCACATGAGTATGCTACAGATATGCTTTTTGTGTATGCTACAGTTGCACAATAGTTGTATGACTATAGCATATTCAGAAAGAACCATTAGGAGACAGTTTCTTTAGAAGACAATTGAGAGCATAACAAACTCTAGCAGTCCTAGAGTTTCATGGCCTTCTGTCCAATTCAAATACGTATCTAATATGATCATAGATAATTGTTAATAAGGTATCTAACAAGGTAATTGACACATGTCAAATATTCAATACATTTCCCTTTTGGTATTGCATTTAATATTATAGTGTGGTTATTTGTTCATATGGCTGTTTTCCATACTAGACCATGCGCTCCATGAGGGCAGGTTCTACCGTTTCATCTTTCTATCCTAGACGCTTAGTTCACTGCCTGATACATAGTAATAGAGGCACAAACATTTCAAGAGTAGAGGAATTCTCAACTCTTACTGAAAGAATGGGAGAATGTAAAGGTTTACCAGAGAAGGGGTTATTTAAGCTGAGTCTTTAAGGGTGAGTAGGAATTCTTTCCAGGTGAATAAAACCTTGAGACATCATTCCAAGCAGAGACCACCAGGTGCAAAGACACAGACATATAGACATGGTGAAGTTTACCAAACACTCCTAGATTAAAAAATACCAAAAAGCAAACAATCAAAATCAAAAATTAAAATTAAAAATCACCTAAAGAAAAAACTACAAATGGGCTTGGCCAGAGAGCATGTCACAATTGAGTTAACTATGGCTGGAATGGATGGAAGTTTTAGGGAAAGAGCGTAACATTCTCAAGTTGTTGGCAGAGTATCTAGAACGATTTAGAAATACAGGTATTGAATTCTGGTAATGATTGACACTGTAGCGAAATCATTTCCTTCTCTGTGTAGGAAGCATGTATGTGTCACACACTGTTCAAGGTCGCACATTGCTCAAGGAGCCCACGAGCAATCAAGGGAGACAGATGGGTGAGTAACTGATTATCATGTGACAAGTGAGGTAATAGAGATATGAAGAAAATCCTATATAAAAATGAAGAAAGGAATAATTAGTAATATATGGAGTGCTTGGGAAAGGTTTCTCAAATGAAGCTGGTTGGGCGTGATGGCTCACACTTGTAATACCAGCACTTTGGGAGGCGGAGGTGGGAGGATCCAGGAGAATCTAGGAGTTCAAGACCAACTTGGTCGACTGAGCAAGACCCTGTCTGTCTCTATATTTGAAAAAAAATATTTTAAAATGAAGTGATATTTGAACACACTGGAGCACTATACAAATGTAGGACAGACTGAAAGAATGTATCCAGCTTAATGTGAGTTAACATTTTTTGAAATTTTATATTGCAAAAATTGTACATATTCACTGTTGTGAAATTAGAACTGATAGACAAGGAGGGGGAATCTACAAAGCACTCCATAGGTCCAGCATACTGAGACAATGCTTAATGCTTTGACGGATTTATTTTATACTTTCTATGCATATGCATGTATTGTATACATACATATGCATTGTTAAATAGAAATTGTTATGCTGGGTGTTCTGTTTATCCATTTATTTTATGAAATAAATCCTCAAAGAGTACATTTGCTTTGCTCAAGGGAGTCTTTTGCTACATACTGCTGTACATAATGAAAACTGAAAAAGGGGCTAACTTTTCAGCCTTGTGATCTTGTGGAGATTTAAACAGAAGCTTCATCAAAGGCACATTCAGAAATGAACTTGGTGTGTGTAGGTGGTTATGCTTGCCTTGCCAATATTGTTTGTGATAGTATGATAAGGATGACTTCAGTGTCCACCAACAGGGAACTGGTTCAATAAACTATGGTACATCCAAACGATGGAATACTGTGTAGTTGTAAAGAAGAATGAGAAAGACCTATGTACTCATGTAGAAGAACTCAGATATATTTTGTGTGTTTTTAAAAAGGAACAAGGAATGGTATAATATATATGGTCTGCTACTTTCTGTGTTGAGAGAGAAGAGTAGAATAAGAATATACATGTGTATTTGCAAATATAAATTCCAAAATGATACATAAGAAACCAATTAAAAGTGTTTGGCTGTGGAGGGAGAATAGGATATGAATGGGATTTTGCCACATACTTTTATAGTTATATTTTTAAATTTTTTGAACTATGTATTTGTACACATAACCCCTTTAAGAATAAGTGAATGAAGGAATGAATTGAGATTATGAGAAAGAGATAAGAAAAAAGTATCTAAGGGGCTGCCCATCTTTTTAGTACCCAGTGAATATTAATACATAGCAATAGCAGCAAAAATTGGAAGAGCAGCCCCAGGAAGTTGGGGAGTCAGCCTTTCCTTTGCCTTTTCCTCTATTTCATATATTTTTTAAAAACACTCTGAGAACAATAAAACAATTTAAAACAAAAATGTTTCCAGACATTTTAAAATAAAAGGAAGATGGGGCAGCTTTGTGTAGTGCACATTCCAAAAATGGACTGAATGACCTCAAGAGGCAGGGATTCTACCTCTCTAGCCTACATGGGATATGTTCACGAGAAAAAGTAAGAGAAAGAAATTTAAATGTAAGTAAATGAAAATAACACTTCTTCCTGATTATGAAGGAAATCACATTTTTTATGTAATAATTTGGATGACAAAATATAAAGAAACATCTTCAATTTTGCCACTCAAAACATTCTGGTTTGTTGCTTTTTATACTTTATGCATATAAGCATTGTAAAAAGTAGAATCATAATATATAGTCTTTTGTCACTTACTATATTTTGGGCTTGCTTCTATGGCAGTAAATATATCCTGGCATCATCATTTTTAATAGCTGGATGTATATTAAGTTAATCATTGCCACCCCAGAGGTGAATTTCCTCATATATACATTTTAATGGACTCGAGCAAGCATTTTATGACTGAATTCATAGAAGTAGAATTTCTGGAGGAAAATAATATAAAACAGTTTTAGGGATTTTAATAGACATTTTCAAATTATTGTGCAGGAAGATTGGTTCAGTTTATACTCCCACCAACAGGGACAGAGCTCCAGCTTCCCCCTTCCATTTGTTGTCTTTGCTAGTCTTTAAGCAGAAAATCTTATTGTTTTCATTACATTTCTTTGATTTCTAGTGCTTTTGAATCTTTTATATGCTTATTGGCAATTTTTATTCTTGTGAGAAGTGTTTGTTTCTCCATTTCCCATTTTCTGTTGGAAACCATTTGTTTTTCTCTGAGTAATTTTATAAAATTGTAAAATAATTTTATCTTTTAAAATCATTTTTTCTGAGTAATTTTAAAGATTTATTTATGGACTTAGGATATAAACCTTTTATCTGTCACTGAGGTTACAAAAACTTTCTCCTAGTAAGTAATTTGTTGTTTAGCTTTATATTTTCTTTCCTTTTTTAGCCACCCAAGCTCCAAAATCACATTTCACTTAATCAGTTTATTTTTATTTTTTGAGACAGAGTCTGGCTGGAGTGCAGTGGCATGATCTTGGCCCACTGCAACCTCTGCCTCCTAGGTTCAGGTGATTCTCCTGCCTTAGTCTCCTGAGTAGCTGGGATTACAGGCACTCGCCACCATGCCTGGCTAATTTTTGTATTTGTAGTAGAGACTGTGTTTCACCACGTTGGCCAGTCTGGTCTCGAACTCCTGAACTCAGGTGATCTGCCTGCCTCAGCTTCCCAAAGTGCTGGGATTACAGACGTGAGCCACCGCGCCTGGCCACATTTCACTTAATTTTTTTTTTTTTTTTGAGATGGAGTTTCGCTCTTGTTTGCCCAGGCTGGAGTGCAGTGGTGTGATCTTGGCTCACTGAAACCTCCCCCTTCCAGGTTCAAGCGATTCTTCCCGCCTCAGCCTCCCAAGTAGCTAGGATTACAGGCATGTGCCACCATGCCCGGCTAATTTTGTATTTGAATTAGAGACGGGGTTTCTCCATGTTGGTCAGGTTGGTCTCAAACTCCCGACCTCAGGTGATCCACCCACCTCGGCCTCCCAAAGTGCTGGGATTACAGATGTGAGCCACCACACCCGGCCATGTCACTTAATTTTTATCCTGCTGAATGAAAGCATTTTAACTTAGTGATTTTAGTGTAAACAGGAGCAGGACAGAATGTAATTATCTAGGTCTTGCTCTGTCACCTAGGCTAGAGTGCAGTGGCATTATCGTAGCTACAGCAGCCTCAAACTCCTGGGCTCAAGCGATTTTCCCACCTCAGACTCCCAAGTAGCTAGGACTATAGGCATGCTAATTTTTAAATTTTTTTGTAGAGATGTGAATTCACTATGCTGCCCAGGCTGGTCTCGGACTCCTGACTCCAAGTAATCCTCCCACCTTAGCTTGCCAAAGTGCTGGGCTTACAGGTATGAACTACTGCTTCCGGCTGAGAGTTTACTTTTGTTTGCTAGTGGTGTTTTTGATATCTTTTCATATTTGAGGCTTTGGTGTTAGTGCTAAAATATTACACTCACCATCTGAGGTTTACAGGACTTTTGTTTTAATATTAACAACTGTTTAGTTCTGCATCTTTGCAAGTATACACAATATGCCTACCAGGACTCTGCTTTATATCAATCAAAAGCAAGAAGTAATAAAGTAAAACTTTGCCTGGCTAGAGGCTTTGGAAGTATGGAGTATTCTGGTTTAATTCTATTAACTTGGAAGTACAAAGGTGAAAAAAATTCAAAACCTTAATTTCCTGTTGAATGCAATTTGAAAATACAGCCAGTGATTCCACTTTTCTTCTCTAGTAAGTTTGGACATTCAGATCTACTTGGTCTTTTATTATCACACTCCTAGTGTGCCTTAGACTTATATTGTGAAGGTCCCTTTCTAAAACTTTAGATGTAGGAGGATGTAAGTGGTGTTGTATAAGATCAGACTGGATAAGAACAGATATCTGTAAACATACTTTTTAGATTAAATCTCTGATTGCCACTTGTTTTCTTATTTAACTTATAAAAATAAAACACATTAGCTGGAGGATGGGAGTAGGAAGGAGATTTATGTCTTTTAATTGCATGTCTTTGTTTCATATCAAGACAGAACATACAGTATCCCTGGCTTTGGACCTACAGAAGGAAACACATTTTTCTACCTGCTGTATGCCAGAGGTTCCTGAACACCTGCAGGGTTTATTGCAGCACAGATTGCTAGGCCCTACTCCAGAGTTTCTGATTCATCAGGTCTAAGGTGGGGCCTGAGAATATGCATTTATAAAAAGTTCTCAGGTGATGCTGGTGGTGCTGGTCCAGAGACTACATTTTTGAGGACCATTCTTGTATACTAACTGTAAATTGTAGAACTCTAGAAGAAAGCTTACTTGGGTCTGGGATAAGAAGCACACAGGTTATGGAGCAAATCATGAAAGATTCAACCCTTGATCCCAGCCTAGTGTGGAATTCAGATAACATGCAATACCCAGTGACATAACACAATTCTTGGTTTTCACAATTGCTGCAAGTCATAGTCTAGTATCTAGTGAGAAATTCAGTTTCATTTGCAAGGTTTGGAGAGGCCAGGTGATTCTAGTCAAATAGGATTTAGTGATTAACCCCTTGAGAGTAGGAGTTGTTTATGTCCTTTTTCTCTCCCCCATCACTTAGCATTTAGCCTTACTTTAGAAGGGCCTTGTAATTTTTTTTTAAACTGGTAAAGAGCTTTGAGTGCTTATTAAATTGAAAAATGTGTGTTTTTAAAGATATTAGACATGTTTCTTGTTAAAAAAAACTTAACAATAATGTAGGAGAATAAAATAATCTTTTTCCAAAAAAGAGAAATCATTGTGATTATTTTATCTTATTGGAATGTTGGATAATATAGTCTTCTGCCTTAATCATCGAGCATGCTATGGGTTTTCCATTTTTATAGGATTTGTACCTCAATTGAGGTAATACTGGTAATTCTTGTGCTCCATTCGAAGATGAATAATAAAGGCCAAAATCAAAGACCTGGCATAGAAGCTGTATAATGAAGACAGCTCTGAAAGAACACATATACACACACATAGACACACACATATATATAAAGTACACGCAGATTTTTTTTTTAAGTTTTAAAGTTTTTAAAGTGAAAGCCAGCCCTGCCCCTTTCCTGGAGTGGGCGGGGAGAGCGGTTGCCTGTGCAGCTTTCCTTGTGAAACCACAGGTCCCTCTGGCCACGCTGCCACCTGGCCATGCCTCCTTTCCCTTTTTTTTTTCCCTTTCCCTCCTTTCTCGTCGACCAATGGGTTTGGAGCATTGAAGCCATGCCCTTATCCTGCATTCTAGTGCGGCCCTGGTTATGCCTCCTCTGGCTCAGTTGCACAACTGGTGGTAGCTGGCTAGAAGTGTTTAGCAGTGGTTGCCAGGATTACACTGATGTGGTCCCAACCCCACCTCCCTCCCTGCCCTGTGGTGTCGGAAGAAACTAACACAGGGAATTGGACACAGCCAAGAAAAAAACGGTAAAATGAAGCCAACTGGTCAAGGCCAAGAAAAAAAGGTAAAATGCACGGGGTTGTGGCTACCTGACCCAGCCCTAAGCCCCCTTCAACAGCAGGACCACTGCTAGAGTCCGTGCCACTCCTGAGGCATACCAGGCTGGGCCTCTGGGCTTCCCCAACCAAAGTCTTGTCAGCCAGCCCCGCCCCCTCAGCAGCCCAGTCCCCACCCTCACTGGTCACCCCTGGGTGACTTTGGGCCAATGACTCCCAGGGCTCTCCACTCCAGATTTGGTCCTCACCTCCTGCCACCCCAAGCCAGACCTCCCTAGGCTTTTTGAGCTCATGTCTCCAAGCACCCCCTCTACCATTCAGAGCGATGTGGCCCCCCCAACAGGGAGGAGTTGTTGGGAGAAAAGCTGAGGGTTGGGAGAGAAGCTGAGGCAGGGCTTGCACGTCTGACATCATGCAAAAGAGTCTTGGAACATGTCTGGGGTCCAGAGTATAAAACCCCTCATGACCTTTGGAACACCAATCTCCATGCTGAAGGGTGGAAGTCTGCCCTGCCACACCACAATCTAAGACCAGGGCATAAAACCCCTCATGGCTTGGATGGAATCCAGGGCTCAGGGCATAAAACCCCTCGTGGCCTCTGGAATGTGTCTAGACTTGCTGGCTTCTTGGTTCTAGCAATCCCAGGTTCATAAAACGATTGTATCTTAAACTAGAAGAACATGTTTCCCATTATCTCAAGTAGCATAACATGTTCCATATACTTCAAAGAAAATGCTAAACCGTCACAGCTGTAGCTCATTCACCTGATGCACTGCTTTCTCCCAACCCTCATATCCTCACTACCTGCTTCTTTGTTGGATTACCAATAAATGGCATAGGCTCCCAGAGCTCGGGGCCTTCACAGCCTCCATACTAGCGTTGGCCCCCTGGTCCCACTTTATGCCTTAACTTGTCTTTTCTCATTCCTTTGACTCTGCCGGACTTCGTAGCCCCCATGGCCTGGTGTTGGGTCTGATCACCCCAACAAGGAGTGGAATGTAGTGAGTCACAGTCCCCCTGAGAACTGTCATTATTGCCACAAGACTGGCCTTTGATCTTAGGACCCAGTCCCCTAAGTGTTCTCACCCCCTATCTGGTTCCTCTGGTTGCAGTACAAATTTCCAACTGGAAGGGGAATGGGAACTATGGAACCTGGGAGCAAGAGGTTTCAGGTTGCCTTACTCCCTTAATTTAGACACTGATAGTGTGAAAAGCCTACACTCCCCACTGCACCCCCACCCCTGCCCCAACCTGTGAGCAACCATTGACAGTTGTCAATGGGAGAATGGGATTGGTTGGTTTCCTTCCAGGCTTCTCTTCTTAAGAGAGACTTCAGCATTTTGTTTTCTGAGTTCTCTACCTCGTATTTGAGTTCTCCATGGTTCTGAGACCAGAGTGCCCTTCAGTCAGTGGTCTCTGGAGTGAGATCTGCTCATCTTCTGTGGAACAGATCTTGGGAAACTGAACTTGACAGCTTGAATCTTCCTCATCTCATGTCAACCTAGGGTACTTTGCGTGGCACAGGATAAATATGGGGCATCTTTCTGAAGCATCAGTTTCGCTTGATTCTCTTGAAAGAGAAAAAATAATATACTTAGGGGTGACAGTCACATAGATTTCTAAGAGTATACCAGACTTCTCTCTGAAATGAGGCTTGGGTTGTCCTCTTTCTGATAAATTCCCAGATTTAACAGAAAGGCTGCCTTCTGCCATGAAGATACATTGATGTAAAAGTTTAAGAGGTGCTGGTGCACTTCTTACTCTAACAGACGTGTGAGGATGTGTGACTCTAAACTGCACAGTGTACAGTTCCTGCCTATTTCATGTTTACTTTTCTACCTCTGCCTCTGGTTTTGGTCCCTGGCAGCTGCTGATTCATGGCAAAACCCCAGAGCTTGGATCAGAAGACTGAGTTTAAGTTTCATTATTGCCTTTTTTTTTGTAGCCATCATATCAATCCCTGTCTGTCACTAAGTGATTGTGACAACACCTTGTACAGTTGTTGGTGGCATTAAATCAGATGGTATATAAGAGTATTTTGTAAAAACTGTAACGTACGATGTGACTGTAGGGGCTTGCAGTTCTCATGAGTATTACTGCTCTTCTTTTCCAAAGTTGAGAGAATATCAGCAGAGGAACAGCCCTGATGTTTGGCAGGAATAAAGAGGAAGAAAACGAAAAAAAATGGCAGTAGCACTAAGACAACCACTTCTGGTGGTTGCCACTCACCTGGGGATGTGAGTCTTGGCTGACCAGGCTCCTGAGGGCAGGGGGCCCAAAGGGCAGTAGAGGGTAATTGTTAAGATTGTGGAAGAACTGTCGGGTACTGGTTAAGAATTCTGGGTTCGAATCCTACCTCTCCATCTGCTAGGGATATGATTTAGGGCAAATTGCTTGAGTTCTCTTTGGGCCTCCTTTTTCACATCTGTAAAACAGGGGTGGTATTGTTTTACATATATTTGTGAGGTTTAAATGAGATTTGTTATCGCTGTTGTTTTTGTGTTAATCCCTAGTAAGGGGCCTGCTGTAAACACCCAGGACACCCAGGAAATGGTAGTTGCTGTTTGATTTTCCTCATCCCCAGTCTCAAGGGGGAAACCAGGCCAATGAGAACAGTCATTTGCCCATCAGGCTGTCCCTTTAGGAGTTACTGAAAGGGCCCCAGCGTGTGGTGAGGAGAGCCCCAGGCACTAGGATTCGGAGATCTAACTTTTGAGTTCATCTTTGCCATCAGCTTGCTGAGTGACCACAGAAAAATCACTTCTTCCACTGGTCCTCAGTTTCCTCCTCTGTAAGATGATACTGGGTAAGATCAGTGTCTTTCGTTTTTTAGCTGGAGCCCCCTTTGTTCAAGTGAACCCTTACTCAGAAGTCTGGTTTTTAAAATAGAGGTGGAGGTCTTCTGGAGCTCTACCAGATTCATCGCCCACGTCCTGGGCCTGAGGAGAGGGGTCCAGTGAGTGTATTAAGAGCTGCACTGGTCAGGCGACCCCACTCTGTGTGACTGCATCGCTTAGGGGACTTTCCCATCTATTTGTTCCTGCCCCTGGCAAGGCAGCAGGTGGCCATTTGGTGGGAGGAGGTCAAAACCACAGGTCATGGTTTTGACCTCCTCCACTCTTCTTCAGCATTTCGTTTCCCTGAACCTATATCTTCCTCATTCCCTGACTTTCTTGCCTCTCTTTAAGCGACTCTTTCTCCCCCTGCCCTTGTTTTTCCCTTTTCGCCTCCTGTAGATTCAGGACTTTGTGAAGGTGCTGCGTTCCCCACATTGGACAAATGGAAGGTGAGAGAGTGCTGAGACTCCTCCCTGGCTTGCTCTCTCCAGCTGTGCATGCCCTTAGGCTTCTCTGGTTTTGGGGGATACTTTGCCTTTGGCTTATTATATTTTGCTGCCTTAACCTTCAGCCTGTTTTTGTCCGCTTCTTCACTTGCTTGATTGATTGGGTTTTTTTCCTTCCCCCACATCTTTTATCATTTTAGAGAAGGTGTGACATACCTTAAAGTTTAAAAACAATTTGAGAATAACTTTCAGAGCAGGCATGTGGGATTTGGGACTTTTTTTTCTTTTGAGATGGAGTCTTGCTCTGTCACCCAGGCTGGAATGCAGTGGCACAATGTCAGCTTGCTGCAATCTCTGCCTCCCGGGTTCAAGCCATTCTCTTGCCTCAGCCTCCTGAGTAGCTGGAATTACAGGTGCCCATCACCATGCCCAGCTAGTTTTTGTACTTTTAGTAGAGACAGGGTTTCACCATGTTGGCCAGGCTGGTCTCGAACCCCTAACCTCAAATGATCTGCCCTCCTTGGCCTCCCAAAGTGCTGGGATTACAGGCATGAGCCATCATGCCCGGCCTGAGATTTGGGCTTTTGAGTGCCCAGTGTGATACTCTCAGACTAGGAGGGATGGAGAAAAAAACCCAACCAACTTTTAGGTTTTGCCCTAAAGGCAATCATTAGACCACATAGAAGTTTGTGATTTTTTAAAATTAATTCACTTTGGTTTAAGAGTAGAGAACATAGGGTTAAGAGAAAATGAGTTCACATTACAGTTGGAAGGATTGAATCTATTTTTTTGGAGGAACTAACTGTGAAAAATATGAGGTTAACCAAACAGATAAGTGACCGAAACATTCTGCCCCTAATCTCTTTAAAATCAAACGGACACTTAGCCATATTCATTGGGCTCTTGATAGCAAAGACACTTTGCTAAATAAACAATGGAGAGAATAGATGAACAAGCTAGGCTGCACACTGAGTGAGGCAGACTCCTCTGAAGGAGGAAAGAGAGAATTTTGGAAAATTCCAAATGCTCAGCTGAAGGGTAGGTTGGTTCCGAATGGACTCGAGGCCGGAGGAAGTGGCATTTGAGGCTGGCTTGAAGATTTAAGGTGGGTAAACATTCATCCATAAGGGGAGTGGGGGAGGCAGGGGGAGTGGTGAGGTCATGGTCATCATTATGAATTCACAGAGCACCTTTCAGGAGCACAGGGAGTCTGGTGGGGGCAGGGCATGGGGGTACACGGGGCTAGGAGATGACTTCCTCTGGTTGTGATTTGGCATTTCCTTCATATCTAACTTACCTGGGGGGCTCCTGACAAGCCAGAGGAGCAGGGCACAAATGGCACCAGATCCTGTTGAAGATGGGCATGGGGAGGGGGACTAAGACAGAGCACCCTTGGCTGCTGTTAGAGAGTTGTTCAGTCATCACACCTGTTACCCCCGCAGTCGGTCAGGTCTGTCCAGGTGCTGTAACTCACCTTGCCAGCTCAGAGGAGATACTGAGTGGTACTGTGGGGAGCACAGGCCTAAGGGCATCCTGCAGCCGTGTATTTGGCTTTTTCTCTGCCAGTGGTCCAGTGGATTAGGGGGTCTGAAGCCTGTTTTCTAATGCTCTGAGATTGTGTGCCCAGCCCAGGTCTCTGTTCTGGAAACAAAGGCCCAGATCCACATATTTCCTTCTTGCTGTTTAGTTTTAGTGTTTGTTTTTGAGGCAAGAGTCTGGCTCTTTCTCCTGGAGTGCAGTGGCGGCATATCGGCTCACTGCAACCTCTGCCTCCTGGGTACAAGTGATTGTCATGCCTCAGGCCTTCCGAGTAGCTAGGATTACAGGCACCCACCACCGTGCCCGGCTAATTTTTTTGTATTTTTAATAGAGACGGGGTTTTGCTGTGTTGCCCAGGCTGGTCTGGAACTCCTGGCCCCAAGTAATCCACCAGCCTCGGCCTCCCAAAGTGCTGGGATTACATGCATGAGCCACTGCGCCTGGCTCCTTGCTGCTTTTATACCTTCTCCATATCCATAACTGTTTCCCATGTAAGTTTTTTTTAAAAATTTCTCATTTTTATTACCATGTAAATTTTCTTTCTTTCTTTTTTTTTTTTTGAGATGGAGTCTCGCTCTGTCGCCCAGGCTGGAGTGCAGTGGTGTGATCTTGGCTCACTGCAACCTCTGCCTCCCAGGTTCAGGCCATTCTCCAGCCTCAGCCTCCCAAGTAGCTGGGACTACAGGCACCTGCCACCACACCCGGCTAATTTTTTGTATTTTTAGTGGTGACGGGGTTTCACTGTGTTAGCCAGGATGGTCTCGATCTCCTGACCTCGTGATCAGCCTGCCTCGGCCTCCCAAAGTGCTGGGATTACAGGCGTGAGCCACCGTGCCTGGCCAACCATGTAAGTTTTCTACTCCAGGAGTGTAGGTCTGTGATTGCAGTATCCTGAGTAGAGCTGATAACATTTCCAGAAGTAGGGAATAATGGAGAGAGAAAAAAATCTTAATGGGATGGGACCATTTGAGGAGAGTAGGCTTTATTTTTTTTAAACTCCATTCTTAGCTACAAGACTTAAAATTATCTTCAGTTCTTCCAGCCTCTACAGCACTTGCTCTAAGGAGGGAAGCAGATTTGGGTTTTCAGAGGCCAGGACCAAAGGGTCCAGTGAGCAGGCAGTCCTTTCCCTGGAGCGAGGTGTAGCCACTTCCTCCAAACCCAGCTTCCCTGTCCAGGCCCTGGCTCCCTGGTGGTTTTCTCTTGTCAAGCTTAGCTGGTCAGCCAGCTTTTTCCACTGTCTGCCCACCTGGCCTGTTGGATATTAGAAGATCTCTAGAGCCAGATGCTTGGGCCAAGAGTAAGGCCAGAGCCTGGAGACAGGCTGGGTGGGGCTCTGGTCAAGCAAGTAGGTCCAGTTCAGGGCAAGGGAGAGGCTCCAAATGACTCCAAGTCCTGAATCCTAGGATGGTCCCCAACTGCTGTTCTCAGGAAAGAGGCCCCACAATTTCTAAGTTGCCAAGAGCCATAGGGCAGATGTCTTATGTCTGTTTTTTTGGGTTGTTTCTTGGTTGGGTAGATGTTTCTGGATGTAAAAGGACAGGGTGGGGGTGGTGACTGTGGTTTATTGTCTTTTTACCTACAGAGAGCGGGGAGAGGCTTCCAGTTGGGCAACTTTTTTTCCCTGAAAAGGCCTGAATCAGAAACACAGTTAATAGGCCAGGTGCAGTGGCTTACACCTATAATCCCAACACTTTGGGAGACCAAGGTGGGAGGATCACTTGAGCCCAGGAGTTTGAGACCAGCCTGGGCAACATGGTGAGAACTTAGAGAGACGGGGTCTCGCTATCTCACAGGTAGCTTGTTCTCTAGGACCAAGTGGCCTTCCTGGGAACTGGACTGGGGGAAGGCTGAGACTGGACTTTTCCTTGAGGTCTGGGGAGATGCAAGATTGTTGGAATGAGCTTGGGAGCTTGGCTCACCCCACCCTGGGTGATTGTTACCAGAAATTGAATGACCCTCTTATATGTTTCTTCCCACACAGAAACATGATGCTGACAATGGCCCTAATCTTACAGGTGAAACCAAGTGAGTGTCTCCTATTGGGGCAGCAGCCTCTAGGCCAAGGGAGTCAGGAAGGCCACTGCCCATGACCTTCTTTCCCATCAAGCCACTTGCACCCGTGACCCATGTCTCCACCCCTAGGACTTTCTCATTGACCAAGAGCCTGCAGTAACTCTACCAACAGCTCAATGGTGTTGCCTCTGAGGTACCTCAGAAATTGAAGCCCAGAGTGGGGTGCAGGGGCAAGGAAAGTATGATAGAAAGAAACTGAGGCAGGGTTTTGCAAGAGAGGACAGATCCTGGGAGCAGCTGATTTGCTGCTGGGCAATGTTGAGGAAGTCGCCTTTTCCCTTAGCCTTCTCCCTTGAAGCTGTTCACGTGAAGGAGTTGGACCACATGACTGGTTGCATCATTTTTTGCTGCAGAAGCACCAGATGAGAGCTGCTCTGAAGGGAGGGATGGTGGGGAGATAAGAACTGTGAGAGAATTTGGTACAAAAGAGTTATGGAATGAAGGGTTCAAGATAGGCAGAAAAGAAAATATTGCCAGTTGCTGGGGAAGAAAGGAGGTCATAGGGCTTAGACACTGAGGGGCAGAACATTTCCATGCGCACTCTCATCTTTTGTAGTCAGCAACAGGTATCCACTGGGAGGGCCCTGCATCATCGTGTTAAGAATAAAAAGTTCCTCTTCAAAGTTTCCCTTTTTAAAAACAGTAAGTGTTAAGAAGAACAACAGTTCCTTTTAAAAACTTCTTTCAAGTTTTCTTTTCTTTTTATGCTACAAACTAATAAATCTTTTAGTTTACTAATGACTCTTTGTTATGCCCTGGGTAGCTGTTAAATATAGTAGAGAAATAAGTGTATTCTATGTTTCTATGTCCTTATATTTTAAACAAAGCCTAAGTTGTTTATTCTAGTTTCTAGTCTGCCTAGATATGCTTGGACATGCCCAGGCATGTCCCAGCTTGTAGCCTATGCCTTTTCCTTATTTGGAAATGTTATTATTATCCCAGTTTCCTGTACGTAACCCCCTCCCTTTCTTTGTTCTCCATTGTGCCGTTACCTATTTAGGAAAGTTTTAAGATTTTAGCCAGTCAGAATCAGTTTAGATTGTGAGTTCCAGCTCCAGCCAATGGAGATAGGACACAGCAGTACGGTCCTGATGCATCAGGGATAAAAACTCCTGCTTTCCTTTGTTTGGTGTGCTTTCAAGGCAATCTGGCTTGCAAACAGGATCCTTCTGCAGAAGTAAAATTGCCTTGCTGAGAAATCTTTTGTTTGTGTTTTCGTGTTCCTTACGACTCTGAATTTTCATTTCTAACAATCTGCTACCCTGAAGAATCTGGACGTAAGAGGGCCTGGGCCCTCTGGGCCAGCCCTCAAACCTCCTCCCACAGTGGGGGTTGGATGACCCTCTGCCCGCTAAGACATCCCAACAGCTCCCAGCCCTAATGATTACCCTTTCTGACTCTCCCCACAGTCCTCCTCCAGCTCCTCCTCTCTGCGTGCATTTCAGAGCTGTTATCAAGAGGTAACTGTACCCTGGACTCCAGCTATCTAACAAACAATCAACTCAATAGAATAACTGAGAAATAGTTAAGAGTCCAGTAGGGTCTCCTGGTTCCACTCTGCCAATCTGGGCTCCAGTTTCCCCTTGGGGCCCTGAAGAAAGGGGCTAGGAGCACCCAGTGCCAAGGGCAAATGGGGAGCTGGGGGGCCCAGGTCTCAGCTGGAGGGACCCCAGATCATGGAGCATGCATCATGGCTCTTCTGTTGCTGCCCTCTTTGCCTACTGTCTCTTCTCCAGACATGCCTGCTCCAGTCACTGCCAGACATGCCTTGGGATTGTTGCCTCTTGGGGAAGTGCTAGTCTGACTGGTTGTCAGGAACTCCATATTTCTGCCCTGACTCAGTCCCTAATTTGCTCTTTGATTCTGGACAAGCCACCTCTCCTCCTTGGGCTTGCGTTTCTCAAGGAGGTGGAGAGTATCAAAAGTCTCTGCTAGCTCTGAGAGTCCAAGATTTAAAGGTCTACTAGAATGTAAACCTCAGGGCCAAGGGATCCTGTCTGAATCTATAGGATTCTTTTCCATCCTATATCCCTGCTATGAAGAATTGTACCTGGCCCGTATGTGCTTAGCCAATGTTGAATGAATGCACTTTCTAAATCACAAGCTGGCAGAATGGTGGGCTTTTCTCAGACTCCATCTATAGACGTCACTGGTAGAAGGTCGTGACTACAAGTTGTCCAGGTTCTTGGAATTTTGAACAAAGAATTGGACAAAACGCCTAGCAAATCAAAGAAAGAATGAAGCAACAAAAGAACCAAAGCAGGAATTTATTGAAAACAAAAGTACACTCCACAGTGTGGGAGTGGGCCTGAGCAGCAGCTCAGGGGCCTGGATACAGAATCTTCCTGGTCCAAATACCCACCAGAATTTTCCCATCGGCCACTTCATGCTCACCTCATGTAACTGAAATGGTAGCCGCAATCAGTCTGATTGGTTGCAGAAAGCAGCCAACCAGAGGCTGAAGTGAAGTTACAAAAGTCACACTCCTGTGCAAACAATCTGATGAGTTGCAAAAAGCAACCAATCAGAGGCTAGGATGAAGTTACAAAGTTATACTTCTTTGCAAATGAAGACTTGACCAGCAATCAGTCTTACTTGTTGCAGACAGCCAATTTCCCATCTGCCTCACAGAAAAGGTCAGAGGTAGTAGCCTCTGGTTCTTTGTTACTTAGACATGGAAAGTTAGGGTTTTCTTTTCATTTTGGTTCTAGGAAGTCAGAGCGAAAGAGCCTTAGGTTCCCTGCCTCCAGACCCTATTTTCCTGCCTCATAGAGGTTTATGTCACTGTCCTTTTGAGAGAATCCAGATTCAGACTTTCAGTTCTGTGGCTGTGGGCCAAAACCAACAAAGACCCAAATCCTCTGTCCTTGGGAGCTTGAGGAGAGTTTACCAGTTCATGATCCTAGTGGGTCTGAGAACTTTGCCTTTAAAATCCACTCCTGGCCCCTGCCTACTGCTTCATGGCCTGGGGAATAGAGTGGAGGGGGCCACCCTTGGTCACCTTCCTTTGACTCTCCCAAGGAAACAGCACAACCAAGAAATTGTGGATCAACTAGAATCACACTAGTAATGTAATTTCTTTGCTCACAGCATGACTGCTGGGTTTGGGGGGCACTCAGATGTAGAGGTGCTAGTCTCGTCTTGCTGACCCCCAGCCTGGGAAGAAGGCTCACCCCCCAGGTTCCACCTCATCCCCACAGGGTCCCTGATAACCTGGTCCCATGGGTGGGCCTGTCCTGGGGCATTGGTGGAATTCTGGGGGCATGTCTTTGCTGTGCCATCTCTGCCTCCCCCTAGTAAGAGCTCTGTCTTCCTCTTCCTATAGGAAAAGCAAGAAAGCCAGCAAAACCAGGGAACCCTAAAGAGGCAGTTAGAGGTGAGTGGAGGGTGTGAAGTTCCCTCCTGTCCTCTGGAGAATGTTGCTTTCCTTCTCTTTCAGCACTTGCTTGGCTTTTCTCCCAAAGGTTCAAATTCAGAGAACCAACAAACTGATGTCTGAGAAAGGAAAATTAAATACTGAACTGTATCATATGCAACGTGCTGCCAGGCACTTTGAAGGTGGGAATCTGGGCACCCTGTCATCCTTCAACCTGGTGCTTTGATAGGCCTTTGGACCCCATCTCAACCTCTCTCATTTCAGGAGAGTCCATGGATCTGGCCAGCGGCCTGCAGTATTCCCAGCAGTGTGTGGGAGAGTTGTAATGGACTCTTTGCTGTCTCCATGCAGCAGAAGAACATGGACAGTGTGAGTCCTACCGCCTGCCCCATCCCTTGGCAGCCCAGCTTCCCAGGTGGAGGAGTGAGGGACCTTTAGGTCCCTTCTGCAGGATGGAGTGTCCTGCCCAGAAAGCAGCATGGGCCATTTCTCATTGTTTTTGTGTGTGGTTGTTAGAGGCAGCCTGCGGCTGAGTTGGCTGCTGTGGATGAGTTGGGGAGTGCTGTGGGGAGCAAGCAGAGCTTGGACGTGGAGCACTGGATGCAGAGCTTAGAGGCCAAGTGCCTACCCTGCCTTCACTTGGCTGTGGCCTTAGCCAAATCCTAGGTGTGGGATATGGTACTTGCACTGTGAAAGTACAGAAGAGTATCTTTAGTATGTTACCATTTGTGGAGAGAGAAGGACCGTGTGTGTGTGTGTGTGTGTGTGTGTGTGTGTGTGTGTTGTGTGTAAGTACTATGACAATATACATAAAACATGCTTGAAAGTGGTCTCAGAGCCAGACTGGGTCTGGCTGCGTTTTCTTGAGGCTCAAAAATGAGAAGCAAACTAGGAAAGAAGGGGATTTATTGCTGTAACTGGATACAGAGAGAAGGCTGGAGATAACTCCACCAGACCAACTCGAAATGTTACAGTATTCTTAGTGTTTATATAGGTTGGGGTTATGTGTCTACGTACAGTATAGCATTCGCCTAAGTCCACTGATAACTAATTTTGTTTCAACTAGAAGGTCAGAGGCAAAAAATGCTTGCTAAGTCTGATTAAGCTGTGAGGGCCCTGGTACCTTCAAGGTCTGTCTACTGTGGTACCTGAATGATTATTTCTATCTTACCTCCCTTACAGCTTGGTCTGGAGACTGCCTTAGACCCTCCGATGAATCTATTCAAACAGCTGCCTCTGTTACCTTGACTCGTCTCAGATTCCGTCGACCCGAGACAAGGAATATAAGACTGTCTCTATTATTTTGACTTGCTCCAGGTTAGGGAGAAGCCTATGCAAGGGTCCTACTGACCATATGTTTCATTTTTAGCTTTGATACCTGGGCACGGATTTCCCTAGGTTTAACTATTTGCTCAATGTTAAGGCAGCTCTGTGGAAATTTGTTTGTATAACTGGAGTGCGGTGCAGGGCTCTCTGTGTGACTGTCATGAAGGCCTGTCTGTGTGACTATCAGGGAGAATTGGCCTGCCACAAAAGGATTCATACAAAACTCAGGAGAGAGAAACAGGGTGGCTGGGAGATATTTCACTTCTGTACCTTCTGAGTTTGGGACTATGTGAATTTATCATTCTTTCAAAAAGTGAACAAAAAGTTAATTTCCTCCTTCCTTTCTGTGTCCCGACCCCCAGTGAAAAAAAGGGTTAGAGAATCAGATATACCTGGGTGTTCAAATCCCAGCTCTGTCTGAGTGATCTTAGGCAAGCAATTAACCTCTAATACCCCATTTTTTTAATCTACGCAATAGAGGTAAAAATAGTAACTGTCTCATATGGTGGTTGTGAGAATTAAATGGGATTGCTAGCATGGTGCCTGGTGAAGCGCTCAAAGCTTCAAACAGTGGTAGTAATAAGGGTAATAACAATAGCAATATTCTCTGATCTCTCTGGGCCTCTGGTAGCCAGCTATAAATTTGATCTCTTTCCCCGTCGCTTCCACCCTTATTGAGTTCTTTGAGAAACAAATGAGACTATAGGCTTGGAAATGCCATGAAAACATGTCAGCTGTGATTGAGAGTAAGGAATTGTTGACTGGGGAATAGTTATTATAGCTATTGTTACTGGCCAGCCAGCTGCTCCTCTGCCTGTTTTGTCCTGACTTAACCTTTCTGTATTTGCAGTATATCAAGGAGGTAACCAAAGACAGAGATGCCCTCAGGCTGGAGTCATACAAGAATAGGTAGGATGGGGGAGGGTGGGATGGGAGGTGTGGGGCCCTTAGCGTGGGTGATGTGCTGGGAGGTGGGAAGGCTGCAGGTGAGCATGGTGAGGTGATCATACAGGTTTGCATGTGTGCACAGGCTACGCTTTAGGGCCGGCTGTGCCCCTGACTCATGCTTTGGCCTCGGGGAACTCATGTCTTCTCTCTGGACTGCCACCTGTGACTTTTGATTCCTGAGGTCCCTTCCAATGCCATGGTTCTGTGGTTGTGGGGTGAGGTGAGGATAGAGGAGCAGTCCTTTCTGCTCTTCATTGATTCCACAGTAGTCCTTTCTGTTCTTTGTTCATTCTTTTCTCTACTGCCTCTGGCCATAGCCAAAACAACGAGGACCGGAAGCAGAAGAACTCAGAACTAGAAGAGAAGCTTCAAGTCCTAGTGACCGAAGATTTCGACTCAATCTGAAGCAACTGCAAAGGAAGCTGGAGAGGGCTAAGATCCTGCTTCTGGCAAGAGGCTGCAGCCCCAGGGGTGGTGGGAGCCCCATCCAGCTGGGGACATGGTCTAGGGATCATGCAGGTTATGGGGAGGCTCCAGCCAAGAGCCGGAAAATTTGGGTCCTTGTTCTGGTCCTGCCATAGAATCCTCTAGAGACTGCTAAAAATCTACAAACTGGGCCCTGCCATAGACCTGGGGAACCAGAATCTCAGGGTTAGGGCTTAAATTTGTTTTAAATGCATCATGGATGAAAACCATTATTATATAGATTATACTTATATGGCTAGCTCATGAGCCTGTTTATTTCCTTCTGAGGTTCAAGCCAACACTTCAACTATTCCACGGTGATAATAGATAGCAGAGTTTTTGTTTGTTTGTTTTTTTCTTGGGATGGGGCCTCCCTCTATCACTAGGGCTGGAGTGCAGTGGCATGACCTCGGCTCACTGCAACCTCCACCTCCCAGGCTCAAGCGATCCTCCTGCCTCAGCCTCTCAAGTAGCTGGGACTACAGGTGCATGCCACCACTCCTGGGTAATTTTTGTATTTGTACAGATGGGGCTTTGCCATGTTGCCCAGGTTGGTCTTGAACTCCTGACCTCAAGCAATCCACCCACCTCAGCCTCCCAAAGTGTTGTTATTATAGGCATGAGCCACCATCCTTGGCCTGAGATCTTTTTAAAAATTATTTAATATTTTATTTCTAAAGCAAAGCAACTTCACAGTAGAGATCTTTATTGACCAAGTTGTACATTGAGCCCAGCTCTAGACCTTTTAAAGGGCACTGTGTGGAATGGCCCAGGATCCCCAGATCTGAACTTCTCACTCTTTACCATTCAATTTGATTCTAGGAAATCAGCGCGAAACAGTCTTAGATTCCCTGCCTCCAGACCTTATTTTCCTGCCTCATAGAGCTTTATGTTACTGTCCTTTTGAGAGAATCCAGATTCAGACTTTCAGTTCTGTGGCTGTGGGCCAAAACCAACAAAGTCCCAAATCCTCTGTCCTTGGGAGCTTGAGGAGAGTTTACCAGTTCATGGTCCTAGTGGGTCTGATAACTTTGCCTTTAAAATCCACTCCTGGCCCCTGCCTACTGCTTCATGGCCTGGGGAATAGAGTGGAGGGGGCCACCCTTGGTCACCTTCCTTTGACTCTCCCAAGGAAACAGCACAACCAGGAAATTGTGGATCAACTAGAATCACACTAGTAATGTAATTTCTTTGCTCACAGCATGACTGCTGGGTTTGGGGGGCACTCAGATGTAGAGGTGCTAGTCTCGTCTTGCTGACCCCCAGCCTGGGAAGAAGGCTCACCCCCCAGGTTCCACCTCATCCCCACAGGGTCCCTGATAACCTGGTCCCATGGGTGGGCCTGTCCTGGGGCATTGGTGGCATTCTGGGGGCATGTCCCTTGCTGTGCCATCTCTGCCTCCCCCAGTAAGAGCTGTGTCTTCCTCTTCCTATAGGAAAAGCAAGAAAGCCAGCAAAACCAGGGAGAGCCCTAAAGAGGCAGTTAGAGGTGAGTGGAGGGTGTGAAGTTCCCTCCTGTCCTCTGGAGAATGTTGCTTTCCTTCTCTTTCAGCATCTGCTCGGCTTTTCTCCCAAAAGTTCAAATCAGACAATTGGAATCTTGATGTTTGAGAAAGCAGAAATGAAGACAGCACTGTATCACACTGAACGTGCTGCTGCCAGGCAGTTTGAAGGTGGGAATCTGGGCACCCGTCATCCTTCAACCTGCTGCTTTGACAGGATTTTAGGGGTAGTCCTTTGGGCCCCATCTCAACCTCTCTCATTTCAGAAGAGTCCACAGATCTGGCCAGCTGCCTGCAGTATTCCCAGCAGTTTACGGGAGAATTGGAACGAACTCTCTTTGCTCTCTCCACGCAGCAGAAGAACATGGACAGTGTGAGTCCTACAGCCTCCCTCATCCCCTGGCAGCCCAGCTTCCCAGATGGAGGAGTTGAAGCTGGTTATGAAGCCCTTGATGCTAACCAGCAGTTACAGCAGGCCATGGAGGAGCGGGCACAGCTGGAAGTACACCTGGGGCAGGTGAGGCTTTGCAGAGGGAGGGATGTGGAAGGAAGATGACCCCAGGTGGCCAGGAGCGTGTGAGGACCAGTGACAGCCCTTCCTAACTTCTGTGCCCATTCTTGCAGGTAATGGGGTCACTGAAACAACTACAGATGGAGAAAGATCAACACGCTGAGAATCTGAAAGGAGAGAGCGCCTTGTGGTGGCAGAGGATGCGGGAGATGTCAGAGCAGGTGAGACCTGACCCTTCAGCCCCCACCGTAGATAGGTCACTTGATTGTTCCAGGCATCTGTGAAATGGGAGGAGCACAGCCAGAGGTGGTCATGGGTCTGGGCTTTGTGGAGGTAGGGGCAGAGAGGGAGATGGTAGCTTGTCCAGCTGCCAGCCCCTCTCTGCAGGGCCCTTTCCCCCTGTGCTTTGGGCAGGTGCACGCGTTGAGGGAGGAGACGGTGCATAGCATGAGTCGAGTACAGGAGCTGGAGACGATCTTGGCTGAACTAAGGAACCAGATGGGTAAGCTGGGGCTGGGGTGACCTGGGAGCAGGACTGGCATCAGAGGGCTGTGGGGATGGCTTAGAATGCCAGAGAGGTGGATGCATGGAAAGGCTTTGAGGCAGAGGGAAAGAGGTCTGTGCCAGGAGGCGGCAAGTCTTGTAATCGTCATGAGCCTCAATGTCCCCATCAGCAAAGAGGAAAAAGTGTGTGTTGTCAGCCACCCACAGTTGTCTCTATCTGAAAGTGGCTTGGAAGATTGGCTACCATCAGGGTGCAAGGAATCATTAGCAGGGAGGCCAAGTTTGGGGAGCCTGAGGGGTGCAGTGGATCAAGAGGAGGGTTTTTTTTTTTTTGAGAATGCAGAGGGTTTTTTTGAGAATCATTAGCAGGGAGGCCAAGTCTGGGGAGCCCGAGAGGAGCTGTGTACCAAGAGGAGGGTGTTTTTGAGAATCCAGAGGCCGTTATTGTCTGCTTCCTTTCTCAGCTGAATCCCACCCCTGGAGCCCCCAGCAGGGGGCGCAGCCCTCATGTGAAGCGGCACTTCTGAGGGGACCTGTGAGCCAGAGCCCTGCTTTGATGGCTGTGGATGAGAGGCGATGATTTTTCTAATCTGCCTCCATCCTTCCCAGTGCCGTGGGAGGCAGACACCAAGTTCTGGGGTCTGCAGCTGCAGCAGCAGCTACAGGCAGAGGCTGAGCACCTGTGGGAGGAGCTGGAAAGTCTAGCAGGACAGCTCCAGTGGGCCCACATGCAAGACAATGAGGACTTGAAATGCCTGAACTGGGAGCAGGAGAGGCTGCTGGAGCTGGGGCGGGTGGCTGAGCTCTGAGGGGAGCAGGCGGAGGTATGCAGGCAAACCCTGGGGACCGTGCAAAATGACCTCACCACCATCAGCCCCACACTCTCCCAGAACCCTGAGCTCAAGGAGCAGCTACAGAGAGCAGCTTTGTAAAACTGGTGCATCCCACCTGGGGAGACTGCCCTCCTCCCCAGCCCTCTAGGCCTTTGTTTCCCCATCTGTTAAGTGGGGCAGTGTAGCCCTCATGTGAAGTGGCACTTCTGAAGGGACCTGTGAGCCAGAGCCCTGGTTTGATGGCTATGGGGGAGAGGGGATCATTTTTCTAATCTGCCTCCATCCTTCCCGGCGCCATGGGAGGCAGACACCAAGTTCTGCGGTCTCCAGCTGCAGTGGGTGGCGTGATTGCTTCTCTCTGTCCAGAACAGTGAGAATATGGAGATCAACAATGCACTTTAGTCTGAGCAGCATGTCAAGGAGGAGCTGCAGGAGAAGCTGGGCGAGCTGTAGGAGATGGTAGCCCCTGCTGATTATGCCACTGCAAGGGAGAAGGGAAGAGAGAAGAGAGAGGCAGCTACATTGTACATTGCCCAGACTACTACTTCCTCATCACTGTCCTCTGCCCAGGAGGGGCCCAGTTAGGGTCACTCTGTGGCACAGACTGGCCGTCTGGAAGAACAGTGCCTTTCTCTTCCCTGACTTTGGTACACCTTCCTCCAGCCTGCTGTGGCTGCCACAGGTCAGAACCTGCTGCTGTCTTTTGCTGAACTCCAGGGGGAGCGAGGTCCTCATGTATTCATGAAGGAGGCCGTGCAGCCCCTGCTTTGAGCTTTGGCCATTCAAAATGCTGCCTAGCAGCCCAAGGCCTGGGCAAACCATATCCACACCCCCGAGTGGCTCCAAGCATGCATGACTGTCACTGTCATTGCGTGAGTATCTGTCATACCTGTTCCACACTCTTGTGTCCATGCCACTGAGGCACCTTCTCTCCTGCATGGCCCCCTAATGCCCTGCTTTGTTCTGTGACAGACGCCAAAGACAATGCTGCATCTGTCTAGCCACCTGCCAATGACACCGTGTTACCTGGTGGTGTCCCTTGCCCTGGTGCCAGTCTTGCTAGCATAGCGGCACCTCAGGTTCATGCTTCCTCCTCCTCTGCCCACTGCCCTCCTGTACCTACTATGGATTCTCTTCTCTTTTCACAAGTAGTTTGTTCCCTAGGGCCAGGTGCCCTTCCTGGGGACTGGGCTGGGGGAAGGCTGAGACTGGGCTTTTCCTTGAGGTTTGGGGAGATAGAATATTGTTGGAATGAGCTTGGGAACTTGGCTCACCTGTCCTCGGTGATTCTTACAGAAATTGAATGACCATCTCATATGTTTCTTCCCACACAGAATCATCATGCTAGCCCCAATCTCATGGATGAAAGCAAGTGAGTGTCTCTTATCAGGGCAGCAGTCTCTAGGCTGAGGGAGTCAGGGAGGCCACTGTCTAACACCTTCTTTCCCATTGAGCCACCTGCACCCCTGACGCCTGTGTCTCTGCCCTTAGGACCTTCTCATTAACCGAGAGCCTGCAACAACTCTCCCAACAGCTCAATGGCGTTGTTTCTGAGGAACTTCAGAAATTGAGGGGAGTGCGGGGGAAAGGAAAGTATGATAGAAAGAAACTGAGGCAGGAATCACCAGAGAGAGGAAAGATCCTGGGACTGGCCGATTTGCTGGGCCATGTTGAGGAAGTTGCCTCTTCCCTGAGGCTTCTTCCTTGAGGCTGTTCACATGAAGGAGTTGTACCCCGTGGCTGGTTACATCATTTTATCCTACTGTAGAAACACCAGATGAGAGCTGCTTGGGAGGAAGGGATGGTGGGGAGATAAAAACCATGAGAGAAGTTGGCACAAAGAGGTTATGGGATGAAGGGTCCAAGTTAGGCAGAAAAGAAAATGTTGTCAGTTGCTGGGGAAGAAAGGAAGTCAGAGGGCTTAGACATGGAGGGGACAGAAGATTTCCATGCGCACTCTCATCTCTTGTAGTCAGCAACAGGTATCTGTGCGGAGGGCTCTGGATCATCCGCTACCCTGAAGGATCTGGAAGTAAGAGGCCCTGGGCCATGACCCAGTGACCCTGCAGGCCAGCCCTCCAACCTCCTCCCACAGTGGGGGCTGGGTGCCCCTCTGCCATCTGAGACCTCTCACACCCTCCCCCCAACCCTAATGATTGCTCTCTCTACCTCTCCCCTCGATCCTCCTCCAACTCCTCCTCTCTTCACGTGCCTCAGAGCAGATACCAAGAGGTAACAGTCGCCCTGGACTCGAGTTATATAACAATCAGTCGACGGAATAAAACCATCGAGTCATTGGTAAGAGTTCAATGGGGTCCACCAATTCCACGCTGCAAGTCCTGGGCTCCAGTTTCCCCTTGGGGCCCTGAAGAAAGGGCTGAGGGTCCCTGATGCCAAGGGCAAATGGGGAGCAGGGGGGCCGAGGCCTCAGCTAGAGGGACCCCAGAGCACGGAGCATGCATCATGGCTCTTCTGTTGCTGCCCTCTTTGCCTACTGTCTCTTCTTCAGATACCCATGCTCCAGCCCTTGCCACACATGTCCTGGGGTTGTGGCTTCTCAGGGAAGCACTGGCCTGATTGGTTGTCAGGAGCCCCGTATTTCCACTCTGACTCAGGCCCTAATTTGCTCTTTGATTCTGGGCAAGCCACCTCTCCTCCTTGGGCTTGTGTTTCCCGAGGAGGTAGAGTTAGAAAGTATCAAAAGTCTCTGTTAGCTCTGAGAGTCCACGATTTAAAGGTCCAGTAGAATGTAAGCCTCAGGGCCAAGGGATCCTGTCTGTCCTTTTCTGTCCTACATCTCTGCTATGAAGAACCATACCTGGCCTGTATGTGCTCAGTCAATGTTTGTTGAGTGAATGCACCTTTCTAAATCACAAGCTGGTAGAAGGGTGAGCTTTTCTCAGACTCCATCTCTAAAGGTTTATGTTACTGTCCTTTCGGGAGAATCCAGATTCGGACTTTCAGTTCTGTGGCCGTGGGCCAAAACCAACAAAGACCCAAATCCTCTGTCCTTGGGAGCTTGAGGAGAGTTTACCAGTTCATGGTCCTAGTGGGTCTGAGAACTTTGCCTTTAAAATCCATTTCTGGCCCCTGTCTACCGCTTCCTGGTCTGGGGAATAGAGTGGAGGGGGCCATCCTTGGTCACCTTCCTTTGACTCTCCCCGCAGAAACAGCACAACCAAAAACTTGTCAAGCAACTAGAAGAAATGATTTGTTTGCTCACGGCATGACTGCTGGGTTTGGGGGGCACTCAGATGTAGAGGCCCCAGTCTCGTCTTGCCCACCCCCAGCCTGGGGAAAAAGGCTCACTCCCCAGATTCCACCTCATCCCCACAGGGTCCCTGATAACCTGGTCCCATGGGTGGGCCTGTCCTGGGGCATTGGTGGCATTCTAGGGGCATGTCCCTTGCTGTGCCATCTCTGCCTCCCCCTAGTAAGAGCTCTGTCTTCCTCTTCCTATAGGAAAAGCAAGAAAGCCAGCAAAACCGGGGAGCCCTAAAGAGGCAATTACAGGTGAGTGGAGGGTGTGAAGTTCCCTCCTGTCCTCTGGAGAATGTTGCTTTCCTCCTCTTTCAGCATTTGCTTGGCTTTTCTCCTAAAGGTTCAATTCAGATAATTAGAGTCTTGATGTTTGAGAAAGCAGAATTGAAGACAACACTGTATCACAATGAACGTGCTGCCAGGCAGTTTGAATGTGGGAATCTGGGCACCCGTCATCCTTCAACCTGGTGCTTTGACAGGCCTTTAGGGGGAGTCCTTTGGGCCCCATCTCAACCTCTCTCATTCTAGAAGAGGCCGAGGATCTGGCCAGCCATCTGCTGTATTCCTGGCAGCATGTGGGAGAGTTGGAGCAGGAGCAGAGGAAGGCAGATAGGGTGAGTCCAACCGCCTGCCCCATACCCTGGCAGCCCGGCTTTCCAGATGGAGGAGTGAGGGACCTTTAGGTCCCTTCTGCGGGATGGAGTGTCCTGCCCAGAAAGCAGCATGGGCCATTTCTCGCTGCTTTTGTGCGTGCTTGTTAGAGTCAGCCTGGGGCTGTGTCGGCTGCTGTGGGTGAGTTGGGGGGTGCTGTGGGGAGCGAGCACTGGATGCAGAGCTCGGAGGCCAAGTGCCTACCCTGCCCTTACCTGGCTGTGGCCTTGGTCAAGTCCTAGGTGGGAGATATGGTACTTGCACTGTGAAGGTACAGAAGAGTATCTTTAGTATGTTAACATTTGTGCAGAGAGAGGGAACACGTGTGTGTGTGTACTATGATAATATACATAAAACATGTCTGCAAGGATTTGTAAAAAACTCAGGAGAAAGGACCAGGGTGGCTGGGAGATATTTCCCTTCTGTATTTTCTGAGTTTTGGACTATGAGAATGTACCCTTCAAAAACTGAACACAAGATTATCCCCCTTTCCATCTGTGCCCCCACCCCCAGCTGTTAAAAGTGGAGGGTGTCCAGCTTCTTGACGTCTTGAACAAAGAACTGGACAAAATGCACAAACAAAGCGAGGAAGGAATGAAAGGACTTACTGAAACTGAAAGCACACTCCACAGTGTGGGAGCGCACCCGAGCATAAGGGCTCAAAGGCACCATTACAGAATTTTTGGGAGTTTACCCCCTAGAGGATTCCATTGGTTACTTGGGGTATGCCCTATGTAAATGGAGAGGATGAAGTAAAGTTACAAAGTCATTTAGCCATAGGCCCCATAGAGAGGATATTTCCTGTTATAGCTGAAGTGTGAACAGGCCTTATGTTCCCTGCCTCCAGATCCTATTTTCCTGCCTCACAGCGAAAAAATGGGCTTAGAGAATCAGATATACCTGGGTGTTCAAATCCCAGCTCTGTCTGAATGATCTTAGACAAGCACTTAACCTCTAATACCCCATGTTTTTCAACGACACAATAGAGGTGATAATAGTAACTGTCTCCTATGGTGGTTGTGAGGATTAAATGGGATTGTTAGCATGGTGCCTGGTGAAGCACTCAATAAAGGTTCCAACAATGGCAGTCATAACGGTAATAACAATAGTAATATTCTCTTTTTTCTCTGGGCCTCTGGTAGCCAGCTGTAAATTCGATCTCTTTCCCTGTCCCTTCCACCCTTACTGAGTTATTTGAGAAACAAATGAGACTGTGGGCTTGGAAATGCCTTGCAAACATGTCAGGCGTGATTGAGAGTGAGGAAGTGTTACTGTGGAATAGTCACTGTAGCTGTCGTTCCTAGTCTGCCAGCTGCTTCTCTGCCTGCTGTATCCTGACTTCACCTTTCTGTATTTTCAGTACAACAACCAGTTAACCAGAGACAGCGATGCCCTCAGGCTGGAGTTATACAATAACAGGTAGGACGGGGGAGGGTGGGATGGGAGGTGTGGGGCCCTTAGTGTGGGTGATGTGCTGGGAGGTGGAAGGGCTGCATGTGAGCATGGTGACGTGGTCACACAGGTTTGAATGCGTGCACAGGCTACGCTTTAGGGCCAGCTGTGCCTCTGACTCATGGGATAGCCTTGGGGAACTCATGTCTTCTCTCTGGCCCGCCACCTGTGACTTTTGATTCCTGAGGTCCCTTCCAGTGCCATGGTTCTGTGGTTGTGGGGTGAGGGTAGAGGGCTGATCACCAAAGCAGCCCTTTCTGTTCTTTGTTCATTCCTTTCTCTACTGCCTCTGGCCGTAGCAACAGCAATAAGGAGCTGAAGCAGGAGAACTCAGCTTTGGCAGAGCAGCTTCAAGTTGTACTGATTGACAAGGCAGGGATGCAGTGTGACTTGGAGGAGCTGAAAAAGAAACTGGAACTCACTGAGCTCACGCTTCAACAGGTGAGAGGCTGCAGCCCTAGGGGTGGTGGGGTATGGGAAGGCTCCAGCCAAGAGCTGGAAAATTTGAGTCCTTGTTCTGGTCCTGCCATAGAATCCTCTAGAGACTGCTAAAAATCTACAGATTGGGGCCCTGCCATAGATCTGGGGAATCAGAATCTCAGGGTTAGGGCTTAAATTTTTTTTTTTAAATGCAGCGTAGATGAAAATCATTATTTTATAGATTACACTTATACGGCTAGCTCATGAGCCTGTTTATTTCCTTCTGAGGTTCAAGCCAACACTTCGACTATTCCACGGTAATAATAGAGAGTAGATTTCTTATTTGTTTGTTTGTTTTGGGACAGGGTCTCGCTCTGTCACCTGGGCTGGAGTGCAGTGGCGTGATCTCGGCTCATTGCAACCTTCGGCCTTCCATGCTCAAGCAATCCTCCTGCCTCAGCCTCTCAAGTAGCTGGGACTATAGGCGCATGCCACCACGCCTGGGTAATTTTTGTATTTGTAGAGACAAGGCTTCGCCATGTTGCCCAGGCTGGTCTCTAACTCCTGAGCTCAAGCAATCCACCCACCTCAGCCTCCCAAAGTGTTGGGATTACAGGCATGGGCTACCATCCCCGGCCTGAGATCTCTTTAAAATTACCTAATTTTTTATTTCTAAAGGAAAGCACCTTCACAGTAGAGATCTTTATTGACCAAGTTGTACATTGAACCTAGCTCTAGCCCTTTTAAGGGGCACTGTGTGGAACAGCCCAGGCTCCTCAGATTGAAACTTCTCTTTCTTCATCATTCAGTTATCTAGCTGGTGTGAAGCCCCTGATGCTAACCAGCAGTTACAGCAGCCCACAGACGAACGGGCACAGCTGGAAGCACACCTGGGGCAGGTGAGGCTTTGCAGAGGGAGGGATGTGGAAGGAAGGTGACCCCAGGGGGCCAGAAGCATGTGAGGACCAGACAGCCCTTCCTAACTTCTGTGCCCATTCTTGCAGGTGATGGAGTGGCTGAAGTATCTGCAAATGGAGAGAGAGCAGTATGCCGAGTATCTGCATGGAGAGAGTGCCATGTGGTGGCAGAGGATGCGGGAGATGTCAGAGCAGGTGAGACCTGACCCTTCAGCCCCCACCGTAGATAGGTCACTTGATTGTTCCAGGCATCTGTGAAATGGGAGGAGCACAGCCAGAGGTGGTCATGGGTCTGGGCTTTGTGGAGGTAGGGGCAGAGAGGGAGATGGTAGCTTGTCCAGCTGCCAGCCCCTCTCTGCAGGGCCCTTTCCCCCTGTGCTTTGGGCAGGTGCACACGTTGAGGGAGGAGAGAGTGCACAGCATGAGTCGAGTACAGGAGCTGGAGACGATCTTGGCTGAACTAAGGAACCAGGTGGGTAAGCTGGGGCTGGGGTGACCTGGGAGCAGGACTGGCATCAGAGGGCTGTGGGGATGGCTTAGAATGCCAGAGAGGTGGATGCATGGAAAGGCTTTGAGGCAGAGGGAAAGAGGTCTGTGCCAGGAGACGGCAAGTCTTGTCATCTCCACGAGCCTCAATGTCCCCATCAGCAAAGAGGAAAAAGTGCCTGTTGTCAGCCACCCACAGTTGTCTGTACCTGAAAGTGGCTTGGAAGATTGGCTACCATCAGGGCGCGAGGAGTTATTAGCAGGGAGGCCAAGTCTGGGGAACCTGAGAGGAGCTATGCACCAAGAGGAGGGTTTTTTTTGAGAATCCAGAGGCCCTTATTGTCGGCTTCCTTTCTCAGCTGAACCCCTGCCCCCGGAGCCTCCAGCAGGGCCCTCCGAAGTGGAGCAGAAGCTACAAGCAGAGGCTGAGCACCTGTGGAAGGAGCTGGAGAATCTGGCAGGACAGCTTCAAGCCCAAGTGGAAGAAAATGAGGGCTTGAGTCACCTGAACCAAGAGCAGGAAGAGGTTGCTCAGGTTGTTGGAGCAAGAGGAGAAGTTGCTGGAGCAAGAGGAGAGGTTGCTGGAGCAAGAGGAGAGGTTGCTGGAGCAAGAGGAGAGGCTACTGGAGCTGCAGGAGAGCCTGCTAGAGCAGAAGCGGAAGGCCGCTTCCTTTCTCAGCTGAACCCCTACCCGGAGCCCCCAGCAGGGCCCTCCGAGGTGGAACAGCAGCTACAAGCAGAGGCTGAACACCTGCGGAAGGAGCTGGAGAATCTGGCAGGACAGCTTTAAGCCCAAGTGGAAGAAAATGAGGGCTTGAGTCGCCTGAACGAAGAGCAGGAAGAGGTTGCTGAGATTGTTGGAACAAGACGAGAGGTTGTTGGAGCAAGAGGAGAGGTTGCTGGAGCAAGAGGAGAGGTTGCTGGAGCTGCAGGAGAGGCTGCTAGAGCAGAAGCGGAAGGCCGCTTCCTTTCTCAGCTGAACCCCTACTCCCGGAGCCCCCAGCAGGGCCCTCCGAGGTGGAGCAGCAGCTACAAGCAGAGGCTGAACACCTGCGGAAGGAGCTGGAGAATCTGACAGGACAGCTTTAAGCCCATGTGCAAGAAAATGAGGGCTTGAGTCGCCTGAACCAAGAGCAGGAAGAGGTTGCTGGAGCAAGAGGAGAGGATGCTGGAGCAAGAGGAGAGGCTGCTGGAGCTTGAGTGGAAAGCCGAGCCTTGAGAGGAGCAGGTGGAGGCGCTCAGGCATACCGTGCGGAACGACCGTACCACCATCAGGCGCGCGCTCTCCCAGAAACACGAACTGAAGAAGTATCTGGGCGAGCTGAAGGAGATGGTAACCCCCGCCCAATTCAAGAAGGGCAGGGAGGTGGGCATCAGCCTCTGGGGAAGGGAGGTGGGAGGCCAGAGGCAGCTCCAGCCTGGGGTACAGGTGACCCTAGCAGCCTCCAGGGCCGTGCCGTGACTGTTTCTTGCTTCCTGCCCTCTGACTTTTAGAGGTGGATAGCCTTGGACTCCTCCCAATATCCTCTAGCTGGCTATTGTCCCAGCTAGAGACATGGAGCACCCCCAATCACAGGGAAAAAACAGTGGTATAAGAGGCTCCTTAGATTCAAACTGAATTCTGGCCTCGGCTCCACTGCTCACCATTGAACTACTTTCCATCTCTAAGTCTTGGTTTCTTTCACTTAAAAAGGAAATGAGCATTTTCCTCGCAGAGGTGCTCAGAATTAAATGAGATAATACATGGAAAGCATTAGGCATGTAGCACACTTAGCAGATGGTGGTTGGCTCCTTCTGCTTTTCCACCTGTGGCTTACAGGTTAAATGGTGGGAAATGGGTGTGTGATTTGAGGCTGGGGAAGGAGGCATGGGGCTCTCCGCAAGGGAGGCAGTCACTTAGGCCTGGAGCAAGGGGCCAGGGGCCTGGGCAGGCGACAGAGTCCCACAGTACCCTTGCTACCCTATTTCTGGGCCCAGAATCTGGAAGCCAGCCACCACCTGCCCTCACGCCCAGGGTCTTCCTGCAGGTGGAGCTGAAGAACCAAGAGGCTCAGAGCCTGCCGCAGCGGGGAGACCAGTGCTGAGGTCTTCTGCAGCAGTACTATCAGCAGCTGATCTCTGAGGAGGAGGCACTGCACAGGCAGTTATTTCTGCAGATCCAGCTCGTGGACCAGCTGCAGCACCAGAGAAAAGAGTAGCAGAGATGGCCTGCCAAGAGTTGCAGGAGACCCAGGAAAGGGAGTTGCTGAGGGCAGGTCCCCGAGGGGGATGAGACCTGGCAACATCCATGCCTTCTCATTCTCTTTCCTGACCCCTTAGGAGCGCCTGGAAGCAGAACCAGTAGCTACAGGCCCAGTTGAGTCTCATGGCTCTCCCTGGGGAAGGTACGGGGGAGACCAGTCACAGGAAGAGGAGAAAGTCCTCGGAGGAGCAGGGGACTGTTAGCAGCATAGGATTGAGGAGTTGGAAGAGACCCTTAGAACAGCTGGTCATTATGCCGACGGGGTGTCCGCACTGAGTTCGGCATCAATATGGTGCCCTGGGAGTGGGGGACCACCAGGTTGCCTAAGGATGGGTAAACTGGCCCAGGTCAGAAATGGATCAGGTCAGAACTCCCAGGTAGATAGGTAGTGGTACTGTGCCTGGGCAACATAGCGGGACCTTGGCTCTTTAAAAAAATGCAATAAAAATAAAGAGCAGCTACTCATTCCTCTCTGGGGAGGGGCTGGCCTAGGGTTACACAGTGAGGGTGGGGGCAGAGGTGGGCCCACTGTACTCCCTTGTTGGGTTGTCTGAGGACCCCTCTGGTCACTGCCCCGCCCCACCCCCATAGGAGATGGACTGGAGAGTGAGGAGGAGGAGGAGCCTTGGTCCATGCTGAGCATCCTGGAGGACCTGGAGAGCTGGGAGACCATGATGAGCCTGACTCCCCATGCCCCACCTTTGCTTCCTCCCTCTCTCCTCCCTCCCAGACACCCTTATGCTCTTGGTTTTTCTGCCTTCTGATTTCTTTGGACCCTCACCCCTTCCCTGGGAGCCAGTGGTCAGACACCATTTCACCTGAGACCAATAGGTGCACCCTCTGAGGCCCCAAGGGAAGGGCTTCTCTCTACTGCCCTGGCCCGTTCATCCTGTGTATCCCCCTACAAGAATGGGCACCTCCTGCCCGCAGGTGGCATTTTAAAACTTGGCTTTAGCCAGTGCCGAAGAGGAGCAGGCACAGCTACATGGGCAGCTGAAGGAGCAAAGGGTGCACTGCCAGCGCCTGTCTTACCCGGTGGCCTTGGCCCAGAAGGAGCCAGAGGCAGCAGCCTCAGCCCCAGGGACTGGGGGCGATTCTGTGTGGGGAAACCCACCGGACCTTGCAGGGGACCATGGGGAAGCTGCAGGTGAGTGAGTCTCTCCTGGCATGGCCAAGAAGGGTGGGGGCGGGGCAGGTTGTTGCGGGGATGTGACCCCATTATTTTGACTCCAGAGCCGCTTTATGGAGCTCATGCAGGAGAATGAGCGGGTGGAGAAACTGGAATGTCGCTGCATTCAGCTGTCTGGACAAACAGACACCATCAGTGAGCGAGAGGTCAGGGCACGGCAGGGGGAGCTGCAGGGTGGTCAGAGGGGCCCCAATGTCTGAGCCCTGTCCTCCTGCAGGAAAGTACGTCACATCATACCAGAGCCAGAGGTCAGTGCTGAAGACGTGGACCGGGAGAATGAGTACATAAGCAGGCTGGCTCAGGACAAGGAGGAGATGAAGGTAGGGCGTGCAACATCTCTGCAGGGGTGGAGGTGGGGGTGGGTGTGGGCACGGGCGTGGCAGCTGAGCACCCCTCCCTCCAGGTGAAGCTGCTGGAGCTGGTGTTGCAGCTTGTGGGCGACTGCAACAAGTGGCATGGCAGATTCCTGGCAGCTGCCCAGAACCCTGCTGATGAGCCTGCTCCATGGGACCCAGCCCCCCAGGAGATTGGGGCTGCCAACAAGCAGGGTGGTGAGTAGAGCCCTTGGGCAGGGTGGGCTGGCAGGATGAGGGGAGGGCTCACACAGTGCTCTGAGCCCTGCCTCCCTGTCTCCAAAGATCTCCCACAGTGTGGAGCCTGAACAAGAAGAGGCTGGGGAGGGTTTTCCCCACGACAGCCCCACGGCACAGCAGATCATGCGGCTGCTTCATGAGATGCAGAACCCCCAGGAGCGCCCAGGCTTGGGCAGCAACCCCTGCATCCCCATTTTTTACTGAGCTCAGGAGAGCAAGATGAAGGTAACAATCATCTAAAAGCCAGCCACTGTCAGCAAAGCCTGGAGAAATGGGACCAGAGAGTCTGCCCCTACCACGTCCCTGCCACCCCTTCCCAGTTACCCCTTTACCCTTACAGTAGCAAAATAAGACCCCTATCTAGTGAGGGAGACAGGTGCAGATGAGGTGAAGATCACTGTCATCTAAAAGCAGGCCACCAAATTTAAAAAAAAAAAGTTATGGGAAAAAATTTATGGGATTAAAAAAAGTTATGGGATTAAAGAAATTATGAAAAAAGCTGCAGGTAAAATGTTATGAAAAAAGTTAGTTATGGAAAAAAGTTATGGAAAAGTTATAGAAAAAAAGTTATGGGATTAAAAAATAGTCATGGATAAAAATTTAAAAAATAAAAAATAATAAAAACAGGCCACCGTCAGCAAAGCCTGGAGAAGTGGGGTTGGAGGCTGTGCCCCTACCATGTCCCTACCACCCATTCCCACTCACCCTTTTACCCTTAGAGTAGCAAGACAAGCCGCCTGTCTAATGGGTTGAGACAAACAAGTGCAGACCCTTTGCCGCCTTGGCCAGGGCTGAGTCCTTAAATTTCTGGAAGACGATTATTGTTATTTAAGAGCTAGAGGCTCAGAGTTTATTTCTTTCGAGGAAGCCTCATGGCCTCTCTGATGGCGTTAATCCCACCAAAGCAATTTTTCCCTCATGGGGGCTCCCATTTTACTCAGAGAGGCAGCTGAGGCAGGACAATGGAGCTAATGTAGACCAGGCGAGGGCACGAGCTGCTGGAGGTGGGTCCCCTTCCCCAGTGTACATATTGTATCTGTGTAACATTTTGTATATTCTGGGGGTAGGGCTGCCCCCTGTATCATACATAGCAGAGGTTGGAGTTGGCACATGGGGAGGAGGTTCTAATAATTATTTGTGGCTGGGAAACTTATTTGATAGCATATGACAGAGGAGGGAGGCAGGGATGGGGTTGTGGCTCCCTGGTGATGAGACTCCTGTTTATTTTGCTTTTCATTTTGGAATAAATAGCTTTTAGCCATACTGCTCATCCTGGTGTGTTCCTATTTCCTTCACTGGCTCCTGGAGTTTGTGCCACTGAATGGGGAGCCCCAGAGTGTCTGAGCATGTCCAACTGGGCTGATGGGGACCTTCCAGGCCTGTTTCCTGGATGCTGCCTGGTGACACCTGGGGGATTCCACGGGGACTGCCGTGGTGCCTATGGGGCACAGTCCAGCCCTGACAGCCAACAGGCTCAGAATCCTGATCTAGCGGTGGCCGGGAAGGCAGGTACCAGCACCCAAGGGCACTGACTTCCATCCAGCCCAGGCATCTTCCATTCCATCCTCCTGCCTCCCTTGCCTGTCTGCACCTGGTGGCCTGTTCTGTCTGTCCCTCCAGAGTGCCAGCTGCCCTGCAGGCTTCCTCCAGGCTGAGTTCATGGCCCTGCACCCTAGTGGCCAGAACCGGCTTCACAGGATGAGCCAGCTAAGCTCCAGGGGCTTTCCAGGAAAAGTGTCCTTTGGAAAGGATGTGGCCTTTTCACTGCTCCCAACAGCACCCTAGTAATGGCTTGGCCCTTTCCCTCCCCTGAGCTCCACTGAAAACACAGCTAGCAGAGGACACATTTCCCATCATTCAGGATGGGTTTGATTCTCAGCCGAGAGACAGCAGGACTGGTAGAGACTATCAGGCCACATGGCTGCCTACACAGTACACCCATGCTTGGCGGGGGACTGAAGTGATGGCGGGGGCTGGCTGTCCACAGGCCGGGCATGACAGGGAGGCTCACTGGAGGTGGCACACTTTGGAGGGGCAACATTCCTGTTGGCTACTGAAATCTTCCTTTGGGCAGTAAGTTGAATGTCAAAATGAGGAACCATGGGTCATTTTACCTTGATGTGATATACCTGGCTCCTTGCCAAAGGATACCTTACTTTTGGTTTTGCTAAGGGAAGAGGAGACAAAACATGAAGGCACTTGTTGACTAAAAGGAAGTCTTAAAAAATACTTCAGCATTGAAAAGAGAAATGGAAAAACTAGAAAATAAACCGTACTTCACAGAAGCTCAAGAGAAAAAGTTCCCTCTTTCCATATGGCCCACAGATGCCAACAGTGGGAGAGGGTGGCATGTTTAAAAACAGGCAGAATAAGAACCTATTCACAAGCCAGAGATTTGGAAGTGACATCAGCTACCCCTCTCCAGATATAGGGGAAAGTACAGATCCTTGGAAACCCTAGACCTCACTCTATGTTACTGGATTCTCTTTCGAGCAGCAGCTTAGAAAGGCAAAGATGGGGACAATTTTAAATTTCACTTCCTATGAATTATGCAGCTTCTTGCTAAGCATGGCTGAGAGTTTATTTGGGCAGGAGAGATTATGTGCCAGTCAAGGAACCTAAGAGGAGCCTACTCTGAAGAATGCTGACAGCATCAAAAGGTGTGGAGGAGGAGCTGGAATAAAATATCCAAACTCCATAGACTCTAGGGCACATCTTGGGAGAGGTTCCAAATGTGGGCCCTAGTGATGCCATCTGCAGCAGAGAGAGCAATTTCCAAAGAAGATGTGATGAGGAACCATAATTTGATGGTGAAATATCTTATATCAAATTTTGATAATAGTACATAACTCTGTGTGTGTTAATTCCATTAATATGTATTATTTCAGGAAAAGTGGATAAAATCTAATCATCTCTTCCACAATATGTGCATATAAGTGAGTGAGGATGCCACAGCTGCCTACCTAGCAATCCTAAATTATCCAACTAGCACTCAGGGGAGCCATAAACTTTAAGGGTCTATATGTTTAGCCACAACTCAGGTCACTGGGCTCCCTAGCCCAAGTATAGTTTCAGCCAATCTGGCAGCCGTGGACCCAAATTTGAGGTGATCAAAATCAGTCTTCCTCTGATATATACACAGAATGCCCCGCCCACCCCAGCCTTGCACCCAACTACAGCCCAACTTACAAGTTAATTATCATGATCCCTGCCCTTTGGAGAGCATCACATAATTCACAAGCAGCGGATGAAGAGCGGGGAGTTGGTTTCATTCATCTTTTTCCTCTTTATTTCTAGCCTAGTGCATGGTATGGTCAGGCTCTGAACACTTATTTATTACGGAATAAAGGAGAAAGGGGAGAAGAGGGAGAGAGTTGGAAGACAGCTAAAATATGCTTGTATCTAAACAATGAAAAGGAGAGAGAATACTGCAAGATGACTCTTTCCCCTCTTGAAGCACTCTTACTAACCTCATGTCTGTTTCTTTCCTTACTCTTGCCCTTGTCCTTCTTCCAGCGACCCATTCTGTCTCCATTTTTGATGTCACTAATCTCTTCCTGTTTGGGGCCTTATTTCTACCCCTATTTGCTTGCAAGACTATCTACCTTTCTTTTTCTCATTCTCTGCATATCTCATCTGTTTCTCTGATTTTTATAAATTTGATCTCTTATTCTGTCATCTGATAACCTCTTTCTTTTAAGTAGGAATGGCAGGGCCTCAGGAGAGCCAATGGGTAAAAGAGTAGCTAAGAGAAAGAGCATCATCTAATGTTTCCCACAGGGGCAGGACCCATTCATCCCTCCTCTCCATGCTTTGTCCCAGTAGGTCAGAAGTGGTTAGTCAAGGGTGTCCTACCTCGTCTCTCTCTGGGCTCCTTTGAGTTGTCCTCCTGACCTACTACCTACTGTTACCATCAACATGGAAGCTAACCCTTTCAGACACTACCCAGTTTCTGTTGTTAACTGATCTACCTCAAAGAGGCAGCCCCAGGCCCTAATTTTGAACAGCAGTGAAGACCTACATTCTACAAAAGCCAAGAGAACGCCATGTTTTTCCCACAGTTCGCTTCCCCAGAAACTGACACCTGAGAACTCCATATACCCAAACCTAGTCTTGGTTCGGAGGTTTCTAGGCAACTTCCTAACACATGCACAGAGGCTACCTCTAAGGGGTGAATCCTAGTTTCAGCTCCCAAGTCCAGCTTCACCCTAAGATCAGCTCCACTAACTCTAAAGAACCTTATGGTATAGGAGCTATGTCTCACTCATCTTAGTATCGCAGCATTGGGGAATGTCTGGCCACCATGGGTTCTCTGTTTGAATAATAAAATAACTTCCCTAAGGCATTAAAATTTAAGTTAAATATTTTCTAAAGCATTATAATACATAGAAAAGTTTAGGGAAAAAGCAGTTGCTTCCTGTACGGAATGAATCTATTGGTGTCATATCTAAGAAAAACCATTGTCAAATCGAAAGTCATGAAGATTTACCTCTATGTTTTCTTCTAAAAGTTTTATGGTTTTAGCTCTTATATTTAGATCATTGATCCATTTTGAGTTCATTGTGTATATAGTGTAAGGTAAGAGTTCAACTTCATTCTTTTGCATGTGGCTATCTAGTTGTCCAAGCACAATTTGTTGAAAATACTATTCTTTCAAATGGTCTTGATGTCCTTGTTGAATGAAAATCAATTGACCCTGCTTGTATGGCTTTCATCCTGGACTCTCAATTCTGTTCCATTGATTTATATGTCAATCTTGTGCTAGTACCACACTGTTTTGATTACTGTGGCTTTGTAGTAAGTTTGAAATCAGGAAGTGTTTGAATTCCACTTTTATTCCTCTTTTTCAAGGTTTGTTGGCTATTTGAGGCCCCTTTGCAATTCCATATGAATTTTGGGATGAGCTTTTCTATTTCTGCAAAAAAGATCATTGGGGTTTTGATAGCGATTGTATTGAATTTTATTTGTGGATTCTTTAGGATTTAAAAAATATATATTGGTCATTATTTCTATCTTAAAAGTATTAAGTCTTCCAGTCCATAAATATGGAATGTTTTTCCATTTATTGGTGTCTTTAATTTCTTTTAGCAATGTTTTGTAGTTTTCTGTGTATAAATCTTGCACTGCATTGGTTAAATTTATTCCTAAGTATTTTATTATTTTTGATGCTATTACAAATGAAATTCTTTTCTTAATTTTCTTTTTGGGTTGTCCATTGCTAGTGTATAGAAATATAACTGATTTTCTGCCTTGTACCCTAACTCTGCTGAGTTAATTTGTTAGCTCTAATAATTTTATTTGTAGATTCTTTAGGATTTATATATATATATGGAATCATGTCATCTGTTAATGGTTTTACTTCTTCCTTTTCAATTTGGATGCACTCTCTTTTTCTGGTCTAATTGCTCTGGCTAGAAGTTCTAGTATGATGTTGAATAGCACTGGTGAAAATGGGCATCCTTGTCTTATTCCTGATCTTAGAAAAAATTTCAGTCTTTTACTACTGAGTATGATGTTAACTGTGGTTTTTAAAAAATAAATACCCTTTTATTATGTTGAGGAAGTTCCCTTCTACTAGTCATAGTTTTCTGAGTGTTTTTATCACTAAAGGGTGTTGGAGCTTGTCAAATGCTTTTCCTGCATCATTTGAAATGATCATGTGAGGCCAGGCACGGTGGCTCATGCCTATAATCCCACCATTTTGGGAGGCCAAAGCAGGTGAATTGCCTGAGCTCAGGAGATTGAGACTGGCCTGGCCAACATGGCAAAACCCCATCTCTACTAAAAGTACAAAAATTAGCTGGGCGTGGTGGTGCACGCCTGTAGTCCTAACTACTTGGGAGGCTGAGGCAGGAGAATTGCTTGAACCCAGGAGGCAGAGGTTGCAGTGAGCCAAGATCACACCACTGCACTCCAGCCTGGGTGACAGAATGAGACCCTGTTTCAAAGAAAACAAACAAACAAAACAAGATCACGCAGACTTTTTCTCTTCATTCTATTAATGCGGTATATTATATTATTACATTGATTGATTTTTGTACGTTGAACCACTCTTGCAGTCCTAGAATAAATCTCTAAATTCTGTTATTATGCTTTACTGTCCCTTCTTTTACATATTTTCTCCTGTCATATTTATTTCCTGCTATATGTGTACATATTATCTATGCATTCGTCTTTTTCCACACTTGTCACTCTTAGTTACTATTTTGTCTCTCTTTTATTGCTTGCATGTTTGGCTGATTTTCCTAAATAAGCACATTATATTTCACTGTCACAGGCAGACTAGAACAAACTCAGCAATGGAGGGCAGAAGGACTCAAGGAAAAGGGTAGTTAACCAATTACAGAGGCAGAACACACTAGCTTAAGTCAAGATGAGGTTGCAATGTCTATTTGTCCCATGCCACAGTATCTGTGGATCAAGAATACTGACCTCCCTGGACTCTTGTCAGATTCTGACCTAGAGAATAGGGAAAAGAGCTACCATCCTTAGGGGCTTGTTATGAACTATTGAGAGGCTCCTTGACCAATGGGAACATGTCTCTGTGACAGCATTTTGGGAATTTAAGGAGCATCAGGAAAGCCTCACTTTGTTAAAGAGGTAAGTAAACTAAACCCTGCTAATAATGCATTTGAGTATATCAGCTTCATTTCCTTAGGTGAAGAGCCTGGACCTTCTTAAACATTAAACACTCTAGGATATAAATGGTCAGATCTTTTATCTCTACATGAGTAAGTTGTGAGAAGAAGGAGAGAAAGAAGAGGAAGGTCAGAGGTACAGGGGAAGAGGTTCTTTAAAAAGGGCAAAACATGCACAAAATGTAGGCCAAGGGAGCTATAAACAAACTTCCGCATTGTACAAATGAGCCCAGGGTGAATTCTGGGAGGGGGATCCAAGCAAACAGTGAGTTTGCCTTCTACAATTAGGATGCAAATTCCCCTTAAAAAAGGTGGATGCTCAGACATACCTAGCACAAGTCACAAGACATAGGATTCAGAAAAGACACTAGAAAAATCTCTCTTCCAAATGATGTTTAGTTTTCAGGTTCTGGCTATGCTACACTAAGGCTTTCCCAGTTTCCATCAGCAGGGGAAGGAGTATAGGGCATTTTTGGGAATCTAAATTTCTGAATGGTTGCAGCCCCCAGCTCTAAACCTTTCAACATAAACCCATCAAGGAGTGTGTTTCTGGTCCCAATCCTGGATCCCACAGATTTGACTGCTATGAGGTCTCCCTGTCCCTTACTATTTTCCCCTAAAATCTGATTTTGGTCTTACCACAAACTCTTGAATTCTCATAAGATAGATATATCTAGGGAAATTCTAACTCCTAAACCTAAACAAAATAACTGTAAAAAATACCAGAAGAATTGTATTTCAATCAAGTTTTCACATTTTAAATTGCTATAATGTATTTATTTTTTATTTTTTAACTTTGAAGTTCAAGGGTACATGTGCACGTTTGTTACATAGGTAAACTTGTGTTATGGGGGTTTGTTGTACAGATTTTTTTTTTTTTGTCAGCCAGGTATTAAGCCTAGAACCCATATACCCATATTCCTGATCCTCTCCCTCCTCCCACCCCAACCCTCCGATAGGCTTCAGTATGTGTTGTTCTTCTGTATGTGTCCATGTGTTTTCATCGTTCAGCTCCCACTTGTGAGAACATGTGGTGTTAGGTTTTCTGTTCCTGTATTAGTTTGCTAAGGATAATGGCCTCCAGCTCCATCCATGTTCGTGCAAAGGACATGATCTCATTCTTTTTCATGGCTGCATAGTATTCCATGGTATGTGTGTATATATATATATATATACCACGTTTTCTTGATTTAGTCTATCATTGGTGGGCATTTAGGTTGATTCCATGTCTTTGCTATTCTGAATAGTGCTGCAATGAACATACGTGTGCATGTATCTTTATAACAGAACAATTTAGAGTCCTCTGGGTATATACCCAGTGATGGCATTGCTGGATCAAATGTTATATCTGTCTTTAGGTCTTTGAGGAATTGCCACACTGTCTTTCACAATGGTTGAACTAATTTACACTCCCAACAACAGTGTATAAGCATTATTTTCTCTACAACCTTTCCAGCATCTCTTATTTTTTGACTTTTTTGTAATAGCCACTGAATTGCCTTTAACTCCTAATTTCCAGCCATTCCTTGTCTGATTTTAGGCGACAGAGCTGCTGACAATTAGATCTGCCCCAAGGATGACTCCAGCGATAAATGCCATGATGGCTCCATCTTTGCCCAGCCCTTTTGCCAACCAGGAGAATGAACATTCATCCCTCCAGGGAGAGGTAGGGAAACCAATAGGAATCCCACTCCATCAGTGTGATCTTCAGGTGGGAAGCAGAATGGCTGAGTCCCTGGACTGCAGGTGGAAGCTCACCTCTAGAGCTCATCGTGGGGGAATAGCCTAGCCTTAAAAAAACTATTCATATCGTTTTCAAGCTTGTTTAATATCAGTATGATCCTAGATCCTTCTGGATGATTGATATTGGAGATGCAGTAGAAAGGGATAGCCCTGAGTACCCAAGAGGTGGGAAGAGGGCACTGCAAGAATACAATCCCCCATTTCACAAGCTGATCTTCTGATTTTTATTGACTGATTGATTGTTTGAAATGGGGTCTTGCTCTGTCACCCAGGCTGGAGTGCAGTGGCACAATCATAGCTCATTAGAGTCTCAACCCCCTGGGCTCAAGCAATCCTTTTGTGTCAGCCTCCCAAGTCCCCAGGCTGCTCTCAAAGTCCTGGGGTGAAGCAGTCCTCCCACCTCAGCCTCCCAAAGTGCTAGGATAACAAGCGTGAGCCACCGAGCCCAGCCCTAACCTACTGAGGACACTGAGAGGAGGCTCCCAGTCATGCAGGGCAGAAGCTACCAACCAGAGGAATCCCACCCTAAGGCAGCCAGGTCCAAGACCTGTTTCTATCAGGCCATGGAGGGGCTGTGAGTTTAGGAGTAGGGGTGAGGTTGAGGGGTGTCAGGTTTCAGAAGTAACTCTAGGAACTTTCTCCATTTTAAGTCAGCTTGGGAGCATTTCTGTTCATTTTCCTACAACAAAGCCACTCAGCATCACCTACACTGTTTCAGGTCACTTAAATGGTGCCCAAGGCCAGAGCTGGATTGTAACTTTTTAGCTGGATTGGAAAGGAAGGCTAGTTGGGAGCACATCAGCTAGGACTCACCAGAAGCAACTTGTGCAGAGAAGAGTTAACATAGTAGGCCTGAGACTGCTATCCTTGAAAAGGATACCTTGGCTGGTATCTGGGAACTTGGGTTTAGGGTTCCACACTTTTGGGGGTGGAGCTGAGTGGGAGAGAAGAAGGAGAAAAACAATTTTCTATTATTTGGTCCCAATATATCCTTGTCTCTTTCCATTTCTGCTCCTTTCAGACACATCCCTTAAACTACTTTTCTCATATCTCATTTTTCTTCTCTCAGAATTATAGAAAGAGATTTTTTCTAAAGAAGCTCACCAACTATACCAGAGATGCCTATATTGTCTGTTTGAATGACTATATTGGGCTATATTGTCTGTTTGAATGACTATATTGGGCTATATTTTGTCTGAATGACTATCTTCCAGTTGATAGCAGTGCTCTTCTTGTCTGCTCATTTCTGATACTGTGAGTTTTGATTTGTGTCTTCACTGCCTTCTTTTCATCTCTTTTTCAGATTCATTTCTTCTCTTTCCCTCTGCTATGGTATCAATCTACATTTTTTGTTTGTTCTGAAGCTGTTCTTGAATCTGCTTCTGTATTTGTCTCTGACATAATCTCAGCACTTGAATGTTTGTGTGTCTTCCTTTCACAGCTAAGTGCATTCAAAGAAATCTTTTCTAGGGAGGCCTGGAGAAAGAAGCCATCTGAGTACATGAGCAGAACTACTTCAATCATCTATTTGTGATCAAAGAACAACTTGTTGTTGTTGTTGTTGTTGGGCCCCAGTGGGTCACAAATGATTAGATAGTACTCGTGTTTGTCAAAATCTGTGCCCTGACCTGGCTGCCTGCAGGCTCTCCTAGATTCTAACATCTTTCAACAAAAAACTATCAAGAAGTGGTTTCAATACATATGTGGAGAAAACACAAATAAAAGAAGACTACAATAACAAAAAAAACAAAAATTTTTAAAAACTAGAAAAAAATGGTTTCAAGCCCCACAGCTGACCACCACTAAGAGTCAATATTTCCAAAGCCCACTATCTTGATCAAATACTTGGAAGCTCCCTGGCCTCTCCTTTTTGACCAGTCTCTTTGGGTCTAGGTAGCTGAGACAAAGCCAATGATATTAAAACAAAGCAACAGTGACCTTCCTCCCCACCTCCTACTCTTGCTACAAAGGCAGAGCCCAGTACCCTAATACACACATGCGACTGACTCAGCCCCAAAAGGTTGTCCATCACTCCTGGCTGTGTTTCCAGGGCTTCAGACAGGGCTCCAAGGCTTCCTGGGAGGGTTTCTCCAAGGATTTCAGCAGGGGCTCCAAGACTTCCTTTTAGAGGTTTTAGATAGTTTATGTTAAGATTTCAAGGAGTCCCTTGCGGGAACTATGGGACTTATCAAGGTTTTCCAAATTTCCACTTATGGGCCCTAGTGGAGGCCATAGATTTATTCTGCGGGCTTTTAGATATTTTGGGCAGCAGCTTCTAGCACTGTCTTCTTCTTCAAGGTCTCAGGGAGTAGCTGATCATTATTAATCAGGGAGGCTTCTAGAGGATCCTCTCAGCATATGCTTTCCTCAGCCACCTCTTTTCATTCAGTCATTCAGCAGACATTTAAAGAGTACTATATTCTAGACATTGAGCTGGGTCAAACTTATGCCACATAGCATCAGCCACAAAGAGCTCACAGACATGGCTGTTCCCAGGACTCTCCTGCTGGAGGGGGCTGCCACCATCTGTTGCGTTCTTCAGCTCCCACAAGGCCCCTCATCCATAAGCCTTGCTTCCCTGCCAGGTGGAACAGCTCAGAGTTCATCTTTCAGTTCTGTGGCTGCGCAGCAGTTAGTCTTATGGTCCCCAGTGGCAATTTTGTTCCAAGCTCTTTCAAGAAGTTTACTAAAACCCACTGTGGAGCGGCACTAGGAGAGCAAATCTCTGTCACCCCACCAGTGACAATTCTCAGGCCCTCTGGCTCTTGTTTGGCTACACTCTGAGGCAACAGTAGGGACCCTCAAAGATCAAGAGTCTGAAAAGGTCTTTTAGCCCTAATGCCAATCCCACCCAGCCACACTTTGCTAACAAAGTAGTCACACTTTCCAAGACTTTTCAAATTTATTTCTGGGAATCAAATTCCACAAGCCACAACTAAATAGGAATAACTTCTTTAATGAAACACACCTGGAGTGGGTTTGTCACTCTCTACTAGGTCAGAGAAGCCCTGATGGGGCCTTTGAAAGTATATGACATCACAGTGGGTACCAGGAGAGGCCATGCCTGGAAAAAGGAGCAATAATAATAACAGCTATATTGATAGCTGTGCAACAGATAACTATTGAAGCAGTCTACAAATATGGAACTCTTTTTACCTGACCAACATCTCTATGAGGTAGGTACTATTGTTTCATCCTCACTTTACACTTAAGAAACTGAGAAATGGAGATTGTAAGTAACTTGTTCAATGTCACATAGCTGGTATAATAGCAAGACTTGAACCCTGGCAGTCTGGCCAGAGACTCTGAGCTCTAATGCCTGCACCTCTCCAAGGTGACTGGAAATGTCTCTTACAATACTTCCATTTCCCGTCAGCTTTCTTTTTTTTCTTCCTTTCAAATTTTCTTCCATGGTATTGGTTCAGCTACTGAAGACCACTTTTGGTCCTGGAGAGAGGGGACAGGAGGGCTTATTGTTTCTTCCCTCAATGTTCCTGAAACAAAATTTTCTCTCTACTTTTCCACCCCTGGCCCATTTAGTCAACCCTTCTGACTGGGACTTATTCTGTTTCCCCCTCTGAAAACACGAACACTTGCAGACGTCTTTCTTCCCTTCTCTTGAAGCTGACAATGGAGGGAGAGGACTGGTCTGCCAAGAGAGCCAACCCTAAGGTCAGAGAAGAGAAGAGAGCCCCTGGGTGCTCAGCAGGGTCTGAGCCTCAGTGTCTGAATCTGCCTGTGACTCTGGCGTCTTGGGGGGCTCTCTGACACCCTCTCCCTTACCCTCTCCCTTTAGATCCCTTGCCTTTCACTGCTCTTTTCTCTGCTACTGTCTCCTGGCCTGTTTGTCTCCCCACCCATCTGCCCACCATCCACGTGACCTTTTTGCTGCTGGAGCTGCTTTTTGGGGCCTGGCTTTCCTTCTTTCACCATCTCCTTGTCTCTGGACTCTTCTCAGGTTACTCTTTCTGGCTGTATCTTGCTGAGGGTGTGTCTGTGTCTGATTCTTGCCTATTTTTTTTTAGGAGGCTAAAACGGGGAAAAGAGCTCATGACCCCAGGATAAAATCCATTCTTTTGTAACGTGGTGTAAAGGCCCTTGCATCTGTCTTCACTTCCACTCTTGCCACTGCTGCCCCCTGAGGCAGTGCTGCAGCCATAAGGAACTTTATTTTTTCCCTAAATGTGCTCCACCCCTCACAGGTACTGTTCCTTCCACTGGAAAGACTTTGCCACCCCAAACCCACTATTCAGTTAACTCCCCCTCATTTTCAAGCCTCAGACACAGCTTCCTCTAGGAAAACAGCCCCTGGCCCAGGTGTGTCTTGCGTGTACTTCCACCAGCCCATATTGCTGTGAAAGCGATGGTCATGTGCATTGAATTTGCCTGTTTACATATTGTGTCTCCCCCATTGGACTTTGCTCTTTGAAGGCAAAGGATGACCTTCCTTCAACAGAATATAGTGAGAAGAGTGCTTTTGGCATCATTCCCTACCAACTGTTCTCTCCCCACATCATCTTCTGAAACGTTGGCTCTTTTCTGCCTGATTTGGGGATTCTACAAACCCAAATACTAATGCCTCCTCCTCCAAGTCCCAAGAAACACCCTTGAGGGTATTTCTTCTGAAACTTCTCATGTCAGTCTTTATTTTTTTAAATCATGGAAGAAGGTGAGGTTGAGTAGGAGTTTCATGGGGGTCCTTCTGATAACCATCTTGGTGACTCCAATTACAGGCAGGAAACCTAGATAAAGCCAATCACATATTGATAACCCTTACCCATGTTCAATATCAACATCAAGCATTTTTCAAAGGGAGGCACAATATCTCATTCTTATTCACAAAAAATTTGTTGAAATGTTTCTTTCATGTATATCTACATATGTGTAAATATATGTGTGTATGTATGTGTGTATACATGTGTACATATTACTGACCTATAGATAGTGCTACATAAGGAGGCTTTATTCACATATATGTATAGGATAGGGATGTAGAATGAGTCCTCGATGACAGACAGCACCTTCAACCTCGCTTTTCTGGCTGCATCTGAGAAATTGTGAGTTAGGGCCATGGGCTGGGTTCTGAGAGGACCTAATCAGTTCCAAGCACCTTAAAGTCCAAGCTGGGAAGTTTATATATTCTTTTAAAGAAAAATGTCTCCTTTAGTAGTGGCAGCCAAAGAAAAACTACATTTTTGCCTGGCAGAAATGATAGCCTATTATCCCACCTGTAGTACCTGCTTGTTTAATGAATAGTTGAATGTTGCCCAGCCAATTCATATGTCATTTTCTCCTTGCATGTTCCCCAATCCTAGAGAGGGCTTGAGCCTTTGATATGCTTTGAATGTTTGTCCTCCTCAAATCTCATATTGAAATGTGATCCCCAAAGTTGGATGTGTGGTCTAGTGGGAGGTGTTTGGGTCATGGGGTCACTATCCTCATGAATGGCTTGGTGCTGTCCTCCTGGTAATGTGTGAGTTCCCACTCTGAGTTCACATGAGATCTGGATGTTGAAAAGAGTCTGGCACCTCCTCCCTCTCTCTTGCTCACACTCTCACCACGTGATATGCTGCCTCCTCCTGTGCCTTCCACCATGAGTAAAAGCTTCCTGAGGCTCTCACCAGAAGCAGATGCTGGCAGCATGATTCTTGTACAGTCTGCAGAACAGTGAGCCAAATAAACCTCTTTTCTCTATAAATTACCAAGTCTCAGTTATTTCTTCATAGCAACAAGAATTGACTAAGACAGCCCCGTACTTTTTCATGAACTGACTAACACAGCCCTATACTTTTTCATGAACTGACTAACACAGCCCTGTACTTTTTCAAGTTTCTATTGCTGGCTTCACCACCACCAACTAGAGCCTCCAGCAGGGCTCACCCTGCCCTGGTCTCTCTTCTGGCAAAGTCAGCTTCTCATAGCTGATCCTATACCAGTTCTCCAGGCAGTCAAAAGCTCAGAATTACCCTCTCCATTCTGTATACAGCAGTGCCCAGGACAGTCCTGTGCTTTAAGCCCTTCTTCATCCAGTAGCTCTCTTGAGGAACTTATGCAACATTGGTGAGATAAGACTCTCACAGTAGTCTCTGTTTCCATGATTTTGTTAGCTATTTTAGACATTTACACTAAAATTCTAAGATTATTTTGTCTTAATTTTGAAACAACAAACACAAAAGGGATCCTTTAGAAGGTATTTTTAAATCTCCCACTGAATTGCGTGTGTCATATATATATATATATATATAGAGAGAGAGAGAGAGAGAGAGAGAGAGAGAGAGACAGACAGAGAGACAGAGAGAGAGACAGAGACAGGGCCTTGCTCTGTCACCCAGGCTGGAGTGCAGTGGTGCAATCACAGTTCACTACAACCTTGAACTACTGGGCTCAAGTGATCTGTTCCACCCCAGCCTCCAAAGTAGCTAATTTTTTTAAGTAAAAAAAATTTTTTTTTTTGTACAGACAGGATCTCACTGCATTGCCCAGGTTGGTCTCACATGCCTGGCCTCAAGCAATATTCCAACCTCGGCTTCCCAAAGTGCTGGGATTACAGGCGTGAGCAACCCTACCCGGCCTGAGTTGTGTTTTTAAAATCAAGGTTCTCTTTGCATGTCTAATAGTTTTTGCTTATTAAAACACATAGCTGCTGGATTGTGTAGTGTGTATATTTTTTACATAATTTATTCAACCTAGCCTAATAAAATACTACTACTACTATTTCTGCATGTGTGTGTGTGTGTATTTGGCTTTGTCAACTACTTTATTTTCATCAACTGCTTTGGAAGCATTTTGTTTTAAGTATATTTCTTGTTCAACAATATATTAAATAATATATTAGAAAAAACAAAACCCAATAATGTAGTCTCTTTTAATTGAAAAATTCAGCCTACTCACATTTCATAAAATAATTGTTATACTCCCTCTTATTTTTTCATCTTATTTTATGTTTACCATTTATTTAACTATATCCTTTTTTTTGCTTTTCCTTCTTTTCCATTTATTCTCTCCTGTGTCCCCTGTTGATTTAGAAATTCTACTCTATTTTCCCATTCTGCTCATAATTACCTCCCAGTTTGTAACACTCATGATCAGACACGTATTCTTTACTAGTAAATAAAAAGGCATATTCCTCTACATGCCCCCCACCACAAACCCACAAATTTCACAGTCGTCCCAGGGAGACACATGTCTCATGTTTATACCCAGCTACTGAGGCACACCTGGTTGGGGGCAAACAAGCATAGTGGGCTCAGACCTGAGAATGAGACTCCAAGGGCCCAAAGTCCCTGTCTCCATTGCTAGGCTAGCTCTGACAATCCCCAGTTACTGACACTCAAAGCTCCACTTTTAAAGCTGGAGCTGTCTCTCTCAGTGTACCTGTAATCAGACCTCTCAGAAAAGGTCAGATGGGGACAGATTTGGGAGTGAAAGGATAAAGGGCTGCCCCAGGGCATGGGGGAGAAGGGTATAAGAAATAGTGAAATGTGCCCAGGAGAAGTTGAGGGATGACATTTGACTGTGGGGCCACTCTTCCTGGTAGGAGTGTCCCTCAGCAGGTACAGAAGCTCTCCAGCGCCAAAGCCTGGTGAGGCGCTGTGTCCTAGACATGCATGGGAGAAGGGAAAAGGCAAGATAGGGAAGAGTGCCCTGAAGGGTCACAGCAGGGGAAGGAGGAGAGGTCAAGGTGGGGGATATGGTGGTCACGGAGGGTGGATGAAGGGCCCCTGATGGAGAGGCAGGGCTTCAGGCAGAGCTCCCAGTCAGACTGGGCTTCCAGATTGGGGCCTTCTTGTTGTGGAGGAGGTGGGATTTGGACTGGGGAGGAGTGGACAGTACCCTGGGGTCTTGTGAATCAAGTATTTCCTCTTAGGGAGTATAGAAGTGTGCGGAGACAGTCAGGTCAGAATGGGATTGGGAATGGGAGGGCCTCTTACATTTGGCCCTCAGCTGGGCACTCCTTAGGAGGTTGGGTCAGAGCCTGAGCAAGACCCTCCATGCCCTCTGGGTGAAGGTGGACTCCAGCTCTGGGCAAACTCCTCCAGAGACCTGGGACCTTGGACCCCAGCACACCTGAACGGGCTGTAAGGGTCAGGAGCACCCATCCTTCCTCACAGTCTGCAAAGGGCGCTTTGGAAAGGAAAACATCTTAGCTCCACTCCCTCATACTTGAGTCCAGGAAGCAGATGAGAATAGGACATGCACGTGCTAAAGGGAACTAGAGGCATCCGGGCTGGACGCTGGTAGAAATGCAGGAGGAGCATTGCTAGCTCTCGTTAGCTGAGCATTGACCTCGACAGGCGCTGTGATGGATGGTCGTCCCTACAAGTTATGGCATCACTAATGTGGAGATGAAAAACCAGAGGCTCTGAGTTTAGATTGCTTTCCCAGCGTCGCACACCTAATAGGTGGGAGAGCTTACACAAAAGCTGTCTCTCTGATTTCAAAGCCGAATGTCTCAACTTCTACACTCTCCACAATTATTTTGAATACTTTAGCGGCCTTTATTTGGAGTCTGGCCTTACACTTATTGTTGAATGGGAAAGGCGACCAAGAAAAGAACAGAATAGAGGAGAAGACTGATGAGAATAAGGGTTGGGGGAGCCCTTTGTGACTCTGGGCAGTTCCTCCCTGTTCACTTCTATACCTGCTTTCCTCACACACACACCAATGTGCAGGGTTGGCTGATTCCTCGGTTGGAGAGGTATTATATAATCAAATAGGTTCCTCTGCCTCCCAAACCATGGCAGAACCCCCACCAGCCCTGTCCGCAGCAGTCTCCCTCAGCTTCCCCTAAGCTTACATGCCTCTCCCGCTTTCTGTCAGAACTGCACTGTGTGGAAAAGGCCTGGGGGCATTAGGAGGGGCCCCAGAAGGGCCGACAGACTTAATTAGATGGTCAAAGGTCTTGGTCTGTTCTTCCCTGTTTCCAAAATCTCTTCGTGTATCTGCCCATCTTAAAATGTAAAATACATTTAAAAATCTGGGCTTGGCGCAGTGGCTCATGCCTGTCATCCCAGCATTTTGGGAGGCCGAGGTTGGCGGATCACTTGAGGTCAGGAGTTCAAGACCAGCCTGGCTAACAGGGCAAAACCCCGTCTCTACTAAAAATACAAAAATCAGCCAGGTGTGGTGGTGGGCGCCTGTAATCCTAGCTACTCGGGAGGCTGAGGAGGTTGCAGTGAGCCGAGATCACACCACTGCACTCCAGCCTGGGCGACAGAGCAAGACTTAGTCTCAAAAAAAATAAAACGAAACAAAACAAAACAAAAAAACAACTCACCAAAAAAACAAAACCCTACTATGTGAAAAATACAAATAAAAGGACAATGCAAAACCCTCGTATCATCTATCACAAATAAATTGTCACCATTTGGTCATATGTCTCCCTCTGCCCTGCTAAAGGATAAGTGTAAGAAACAAAGTTTAATTGTTGCCTTTTTGGGCGAGTATAAAACCAGTGAAGTTTTTGTAAATCACTTTGTAAAGTTGTGTAGTGTATGTTGTGTCTACTGTTTAAGTCATTAAAGTGTTCAAAGAACTCAACTATACTCACTTTGTGATTGTAATCTAAATAATGTAGGGATATTTATAATTAAACGAGGAATTAATGAGTAGACGCTCAATTAAAAAATGCTTTTAGAGATGGTATCAGATGTATGAGTTTAATAAATTGAGCCCAAAACAACACAAATAGTGGTGAGTATGGCTTCCCGGTGCAAAAACCCTTTGAACCTGGGAGAGTTTCAACATAAAGGCTAAGAGGCAGGGGAGATACAGCAGAGAAGACATCAGAAAGGCCTAAGAGGCGCTAGAAGCAAGGCAGCGACAGGTTACTAGACGCAGGCGCTTCAGAACAAGCTGCCTCCTGGGGAGACGGCAGGAGAGCCAAGTGGGCTCAGCCCCAGATGGCTGAGGGGACACCTAGAGGGTTCCAAGCAGGGGAAGGACAGGCCCGGTAGCAGGGCCTGTGAGTAAGGGCAGAGGGACGGGGAGATGGCTTCACTTCCGAGGAGCGTTGCGCAGGGAGAGACCGCCACCCCGGCCATGGTGACCCGGGAGAGTGACATTGTTCAAAGTCACCGGAAGACATGCGACTGGAAGGGGGACAGGGGAGGAGGGCCCCCCGCGAACAGCGTGCCTCGCTGGGCCCAGACTCAGGCGAATCTCAGGGAACCCATGCGCCCCGTGTTTATACCCTGCGGCCGTGTGTGGAGCTGGGGGCCACCGCCGAAGCCCACCAGGCAGGGCAGGGGAGGGCAGGGCAGGGCGCCCGCGGCTGGGGCTCCTCCCTGCACCCCGCCACGGAGGAGGGGTTAGGACGCCCGGCTCCTCTGACCCACCGCCCAGCGGGGCCCCTGGCGCCGCCCCGGAAGGCCCGTTAGGCCCGGAAACCCCTGGCGGCGGGCGCGGGAGACCACCCCCCACGCAGCCGTTAAAGGGCGTTGATTTCCCGCCTCGCGTCCTCCTTCCGTTAGGGCCAGATGGCGGGGGCTGGTGTTTATTTAGTAGGGGCCCCCATGCAGGAGGACGCCCACTGGAGCTCTGGAGGGTGGGACATCCCCAAACCTAAACTGTTAACTGAGACCTGGAACTGTAGCTGAGTCATATATTCTTCTTCTTTTTTTGAGACGGAGTTTGGTTCTTGTTACCCAGGCTGGAGTGCAGTGGCGCGATCTCGGCTCACTGCAACCTCCGCCTCCCCGGTTCAAGTGATTCTCTTGCCTCAGCCTACCGAGTAGCTGGGGTTACAGACATGCGCCACCACGCCTGGCTAATTTTTTTGTATTTTTATTAGAGACAGGGTTTCACCATGTTGGCCAGGCGAGTCGTATATTCTTGTGGTGATAGTGGCCTTAGGAAAAAAAAACAAAAACAAAAAAAACGCCTTCTTGGATGACGTAAGGTAGAAGCCGCGGAAGCCTTGTTAAACAGTGCATCTGGCCTGTGGGGCAGCTTTTGGATAAACCCCTAGAAAATATGAAAACTCTTGTCACGGGAAGAAGGGGCTGTACAGTGAATGTTAAGTTGGGTGAAGTTTACGGTTCCACCCATGAATACTGAGCTTCAGCTGCCAACCTCGCAGGCCACTTTTCTTCAGCTCAAAGCTGAGGATTTTTAAGCAGATTTTCTGACAACCAGAGGGGAGCAGACATGCTTCCTGCTCTTTAAGCGACTCCCTGGGATCCTAGTCATCCATCTAGTGAAGTCAAGAACCCATTAGAGTTCCACCGACCCAGCCTTTTTGTGCCCAAGTGACAGATTCTGCCAAGTCAGACAAGCCTAAGGGGCTTCTACCACACACGACATAACTATTTTCTTTCTGTTCCTTTCTTTTCCCTATCAAAGTCCTCTCAGGCTCTCATAATGATATAAACATGGGTGTTACCATCCTGCATGAGACAGGAAAGACAATTCTTGAAATGACTTTTAAGTCACTTTGATGTCATTAGAGAAGTCATTTAACAAGTGTGTTATTAAGTTTAAAAAATTAAAAGACTATGGCCTTTGGTGACTTCCCTCCCTGGTGGGGCACTATACTTTGCTCTCTAGCTGTTGCAGCCTTTTTCTGGCTTGCAGGTTAAGTTGGGTGTGTGAGCTGCGCAAAAGCTCTGTAGTTGGTTAATGAGAGCAAACGCTGTGGGCCTGACTTGGAACTGCATCTGGATGTGGACTCCCCCAAGTTACTGGGCATTGTGGGATGGGAGGAAGGTGTTTTTCCTGAGACCAGAACTAGGAAAGTGAGAAAGTTTCCTGGTAACAGGGAACCTGAACGAAGGACTACCTTTAAAATTTTGGGGAAGGGCGAGGGTTTGTTCTTAAAACCCATTTTTCGAATAGGTTAAACCTATATACAAATAGCAGCATTCTTGGTGGCAGTAATTAGAGAAGATTCATCACAGTGGTTGGGAACATAAAGGAAACGAGAGTGGGGATGGGCAAGCCTGGGATTAGAAAAAAATATGACCTCTTCCTTTCTCCTGAATTAGTGCCTCGTCACTGTAAGCAGTCCTGGAATTCAGGAACAATGTTACAGAGGTAATTAAACAGTAGTTCAGGTATAATTTTCAAGGCGGTTAAGAATTTGGGATTCAGTCTTGCTGATATTGAATCCCAATTCAGTACGCTTCGGGAATGTGGGTCTGGTGACTGGTGTCAGAGTAGGAGGAATCTTGGGACTGAGGGGAATAGGTGATATTCATTGTTAGGCAGCTGCTCGCTGCAAATGGCCTCTTCATGGTTAGACCCTTTTCCAAATGTCAGGACGCTAGACACGTAATGTCGATTATACAGGAAAGTCGTGTTTGGTGATTTGCTTCTTTGATCTCTCAGCTCTCCCCTCCATTTTAACATCACCAAAATGCCTGAATTTAGGATGTGCTATTTGTCCCCACACCCTGAAATCCTGTGCTCTGTGCTGCTGGACTAGGTGGTAAAGAGTGTTGGATTCTAGTGGGAACCTGAGGTTGAACTCTCTCAAGTATCCTACGTGTTGTCCTTTCCTCCAATTGAGAGAGAATCTGAGGAGACCAACAAACTTTTGACCTCAGATCAGAGGTGGAAAGGGAGCTTGCAGAGGTATCAGTTCTGTGGGAGGTTGGATTATGACCAGAAAATGAGATAGTGACATGAGGAGTGTGGCAGTGGTGTTAAGAACTTTTCTCCTTGGGGTGCTAGTTGAGAGCCTTTGCTGTCACTCAATATAGGGCCCGGAGCTGCCCTTTTGGAGTGACGTGCTGAAAGATGGAGCCCCAGTTGGCCCCGTCCTGGGTGAGGATATAGACCCGTGAAAATGTCGGTTCCTAGGTTGATGGTAATTGAAAGAGCTTTTTGGGTGACTCTGAAGAAGGCTGTTGGGCTAAGGGTAAAAGACCAGCTGTCACATACAGGCTAAGGGATTCAGGACTCTCTTGAGACTTCTCTTTGGGTGGTAACTGGGATGGTGTTACAGGTGTTGGACAGAAGTCTGAAGTGAGTCAGGGATGGGAGGCTTCCTTTGTGCTCTGTGGCACAATCACAGGCACAGTGGGAGGGACAACGTTACCACCCCTCCTCTCCCTGAAGTGCCTTGTATACAGCTGTGGGCTGTCCAACTGCAACTCACCTTGGGCTTTCTCAGCCCTCATGCTATGTAGAAAAGGAAGAAAATGTCGTTGTGAGAGATTTGGAAAATACATAACACAAAAAAGAAACACTCTTATCCCCAAATAATGAAAAGAAACTGAAGGAAAAAAATTGTCTCATTTATGAGTTGCTTTAGTCCAGGAAGCCTGAGGTCCGCAGAATAAATACCCATGTAGAGAAGATATCAGTGTTTAGGTGTAGGTTAAGGGTCTTTGCCGAGGCTGGGGATGGGACAGAACACAAAGCTTCTAGGTTTTTACCCCTTGACGAGAAAGCCTTTCTGGGGGAAGTGCTATTGTGCAGGTTTAAAAAAAACTTTTGTGCAAAGTACAAAAGAGTTATCAGAATGTGGGCTTCTGAGGGAGTCAGGTTTGTTATATATATATATATATATATTTGGGGCTGTAAAGCAGGCATTGAAAAATAGCTGTGAGTTTCCAGAGTTTAAGGGGAACAAGGTTGGTAGTTGACTATTGGGTCCGGGAACCCTTTCCTGCATGGTTGAAGGAATTTGCTCTTGTTGATGCTAACTGGAAGAGGGGAGCTTAAGGTTGCCTGACCAGAGCCCAAAAGAAACTGGAACTAAGGTACTGGCTGGATAGGCCAGCCATAGACACATTTGTGTCTGTCCCATAGATGCAAAGCCAGGTGAAGGATACTGGTTCTATGACTCTCATTTCCCCAGACATTTTGAGGAATGTTTGGTGTATGTGGTCCTGTAATGAGGGACAATGCTTTAAGTTGGATAGCTGTCTTTACAAAACAACAGCATTGCCGTATTTTTCTCACTTGCTATGGGCCAATGAAATCTTTCACTTAATTGCCACAGTCCTGGAACAGCATTTAATTTCTACTGATCTAGCCCAGCTCTATGGCCCAGAAAACCATGGCATAATGTCATGGAGCTTCCCCATCTTTCTTTGAGCAGATGGCCAAAGGAAGGGTTTTAGGGTACGAAGATTATGGCCTGAAACTTTGTGGAGATTCTGAAATCTCTGCTTTACAGGTTGATTAGGGTTTCTCACCCTGCTTTTCCCTTCTGGAGGGTATTTTTCTGTGGCCATTTTGCAAATTTCCCGGCATCTTACTCTTTCAAAAAGCTTGGAAGTTTTCTGGCTCTGATATTTTCCCTTTGGTCTATGTTCTGCCTTTTTCTTAGGTGTTTTTGGCTCTCCTCCCAACTATTAGGTTGGTGCAAAAGTAATTTTGGGTTCAGACCATGAATTTTAAATCATAACTAGGCTCAAACACATCTTTATTAATCAAAATTGGAACCATTACCATCAACACATTTTTGCCAGCAAGACCAAGTTTATTCCTGTAGTGTAAAAATCCACACTTACAGATTTGAGGAACTCTCAGAAAGCATTTTCTGCATACTGCTGGTTGTGGAAGTGTTTTCCCTGCAAAAAGTTGTCGATGCTTGAGGAAGTGGTAGTCAGCTGGTGGTAGGTCAGGTGAATATGGCAGATGAAGCAATGCTTTGTAGCCCAATTCATTCAAACTTTGAAGCGTTGGTTGTGTGACATGTGGTCAGGCGTTGTTGTGGAGAAGAATTGGGCCCTTTCTGTTGACAACTGCTGACTGCAGGCGTTGCAGTTTCCTATGCATCTCATCGATTTGCTGAGCATACTTCTCAGATGTAATGGTTTCACCAGGATTCAGAATGCTGTAGTGGATCAGACCAGCAGCAGACTGCCAGTGACTGTGACCATGACCTTTTTTTTTTTTTTTTTTTTTTTTTTTTTGGTGCAAGTTTGGCTTTGGGAAGTGCTTTGAAGCTTCTCGGTCCAGCCACTGAGCTGGTCTTCACCAGCTGTTGTATAAAATCCACTTTCCTTTTTTTTTCTTTTTTTAAATTTATTTTTATTTATTTCTTTTGTTTTTTATTGATCATTCTTGGGTGTTTCTCGCAGAGGGGGATTTGGTAGTGTCATAGGACAATCGTGGAGGGAAAGTCAGCAGATAAACAAGTGAACACAGGTCTCTGGTTTTCCTAGGCAGAGGACCCGGCGGCCTTCCGCAGTGTTTGTGTCCCTGGGTACTTGAGATTAGGGAGTGGTGAGGACTCTTAAAGTGCATGCTGCCTTCAAGCATCTGTTTAACAAAGCACATCTTGCACCGCCCTTAATCCATTTAACCCTGAGTGGACACAGCACATGTTTCAGACAGCACCGGGTTGGGGGTAAGGTCATAGATCAACAGCATCCCAAGGCAGAAGAATTTTTCTTAGTACAGAACAAAATGGAATCTCCTATGTCTACTTCTTTCTACACAGACACAGCAACTATCTGATTTCTGTATCTTTTCCCCACATTTCCACCTTTTCTATTCGACAAAACCGCCATCGTCATCATGGCTCATTCTCAATGAGCTGTTGGGTACACCTCCCAGACGGGGTGGCGGCCGGGCAGAGGGGCTCCTCACTTCCCAGAAGGGGCGGTCGGGCAGAGATGCCCCCCACCTCCCGGATGGGGCGGCGGCCGGGTGGAGGCGCCCCCCACCTCCCTCCCGGACGGACTTATAAGTTTGGCATGCTTCTGGGGTTTTGTTTCTCCCCTCTCTTGATTTTTCCTTGGGGTGGGCTGTCCACATGGGCAGTGGCTTGTCAGCACCTGGGAAGGGCCACATGCACAGTGTGTTTACTGAAATTGTGCACATGCTCATTCGAGGCATTTTTCCTTTACCATTTGAGTGTTCCTAGAGGAAGGTCATATACCAGTTAAACTCTGTCATTTTTCCTCTTAGTGAGCATGTTTGAGCCCACTTGCCCAACTTCTGCATTCGTATCAGGAAGCTGCTGATCACCAGCTTCAGGTATCTTCTGTCTGTTGGGAGACTGCTTCTCCCGGCACTGGCTGTGACTAATTATTATTTTAGAGAGACATTGGTCTCTAATAATTTCAGACAATGGTACCCTGACATTCCTGGGTGTGAGGGGCCTTTCCTGCCCTATTCATGTTTGCCTAGCTACGCACTCTAACAATATCTCTATTTGCATAAGCCTCGTAACTGGGAACAACTATACCCAGAAGTCTCTGTCACCAGGTATCTTGATATCCCCTCAGTAATTCTCTTTTCATTCTGGTGGAGGCAGGAACTTTTCCATCATGGGGATGGATGGAAAAAGAGACAGATAATGGCCCGGGAGGCAAAGTACTTCAATTTTCTAGCTGTTTAGGCACCTGTGTGCCCATACTTGCGTTGGATGCTCTGAACTAATTCTACGCCTTGAAAATGACCCTTGTGACCAGGCATGGTGGATCACTCCCTGTAATCCCGGCACTTTGGGAGGCTGAGGAGGAGGATCACTGAAACCTAGGAGTTAGAGACCAGCCTGGAAAACATAGCATAGTGAGACTCTGTCTCTACAAAAAAAAAAAATTTTTTTTTAAATTAGCTAGGCAAGGTGGCACATGCCTGCAGCCCTAGCTACTCAGAAGGCTGAGGCTCCTAGGAGTATCACTTGAGCCCAGGAGGTTGAGGCTGCAGTGAGCCATGATCGTGCCACTGCACTCCAGCCTGAGTGACAGAGTCCAGCCTGGGTAACAGAGTGAGACCCTGTCTCATAATAAAAAAGAATTTAAGAAAGGCCAAGTAGGATGCCGAATGATCCAAAATGAGGGAGATTTGCAGGCTCTGTCAAATCATCTCTAGTCTTCAGAATATCATGATTCAGGCTGTCTTGGAAAGAAGTAAAACAATGAGAGACAACATTAGTGATTTGACAATCAAAAGAGAATTTTTGCATCACAATGAAAAAAAAAGGAATTTCGCTAAGGAAACAACTAAAACATCATGAATAAAATTACAACCCAGTTCTTCTTTAGAGACTTATTGTAGCCAAGAAATAATTCAGGAGTTAGCCCAAATTCTAGTCAAATAACAAAGCTTAAAAACAAAGGTCAGGGCTGGAATCTAGTATAAACAGGTGTGGTACAGTTTTCCTTTGAAACATAACTTTTATCTCTCTGTAGTCCCCCTTTTCTACTACAGAGAAAGTATAGTAAGATTGATCTGTGTGCAAAATTAGTTTTAGCCTTATTGTACTTCACCTGATTATTTGCACAAAGTGCAGCAAGAATTGTTTGGCCACATAGGCTTTGCTGGAACTTTACCTGAAAATTTGTTAGTCTAATCAAAGCCTTGGTAAAATAACCAATGTCTCCAATTGTGCCCTGTTTAAAAAAAAACAGATTCTTATCCATCATATGCAAATATAACTATACTGCCATAAAATAAGAATACTCATGAATAGTTTCCAAATTTTAGAGAACTCAGGTAGAGAGAAAGGTAAATTTGGGTCACAAAAGTATACTTTAGAATCAGAGTTGCTGCCTTCCAAACAAGGATGTTTGTTCACTGTTGGGAGAAAAGCTGAGTGTTTGGAGAGAAGCTGAGGCGGGCTTGGAACATGTCCAGGGTCCAGGTAAAACTCCTCGTGGCCTTTGGAATGTGTCCAGACTTGCTGGCTCCTTGCTTCTAGCACTCCCATTATCTCAAGTAGACATATGTTTCAAAGAAAATGCTAAGTTGTCACAGATGTAGCTCATTCACTTGATACACTGCTTCCTTTCAACCCCCACATCCTCACCACCTGTTTCTTTGTTTGATCACCAATAAATAGCGTGGGTTCCCAGAGCTTGGGGCCTTTGCAGCCTCCATATTAGCGTTGGCCCCCTGGTCCCCCTTTCTCTGTTAATTTGTCTTTTCTCATTCCTTTGACTCTGCTGGACTTCATAGCCCCCATGGCCTGGTGTTGGGTCCGATCACCCCAACGTTCATGGCGCCCAATGTGGGGCAAAGAAGACCCCAGTGAAGGAAAACCAGAGTGTGTGAAAGTGGAGGATACATCATAAGAGGACACCCGAGGATGACTGAAAGAAGCTCTGTGGGAAAGCTGTGTGCTCAGAAGAACCAGGGGAACAAGAGGACAAAGTGAAAGCAAACATTCTGCTTATTTGAATTTGTTTATTTATTTATTTATTTATTTATTTATTTATTTTTTGAGACGGAGCCTTGCTCTGTTGCTCAGGCTGGAGTGCAGTGGTGTGATCTCGGCTCACTGCAAGCTCCACCTCCTGGGTTCACACCATTCTCCTGCCTCAGCCTCCCAAGTAGCTGGGACTACAGGTGCCCACCACCACGCCCAGCTAATTTTTTGGTATTTTTAGTAGTGATGGGGATTCACCATGTTAGCCAGGATGGTCTCGATCTCCTGACCTCATGATCCACCCGCCTCAGCCTCCCAAAGTGCTGGGATCACAGGCATGAGCCACTGCGACCAGCCAGCTTATTCTTAAGGCATTTATTACAAAGAGGGAGAGTGAAAGTTAGTACTCAGAATTTATTACTCTTTAGTACAGTAAAGCAGTTTTGCCCATGGTTTCCAGAACAGGGGACTATGGAGTTGGATCAATGGGAGAGAATGGGAAGAGATTTTAAAAAGGCATATAAAGATGGAGTAAAAATTCCAGTTCCCGTTTGGTCAATGTGGGCACTAATAAAGGCAGTTCTTGAGCCGTTCAAACAGATAATGCGGAAGATTTAGATAAGGAAGAGGAGGACGAGTGTAAAAAACTAACTTCAGATTCTGAGTGTGAGGAACAGCTACTGGAGGAGATTAAAGAAAAGAAAGGAAAGCTACAGTATGTTTTACTAGCCTGTCGGCTCCACCGGCTGAATTAAGTGAGTGGCCACCTCCTCTCTCTCCCCTGAATGGGTGAGAAAATGAATTAGGTGAAAAAGTTACTGCTCCTGTAGTTGCAACATTAAAACCTGGAGCAATTGGTGGTGCTATACAAAATTCTATTCAAAAAGCCAGATAGAGCCAAGGGAGACCTTGAAGCATGGCAATTTCCAGTTACTATAACCCAGCAAGAAGGACAGAATATAGCTAATTGGGCCAACTTTCCTTTTAAGTTACCAAAGGAATTCAAGCAAGCCATTAGTCATTACGGCCTGAACTCTCCTTTTGTGCAAACTTTGTTAAAAAATGTGGCTCTTGGTAATAGGTTAATACCATATGATTGGGATACTTTAACAAAATCTGTTCTCACTCTGTCTCAGTATTTACAGTTTAAAACTTGGTGGGCTGATGAAGCTCAAACTCAGGCAAGGGAAAACACACAAGCACAGCCACCTCTGCCTGTTTCTTTTGAACAGTTAATGGGAGTTGGCCCTAACTGGGGTCGATTACAGAATCAAGCAGTAACGGAGGATGTTGCCATTTTTCAGCTGCACTCCGTGTGCTTACAGGCATGGGAAAGGATAAATGTTACAGGGGAAAATATCCTTCTTTCAGTTCTGTCTGACAAGGACCTAGAGAACCATATATTGATTTTATTGCTTGGCTCCAAGAGGCTGTGTATAAAGCCATAACTGATAAAACAGCTCAGGATGTTGTAATACAGCTTCTTGCATCCCACAATGTTAATGCAGAGTGTCAAACTGCTATTAGACCCCTGAGAGGGAAGACTCATTTAGCTGAATATATTAAGGCTTGCGATGGCATTGGAGGTAACTTACTTAAGGTTACTCTTTTAGCTCAGGCTATGGCTGGATTTAAAGTGGGGAAGAATATGCCCCGTTTCTCAGGCTCTTGCTTTAATTGTGGGCAGTTTGGATATACAAAAAAGGAATATAGAAAAGGAAATGCTGTCTAGTAATGGAAAAGCCTCATTTGCTGGACCTCAACAGCAAGTTTTTCAAACTGACTTTGCTTCTGCTCAAAGGGCTGAAGTTATGGCTGTGATAACAGTGTTAAAAACTTTTAAACAGCCAGTAAACATTGTTTCTGATTCAGCCTATGCAGTGCAAGCCACACAAAATATTGAATGTGCCTTAATTCGAAGTGTGACTGATGAACAACTTAATCTTTTATTTCATTCTTTACAGCAAACAGTACAACAAAGGCATTCCCCTCTCTATATCACTCATCTGAGAGCACATACTAACCTCCCTGGCCCTTTAACTAAACTTAATCAAAGGGCGGATGCATTGGTGTCTGCAGTCTTTGCTGATGCACAAATGTTCCATTCTTTAACCTACCTTAATGCCGCAGGCCTTAGAAAAAGATGTGGTCTATCATGGAAACAAGCTAAAGAAATTGTACAGCAGGGTGCGGTGGCTCCTGCCTGTAATCCCAGGACTTTGGGAGGCCGAGGCGGGTGGATCACGAGGTCAGGAGATCGAGACCATCCTGGCTAACACAGTGAAACCTCGTCTCTACTAAAAAATACAAAAAATTAGCCGGGCATAGTGGCAGGCGCCTGTACCCCAGCTACTCTGGAGGCTGAGGCAGAAGAATGGTGTGAACCCGGGAGGTGTAGCTTGCAGTGAGCCGAGATCACGCCACTTCACTCCAGCCTGGGCAACAGAGCAAGACTCTGCCTCAAAAGAAAAAAAAATGAAATTGTACAACCCTGTTCTGCCTGCCAAGTCCTGCATCTGCCACCTCAAGGAATAGGAGTTAACCCTAGAGGTTTAGCTCCAAATTCCATCTGGCAGATGGATGTAACACATATTCTTGCTTTTGGAAAATTGTCCTTTGTTCATGTTTCAGTAGATAACCTATTCACATTTTATCTGGGCCACATGTCAAACAGGGGAAGCTATAGCTCATGTTAAAAGACATCTTTTATCTTGCTTTTCAGTTATGGGAATCCCAGAAAAAATCAAAACTGATAATGGCCCAGGATACTATAGTAAAGCCATGGCTACATATTTTCAACAATGGAATATTACCCATACTACAGGTATTCCATATAACTCGCAAGGACAGGCAATGGTGGAAAGAGCTAATCGTACTTTAAAAATTCAAATACAAAAGCAAAAAGGAGGGGACCGGAATATAAGACACAGCATATGCAACTGCATTTAGCTTTATTAACATTAAATTTTTTAAATTTACAATAAGATTAACACATGACTGCAGCTGAACAACACCTGACAGGACAAAAGGAAAATAAAAAGGCTGGACAAGATATATGGTGGAGGGATGCACATACAGTTGGGAAAAAGGAAAGATAATTATATGAGGAAGAGGATTTGCTTGTGTCTCTCCAGGTGACAATCAGGTATCTGTGTGGGTGCCCACCAAATATCTGAAGATCTATCATGAACCACAGCGTCTAGTGGACCCACCTTTAAATTGAAGGTTTAAGGATTGCTTTTTTGCTATACTATTGTACAAGAAGGACAAGCCTCGGTTTGCTTTCTCTATGCCTTCTGTTAATCAGAAAAAGCCTGTTTCTCGCTATCAATGGTAAGTTTTACCCCGCGGTAATTAACCAAAGAGGTAGAAGCTGAGTTTCAAATGCTTCAGCAATAATAATAGTAATAATAAAGGCCTTTGCTTCTGTTTTGCTAGATTTACTAATGTGGGGTGAGGGTATGCTTGTGTTTTTGCGGGAGATGAACACCGTGTGGGTGCCCTCAAGATGTGTACAACCATGGAGCAGGAGATGAGGGGGACCCATGGATCCAAACCATGGACTGGGTTCCCCCAGTATGAGCCATGAGCCAGTTGAATCTGAATGTGAATGTGGAACGAGGACCAACCAGAGTCATGCTGACATCAACCCCTATAACATGGGGTTAGATCAAGAAAACCACACAGGAAGCTGAGAAACTGCTGAAGCACCAGGGTTTTACCTTTTGCTGGGATTCAGAGGTACAACGGATGCTTAATAGACCAATGCTTTCTGACTGAACTCCTCTCTACCCTGAATACAAGAGACCCTAATAGTTAGGCAGGAATATCATTGCCCCTATTCAGCATGAAGAAGTTACAGAAGATGGACCTTCATCCTTCTGCAACCATTAGAATTAAGGGTCCTCTTGTAAAAGGGAAGGGGGAAATATGTAAGAAGCATTCAAACCAGAGCGACTCCATTTTGAATAAGGGCTAAGAAAAATGAAGCTGGATCACCAACCAGCAATTAAGGGCTGCACAGCCTGCAATTGCCTTGCTCAATTAATTTAAAAACAAAAAGAGGACCTTTTGGATTTGAAGTTGTGTTATGTTACTCTTAAATGCCATCTGGAGGGCAGAGATGAAAATCTCATCCTAAAGATAGTAAAACTAAAAGAGCAGGTTTTTGAAGCCTCTCAGGCTCACTTAGCCCTGCTCCCTGGAACTGATACTTTGAACAAGACAGCCAATGGGTTGTCTACAATCAATCCTCTTAAATGGATTAAGGCCATTGGAAGCTCTACACTTGCAGATTTTATTCTAATAATTATGTGCTTGTGCTGTCTTCTTTTAGTCTGCAGATGCAGAAGCCACTGCTGGAGAGAAAGCCGCCATTGAGAACAAGCAATGATAGCTGTGGCAGTTTTACAAAAAAGAAAAGGGGGACATGTTGGGAGAAACACTAAGTGTTGGGAGAGAAGCTGAGGCAGGGCTTCGAACATGTCCAGGGTCCAAGGTAAAACCCCTCCTGGCCTTTGGAATGTGTCCAGACTTGCTGGCCCCTTGCTTCTAGCACTCCCATGATCTCAAGTAGCCATATGTTTCAAAGAAAAATGCTAAACTGTCACAGCTGTAGCTCATTCACTTGATACACCACTTCCCACCTAGCATGTCCAGTTCATATTGCTGGAAGGGCAGATTTACATGCCTTCTGTTTTATAGTACTAGTGTAGCAGGACCAGTCGCAGACAAAACTTCTTGGACACCGGTTTTAGGAAGGAAGAGGCTTTAATCAGCTGGGTGCATAGGTAGACTCACGTCTCAAGATCCAAGCTTCCCAAAGTAAAGACTCATGTCCCTTTTATAAGGGCTTACAACTCTAAGGGGTCCATGTGAAAAGGTCGTGATACATTGCACAAGTGGGGGCTATGTGACTGAGGGCTACCTGCATCAGTGATGGGGGCTAGCAGAACAGAACAGAAGGTTTCACAAGTCTTCCTCAAACAATGTCTGGAATCTATAGATAACACAAGTGGTTAGGTCAGGAGTTGATCTTTAACTACCAGACCTGGTTCTTGGTGCCAAGCCGTCTGGCTATTGATCTCACTTCTGCTACTTTTTAACTTTTTGCTGCCTTTTTGAAACAGGAGACAATGGGATAGGTGGTCTCCTTCCTTACTAGTTAGGGAAAACATTCCTCAGTCAGACACAATACCCATTTTCCATAAGACATTTAGGTAAAAGAGACATGAGTACTTTACATAAAGCCTATTTAAACATTCCAACCTTCATAATCATATCAGCCCTTACATTTTTATGTTCTGGTCCCAGGAAACTTTTTCTTTTCCACTCCCAGACCATTTCACCCTCTCTGGTAAAAAAGGATTTGGGTTCTCAGCAGTGACTTGAGCCAGGGGACCAAGGCTCTTTTGTCAATCTTGACTAATTTGCCTCAACATTTTCCCAGGCAATTGTTAATCAGCTTTCTCATTGTAACCTTTGCCTTCTGATTGAAGAAATTTCTCCAATCTGGGGCAAATACCAAAAACTAGTTTGGGGATTTTTAATTTTGAAGGACCAGCAAGTTCTCCCTTTGGTCTACCCAACCTTCAATAGTGTTGTATTAAAACCTTTGTGGTGTATATATATATTTCAATACCTTTTGGGGTACAAGTGGTTTTTGGTCTCTAAGAAGCTCCAAACTTTCCCTCATTTTCCTTTCTTCTTCTAAGCCATCCGAAGTCTTTCAACCTGCCACCCAATTCCAAAGTTTCTTTCATATTTTCAGGTATTTTTATAGCAGTGCCCCACTCCTTGGTACCAATTTTCTGTACTAGGCTGTTCTTACATTTCTATAAACATCAAAGTCTGGGTAATTTATAAAGCAAAGGTGTTTAATTGGCTCATGGTTCTGTAGGCTTTATAGGAAGCATCGTGCTGGCATCTGTTCAGCTTCTAGGGAGGCCTCAGGAAGCTTGCAATCATGGCAGAAGCTGAAGAGGGAGCAAATGTCACGCACAGTGATAGCAGGAGCCATGGGGGGGGGGGGAGGTGCCACACCCTTTTTAAACAACCAGATCTTGTGAAAACTCACCATTGTGAGGACAGCACCAAGGGGATGGCATTAAACTACTCATCAGGTATTCGTTCTCATGATCCAATCACCTCCCACCAGACCCACCTCCAACATGGGAGATTACAATTCAACATGAAGCTTAGAGGAAACAACATCCAAACTACATCAACATCTTACTTTATACACCCTGTATGTAGAATTTTTTTTCTCTTATATCTACTAGTTTTAATCACATATATTAACTACTATTCTCTTAGTAACCCTCATTTCTGTTGAAAAACCTAGGATTACTTAATGCTGGGAACAAGCCCTAAGCCTGTCATAAATAGGCCTTAAAGAAACTGGCCATAAACAGGATTTCTGCAGCAACGCGACATGCTCGTGATGGCTGTGATGCACATGGCTAGAAGTTGTTGGTTTACTGGAGCAGGGCAAGGAACGCCTGGCCACCTAAAGTGGGAAACTGCTCAAACCACAAACAATAGCAGGAGCAGGCTGTGCCTTAACATGTTTTTGCTGCTGATAATCAGCCAGAACCTGTTTCTCTACTCCTTGCTAAGAATGCTTTGTTTCCCGTAAGGAATGCTTTTAGCTAATCTATAACCTATAGAAACAATGCTTATCACTGGCTTGCTGTCAATAAATATGTGGGTCAAACTCTGTTTGTGGCTCTCAGTTCTGAAGGCCGTCAGCCCCGATCCCACTTTGTACTCTATTTCTGTGTCTTTGTCTTCAATTCTTTAGCACCGCTGGGTTGGGGTCTCCATGACTGAGGTGGTCTTGGTAACTTAATTTAACCTACTGTTGTGGCTTCTTCTCTCCAGTAGTTCAGCAAGTGGGAGGGAGCAGCACCCAGTGGATTTTTTGCTTCCATAGTTTGGTGAACAGGAGGGAGTGTTACAGCTCTTTTACTTGCACCATCTGCAGCTCAGTGAGCCAGCCAGGTGTGTCACAGCTCTTTTGCTCCTGTAATTCAGTGAGCAGGAGGGAGTGGCACCCTATGGCTTCTTCTCACCTGTTGTTTTGCAAGCAGGAGGGAGGGTTATAGCTCTTTTTCACTCCTGCTCCCTGCAGCTTAGCAAGTTCTGGGTTCCAAGAAGAATAAGGTATGCAAACACTGGAGAGCGAGTAAGGCAGAGAAGAATTTTATTGAGCTACAGAAGGAAAGGTCTCAGCTGTGAGACGTGACCAAGAAAGCAGGTAGCTGTTTATGAGGCTGAGTCTGTGGTTTTTATGGGCTTAGAATGGGGGAATGCATGCTGATTGGTCCACAGGTGGGCTTGGAGAGAGCACCATTTGATTGGTTAAAAGGCATCATCCAGAAGGAACCAATTGAGAGAAAGTGGATAAGATGGGGACAGAAGTTTTCACTCCAGTCGTGGACTCTATCCAGAACTAGCTGCTCAGTCCTCAGGTTGAAGGTCGAGCCTTACCAGCAACCCGTCCCTGTCTGCCTAGGAATTTGTCTGTCTCCTGTTGCTATCAATAACATGACTTTAAAAATTAAATTACTGAAGAGAATTTAGAGACTAGTTTTATTTAACAAAGATCATTGAAGTCACATGAATTAATGGCATTTGAACTAGCTTCTATTTTCCTGAGAAAATATTTCATTGAAGCACTTACTTTTCTTTAAGCCAATTGATTAGAGCTCTTTCATATAACTCGGTAGTGAACTATATCTAAATGATACTAGAAACATATACACATGGCCAGGCATGGTGGCTCATGCCTGTAACCCCAGCACTTTGGGAGCCTGAGGGAGGGAAATCACCTGAGATCAGGAGTTCAAGACCACCTTGACCAACGTGGAGAAACCCCATCTCTACTGAAAAAAATATAAAACTAGCCAGGCGTGGAGGCACATTCCTGTAATCCCAGCTATGCAGGAGGCTGAGCCAAGAGAATCGCTTGTACCCGGGATGCGGAGGTTATGGTAAGCTAAGATTGCGCCATAGCACTCCAGCCTGGGCAACAACAGTGAAACTCCGTCTCAAACAAACAAAAAAATAGACATACAAACACACAGACAGAAGCACACCTTATACATTTATGTGTCCAGAATTGCTGGGGTCTCAGTCTCACTAACGTTGAGAATGAAGCCGGGCACCCTTATGGTGAGTGTTACAGTTCTTAAAAGGTGGTGTGTCCACAGTTTGTTCCTTCAGAGATTCACATATGTCCGAAGTTTCTTCTGGTGGGTTTGTGGTCTTGCTGACTTCAGGAGTGAAACTGCAAACCTTCATGGGGAGTGTTACAGCTCTTAAAGGTGGCACATCCAGAGTTGTTTGTTCCTTCTGGCTGATTCGTGGTCTCACTGGCCTCAAGAGTGAAATTGCATACCTTCACAGTGAGTGTTACAGCTCTTGAAGGCAACGTGGACAGAAAGAATGAACAACAGTAAAATTTATTGCCAACAGTCAGCTAACAAAGCTTCCCCAAAGTGGAAGAGCACTGGAGCCCACTGCCACTGCTTGTAGGGGGTGGCCTGCTTTTATTCCCTTATCTGGCCCCACCCACATCCTGCTGATTGGTCCATTTTACAGGGAGCTGATTGGTCCGTTTTGCAGAGTCCTGATTGGTCCATTTTGACAGAGTGCTGATTGGTGCATTTACAAACCTTTAGCTAGACACAGAGCGCTGATTGGTGGGTTTACAAATCTTTAGCTAGACAGAGAGCACTGATTGGTGCATTTACAATCCTTTAGCTAGACAGAAAAGTTCTCCAAGTCGCAGGGACGCAGAAGCCCAGCCGGCTTTGACTCTGAATGGCATTCGCCGCGGGACTTTGCTTGGCACCTAGCCTGGGCTCTCCCGCAGTCCAGAGTGAGCTCATCACCCATCAAGCCCAGCAGGTGCCGGCCAGCGCGCCAAGTGCGGGGCCTGCCCAGCCCGTGCCCACCAGGAACCTGCCCCGGCCGGCGAGCACCACGCGCAGCCCCGGCTCCCGCTGGCGTCTCTCCCTCTACACCTTCCCACGAGCAGAGGGAGAGGGCTCCGGCATAGGCCAGCCCCAGAGAGGGGCCCATACAGCGTAGTGGCAGGCTGAAGGGCTCCTCCAGTACCGCCAGAGTGGATGCCGAGGCAGAGAAGGTGCCAAGAGCTAGCGAGGGCTGCTAGCACGTTGTCACCTCTCAATAAGATCCTGCATTTGCAGTTTTCAAAGCTTCTCCCCTACTTTAAAGACTATTAATAACTTGAATGCCTGTTACATACCGTAAACAACTGTTAGCTATACCACTGTAAATTTGCATCTCCAAAGACATGAGTTAGGTGAAACCGGTAGAAAAGGTATGTCTCAAAGGCACAAACGTAGATCTAAACAAAGATAAGATTTATTATATAAATTTTAGTTCGTTGTCTTCCCCATAGTTAAAGTGCCTAGTGGTTTAGGTGCAGAGACAGAGATGCCCTTACAAATGGAAGTTTCCTTTAAAGATATAAATTTCTTTTTACAAAGAGTTTCACAAGACTAATTTAGTTTGATAGGTTTTTTTTGTTTTGTTTTGTTTTTTAACTTAGCTTGTCTCTTAATTCTAGAGCCAGATTACTGGCTTTAGGGTAGAGCCCTTTAAGAAACAGGGCCAATGGGTGCAGTGACTCACACTGTCATCTTAGGACTTTGAAAGGCCGAGGTGGGAGGATTGCTTGAGGCCAAGAGTTTGAGACTGGCCTGGGCAACATAATGAGATCCCATTTTACAAAAATCAAAAGGAAGTAAGCAGTTTTTAGGACTAAACCATGCTTTTCTTATCCAAACACAAAGAACCAAGTAGTCCCCTGTAATAATAACTATTTCCTGTAAACAACACTGCTGTTAGCCATCTAACACTATAAACAGTTGCTCATAACTTCTAGCCATCACACACACCAAGGTCTAGTCCTCTCACAGTACCAAGTAATCTCTGGTAACCCTAAAAGCCAAGGGGACCAAGTAGTGCAATACAAAAGAGGACAGTGTTTTAGACCTGAGAGGAACTTTCCCATGATTCTTGAAACACCTCAAGGAAAGTAGAAGACCCCCAAACAGGGAGTTAAAAAGGACAAGCGCATTACATAATGATAAAAGGTTCAACTCAACAAGAATATTTAACTGTCTTAAATACATGCACACACCTAACATTAGAGCACCCAGATTTATGAAACAATTACTCCTAAACCTAAGAAAATAGCCACACAATAATAGTGAAGGATTTCAACACCCCACCCCACTAACAGCATTAGATAGATCATCAAGGTGGAAAACTAACAAATTCTGGGCTTAAATTGGACACTTGACCAACTGGACCTAACAGACAACTGCAGAATACTCCACCCAACGACCACAGAATATAGATTCTTCTTATCTGCACATGTAACATACTCTAAGGTCGGCCACAGCCTTGGTTATAAAGCAAGTCTTCATAAAAAAAAAAAGTCAAATTACTTCTCTTCACTGACAGTGTGGCTCTATGTCTAGAAAACTCTAAAGGTTTCACCAAAAGACTCCTAGTCCTGATAAATGACTTCAGGAAAGCCTCAGAATACAAAATCAATGTACAAAAATTGGTAGCATTTCTATACACCAATAATGTTCAAGCTGAGAACCAAATCAAGAATGCAATTCCATTTACAGGAGACACACACAAAAATACCTAGGAACATGTCTAACCAAGGAGGTGAAAGATTTCTACAAGGCGAACTAACTACAAAACACTGATGAAAAAAATCATACATGACACAAACCAATGGAAAAAGCATTCATTCCATGCTCATGGGTTGGAAGAATCAATCTCATTAAAATGCCCACTTTGCTTAAAACATTCTACAGATTCAATGCAATTCCTATCAAACTACCAATATCATTTTTTCACAGAATTAGAAAAAAAGATTCTAAAATTCATATAGAACCAAAAAAGAGCCTGAATAGCTGAACCAATCCTAAGCAAAAAGAACAAAGCTGGAAGCATCACATTACTTGACTTCAAACCATACTACAAGGCTACAGTAACCAAAACAGCATGGTTAGTGGCTAGTGGTTCAAAACTGACAATCAGAACAAAGTGGAAAACCCAGAAATAAAGCTGCACACCTACAACCAACTAGTCTTTTACAAAATTGACAAAAAGAAACAATTGGGAAGGGACAGTCTATTTACTAAATGGTGTTGGGATAGCTGGCTAACCATATGCAGAAGAATAAAACTAAAGATGGACTAAAGCCTTAAATGTTAAGACCTCAAACTATAAAAATCCTAGAAGAAAACTCTTCTGGATATTGGGCTAGGCAAAGAATTTCTGACTAAGACCTCAGAAACAAACACAACAAAACCAACAAAACAAAAATTGACAAGCGAGACCTAATTAAACTAAAGAGCTTCTGCACAGCAAAAGAAACTATCAACAGAGTAAACAGACAACCTACAGAATGGGAGAAAATATTTGCAATCTATGCATCCAACGAAGGACTCATATCCAGAATCTATAAATAACTGAACAAGAAAAAACAAATAACCAGGCTGGGTGTGGTGGCTCACACCTGTAATTCCAGCAATTTGGGAGGCTGAGGCAGGGGTATCACTTGAGGTCAGGAGTTTGAAACATGCCTGACCAACATGGCAAAACCCTGTCTCTACTAAAAATACAAACAATAAAAAAAATTAGCCAGACATGATGGCGTGCGCTGTAGTCCCAGCTACTTCGAGATTGTGCCACTGCACTCCAGCCTTGGCGACAGAGCAGGACTCCGTCTCAAAAAACAAACAAACAAAACCAAATAACCCCATTTAAAAGTGGGCAAAGAACATGAACAGACATTTCTCAAAAGAAGATATACAAATGGCCAGCCAACATATAAAGAAATGCTCATTGCTAATCATCAGAAAAATGCAAATAAAAACCACAATGAGATATCACCTTACACCAGTCAGAATGGCTATAATAAAGTCAAAAAATCGCAAGTGTTGGTGAGGTTTCCTTCCTGACTGAAATATATGTGTGTTTACCATCCACCATTTGGATATGTCTTCATCCTCCTGCCAGACCCAGCTAATTGGCTAATTGCATCCACCTGCACTGTTGGGAGGGAAGAGAGAATGATCTGTAACCTACTTTTCTCCCTGGTCTTTTGGTGAACAGGGGAAGCTTATACACTATTGGTGGGAATGTAAGTTAGTTTAGTTCCTGTGGAAAGCAGTTTGGAAATTTCTTAGAGAACTAAAAATAGAACTACGATTCAGCCCAGCAATCCCATTACTGGATATATACCTAAAGGAAAAGAAATCATTCTACAAAAGACACCTGTACCCATTAGTTTATCGCAGCAATATTCACAATAGGAAAGACATAGAATCAACCTAAATGCCCATCAACAGTGGACCGGATAAAGGAAGTTGGTACATATGCACCATGGAATACCACGCAGCCATAAAAAGAATGAAATGATGTCCTTTGCAGCAACATGGATGCAGCTGGAAGCCATTATCCTAAGTGAATTATCACAGAAAAAGAAAATCAAATACTGCATTTTCTCAAAAGTGGGAGCTAAATATTGAGTACACATGGACAGAAAGATGGGAACAGTAGACACTGGGGACTTCAAAAGGGGGAAGAGAAGGAGAGGGGAAGCGTTTTAAAAAATAGGTCGGGCACGGTGGCTCATGCCTGTAATCCCAGCACTTTGCGAAGCCGAGGCTGGTGGATCACCTGAGGTCAGGAGTTTGAGACCAGCTTGGCCAACATGGTGAAATCCCGTCTCTACTAAAAATATGAAAATTAGCCAGGCGTGGTGGTTGGCACCTGTAATCCCAGCTACTCGGGAAGCTGAGGCAGGAGAATTGCTTGAACCTGGGAGGCGGAGGTTGCAGTGAGCTGAGATCGCACCACTGCACTCCAGCCTGGGCAACAGAGCGAGACTCCGTCTCAAAACAAAAACAAAAACAACCCTACATATTAGGTACTATGCTCACTAATTGGGTGATAAGGTCAATAGAAGCCCAACCCTCAGCATCATGCAATATATCCATGTAACTCATCTGCACATGTACACCCTGAATCTAAACTAAAAGTAAAAAAATGCCCTGGCCACATAGCAGATATGCTGACATTTCTACCATCAGACCAAGTGTTTTCGCTGTCATATATTGCATATTAAATCACTGCAGTGAAATTTTGTTTTTGTGTAAATTTTTGTGCGTGGAAAGGGTCCATAGCTTTCACTAGCCTCCTAAATGGGGTTGATGATGCTAAAAAGTTGAAAGCCAGTACTTTAGAGTTGAAAAGTTGGATTCAATGATGGGAATAGATTGATTGTTTCCAAAAGGGTTCTCTTAATATGTCTGAATAGTAATTGCTGTGCTTCTTTGTGTAGTAAAATTCTTAATGTGGCCTGATAGCTGTACAGAACATTTGAGATTGGGACTGAAAATCTTGGACATATGTCCCTCGGTAGCCATTAGATTATCTAATTGCCATTAGTGTTAAGGTGAGCATAAAGCAAATTATTAACTGCATGGCCCTAAGAAAGTCACCTTATCTCATGGGATCTGTTACCTCATTTATAAGACATTTTTAAAAGGAGGAATGTGACCTTGAAGATTTCCAAAACTCCTAGTTTGGATTCTCTAGAAAAGTGAGATCAATGCTGGACTTGGATGGAGCCCTTTTGTGGCAGAAATGAACCAGGCTTTGCATAGAAGGAAAAAGACAGAGTGTCCAAATGAGGAAGAGGCCCAGAGGATCCAAGAAGCCTCTTCCTCCATAAATGGGAAACACAAGCCTGCTGTGGCAAAGAGCCAGTGTAATCAGGGCAGGATGAGGGCTACTGTGACACTTTTTAACATCCAGGACTCTGAGGGAACAGAGGCTCAACCTCTACTTTTCACCCTGGGACTGACTTGCCAGAACACAAGTTGTCCCTCAGTGAGTGAATACACCATCTCGCCTGCACTAAGAACTTCTGATTCTCATAGGAGAAAATGCTTTGGGTCTTCCCACTTTCCACATCAGCTGGCTTGGCTGTGTCTGGAAAATGCTGCTCTCCAAGTGCCTGAAGGCACAAGTAAGTCCTAGGGTGAAGCTGTTTGGAGGGGTAAGAGAACAGCTTACCTGTACTTTAGGATATATTGGAATCCCACCCCACAACAATAACTGTCAGCATAAAAAATTTTAAACCACTATTGATACATTATTATAAACTATTTTGTACATCAGAGTTGAGTATTTGTGTCATTGTGGTTTAAATTTTCAATTTCCTAAATGAATAGTGATGTGGAGCATCTTTTCTTATGCTTATTTGCCATTCACATATTTTCTTGGGTGAAATGTCTGATCAAATCTGTTGCCATGCCCCTTTGTAAAATTGAGTTTGAGTTCTTTAAAAATATTCTAGATACAAGCCCTTTATCAAGTATATCATATGCAAATATTTTCTCCCAACATATGGCTTGTCTTTAACAGTGTATTTTAAGGAGCAGAAATTTTTAATTTTTATAAAGTCCAGTCTATCAATTTGTTCTTTTATGGATTGCATTTTTGGTGCAGTATTTTAAAAAATCTTTGCCTAACTGAAGATCACAAGGGTTTCTTCTGTTTTCTTCTAGAAGTTTTGGTGTTTTGTTTTTTTGTTTCTTTGTTTTTTTGAGACAGAGTTTCACTCTCGTTGCCCAGGCTGGAGTGCAATGGCGCGATCTCAGCTCACCGCATCCTCCACCTCCCAGGTTCAAGCGATTCTCTTGCCTCAGCCTCCTGAATATCTGGGATTACAGGCATGTGCCACCACATCCAGCTAATTTTTTTGTATTTTTAGTAGAGACAGGGTTTTAACCATGTTGGCCAGGCTGGTCTCGAGCTCCTGACCTCATATGATCCACCTGCCTCGGCCTCCCAAAGTGCTGGGATTACAGGTGTGAGCCACCGTGCCTGAACTCTCCTAGAAGTTTTATGGTTTTAGATTATATATTAGCTCCATGATCCATTTTGAGTTCATTTTTGTGTATGGTATCAAGATTTGTATAGGGCACTTCAGGTATGGCTCAAAGTTCATTTTTTGTACATGGATATCCAATTGTTCCAACATTATTTGTTGAGAAGACCATTGTTTCTCCACTGCATTGCTTTTGCAACTATGTCAAAGATCATTTGTCCATACATGTGTGTTTTTTTTTCCTGGATTGTCTATTGTGTTCCATTGATTTAATTGTTGATCTTTATGCCAACATTATGCTGTCTTTACTGTAGAAAGACAAGAAAAAGGCAAGAAAAAATAAGTCATAAAATCAGGTGGCTTTTATTTATCTTCTGACTTCTTTTTAAGGTAATTTTGACTATTCTACGTCCTTTGTACTTTCCTATGAATTTTAGAGTAAGCTTGTCAATTTCTCCAAAAGTGCTTGCTGGGATTTTGATTAGGATTGCACTGAATTTGTAGCTCAATTTTAGGCAAATTGCTATCTTAACAATACTGAGTCTTTTGAACCATGAGCCATGGAATAGCTCTCCATTTAGTTTGGTTTTCTTATATTTCTCTCAACAATGTAGTTTTCAGTTACAGATCTTGCATATCTTTTGTCAAGTACAGAACATCTTTGTCTTAGGATACTAAGTAGTTTGTTTTTTAATGCTGTTGTAATGGTATTGTTTTTAAAATTTCATTTTCTGGGTAATTGTTAATATTTGCCAATTCAGTTGATTTTTGTATACTGCCTTGTATTGTGCAAATTTGCTAAATTTCTTAATGTTAGCTGCTTTTTTGAAGACTCCATGACATTTTCTACATAGCTAATCCTGTTGTTTGTGAGTAAAGATAGTTTTATCTGCTTTCCAATCTAGATGACTTTTCTTTTATAATTTTATTTTTATAGATTTAGAGGGTACAAGCATGGTTTTGTTAAATAGGTATATTAAGGTAGTGGCGAAGTCTGGGCTTGGAGCGTACCCATCACCTGAATAGTATACACTACATTCAGTAGGTAATTTTTCATCTCCCTACCTCCCTCCCACTTTTGGAGTCTCCAATGTCTATTATTCCATTCTGTATGTCTGTGTGTGTTTATCATTTAGCTCCCATTTATAAGTGAGAATATATAATTTAGAAACTTTCTGTTTTCAAGTTATTTCACTTAGGATAATGGCCTCCAGTTCTATCCATGTTGCTGCAGAAGGCATTATTTCATTATTTTTTATGGCTGAGTAGCATTCCAAGGGATACATATAAATATATCACATTTTCTTTCTTTCTTTTCTTTTTTCTTTTTTTCTTTTTTAGATGGAGTGTCACACTGTCACCCGGCTGAAGTGCAGTGGCACGACCTAGGCTCACTGCAACCTCTGCCTCCCCGGTTCAAGTGATTCTCCTGCCTCAGCCTCCCAAGTAGCTCCGATTACAGGCATCTGCCACCATGCCCAGCTAATTTGTTGTATTTTTAGTAGAGATGGAGTTTCACCATGTTGGCCAGGCAGGTCTTGAACTCCTGACCTTGTGATTCACCCGACTCAGCCTCTCAAAGTGCTGGGATTACAGGTGTGAGCCACTGTGCCCGGCCACCACATTTTTTTTATCCAGTTGTCCATTGATGGACACTTAGGCCACTTCCATGACTTAGCTATTATGAATTGTGCTGTGATAAACATATGAGTGCGGGTGTCTTTTTGATATAATGTAGATGGCTTTTCTTTTTCTTGCCTTACTGCACTGGTTAGAATCTTCAGTACAGTGGTGAATTGAAATGGTGAAAGCAAACATATTTTACTTCTTCCTGAACTTAGGGGGAAATCATTCAGTTTTTAATAATTAAAAATGATATTAGCTATAGGTTTTTTGTAGATGTCTTTTATCAGGTTAAGGTAGTTCTCTTACTAGTTTGCTGGAGAGTTTTAGTCAGGGATGGATATTGAATTTTGTCAATATCAAATGCTTTTTCTGCATCCTTGGAGATGATTGTGTTGTTTGAAGAAACAAGCTAGCTTTGTAGACTACAAAAAATGGGAACAGAAGTTAAATTATTTATAATAATACCCTTAACTTATGATTCTCCAGAATAGGGGTCAGCAAAATTTTTCCATAGTACATATTTCTTGTAGTAAATATTTCAGATAATATTTTTGGCTTTGCAGGACTCATACAGTATCTGTCACTTATACTCCTTTGTTTTGTTTATTTTTTAAATATACCTTTAACAATTTTTTAAAAACCTATTCTTAGCTCACATTAAAAAATTTAGGTCTGGCCACTTGAGATGAAAATGTCTTTTACATTATTAAAGAGTTGGTTTTATAGTTGAAAAAAAGACGCATTATGTAGCCAGCAAAGCCTAAAATATCTACTATCTGGCTCTTTATAGAAAAAGTTTACCAACTCTCTGTTCTAAAATATAGTCACAAAATACTTTGAAAGGATATTAACATTTTCATATTTTTCAAGAGCAATTCATTGGAGAAACAGTGGTTTTCTGCATATGGGCTGGATTAAATTAAGCCAAGGTATAAGTCAGATAATCAGTGGCAGCTTTTTCTCATCTGTGGTACTAGTCTCCAAACTGGGAAATTTTTAAACGAGGGTGTGATTATTAAAAGCATGAAATGTGAATAAGCAGCTGAGTATCTCAATTTATTAGTTTGAAATTAATTCATGGTAACTCTGATTTCTCAGAGACTGAAAAACTTGGCTCCTTGGTTTAGAAGCAGTACTGGCTGAAACTTAGTTCTTTGGAAATACACAAGGTATAGTCTTGACTTGAGTCTTTAAACCAACACTTAAATAGCAGTAATGATATTCCAGGCATTATTCTAAGGGTTTTATGCTCTGGGCCTGTCTCCTGTTCTATACAAGGAGGATGACAATGATACTAATAATAGCCCTGTCATGGGGTTGCTGAGGGGATTACATATGGTTAACTTGTAATGCATATATGTAGTAAATGTGGTTAACTTGTCATGCAGTGCTGGGGCCAGAATCTGGTTCCTAACTCAGTACCATGCTATTTCTCCAATACATTCAGTGCCCCTTTCTCAGCTTCTGCCCTTTCCCTCTGGTCTTCCTCTCCAAGCCTTTTAGTGGTCCACAAATACTGATAGAGGTGAGATGTAACCAAAAAGTCCCATTTGACTCCCTTTTTAGCAAACTACAAGATTTATAGCACTTGTAAAGCAACATTCAATTTTAATTTGTGGTACAGAATAATGTTTGATCAGTGTTCATTTAAATATTGATTTAGTATCTCTTCAAGAATTCAAAACCTTATGAGTGAGGAGGGCCCGAATGTTTTAGAGAAAGACAGAGGAAGACACAGAGATAGTGAGACAAGAATATAAAACTAAACAAACTAAGAGTGGGCCAGGTGTGGTGGCTCACGCCTATAATCCTAGCACTTTGGGAGGCTGAGGCAGGTGGATTGCCTGAGCTCAGAAGTTCGAGACCAGCCTAGGTAACCCGGCGAAACCCCGTCTCTACTAAAAATACAGAAAATTAGCTGGACATGTTGGCATGTGCCTGTAATCCCATCTACTGGGGAGGCTGAGGCAGGAGGATTGCTAGAACCCGGGAGGCAGAGGTTGCAGTGATCTGAGATCATGCCACTGCACTCCAGCCTGGGTGACAGAGCGAGATTCTGTCTCTTAAAAAACAAAACAAAACAAAAAACAGAAAAAAAAGAAACTGAGAGTGAAGAAAGCTTTTACTCTTTTGTTTTCCTCTGACCTGAAAACAAACTTGAAATTTGGAAGTAGCCAAAGAGCTTTCCTTAGTTTGGATTCATCTGAATCCATTTTAAGCTGTTTGTGTTTTTTCCAAATGAACCTCTCTAGGTAACCATTGACTGCATATTAATTATGATACTGAGTACTTTTAAAGGTCAAGAAGCAAAATAACCAAAATCAAAACATGTCATTCAGTGTAAACTACCTCCGCACATTCATTCCCCCTAATGTGCACATCACCTGAGACACTTGATTTTCTTCCTGGGAAATGGGCAGGGACCCATCTGTCCAATGCTCAGTGCCACACAGATCCATACCACTACGTTACTCCTGTGGCTCGTTCCGTGCACCACTCTGGACCGGGCCTGATTTTATTCTCCCACAGACTCATGGTTCTTGTTTTCCCCACTCTTTATAAATGCAATGCTTTCTTATCAAGCCCTTATTTATACGGCTTTACTTATTATACTAGCATTTGACATATAAGGTAACTAGGGAAAACTACGCCTTTTCATTTTTTCTTGGGCTTTTAGAGAACTCATGCAATATAACCTACCAAGCATCTAAACCGCCTTTACCCACACTTGTGCTTTTCCAGGTACCCAGGCTCTGAAATGGCAACTCGTAATACACTACCTCCATTTAAAAGTTCCATCCCTGATGTCTTTAGCTATTGATCACTCAAATGCATTGTCTAAAGTAGCTTTAGTTCTCTCTCTTACCTTACTTCTTAGAGCAGAAGAGAGAGGTTCTACTATAAAAGAAATACATCTTCATTTTAGTAAAACCAGAAAATTCAGATCAGCAAATAAAGAAATATTAGAATCACCTCTAATCCCAGTCATCCGGAGTTAACTTGCTGGTGTCATTTTCCTGGATATTCTCATACTGTTTACCCATGTATAGTTTTTTTTTTTTTTCAAAAATTGGATACTTAGTACAATACTGTCTTGTAATCTTTTTCTTTTATTTTTTCTGAGTTTCTAATCTTCTACGACACTGATTTTAATGATTTTATTACAGAGGTGTGTTTTTCTTTATTTAACAAATCTACTGTTGTCCACAGGTCCCATTCCAGGAGGCTTTTCATATAGAAGATGAGTGGACACCAACTAGAGACACTGGAGCAAGGGCCCCACAGTGTGACATTTGGTTGTCTCTTGATGGGGGAGGGAAAGTGTGCTTTTGTGTACAAGTATGAGATAGGTGGATTCTATCATGTGGAGGATATTGCTTCTCAGCCTTTTGGCTAAGATCAAGTGTAGTATCATGAGGAGTTTTCTTCGAAATTGTGGATTTCCACTTATGTAACTAGTGGTGCTATTATGTGCCCAGCACGAAGGTATGTAAATGTTGCATTAAAACCTTCTTGAGGTGGCCGGGCGCAGTGGCTCACACCTGTAATCCCAGCACTTTGAGAGGCCAAGACAGGCAGATCACAAGGTCAGGAGTTCGAGACCAGCCAGACCAACATGATGAAACCCCGTCTGTACTAAAAATACAAAAATTAGCCAGGCATGGTGGCGGGTGCCTATAATCCCGCTACTCGGGAGGCTGAGGCAGGAGAATCACTTAAACATGGGAGGCGGAGGTTGCAGTGAGCCGAGATTGTGCCACTGCACTCCAGCCTAGGCAACAGAGTGAGACTCCATCTCAAAAAAAAAAAAAAAAAAAAAAAAGAAAACCTTCTTGAGGTGTTTGCCATCTCACAATGTATTTATTTCAAAGTGATGCCAAGGAGCTATAATAAAGTGTACTTATGATGACATATGATCTGACAAAGCACTTATTTGTGTGAAATGTCTTTCAAACACAATACAAATTAAAGACTATTTAGTTCTATATGTAGTAAAGATTTCTTCTTACTATCTAGGATGCAAAAATGTCATGTGATTTCGAGCCCTCACTTGTAAAGGGCTGCAAGAAGTATTATATTTTGTGTTACTATTGGAGGATCTTTCACTGTTTAGACTGTACCAGGGCCTCGGGTCTGAACTCTGAGAAAAGGGTAAAGGGAATGTGGTCATCTTTGGTCTTAGTCCATTGGGTTGTTTGGAAGATGCCCCTGTCCAGGCCCTGTAGTTTTTTTTTTTTTTTTTTTTTGAGATGGAGTCTCCCTCTGTCGCCCAGGCTGGAGTGCAGTGGCGCAATCTCGGCTCACTGCAATCTCTGCCTCCCAGGTTCACGCCATTCTCCTGCCTCAGCCTCCCGAGTAGCTGGGACTACAGGCGCCTGCCACCACGCCCGGCTAATTTTTTGTATTTTTAGTAGAGATGGGGTTTCACCGTGTTAGCCAGGATGGTCTCGATCTCCTGACTTCGTGATCCACCCGCCTTGGCCTCCCAAAGTGCTGGGATTACAGGTGGCCGTGTAGTTTTAATTCAGCCAACCCCACCTGTGGCTCCACTCCCCCGGGGCAGGGCTGGGCTGGCTACAGTGAACGTACTTCACTGCTGCTCTCAGTAGTTCTGTGCACGGCCACAGCCTACTCACTGGATCATGATGCTTTCCCCTTTCCAAGATGCCCCTGCCTCAGGGATGCCCAATGTGAATAGGCTGGCATTGTTAGCTACTGTCAGAACTGGAAGTCCCAGCTGCCAAACTCCATCTTTTCCTCAACTTGGATAATTCATCCTTAGAACCTTGTTGGGCCCCTGTCACCCAATCGATGGCAGTGGGAGAGAAGGAGATTCTTCAGATTAGCTCATCCTACCTGCTTCGAAACGCACAAGTGGTGTCACCTTTCACCGAGGAGCGAGAAAAATATAACTCAAGACAAATATCTGACTGCCTTTCTATAAAGAAAGGGAGATTTTTAACTTTTCTTTTGTTAAAGCACCCCAATCAGTGAAAATGAACAACTTACCCTGTCACATGTGTTACTGTATCCAGTGTTTGTCCATCACAGACAGGAGCTTCCATTTATGCAAACCTTTCTACACCCCAGACAACATTATTCTAAATGATTTTCTGTTTTTTATTCATTTAATTCTCATGGCCCCAGTATTCCACCCACATTATTACAAATTATGAAACTGAGGCACTGAGAGTTTACATTATTTGCCCAGGAACATATAGTTACACAAAACTATTTTGTGTCATGAAAGAAATAATACAGTTGGAAATGTCTGAGAAAAAGCTTGACATTTAGTACCCCTGTTACAATCTTCAATAATTAAGGTTTTAATGTTTATCTGTTTGGTGTGGGTCCGTAAGAACGAGGTGGGACAAAGAATATAACTTCAGCATAACTTCAAAATTTTGGCTTTGATAGAACTTGGAAGTGATACAAATGTTTTGCAAAACATGGAGAAGATAGCTTTCCTCCTCAAAGAGCAACGTTTATAATCTTGGTTTCGCCTTCTTGATGGAGTTGTTGATTTATTTATTTATTTATTTTTTGTCACTGCTTTCTGGGAATCCCCTTCCTTGCCTACTACTCTCTCAAAGGGAGCATCTTTACAGCACATAGAACTCTGAAGACTAGAAGGCACAGGGACTTGGCAGATTGTGCTAGCAGTCTTTGAAGAAATTGCATTTAAAGGAAATGCAAACCGCAGAGAAAATTGACATTTTAAGAGAAAACATTTTTCTAAGCTAAACCAAGTTTTGTCATTTACAATATTTATTGTGGAGAAGAAAAAAACATTTTCATAAAAAATATTTCATAGCTCTTTTTCTCAATTTCTTTAAGCAGCAACTGTTGTTCTTTAGCAACTCTTGGAAAGCCTAAGGGATGAAGCAGAGCTCTAGCTCAACTGGGGAACTTTCATAACTCCCAGGGATGGAAACAGACTTGGAAGAATACTCTAATCCAGAGCAGAGGTATAGAGGCAACCTCTGGATGCTGTGCTGTGAACAGTTGACTCAGATCCTATGATGATTCCTGTCTACGTCCATCATGAATGTTGCCCCATCTTATCAAACTGAGTTGAATGGACATTGCTGGCAGTAGCAACAACAATAGGAATATTGTCATACCTTTGCTTGCCATGTTAATCAACCAAGTTAATGTGATTTATCTCTAACGTCCCAGGTTAAATACCACTATTTCCTGTAGTGTTTCCTGTCTTTCCGAGACAAAATTGACACTCTTGAGTTTCCCAAAACACTTGTCACACACTCCCATGTTTTGATTTAATAGGTCTATATTCTCTCCTAAACTGAGCTTTTTGAGAGCAACAACTAAGATTTATCTCTGATTTTGCAGTACTTGCTGGCAATTTAGGAACTAAATTGTTGAAATATATGTCTAATACCAAGGATGATGCTAACATAAGTGACATCTGATTTTTGTGTTTTGTTTTGTTTTTTAGCCTCAGTTCCTCCAAGACTACCCTTTACCTTGTTTTCTGTCCTCTTAATGCCTGTGGCCATCTGCTTCTGGATTCTTTGTTTTCCCTTAGGCAATGTTTCTCAGACTTCCAATGGAAACATCAGAAATATCAAATGCTTGTTAAAGCGCACCCCTCAATATCTGGAGATCTGGTGTGAACTGAGATTTATTGGAGTTTCATACTTCCTCTAAAACATTAATCTAAATTTTTTGTATGTTCTACTACATGTAATACATTTTCCCATAAAACTTCTGAAAATTTTACATAGTTTCATAGTCCCAAAGAGAGTAGTTTGAGAATCATGGTGCTAAGCAGTTAATAACTATGAGCTGATTACAGCCCATGTGAGTGCCTTCCTACGATGGCATCAGATGGCACTCTACGAGGAAGGATTTCTGAAATCTGGGAAACAAGAGAGAATTTGGAGGGAATCACCTTATTAGTTGTATCTTATTCTGCCTAACCAAAAGTTGTTACTGACAGGGACTTTGGAGTTGGTTTGTAACACAAGCTTCACTCTATTGTTAATTGCTGACAATATATTATAGACTGCTGAGAAGAGGATTATAACTGAGATGTATTTAGCGTTCTCTGAAATTCTGTACACATTATCTAATATTATTGTCTTAGTTCATGATGATCCTAAAATAATAGATGGAAATATTGTCAACCTACCTGTTTTATTTTAAGAAAAACCCATCTCCTTAATTGAATATACTTCCCCTAGAGTTAAGTTTTTATATTTCCAAGGTGTTAGTTTTAACTGTGTATTTAACCAAGAGAAATAGCCCCCACTTGCTAGCTAACTTCTTTTTTTTTCTTATTCATTCTTGTGATATATAAAGAAATGTTATACAACAATGGAAGTGAACAAAGTGGGGCTTCATCTACGTTTATGAATGAATCTCACATCAGGTTTAATTAAAAAGGAAGTTGTCAAAGAATATATACAGTATGTTACTATTAATGTGAAGTGTAAAAACATATAGGACCAAATAATATATTATGTAGGAATACGCACACACACATTAAAATTACAAAGATAAGCAAGAGAATAATAAACTGAAAACTCAGGATGTAGTTAACTCTGGTGGGGAGGAGGGAGAAGAGAGGAAGGGACATGTCATGAGGGAGGGTAATACATGTGTCTGCAATTGCATGGCAAATACTCTCTCTTTTTAGCTGGGTAATTGGTAAATGAGTTTGTTACATTATATCTTACATTATGCATATGATTGCATGCATAAAATATTATATAATTCAAATACTGAAAAAAGGAAAATGTGAAAGCGATATAATGTGATGGAAAAGCAAAAGTATGTCTTCAGGAAGGATTTTACAATTGGAATAGCTCCTAGGTCAACATTTTGGTGCCAATGATGAGTAAGAAAATAGAATACTTGTAAGATGGGCTGCTGTTCCTAGTCTTTTGTCCTTCAATATTTCAAACTTAAAGACCTATTTATCTTATAAAAGTAAGATAATATTTAATTCCAAGTCTAAAATAAAATATTAAAATATATAATGGACCAACTACAATCAAGAAGTTGTTTAGGGATCAAATAAAACAAATTGTTTTTATACAGTAACATGATAGAGATAAAAGTAACTTTTACCTTAGGCTTGCATATGCATCAAATTGAACAAAAGTCTCATCAATTACTTGGATTAAGATAAAAGCATGATAATAAATTACTTGTATGGCTAGGTGCTGTAGTCAATGCCTGTAATCCCAGCACTTTGGGAGGCTGAGGCGGGAGGATCACTTGAGCCTAGAAGTTCAAGACCAGACTGGGCAACATAATGAGTCCCCATCTCTACAAAAAATTTTTAAAAACTAGCCAAGTGTGGTGGCATGTGCCTGTGTTCCCAACTACTTAGGAGGCTGAGGTGGGATGAACACTTGAGTCCAGGAGGTTGAGACTGCAGTGAGCTGTGATCATGCTGATTCACTCCAGCCTGGGCGACAGAGCGAGATCCTGTCTCAAAAAAAAAATTACTCTTACAAGACAAATCAGTCTGTAAATTTGAAATACTAAAAGACAATTTCTTTGACTTAAGGAGATTTAAGCAATAATGACTACAGCATCTATAACAAGAATTAAGGCAACAATAGTTATGTTAAGACAGATCACACAGTAAGAATATATTCAGTTATATAGAATGAAGTTTTAAAAAACATGTACTGGTTTCTTACCATATTTCCTTTTAAACAAGAATATGGATAATTAAAATATATTCTCAAAGGAAAGTAAATTTAAATGCGTAACCTGTTCATTCAATAAATACTTATTTTTCACTTGTTATGCAGATGAGGATTACAGATAGTTCTTGACCTCAATTTACCTAAATGCTGATTTAAGAGACTTGACATGTAAACCTATACATGGAAAAGCTATGTGAGACAAATCCAATTCTAGCAGACATTTGATTGTCTCCTATGTGCTAGTATTGAACAAGGTGCTCAGGTGGAGATGAAAATCAAAATTTCCCTTCTTCAGTGAGTCCAGTAAGAAAGATAGGCAGGGGTAAGAAATAAGCAATTGGCATAGAGTATGCAAAGTGCTGGAATAGCAGGGTGTGAGGCTATAGTAGCGCAGAGAATAGGCACATGCTCTAGCCTGAGGAGATTAGGGAAGGCTTTCAGAAAGAGGTGATACTTGAACTTCATTAGGAAATGAATGAGTTATGACACAGATAAAGAACGAGCATTACAGGGAGAGGAAGCAGCATATGCAAAGGCATACAGATGAAAGAATATGGACTTTCTGGGAATGGCCAGCACAGTGACAGAACTAACAAACCTAGTGGGTATGGCAAATGAAGCTGGAGATATTGGTAGGGAGGAGTCAGATCACAGGATTCTCGTACACTAGGCAAAGGGGTTTGGGCTTTATCCTGAAGGCAATGGGGAGCCACAGAAGGCTGTGAAGAGGGGGAGTGAGTGATGTGGTCAGGTTTGTGTTTTAGCTCCTTCTAGAAGCAATGGTGATGAGAGATGGGAGTGGAGGCTGACTAAGGCAGCACCAAGAGGCAGGCACACAGACAAGGAAATTCAAGCCATGGGAATGGAATGTTTCCCTCAGGGAAGCCGGACAGAGTGAGAAAAGGGGACTGAGGGAAGAACTCTAGGTAACAGCAGCATCTCAGGGCAGGACTGGCTACCCAATGGATGGGTCTGGCACAAAATGGAGCCCCTTTTCTCAAAGGCAAAATAAGTATATTGTTAAAGTTAAAGTGTTTTTCTTTCTCCTGCTGTCTCACTCTCAACCTGTCATACTCTTTTTTTACTTGTTATTTAATGGGATGCTCTCTTGAAGATGGGGATACTGGTGGGATGAGTACAGACCCTCACAGGTACCTGCGGATTCACCCTAGACTTGGCATGAGCTCCTGCCTCATGTGCTGTCCATCCCCGTTCAGTCAGCCACTGGACTGATGTGCTGTGCCCCAGCCAGGGGTGGAGAAGTAGAGTCAGACATCTCCCCTTCCCATGACTTGTTGTCCCCAATTCATGGTGAATAGACAATCCCTATAGGTGTAGCAGCCTCTTTTCCGAATGCACTGTGTGCACAAGAGCCAGTGAAAAGCTTGTCCCCTGCTGAGTCCTTTGTGAAAAGTGCTGTGGCACCAAGCATTAAACCCTTCTAAGTGAGGTCCCTGTCCAGCTGCACTGATCCCACTCATGATGCCAGGCCTTTCTCAGGGTGGACAAAAGCAGAGAAGTCTCATTATTAAGATAGAAAAACAACCTGGGAGGAGTATGTGGCCTAAAAGAGGAATTTTTTGTTTGTTTGTTTTTTTAAGAAAACTTGTTTCATAAAGTTTTTAAAGAGCCATGCTTTCAAATATACTTTATATACTTAGTATACTTTAGCAAATTAAATCTTTTTCAAAGTTTAATGTGAGAAACGTAATCAAAAGAAATAAGTAATAATAATTGCTAGCACTTCTTTAGCCCTATTTGTCAGGTGTTTTACATACTTACGTCTAATTCTCATAAGATGGACACTAGAGAAGCTATAAGCCCAGTTTTTAGATGAGAAGATTGAGGCTTGAAGAGTTTTAATTAAGTTGCCCCAAGTAACTAGAGTAGAAAGTGGTAGAGCCAGAATTGGGAAGTCAAGTGTGAGAGAGTTCAAATTCACACTCTTCCCCGCCACACTACCCTGCTTCCATCTTTCTTCGGTTTAGAGGAAACTCATAAAAGGGCACATATTCTATCTTAGGGAGGCCCTGAAATCCTTCCGTAAGGAGGCAACTCTTGAACAGAATAACAAGGGATGGACAGGGATTTTGAAGAAAGCTGGGACACGAAAGGACTTTTCAGGCACAAGGAACCGCAAATGTAAGTTATGAGTAAGAGAATATAACGCTTCAGGGACTGAGAATCAAGGGCACTTTGAGGCTTACAAAATGCTTTTAGCTGCAAGTTTTCCTTCCATATTCAACACAGGGATTTTATTATCTTCCCCCTTGTGTCGATGAAAACAAGATCACAGCAAGGTTAAATGCTGTACCCAGGTACACAGATCAAGAAAATTGCTGAGCTCAGCCTTCTGATGCCAGATCCTGTGTTCCTCCTTCTCTGCTCGACTCTGCGAGCAGGGCTGTGGCACACTACGCTTACTTTTCTTTCTTCATGTCTTTCTTGCCCTCCTTTCCTTCTCTTCCAATTCCCTCCCTGGCTTACACCCATTTTTTTTTGACTTATGTTGTATATATTTTTATAAGCTAGCTTAAAGCATTTTCCACCAAAGCTGGGTATACATTAAAACACGTGTGTGTGTGTGTGTGTGTGTACACACACAATAGAAAAAGCACTCAAAAGCTTACCTCAGAAACAAACATATCCACTGTTACTAGGTTTATATTCCACTTCTGGTCCAAAGCATCCACATTTTCACCCAGGCATGATGTCAGGTGTAGATGTAATGTTCTGTTTTCCTTTTTGTCCATTGAATGCAATATGAAAATCAAGTTTCCATGTTACTACAAAGCTATGATGCAATGGAGAATATCCTGGGTAATAAAATGTCTTTCAAAGGTCCCACCTATATTATGGTGGTTTCCTGTGGACTTCTACATAAAGTGTAGTATCCTGAGCCCCAGAAGTTAGAGCTGGGTGAGGTTGGCCATGGGACCAAGTCATCTTCAAGTTTTTAATACTTTGGAGTTCATTTTAGGCCTGTGGATTTTATCATTCTTTTCAAATTATCTGATCTCCACCCTGAGGGAGTGAAAAGGAGATCTCTTCTGTGGTCGATGATAATTTAGGTCTTTTTATGCAGCTCTGAGAGCAACAAGTGGAAAGCTTAAAGGCTGCCTAGACTTGTGGTTGTTGGTTGTGAGACACCTGTTCCCCTAATGCCACTCCCAAGGAGGTTGAACCAGCATTGTGAAAGGGCTTGGAATAGGACTACTGCCAGGGACTCTGCTAGGACCTGCCCCAGACTCTATAGCTCAGCATGTAATACTGAGCTATTGGGTCTGATAGGATGTCATGAGCCAAAGAGGCTTTAAACTCCCTGAGAACTGAAGACAGGCCTATGTGTAATAAACCAATTCTTAAAGGAGATACACCTGCCAGATTGGAATCTCAGGAGTTTAGGGACTGATATATCAAAGTCTCATACATTTTTGACTTGCTGACAGGGTACTTGACACATGTTAGAGTCCCCTTAAATACTTTCTGGAAAGAATTAACCAAGCTGGCTACTGGAGAAAAGCAGCGGCTGAATGTGTCACTTAGGCATTTCCCTAATCCATGAGTGGCTGCAACTCAAGGGGTCCCTGAGGGAATCCCTGACCTGAAGCTCCAGCACCTTTGCCAAGAGGCTGGGGAAGCCCCTGCCTGGAAGTTAGAGAATCCGTGACTGAGAACCCAGGAACTCTTGCTTAAGCGTTGGACAAACGCTGGAAACAGGATACTTTGAGGCTAAGAAAAGCATCAGGCTTTTATTTCCGGATGGCCCTTCCTCTCCACATCTTACTGGGACAATGGGTTGGGAGAAAAGTTACTTTTTTTTTTTTTTAATCAATTGTTAATTGTAGAGGAAGAAAAAGAATCAATTAAGAAACGTTAAGCTGTTTGAGGTATGAGAAGCAAGAAGTCACTGGCCTGAACCAGACACAGAGAGAGCTTTGGAGGCAGGGGAGAGGAGATTCATAGCAAAGACTGAATTAGTTGAAAAGTGTTCTTTTCACAATTAATGTAACGGTGATAGAGCTTAAAGCATGGGCAAGGCAAAAGCCAGCTCTTCAGTCAGGTGCCAGAGGGGCTTCCTCATGTGCTGCTGTGGCTGTGGCTTCTGTAGGAGACCCTTTACCTTTGTGATCTCCCCCAGATTTCCAGGTGCCTGTAGTGAGAGGTGACAGCATGCTGGCAGCCCTTGCAGGCCTCGCTCGCTCTTGGCGCCTCCTCTGTCTGGACTCCCACTTTGGCGGCACTTGAGGAGCTCTTCAGCCCGCTGCTGTACTGTGGGAGCCCCTTTCTGGGCTGGCCAAGGCCGGAGCCAGCTCCCTCAGCTTGCAGAGAGGTGTGGAGGGAGAGGCGCAAGCGGGAACCGGGGCTGCGCGCAGCGCTTGCGGGCCAGCTAGAGTTCCCAGTGGGCGTGGGCTTGGCGGGCCCGCACTCGGAGCAGCCCGCTGGCCCTGCCGCCCCGGGCAATGAGGGGCTTAGCACCCAGAGCCAGTGGCTGCAGAGGGTGTGCTGGGTCCCCCAGCAGTGCTGGCCCACCGGCGCCGTGCTCGATTTCCTGCCGGGCCTTAGCTGCCTCCCCCAGGGGCAAGGCTTGGGACCTGCAGCCTGCCATGCCTGAGCCTCCCCGCTTCCGTGGGCTCTTGTGCGGCCCGAGCCTCCCCGACGAACGCCCACCCCTGCTCCACGGTGCCCAGTTCCATTGACTACCCAAGGGCTGAGGAGTGCGGGCGCACAGCACAGGACTGGCAGGCAGCTCCACCTGCAGCCCTGGTGCAGGATCCACTGGGTGAAGCCAGCTGGGCTCCTGAGTCTGGTGGGGACATGGAGAACCTTTATGTCTAGCTAAGGGATTGTAAATGCACCAATTGGCACTCTGTATCTAGCTCAAGGTTTGCAAACACACCAATCAGCACCCTGTGTCTAGCTCAGGGTTTGTGAATGCACCAATCCACACTCTGTATCTAGCTACTCTGGTGGGGCCTTGCAGAACTTTTATGTCTAGCTCAGGAATTGTAAACACACCAATCCACACTCTGTATCTAGCTAATCTAGTGGGGACGTGGAGAACCTTTGCGTCTAGCTCAGGGATTGTAGACGCACCAATCAGTGCCCTGTCAAAACAGACCACTCAGCTCTACCAATCAGCAGGATGTGGGTGGGGCCAGATAAGAGAATAAAAGCAGGCTGCCCTAGCCAGCAGTGGCAACCCACTCGGGTTTTCCTCCACTCTGTGGAAGTTTTGTTCTTTCGCTCTTTGCAATAAATCTTGCTGCTGCTGCTCACTCTTTGGGTCCACAGTGCCTTTATGAGCTGTAACACTCACTGCGAAGGTCCGCAGCTTCACTCCTGAGCCAGCCAGACCACGAGCCCCACCAGAAGGAAGAAACTCCGAGCACATCCGAACATCAGAAGTAAGAAACCCCGGACCCGCCGCCTTTAAGAACTGTAACACTCACTGCGAGGGTCCGCGGCTTCATTCTTGAAGTCGGGGAGACCAAGAACCCACCAATTCGGGACACAGTAGTCTGGGCTGTCAAGAAACGCTGTGTGTGCTCTGCTTGAGGGCTGTGCAGGGCAGTCAGGGTAAAGACAACCGAAATGCTGGACATGGTGTAGTTAAGCAGGGAGAGAGTTGCCAGCCCCAACCTGTGGCAAGCAATTGCTGGTCAGCAAATCAACAGAGTTTTTGTTTTTTGTTTTTTTCCCACTGAGAGCTGAGCTGCTTAGAATTGAACTGATGATATCACAAGACAACTCATTATTAGGAAAATCTAAATTTATAAAAAATTTGCTGCAGTGGGGGAGAATTCTACTTTGACAAGGTTAGCAAGTGTCTTAGGAGGAGAAAGTCAGGAGTTGGGTATTTTTAGGGCTTTCATTTTAGGGAACTGATGGGACTGGGCTAAGTTTGCCACAGAATAGTTCAGGATTGGTGGACACAGAGAAGCCAGGGTCTTCAAATAAGTCTTTGTAAGTAAGCTGTTGTCTGAAATGCCTGTTGCTCAGATAAGTAGACTGTTGCCTCCAATAAGTTGATTGTGAGGAATTTCCAGTAACAAACAATGTAGTTATTTATTGGTTTACAGACATCGTTCCTGGGCAAGGCCTTCCTAGAATAAACAAAATCATGTCATAGGTCACTTATAATCTAATGAATTATATTTCAAATGTTCTCAATTTTCATCAGGTGGCTTTCCCGGAACGGCACGAGGAAGTTCCAGATTTCGTGTCAGCACTCAGTACCCATGCAAGTAGTGCCTAAAGGAGCCAGCTAAGGACAAAGGGGGTAGTAGAAAGGGATGAAGTTTTTGAGGCTTTTGTACTTGCAGGATATATTTGGAGTATAGACTTTGGAGAACACAGAGTAATCAAATGTTGGGAGGCAGTCTTGACTTTCGATTACTAGAAAACAGAAAGAAGGAGGGGCGGGGAGACTAAGGCACATAGCATTAGAAATCTGTAGGATGTGGTAAGCCAGAAGCCTACTGAGAGTGAAATTGCAGTAGGGTAAGACTTCATTCCTAAGGACAAACCACTTGGGGTTCACACTGAGTGAAGATCTGTACTCCTGAAGCTGTTAGCTTATTGATGGTAGTTAGAAGAATTTAAGGGAGACTCTGGAGAAAACTAAAATGAAATTATGGTAGGATGAGACTTGGATGGTGCCAGGAAGAAGGAACTAACTCCTTCTATCTGCCCCATGGGGGAAGTGGTTAGTGGTGCTCTTCCCTTGTGTTGCCACAGCATTGCCCCTTGGCCACTCAGATTTCTGATTCACAGCATAAAAAAATAAAATATTGGATGAGACAGAACAAGACTTAGACACACAGAGAGAAGCATCAAATAACTAGAATTGAGGCAGCTGCTGGAAAGAAAAAAAGAAAAAAGTTTAAAAATGCAGCCACAGAAATAGGTGGACAGGTGTACTAGGCCAAACTTGGGTACAGATTACGGTCTGTGAAAGAGTAAAAGAATAAATGACTCAGAGAGAGAAAGGCACAGATTCAAATCTGTAGGATGACCATGAACACCAAACTATATCTTACTTCCTCTCTTTCTCCTTCCTTCCTTATTTTCTTTCTCTTTTTGTAGCCATTGCATGCCTAATATATGCAGGGCTAGGAGCCACAAGTAAAATACAATAGAATGCAGAGATAATTCTAATCTATGAAGACTTGAGTACAAGGTTATGTTGGTGGGTACACTTTTCCCAAAGTTTTTTTCATTTATGCAGGAACAAGGGGAGGGCTAAGAGACTTGAAGATCTCATGCTGAGCCCAGGTTGTCTTACTGGTTGATAAGCTGCCAAGGGCAAAGGGTCAAGAGGTAACCAGGTTGGCTGAGGACTCAGATCTTCAAGGTGCTGGCAACCATATTGATGGTAGTGGGTTTTACTAGGCAGGGGGCCCTCTGATCCCTCCTGCCCATATCCAAAGACAGAACAAGGGATTGATCAGGTGAAGTTTTGCCTCCCTCTGTCCTCAGTCAGTTCATACAATTGAGGGTGGTCAGATTATGTCTCTTTCTTGGCACTTGCTCCTCTTTTTTGCCACACAGAGATAAAATAAAGGGGGAAGAAAATTTGAGAAAATTGTGTAAAAGGCCAGGTGTGGTGGCTCACATCTGTAATCCCAACACTTTGGAAGGCCAAGGCGGGAGGATTGCTTGAAGTCAGGAGTTTGAGACCTGCCTGGGCACAAAATGAAACCCCTGTTTCTACAACATTTTTTTTTTTTTTTAATTAGCCAGGTATGGTAGTGCATGCCTGTAGTCCCAGCTACTAGGGAGGCTGAGGTGGGAGGATCACCTGAGTCCAGGAATTTGAGGTACAGTGAGCTATGATTCCACCACTGAACTTCAGCCTGGGAGACAGAGCAAGACCTTGTGAATGAAAGAAAAGAGAAAGAGGATGATAGAAAGAAAGGAAGGAAGGAGGGAAGGGAGAAAGGAAGAAAGGGAGAAGGAGAGAAAGAAAAGAAAGGAAAGAGAAAGAAAGGAAGAAAGAGAAGAGAGGGAGGGGAGGAAGGAAAGAAGGAAGGGAAGAAAGAAAAATTGTGTATAACTAGAAATCCTCTTAAAGTGACAGAAAGGAAGTTGAAAGAAACATTTTCATGTGCCTAATTTGCATCACAGATAAGATTCCTGTTCCAGAGGAAGAGACAGTTTCATACAAAGCTGAGAGTGTAACTCTTTAAGTGGAATTGGGTTGGGACCAAGGTCCTGGGTTTCATTGCCTATGGAAGAAGCCCCAGGAGGACTGTTGGGTGGTCTTATGTGGTCCTAGGAGAAGTCCACATCCTTCCACAGCATTTGGATGGGTTCAAATGAAGGAAGTTTCTGGCAGTTGAGCCATCAGAGGAAGGCCAAGGATTACCCTCTGTCCAGATTTAGGTTTGGGAAGTAGGCCATGGTTGGGGCTGGATGTTTCCAAAGGGGACATTTACAAAGCAAAAATGTAGGAAGGGCAGAATTTTAGAGTACAGGACTGTGCTTTGAATTAAATAGAATTACTCTTTAAAAAATGTGGTAATTTTTCTAAAATAGTTAATATGTTTTTTCTCTTTATAATTTTATATATATATAATAGTTATACATGTTTTGGGGTACATGTGATATTTTGATACCAGTATACAGTGTGTAGTGATCAAATCAGGGTTATTGGGATATCCATCACCTCAAATATTTATCTATTTTTTGTGTTGGGAACATTCAAATTATCTTCTGGCAAACTTGAAACATACAATAAACTATTGTTAACTATAGTTTCTCTACTGTACTATTAAATACTAGAACTTACTCCTATCTAACTGTATTTTTGCATCCCCCTAACCAATTTCTCTTTACCCCTGTCCGTTCCTTTCCCAGCTTCTGGAAGCCACCATCCTACTTTCTACGTACATGAGATCCATTTTTTTTTTTTAGCTGCCACATAAGAGTGAGAACATTTGATATTTGTTTTTCTATGCCAGACTTATTTCACTTAACATGATGACCTCCAGTTTTATCCATGTTGCCGCAAATGACAGGATTTCATTCTTTTTTAATGGGTGAATAGCATTCCATTGTGTATATATACCACATTTTCTTCATCCATTGATGGACACTTATGTTGCTTCCAAATCTTGGCTATTGTGAATAGCACTGCAAAGAACACGGGAGTGCAGATATCTCTTCGATACACTGATTTCCTTTTTGTAGGGTATATACCCAGCATTGGTATTGCTGGATCACATGGTAGTTTTAGTTTTAGTTTTTTAAGGAACTTCCATACTGTTTTCCATACAGCTGTTCTACTTCACATACCGACCAACACCATAAGAGCATTCCCCTTTCTCCATGTCGTACCAGCATTTGTTATTTTTTGTGTTTTTGGTAGTAGCCATTCTAACTGGGGTGAGATAATATCTCATTGTGGTTTTGATTTGCATTTCCCTGTGTATTAATGATGTTGAGCATTTTTTCACATACCTGTTGGTGATTTGTATGTCTTCTTTTGAAAAATGTCTATTTAGGTCTTTTGCCCATTTTAATTAATTTTTTTTTAGACAAAGTCTCTGTCACCAAGGCTATAGTGCAGTGGCACAATTATAGCTCACTGCAGCCTCAAACTCCTGGGCTCAAGCAATCCTCCCGCCTCAGCCTCCTGAGTAGCTGGGACTACAGGTGGGTGACACCATGCCCAACTAATTTTTATTTTTATTTTGTAGAGACAGAATCTTACTATGTTGATCAGGCTGGTCTCAAACTCTTCACCTTGAGCTTTCCTCCTGCCTCAGCCTCCCAAAGTGTTGCGATTACAGGTGCAAGCCACCACACCGAGGCTTTTGCCCATTTAAAAATTAGATTTTTTTTTTTTTGGCTATTGAGTTGAGTTTCCTATATATTCTTATTATTAATTTCTTTTCAGATGGAGAGTTTGCAAATATTTTCCCCATTCTTTAGGCTGTCTCTTCACTTTGTTGATTGTTTCCTTTATTATGCAGAAGCTTCTTAGCTTTATGTAATCCCATTTGTCTATTTTTGCTTTTGTTGCCTGTGCTTTTGAGGTTTTACCCAAAAAGTCTTTACCCAGACCAATTTCCCACAGCATTTTCCCAATGTTTTCTTTTGATGGTTTCATATCTTACATTTAAGCCTTTGATCCAATTCAGTTTTCTTTTCTTTTTTATTATTATCATTTTTAATGTTTTGTAGAGATGAGGCCTCCCACGGAGGCCAAGGCAGGCAGACCACTTGAGGCCAGGAGTTTGAGACCAGCCTGGGCAACACAGGAGACCTCATCTCTACAAAAGAGGTGTGACCTCATCTCTACAGGTGTGAGCCACCATGCCTTGCCTCTTTTTATTATTTCAGTTGACATAAAATAATTGCATTTATTTATGGGGTACGTAGTGATGTTTCTATGCATATAATGTATAGTGAACAGATCAGGGTAATTAGCATATCTAACGTCTCAAAAACATTTATAATTTCTTCGTGTTGGAAACACTTAACTTCCTTCCTCTAGCTATTAGAAACTTTATGTTATTGTTAACTGTAGTCATTCTACAGTGATGTAGAACACTAGAAGTTATTCCTCCTATCTAGCTATCATTTTGTATCCTTTAACAAATCTTTCCCTATCCTTTTCTTCCTCCTATCCTACTCAGCCTCTAGTGTTTTCTGTTCTACTTTTTATATCTGTGTGAGCAACATTTTTTAGCTTCCATATATGAATAAGAACAGGTGGTGTTTAACTTTCTGTTTCTGGTTTATTTCTTAATATGTCCTTCAGTTCCATCCATGTTGCTGTGAATGACAGGATTTCATTCTTTTTTATGACTGGATAGTATGCCATTGTGCATATATACCACATTTTCTTTATCCATTCATTTTTTGTTAGATACCTAGATTGATTCCAAATATTGACTATTCCAAATCAGTGCTGCAATGAGCATGGGGATTTGATCTATTTTGAGTTTAAATTTGTATATGGTGAAAGATGGGGGTCTAGTTTCATTCTTCTGCGTATATATCCAGTTTTCCTGGCACAAGTTATTAAAGAGACTGTCCTTTCCCCAGTGTATGTTCTTGGTGCCCTTGTTGAAAACGAATTGGCTGTAAGTGTGTAGATTTATTTCTGGGTTCTCTATTCTGTTCCATTCGTCTATGAGCCTATTTTTATGTCAGTACCATGCTGTTTTGGTTACTGTAGCCTTGTCGTATAATTTGAGATCAGGTAATGTGATGCTTCCAGTTTTGTTCTTTTGGCTCAGGATTGCTTTTTCTCTCTGGTGACTTTTGTGGTTCCATTTTAGGAATGGAACAGTTTTGAGATTATTTTTTCTAAAATAGAATTACTTTTATAGAAAAGTTATTTTTTTTCCATTTTGCTATGGACCAATTGCCTCAATCCTTGTTCTTACCTCCTGAATCCACTAACCTAGCTCAGCCCAGCTACTGAGGCCAACTACAATTGTTAACTTCCTTAGCAGATAACTAAGGAAAAGTTTCTGTGGTCGTCGGAAATGTAGTCTTAGGTATGGGGGTGGAGATGAGGATTGCAGATTTCCCTTGTTTGGGATAAGAAATAACCAGTATTATCTTTACATTTCTATAATCTCTGGCTGATCTATAGAGTCTGAGTTCTCAACCTGCCTCCTTTGAGACATTCCTCCCTCTGTTAGGGTGGCTGCCTTAGGGCCTGTCAGAAATCTTCCTGAGGATTGCATTCCACTTATTGATGAAATAGGGACATTTACTTTTTCATTTTTATGCCTTTCCTTACAGTGTTGACCTCTACATTCCTGTATTTAGCTCTCCTTCAGGAAGGCCATTAGTTCCTAGCCCAAAAGAAAGAAATTCCAACTGTGGACTTTCTGGCGTTATTTCTTGAGGGTAAATCTTGGGACAGTGTGACATTAAAAGGGTAGTTCGGTAGGTGTCAAGCTTACAGGAAGGATGACGAAGGAGTGTGATAGAGTGAGGAGGAAGGACAGTGCATCTGAGGAGTTGGCACTAGGGGCTCCGCTGGACCAGAGATGCAACCTCTACCCACATATGAAGTGACTTGCCAGGACTGGCTGCCTCTCATGAGCCAAAGATGTTAGTGGTCTTGCCTACACTCAGAGTTCTGGACCTTCCAGTCATCTCAGGAGCAAATGCTTCATGTCTTCCCAACCCTGTGGCTTGGCCACTTCAAGAATATACTGTCTTTAAAACACCTTGATATACAAGTAAGTCTAAAGGGACTGTCAGCACAGTAGAGAAAAAGTATGGAGAGATCTTTCATACCTGTGTTTTTGGGGTGGTATTGGCTACTGGAGCATCATCCCTATCTCACACCTGAAGCAACCCAAAACAGATACTCTTACATCTAATTTTTATGTACATTGAGCCAGTTCATATTTCTTAGCAGAAAATGACTTATCAACTCTGTTGATTTATTCTTGTATGATGTTATTTATTGCTTTATGCTCTATTTTTAGAGGCCTTTGGAGATAGCACTTAATTAGTATCAACTTTCACCTTTTGGGGAAGAAAGCAAGGCAAACAAAAAGGGAATGGGGCAGATAAATTCTGATAGACGAAAGGCAGCAATAAATTTGGAATGGTGGACGGTGCTCTCTCCACGGTAGACCATCCCAGCAGGGGTCTTCAGAATGCTGCTAAAAAGGAAGGGTGATCATGGGCTTGGAGAGGAGCCTTGACAAGCAGAGAATGGCAAACTTCCTCTTCAGAATCCTGCTGTGTTCCTTGCACACACAGAAGATATGAAACAGCTTTTTATTCTCTGTTGCAGACCACAGACTTAAGAAATAATAATACAAAATATACATGAATTTGTCCTTTTGAAAGATTCTGGCAATACAGAGTAAAAGGTTATCCCATTACTACTGGCACACTCATAGCTGTATCTTCAGAAAGGTTAACTCTTCTCAGGCCTTCTATTCATTGAGAAAAAACATAAATGGGATTTTGCTACACAGAAAAAAAATACATATATATATATATATATATATATACACACACATATATAAAGAGAGCTTGTCTTAGTTTTCTGTTGCTTACAACAAAATACCCGAAACTGGGTAATTTATAAAGAAAAGAATATATTTCTTACAGTTAAGGAGGCTGAGAGAGGTCCAGGGTCGAGGGTCTGCATCTAGTGAGGGCCTTCTTGCTGGTGGGGATTCTCTATAGAGTTCCAAGGTGGCACAGGGTATCACATGGCAAGCTTTCTAAGTGTGCTAGCTCAGATCTCTCTTCCTCTCTTTCCACTCCTGTGATAGCCCATTAATCCACAAATGGATCAATCTATTCGTGTCAGAACCCTCACAATCCAATCACCTCTTAAAGGCCTAACCTCTCAATACTGCCACACTGGGGATAAAATTTCAACATGAGTTTTGGAAGAGACAAAGAATCAAACCATAGCAGAGCTAGAGCGGAAAATCTGCATCGTTTCCCTCTTAAAATGTGTCGGAATTGGCTTTTTAAAATTAGTATATGTGACTTCAAATTTTTAAGCAGATGCAGATTATACTAGAGTATGCATGAACTCTGGTTGTTTGACTATTCTGATAGGGATAGACCCTGAGCTTGTTTTCCACCTTGTACTATTTTAAAAAATACTAAGACAAATAGCTTTGTTTAAAATAGATCATTGTATCTCTTTAGTATTCTAGTTAAAGAAAAAAAACGAGCTGGGCAAAATTTTTTTTTAAATTTTTTTTTTTATTATACTTTAAGTTCTAGGGTACATGTGCACAACGTGCAGGTTTGTTACATATGTATACATGTGCCATGTTGGTTTGCTGGACCCATTAACTCATCATTTACATTAGGTTTTCCTCCTAATGCTATCCCTCCCCCCTCCCCCCACCCCCCCGACAGGCCCCAGTTAACTTAGTATACAGAGAGCACAGTTCAGTATTCCATTTGAATTGAGAACAAGAAAGGAAACACTTTATAATATACATACAAAAGCATTCAAAAAAATAGATATAATTACTCTAGTATACAGAAGTAAGACTCACCAGGAAGGAGGAAATAGGGAAGAGTGAGAGAGAGAGGAAGAGAAAGACAAATCTTTGCTTCTAAAGCTCTAGGGGCAAAGATATAATAATGTCTCTATTAATACTTATTTCTAAGACAAAATAATATTTTAGTTTTTTATCTTTATAAAAATGGGTAGACTGCCAAAATCATTTTGAAATTATTTCCTGAAGTGTGAAAGCACATATATCTCAGGAATCACTGGTTTCTTAAATTTGTGACCAAATAGCTTTGTGGACTGGGAAAAATGGCTTTGTAAGTTATAAAGACAAAAGGCTGGTTTTCAAAGAAAAATATCCATATTTTGCAACTGTTCTGGAGCATTTTTATATGGGCCAGATCATATTAAGACAAAGTGTAGATCATAATATAGCAGTAATTTCTACTTTCCTCATCTGCAGTATTCCACCCCAAACTTGGAACTTTCTTTAATAATGTGATTATTAAAGTGGTATCCAGTGATCAAGACGCAGCTGAGGAATTGAATTTAAATCTTAATTTGATAATAACTATGCTTTATTTCTCAGAGTCCAAAAGATTCAACAGGCTCGTTTTGATGTAGTGTGAACACTTGGTTCTTTGGAAATTCACATGGTGTAGTTTGGGGGCTGGTGTTGCTTCTTTTGGTCCTGCATTTTGTATGCTTACTTGCTTAACACCCTTACATAACACTTACTGCATCCCAGACACAGTCTTTATGGTTTTGTGCTCTGTGTTTTCTCATCTTTAAAATGGAGATAATAATAATAACTATATCATAAGGCTTTAATAATAATAATAATATGAAATTACATAACCTTCCTAAGGTTGTAAGAGCTAGAAAGTGGTGAAGCCAGAATTTCACTCTTAGCCACTGACCTAGGCTGCCTCTCCAGCACACCTGGTTCTACCACCTCAGATTCCTTCCTTAAACTGTGAACTTACCCAGTGATGCCAGGATACCAGAAGGAATGATGGAGCTGAGATGTGGCCTAAACATCCTGTTCAAACCCTTTTTACTAGACAACAGATTACACAGTACTTATTTTCAATGAGTTACCCAGCTGGATTTTGTAAATCTGGAAAACAGTTTAATAAATATTTATTTAAATCTTAATTTAAGTTCTCTTTATGAATAAAATATCTTAATGAGTTAGGGAGTTGAGAATGTTTTAGAGTGGAAAAGAGTTGAGAAGGAAGTAAGAAATGAAGGAAATTTTAAAAAATCATTTTGAGCAATATGAAAGCTTTCCCTTTTTCTCTTGATCTGACAGCAGAATCTAAGATTTAAAGAAAAAGAGTGTACCCAGGTTTAGAGTGATTTGTATGAATTTTAAACCACTTTGTGTTTTTCCAAATAAACATCCCAGGTTGGGGTAACCAGTGATTGCATCTTAATTTTGGACACTGACCAATATTTACAATCAAGAAACAAACCAAAGACAAAACAATATATGCCATTATTGTAAATCACTGGAGCACATCATTCCTTTTTATAAATACCTTCCCAAATCACTCCAGGGAATGGGTCAGAATCCTTCTGTCAAATGCTCAGTTTAACTCAAATCAACATCCAGTGTGTAGATGCCATGGGGCAGTTTCTGTCCAACACCTTAAGACAGCACCCTCTGGGGGTTTTACCAGGAGAAGATGTCAATGGCCTTCTACAACAACACGGTGTTTCTTTAACTTACCCCCAAGTCGACAGATTTCAATTACATGGACTGATATCTACACCTTTTAGGTAGCGTGGGTTTCATTTTGCCTTGCAGTGGTTGGAGTTCATTTGACATGCTCATTTGACAACAAACTGCCCTTTCCAGTGGTTGTCCTACTAAAGCACCAAGTAAAACAGAAAGGTTGGCAGGTTTCCTGTGAGGCAAATGCTTTTTCATATTCTTTTCCCTTTGGGGGGTGTTTCAGAGAACTTACATTTCCTGACAAGTATCTAAATCAGCACGGTACAAAACAAAGATGTGAATCATTTTTAATATTATATTTTATTTACCCAATATATACAAAATATAATTATTTCAAGATGTAATATTAAAAATTTTTGAGGATTTTAAAATATTTTTAATACTAAATCTTTGAAATCTTATTTTTTTTTTACACTTAAAGCACATCTCAATTTGAACTAGCCATATTTCAAGTGCTCAGTGGTCACATGTGGCTAGTGGCCTCTGTCTTGAACAGCATAGGTCTAAACCTTCTCCTTTTACCCAGACTAGTCCTTTCCTAAATCTTCCAGGCTCTGAAGCCGCCACTGTTAACATACGAGCTCCACTTAAAGTCTCATTCCTGATTTCTCCAACTAGTGGTCAAGCAATCATTAATTGACTAATGTAGCCACAAACATACTCCTCATAAGACATCTATAATTTTTAGAGGAAAAATAATATTTTCAGTATTTCAAAAGTAACATTATTTTTGTCTGATCTAGAAAACATATTTAAAGAAAAGGAGAAAGAGTAGAATAACCAATAATCCTACCACCCCAGAAGTAACTACTGGATTTTAATGTACCTTCTTACAGATTTTTCTCATATGTATGTTTTTTCCCCAGAAGTGGAATTATATGGTATACATTGTTTTATTATCTTCTTCCCCTTAACAACATCCCAGAAGCTTTTTCTCTTATAATGATTATCTTCTACAACTTTAGTTTTAATGATCTACCATATGAGTGTGTCTCAATTCGTTTAACCAATCTCCCATTGCCCACAGGCTAGTAGACCTTGAGAACCTGCACCTAGAAGAGGAATGGATATCACCTGAACGTACCTGAAGAACAGCCCACAACGTGATATTCAGTTGTCTCCTGCTGGGAAGGGCGTGAATGTATTTGTGATTAAATGAGGGAGAGGTGGATTACATTAAATGGGGAGACCTTCAGAATTAGCAATTTCTGCTAATGGAGCAGGGGGTACCAGCATGTGCGGAGCGACCACGATGTGTACTGGATGCATTAAACCTCTCCTGAAGGGTCTGCCCATCTCTTGATGTGTGTACTCCAGATTGAGAGCATCGTTGTGATGAAACTGCGTTAGCTTAAGGGACCCACCATGAACAAAGTAATGCCTCCTTCCCCAGGGAAGCTCTCATCCAATGATTATCAATAGGGTATTATAATTACTTGCCCCTCTTCTTCCAGTTTGGGACAGTTCTTCAGAGTGATCTCAGTTCTACAGCTCTTTGGGCACTGGATTGCAGCTCCTCTTTTCCTTCTGCTTCATCCTGCTTTCTTCTCTTCACTCCCCCACATTTGTATTCCCAAGAACATGCTCCTGCAATAACATTGTGATGTGCACATCTCCAACACAGCATCTGCTTCCCAGGGAATCCAATCCGTGACAAGCACTAAAATAAACTTTACTTTACTGGTCTGACAAGAGTTTAAGTGCATGATATGTCTTACAGAGACTGTGCAAGTTAAATAATACTTAGTTCTAAGTTCAATAGTTTTACAGATTTCTCCATAATACTGGTGTTGCTACTAATGTAACATTTTCTTTCTAATTTAAATCAAATCTCGCCTGGAGCTCTCACCTGAAGAAGTCAACAAGAAGTGTTCTGTATTTGTTATTCTCCATGCTCTTTCCCCACCATTTGGACTGTACCAAGATCCCAGGCCTGTGATCTGAGAAAAAGTGGGTGGGGAGGTGGATAGGCGCTGCCCGGCCTCAGCGGTCTCACAGGTGGGCATTTCTTGTGGTACTCTTCATGCTGCACCAGCCTGGGACCCTCACTACCACTCTCAGTACTGACGCACTTGGTCCACAGCCTCTCCCTGAAGTCACACGTGTCCTCTTTCTTATGGAGCAGGAAAATGAGTACAACCTATTTCCTCTCTTGAAATTCCAGCCTTATTCAGTAATTTCCTTATTTATGATGAGGGTATTTTATTTTTTAAGCAGCAGCTGTTGGCTGTCAGCCAGTGTGGAGCAACCTCAGGAAGGTGACAGCCCTAGCTGAGCTGGCTACTCTTCTATTTCCTCAGGGGAGGAAACAATGATAATATTCTTTATTTCAAAAGCAGAGGTAGAGAAGTGCCCTCTGGTTCCTGTGCTGGGGATAGATGGTTCCATTTTTATGAAGGCTCCTATCTTTTTCCCTGGTTTAGGTCCTGAAGTTGCCCCTGTCCACCCTATATTAAGTTGGGTGGGGAAGCCATTGTTGAAAGAGGGAGCAGAGAAGATGTGATTGAGCCATTGTTACGAGTTGCATTGTGTCTCTCCAAATGACATGTTGAAGACATAATCCTCAGTGCCAGAAGATGTGATGTTATTTGGAAACGGTCTTTGCAGAGGTTATAAGTTAAGATGAGGTCATACTGAAGTAGGGTGGGCCTTTAATCCAATATAACTCATGTCCTTAAAAGAAGAGATCCAGAGATACAGATATAGGAGGGGAGAACATCATGCGACAATGGAGGCAGAGTTTGAAATCCTGCAGCTGTGAGCCAGGAAACGCCCAGGATTGCTAGCAAACCACCAGAAGCTAGAAAGAGGCGAGAAAGGATGCTCCCCTACAGGTTTCAAGGTGGGCATGGCCTTGCCGACACCTTCGTTTTGGAGTCCTGGCTCCACAGTGGTGAGAACATAAAGATCTGTTATTGGAAGCTGTTTGGTTTGTGGTATTCTGCTGCGGCAGCCCTAGGAAATGAATACAGCCATTATCACAAAACGTTTAACTAGTGAAACCAGAAATAGACTTGGTGTTCTGTCTTCTAGTTCAGAAATTGACCCAGGCGCTATTCCCAAGGTAGCCAACTTCTAAATGCTTAGGCAGACTGTTTATTTAGATCCTCTTGGTGACAAGCATTATTGTAGCTCTAATAGTTGAGTACCATGAACAAGATTTAGTTGCTGAGAAGTCTGTTTCTAGCTCAGGGAAATTACTGAAGCTGAAAGAAAAGCTCACAGGGTTCAGGGACCTGGGAAATCTTCATAGGCATGGGTCCAGGAGGGAGTTCATTAAAAACCTCTGCACAGAGAAAGAAGCTCTAGAAAGAAATTTGAAGATTACCAGGTACTATTCAGTGTCTCGTTTCATGTGGAGGAAACCAAGATCTGGGAAGGTTAAGTGGCTTACCAGGCCCAGCTGGTAAACGGTGGGGCCAGGACGGGGGCCCTAAGCATCCTAAGATGCAGGACAATGTGCTTTTCCCAGCTCTGAACTCCCTTGGCCTGGCAAAGAGTTGCACAAAGTCAGGAAGCCGCTCTGAGGAAGTTCTATACTGACTTCTCAAAAATAATGAGGTAAGCAGAATGAGCTTTGAGGAATGGGCCTGGCAACTTGTTTGAACTGCAGGTAACATCTGAAAAGCAGTGTTAAGATCATGAACGGTTTAGACTTTTGCGTAAGATAATGGCGTTATATCCCAGCTCTGTGGTTATAGGCCAAGTAACTTTAGTAAAACTTACTTTAGTAAAACTTACTTGTTTGTAAAAGGCTTAACTTAGAATAGGTGCCCATTAAGGTTAGTTGTCTTTCTTTCCTTAGTTCTTTTTCAAATTCTCATCTGTGTCCTAAAAATTTAATCTGATATAATAATGAGTATAGTTGTGACACACTATTTCCTTTGTTACTACTACTAAAAAATCGATAAGGTTTACTAAGCAAATCCCAGACACTATATCACAATGACTTTAAATGGGTTACTAATGACCATAAGCCTAGGATATAGTTATAATTATTAACCTCATTCTATAGATGAAAAACGTAGGCTTAAAAAACTAAGGAACTGGCCGGACACGGTGGCTCATACCTGTAATCTCAGCACTTTGGGAGGCTGAGATGGTCAGATCACTGGAGGTCAGGAGTTCGAGACCAGTTTGGACAACATGGTGAAACCCTGTCTCTACTAAAAATACAAAAAACATTAGCGGGAGTGGTGGCGGGCACCTGTAATCCCGGCTACTCAGGAGGCTGAGGCAGACAGAAGAATTGCTTGAGCCTGGGAGGTGGAGGTTGCAGTGAGCTGAGATCATGCAGCCGCACTCCAGCCTGGGTGACAAAAGGGAGACTCTATCTCAAAAAAAAAAAAAAAAAAAAAAGAACAAACAAAAAACCCCCCAAAAAACAAAAAACCCAAAAACTAAGGAACTTGATGAAGCTCACATAGCTAGATAGGGGTGGAGCTGGAACAGGAACCTAGGCAGCCTGTGTTTTCTGTGACAAATATGAAAAATAAGAGCAACATTTAGTCCCCAGACTCCACCATGAAATGAGAACAGTCATGTTGCAAGGCAGGAAGCTATAGTTTGTTTAATTCTTCGCAATTACCAAAGGTGGCGGTTTGTCAGTTTACAACATCGTTGGTATGTACGTAAACTTAAATGACTTAGAGTTAGTTCTGCCTTTTAAATATGAATCAGCAAGCCAAGTGTAGCCAAGATAGGAAAATTAAGTATTCTGATTAATATTTGAAATATTGGACTATTTTCTAGCAACACCATCTATTGTACTCAAATCCATGACCAAATAGACTAGAGTCTATATATCCATATGGTTTTTGAATTTTTTTAATAACATCCCTACCTCATGATTGTCCAGACTACTTGAACACCTCCCAAAATGAGCATACCACCTCTTACAGAAGCTCTTTTCATCTTTAGAGAACACTGAAAATTCTCTCCAGTAGTGGTTTAAAGATCTAAATGTAAAAAAAGCAAAACTTTCAAAATATCAGAATACCAGTGCTCCTCAATTCGTGATAGGGTTACATCCCAATAAACCCATCCTAAGTTGAAAATATTGTAAGTCCAAAATGCATTTAGTAACCTAACCTACCAAACATCATAGCCCAGCCTAGCCTACCTTAAACATGCTCAGAACATACACATTAGCCTGAAGTTGGGCAAAGTCATCTAACACAAAGCCTATTTTGTAATAATGTGTTGAATATTTCATGTAATTTATTGAATATTATACTGAAAGTGAAAGACAGAATGGTCATATGGGTACTTGAATTATGGTTTCCACTGGATGCATATTACTTTTGTACCATCATAAAATCAAAAGATCGTTGAGCAGAACCATCATAGATCAGGAACTGTCTGTATAGAAAAAATACCTTTATTACTACACAGAAAAAAAATCTTTATTATTTCAGGGGAAAAGATTATTTTTTAAGCAAAATTACAAAGGAAAAGATTGAGACATCTGATTACATTAAAATTAAAAACTTTTATTTCTCCAAAGACTTCATAAAAATACAAAAAGCAAGACACAGACAGTTACATGGCCCACCCTAATGATTTCATTTAACCTTAAATACCTCTTTAAAGACCTGATCTCCAAATATGGTTACATCCTGAGGTACTTCAGTTCAGGACTTCAACATATGAATAGGTGGGGACACAGTTCAACACGTAACACTCACCATAGTAGCGGTATTTACTAAACATCTGGGCTGCGTGCAGTGGCTCACACCTCTAATCCCAATACTTTGGGAGGCCGAGGTGGGTGGATTGCTTGAGCTCAGGAGTACCAGACCAGCCTGGGCAACATGGTGAAACCCTGACTCTACAAAAAATACAAAAATTAGCCAGGCCTGGTGGCAAGTATCTGTGGTCCTAGCTACTCAGATGGACGGTTTCAACAACATCTATTTCTCACAGTTTTGGGGATAGAAAGTACAAGATCAAGGCATTGGCAGATTCAGTGTCTGGTGAGGGTTCCCCTCTAGCTGTGTCCTCACATGGTGGAAAGGTGTGAGGGCTCTTTGAGGACTCTTTTATAAAGGCTCTAATCCCATTCATCAGGGCTCATAACCTAATCACCTCACCCATTTCTTAATACTGTCACATTGGGGGTTAGGATTTCAACATAGGAATTTGGTGGTGGAGACATACACATTCAGTCCATAACTCTCTGATAATAATAGTATAGTTGAGGATGTGAAGCCATAGGAAATCTTATATATTGATGACGAGGAAACTGATTTTGCATTAAAATTGAAGATGCAAATATCCTATTACCAGCTATTATATTCCTAGAGATGTACTCTAGATAACTTTTGCATAGATGATTAAGAAGACAGGTACACAAATGATCATACCAGCATTGGAAGAATCAGAAACAATCAAAATATCTGTCAGCGAGAAAACAGAGTACATTAAATGATGGAATACTGTAAGTCAGTGAAAGCGAATGAACTAGCGCTATACATGTAACATAAGTGAATCTCATGAACAGAATGCAGACTGTTGCTACAGTCTTCTAGATAATGATTTCCCATGACTGTGTTTTGTTCCGTAAAGGGACACAGCCATTCCCACACTGCTAAACATTCAGACTGGTTCTTCCATGGCCTTCCAAGGCTAGTGGACCATGAGGCTCCTTTAGAACTTCTCACCGTTCCAAGCCTTTCCACTAGAGACTCTTTAACTGCCTTTACACCTTACCCTTCCCACCCTCGGGGCATAGGTGTTGACATATGTCAATTTGTGACCTCATTCAAGGTTTGTCATTCAGTTAATTGCATGTCTTTTCCATTTTCATCATATCAGTTTCCAGCAGCTGATAAATTCCCTGGGTCCTTGTTATGTAAACAACCCCAATCCTTTTTTTGGAAGTAGGTATAACATAAAGAGAACGACTATACTTCCTGGGGGGACAAGGATTCTGTCTACAAATGGCACAGCACTACTGTGCATAACGCATGCTTTCCTGCTTATGACAATGTCATGCTTTAATATATGAGGTACTGGTATAATCAATAAGGTGTGTAAGTTTCAATTCAAGGCCTTGGAACAAGGGTCTCTTTCTCTATTATCTAGCTACCTAGAGAGGAGCTGGGTTCAGGAGAAATGGCTTTGAGAGAGGCACTGTAGGGAAGGGGTTATAAGCACACAGGACCATGAGCCAGATGGATCTGGATTTGAGTTCCAGCCCTGCTTTTACTGTATGTGAGATTTATGAGAAGTTTTATTCTGTTTTTTTCCCTTTGTGAGCCTGTTTCTGCATCTCTACCTTCTTTATAGGGTTGATTAGATAAGATAAAGTATATGAAGCATTTAACATGACTTCCACCTACTACATAGTCAGTAAACATTATTGTTATTAAAGAGATCATTTCTTTAAAATAACAATTTCAAGGTTTGAATACAAGATGATAGTGGCCTTTATGTGGTTATTAGGCACAAAACTGAAACAACTGGAGCGATCGAAGTTTCCACTGAGGAGCTGTTTTTTATTTTCTCCCAGTGTGATTTAAGAATATGGAAGGAAGCCAGGCCTCCAACTGTGGGTTCCAGCCTATAGCTGTGGTTGAATAAGTGACTATCTGAAAAGGATCCCTGGGTAAGTAATTTAATTTCCCTGTATCTTACTTTCTCTTCTATAGAATATTGATTCATGGGAAGATAACAGTTCTGGAAAACCCTCTAGATAGGGATTGTGTTAATAGCCACGTTTGCGTTGCTCTGTAAACATGGACGTGCTGGGAGTGCAATCACTCAAATCCCATGTCCTGCTTTCAGCATCTTTCACCCACCGATATGATGTCTGAGTGTTCATTGTCACCAAGGCCATTTTCACTGAGGTTTCATTTGAAACGAGCTGCATCTACTGCAGGACATAATGCAGGTGTGCTCCACTTTAGAGAGACCGTTTGCCCATGAATCAGCACATTGGCCTGAAGAATCACAGGGAAATGATCCTGTCAGACACCCCTCGGGATGTTTGTGCCTGAAAATCTGGCTTTAGCAGGAATGGCTACTGCTCCCTGGCCCCAGTGGCTGCATATTGATCGATACTTGCCCCATTAAAAAAGCATACAAGTGTCCCTCAGTGTCTGAGGGGGATTGGTTCCAAGGTCCCTCAAGATACCAAAATCCTCAGATGTTCAATTTCCTTATATAAAAAGGCATAGTATTTGCACGTAACCTATGAATATCCTCTCATATACTTTAAGTCATCTCTAGATTACTTCTAACACCTACTACAATGTAAATGCTATGTGAATAGTTATTTTATTGCTTCATTTCTTTTGTATTATTATTTTTTCCAAATATTTTCCATCCGTGGTTGGTTGAATTGGGGGATGCGGAACCTGTGGGTCAATTAAGCAGTAAAGTATTATTAGCCCAGAGAAACACTTACTCTTTTCACCTTTAAGGATTTAAAAATAGTGGGGCTTATTCCAAAGCAAGTATAGTGGAAAATACTACTTAACAGTAGACTGAGATGCTGTAAGAATTAACATTCTGGGTGTAAAGGGCGATACAAATCACACAGTAGACTCTGCATTATATTGAACTGAGTGAATAGATGGAGGAAGGATGGAAGAACAGAAAAAAGGAAGAAAGGAAAGACGGAATGAATTAGAAGAAATTAGCCAAAAAGCTAGGACTTAGGCTCTATGTACGCTATGATCATAGCTTGAATGACCCTAGACAAGTCCCTCAGTTTCTCATCTGGGAAACAGAAAAAATGTCTTCCTTATTGGTTTTCTGTGAGAAAGAAATCAAATTACGTAGAGAGATATGTGGTTGATAGCACCTGACAGTCATAAGACCTGCAGATCAGTATCAATTCAATACAATTCATCAAATATTTACTAAGCCCTTACTATTTGCCTGGCATTGTATCCTGGGTGCTAGAATTACGTAGAGACGAATAAGACAGCCAGGCTTGTAGCCTGGATAAGGCAACCGGGATGGAGGCAATCCCAGTTCTTGATCTTAGGACTTTTATTTTTCATTTATTCATAATAGACTCCCGAAATCCCCTTCTGGTTGAGCTGCCCCAGTCCTTGCCCACTGAAAACCCACAAGGCTATTAGGGGGAGACAAAACTGTAAACCGAAAATTCCAAAGCAGCATGCGAACCGCAACAATGGTGGCCCCTAGATGTAGGAAGGAAATGAGGAGGGACTGAGGAACTGGAGCAGGGGAGTTCCGCGGCGGCTGGGTGGGTGAAGGCACCTGAAAGGGACGATGCGTGGGCTGAATTACAGAAAATAAACAGGAATTCCTATATAAAGAAAAAGCAGAGAAAAGGCATTTCAGATCACAGGAAGCATCACATGCAAAGCCAAAGAAACAGGAAATTGCTAGTTCCAGCTTCTGCCATTAACTGGCTCTTTTTAACCTTTCTGGAATTTCCTCAGGTCCCTCTGGGATTTCAGTCTTCACATCTCAGAAAATGAAGGTCGGGGGTGGAAAGAAGGAATCTATATTTCGGGAAGGTGCTTTCTAACTGGATACCTCCGTGCTAGAGCAAAAAAAAAGGGGTAGTTTTAAAAACGTCAAGTGTTATTTTAGGGCAGGAGCCAGAAGCCCCATGTTTTGTAACTATCAAGATGACAGGCAGAGCCTGCAGCCATTCAGAGGCTTTCTCCACTTGATCTTAGCCAAAAGACCAAGAAGCGATCAGAAATTTTCTCAACGATTAATTTACCCACTTCACCAGTACTTAGGGCATGGACTGAGCCAGGGCCTATGCTATCAAAAAGAGCACAGTCTAGCAGAGGGAGACAGACAGTAAATAAGTATATAAATAACTGGAAACCATATTGGTCTGCACGCTGCGAGTGCGTGGGGACAGGAAAACAGAAGCTCCCAGGACGTGCAGGTCACGTCCAGGTTACATGCAGGGTGAGTGACGGTTTATCTCCTAGCCAAATTAACTTCCTGTTTCCTCGTCCAGCCTCACCTTCTCCAAGAAGCCAGAAACATTTTCAGCCGCCAATTTTTCCTTGGCAGGACGACAGGGTGCCCTCTCTTCACCTGCAACCTTTCCCAGGCCTTGCCTGGGGCTCCACGCACTCACTGCAAATGCGGGTCCCAGAGCTGACCACAAGGTGCCTGCTCCCGCGACAGCTTCGCGCAGACCTGAGCGCCCAGTGCATGCAGACCTCCCGGCGTCGTGGGAGAGGGTGGCGGGAAGGCGGGCTGTGCAGCACCTCCGGGTTGGGCCGCTGGCGGCTGGGCGGGACTCAGCCTACGGTATAAGAGGGGAGCGCCACTCTCCTGGCCGCAGTACTGAAGGTGGCGCCTCGGCAGCGGGCTAGAGGCCACTGGCACTGAGCTTGCAACCAGATCCAGAGACACTGAAGAAGAGAGAAAGGTCTGAAGCGGGGCTGATTTGTTGTGGGTGCAGGGGAGAGGAAGGCTGGAACTGGTCTGGGGTCTTAAACACGTGGGGGACGTTTACAGGGTCTGGGGGAGGGATCCAGCCGCGTCGAGGGGCTGCAGCAGCTCCAGGCGCCCAAACTCAGCAGCTTCTCTCCCCCGCAGGCGCACCTCTTCCCGCCACTCCTAGCCCCAGCCTCCAAGGATGCGGCTCCTCGAGAAACTCTGTTCCTCGGCCGCAGGCAGCTCCGCGCCGAAGCCCGCCTTCGCCAAAGTGCTCACGCCGAATCGCATCCCCGAATTCTGCATCCCGCCGCGGCTGCCGGCCCCTTGCACGCTCGAGTCTCCAATCCGGGCCGCCGCCGTGCCCCGGCGCTGCGCCGCTGAAAGCGACCTGTGGCCCCGCGCGGCAGACGAGGACGCCGGCCGCACGGACTGGGACCCGCGCTCGCAGGCAGCGCTGTCACTGCCGCACCTGCCCCGTGTGCGCACCACCTACGGCTTCTGCGCGCTGCTCGAGAGCCCGCACACGCGCCGCAAGGAGTCGCTCCTGCTCGGGGGCCCGCCCGCGCCCCGGCCCCGGGCCCACAGCTGCGGCGGCGGCGGAGGCCCGGACGCCCCCCTGGGGACCCTGTGCGGCCCGCGAGGTCCGGGCCCGGCCACCCCCGCGGCCCCCGGCGGTCCCCGCCTGCCCCAGGACGCGCTCGCTGCGGGGCCCCGCCGCTGCCGCCTCCTGCGCGTCCCCGACGGGCTGCTGAGTCGCGCGCTGCGGGCTGGAAGGAGTCGCCGCCTGGCCCGCGTCCGCTCCGTCTCCAGCGGGAACGAGGACGAGGAGCGCCGCGCGGGATCCGAGTCCCCGGCCCGGGCCCCCTCCTCGAGCCCGCTGTCATCCAGGGCCCCGCTTCCTGAGCGCCTGGAGGCCAAGGGCACCGTGGCTCTGGGCCGCGCCGGCGACGCCCTGCGCCTGGCTGCTGAGTACTGTCCGGGAACCCGGCGTCTCCGCCTCCGGCTGCTCCGCGCGGAGAGCCTGTTCGGAGGCGCCCCCGGGCCCCGCGCCGTCCGCTGCCGCCTCAGCCTCGTCCTGCGGCCGCCGGGCACTGCGCGTTGGCAATGCAGCGCTGTGGTGGGGCGCAGCCGCAAGGCCTCCTTTGACCAGGACTTTTGCTTCGACGGCCTCTCGGAAGACGAGGTGCGCCGCCTGGCCGTTCGCGTCAAGGCCCGGGATGAGGGTCGCGGCCGGGATCGGGGCCGCCTGCTGGGCCAGGGTGAGCTGTCCCTGGGCGCCCTCCTGCTGCTCTGAGGGCCCAGCCCTCCCCGGGGCGCTCTGCCCTGGAGACTCCGGACACTGACAGCCGCGTGGTACAGAATAAACGTTATTTATTTTTTTATTTATGATACTGCTTTATTGACGTTTTACTTCCTCACCATCCACATTTGTCATCGTCTATTGGTAAAGAAGAAAAAGATAATGACTCCCTGTTCTGTTCACAGGACCCCCATATCTCTTTCCAGACCATTTTTGCATTCCAAGGAAAAATGGGTTGGCTTGGGACTGGGAGAGAAAGGAAGTACACCCATCTGCATTGTTTTTAATTCCTTCCGGTTTTCTATCAATGTTACAGTTTTTTTTTAATAAAGCAAGTTATTCATTCAGAGTCATGCCCAACGTTACGATTCATATACACAGCTTTACATATTGATGCGGCATAGGTAATATCCTAATTTGTGTTTGCGCACGCGCACACATCAGAGTGAGACACTTGTATTATAAGGATGTATATACCCTGGTGGGAAGAAAATTTTTTTGTAGAAAGTTTTCTTTTGGAAGTGAGTTTTTCAAAAATTGGTGAGGAAAACAGGGAAGTGGAGGACCTTCCAATAGATGGGTTATCTAGGGAATAGCTATTCCTGGGGTCTCTCTCTTCCTTACCTAGGAAATCTTAGAAATCTTTCTTGCCTCTGTAAACAAGATGATACTTTTTGTGGCATTTTCTCACCTAGCTATGTATCTAATTACACACTAATTAGCTTTGCGGTAGGATTTCCTAGATGAGTTAAAAAGTAAGTAGTCAGTTTCTTGAACACTGGGTTCTAGAGAGTGTTTTTAAAAATCCAATTGATTTTCATTTGTTAATTCAACAAATAAACCTAAGTCCACTGGAAACTGATTATACCCAAGAGAATTTGCCCTGGGCCACGGGAATCCACCATGTAGTGGAAAGCACAATGGAGTTGGAGACAAATAGAGAGTTCAATTTTTTTTCTGCCACTTTTCTGGACTAGGGCAAATCAGTTACTCTCCCTGAGCCTCATTTTCTCCATCAGTGAAAAGGGAGTAATATCTACCTCACAGGGTTTTGTGAAGATATACCTTAATATCCAAATAACCCTTGAATACATGTGAAATATGAGAGCAAACCTGAAATGCTTGCACTGTACTGTTGAATAGTGCTCAATAATGTTGCAGAGAATGAACTCCTTCAGGTCTTCTTTCTTTCCAGTTGTTTCTCCCTGCTCCTGGAGTGGAGCTTGGAAAAGGTAGGGCTACCTGTGACTGAGGACTTAGAAGAGCCAGGAGTGGGAATGTAGAACCCTTCAGTATCCCCATGGTAAATTTCCCCATAAGCAACAGTTTGCCGTCATTCTACATCAGAAATTCCTTCTGCATTGTTGTTATAATAATGAAGTCTGGGTACAAATTTGATCAGACTAAATAAAAATCCTGGATTTGAAATATTATTTCAAAGTGAACAAATTAGCCTTTAAAAATAATCTCATCAAACTACTTTTGATATTGAGAAAACATCACAGAGATGACTTGCCCAAAGCTATACAGCTAATGTGCATAGCTGAATTCAAACAAGAACCAAGTGTTCTGACTTCTCCAGAAGACTGACCCACCCCTGTGGGTCAGAGGAGGTGAGGCCAGTGTGTTGGAGGGAAGTATTCCAAGAAGAGGCTGTTCAACCTATGTATTCATTTATTTATTTAGTAGAAATGGAATTAGCTTCATTCTGTAGACTTCAGAGAACATAATGAAGATGACATATACATAAAGGCTTATTCCTTTTCAGAGGGCTCAATTTAACAAAAATGAAACTTCATGTAAAACATTGACTTCTTAAAATAGGTAAAGAATCTGGAATGAGCACTTGATGAAATACATTTGCTTGTGACTGATTATATATTTATATAAATTTATATATTTATATAAATATAAAAATATAATGTTAAGATCACTGAAATCTGAGAGTGACATCAGCAAGATGGCTGACTAGAAGTAGCATACAGTATTTCTCCTGTGCTGGGCTTATTTCATTTAACATCATTTTCACTAGGTTCATCCACCTTGTTGCAAATGATAGGATTTCATTTTTTATGGCTGAATAGTAATCCATTGTGTATAAATACTAAATTATTTGATCCATTCATTCCTTGATAGACACAAGTTGATTCCATATCTTAGCTAGTGTGAATAGTGCACCAATTAAGATAAGAGTAAAGATATCTTTTCAGCATACTGATTTCCTTTCCTTTGAATATATACCCACTAGTGAAATTGCTGGAGCCTATGGTAGTTCTATTTTCAAATTTTTGAAAAATGTTTGTCATCTTCATAATGGGTGTATTAATTTACATTCCCACCAACAGTGTTTAAGAGTTCTGCCCTCTCTACATTGTTGCTAGGATTTGTTTTTTGTTTTTGTCTTTTTGATGAAAGCCACATTAGCTGAGGTGAGGTGGTACTTTATTGTGATTTCAATTTTCACTTTCCTGATTAGTAATGCTGAGCACTTTTTTATCTACCTGTTGGCTGTTTGTATGTCTTCTTTTACCCATTTTAAAATCAGATTATTTGGATTTTTAAATTTGTTTGTTTGCTATTGAGTTGTCTGAATTTATTATGTATTCTGGATATTAACCCCTTGCCTGATGCATAGCTTTCAAAATTTTCTCCCATTCTGTAGGTTGTCTCTTCATTCTGTTGATTGTTTCCTTTGCTGTGCAGAAGCTTTTTAGTGTGATGTAATTTCATTTGTCTATCTTTTCTTTTGTTGCCTAGGTTTTTGAGGTCCTATCTAAATAATTCTTGCCCAGACCAATGTCATGAAGTTTTTCCCTTATGTTTTCTTCTTGTAGTTTCACAGTTTGAGATCTTACATTTAAGTTAGTAATCCATTTTGAGTTTAATTTTTGTATGTGGTGAAAGATAGGGGTCTAGCTTCATTCTTCTGCATGTTCATATCCAGTTTTCCTAGCATCATTTATTAAAGACACTGTCCTTTCCCAATGTGTCTTCTTGGCACCTTCATTGAAAATCAGTTGTAAATGTTTGGATCTATTTATCGATTGCCTGTTCTGCTCCATTGGTCTATGTGTCGGGTTTTTATGCCAATACTATGATGTTTCGGTTGTTAAAACTTTGTAGTGTATTTTGAAGTCATGTAGTGTGATTCCTTCAGCTTTATCCTGTTGCCTCAAAATTGCTCTGGCTATTCAGGGTCTTCTGCGGCTCTACACAAATATAAGGATTTTTTTTCCATTTCTGTGGAGAATGTCATTGGTATCTTGATAGGGATTGCATTGAATCTGTAGATTGCTTTGGACAGTGTGGGCATTTTAACAATATTAATTCTTCCAATCCATGAACACAGGATATGTTTTCATTTCTTTGTGTCCTTTTCAATTTCTTTCATCAATGTTTTATAGTTTTCATTGTGGAGATCTTTTACCTCCTTGGTTGAATTTATTCTGAGGTTTTCAAGCATCATATAAGTTCTCACTCATAAGTGGGAGCTAAGCTATGAGGACGCAAAGACGTAAAAATGATACAATGGACTTTGGGGGACTCGGAGCTGGGTGAGGAATAAAAGACTACACATTGGGTACAGTGTATACTGCTCGGGTGATGGGTGCACCAAAATCTTACAAATCACCACTAAATAATTTATTCATGTAAGGAAACACCACCTGTTCCCCAGAAACCTATTGAAATAAAAAAATTATTCAGAGTTTTTTAATTTTATTTTTTGTAGCTATCAAAAAAGGGATAGTTTACTTGTTTATTGATTTGTATATGTTGAACTGTCCTTGTGTCTCTGGGATGAATCCCACTGTATCATGGTGAAGGATCTTTTCACTATGCTGTTGAATTCAGTTTACCAGTAATTTGTTGAAGACTTTTGTATTTGTGTTCTTCAGGGATATTGGCCTATAGTTTTCTTTTTTGTTGTATTTTTTTTCTAATTTTGATGTCAGGGTAATTCTGGCCTCAAAGAATGAGTTTGGAAGAATTCCCTCCCCTTCCATTTTTTGAGAATAGCTTGAGAAGAAATGGTTAGTTCTTCTTTAAATGTTTGGTAAAATTCAGCAGTGAATCCATTAGGTCCTCAGCTTTTTTTTTGATGGGAGACATTTTATTACTGATTCAATCTTATTACTCATCATTGGTCTGATTAGGTTTTCTATTTCTTCATGATTCAGTCTTAGTAGGTTGCATGTGTCCAGGAGTTAATTCATTTCTTCTAGGTCTTCCAATCCATTAACATATAGTCATTCATAATAGTCTCTTATGATCCTTTGTGTTTCTGTGGTATGAGTTGTAATGTCTTCTTTTTTTATCTCTGATTTTATTTATTTGAGTCATGTATCTTTTTTTTTCATAGTATCTTAGTCCATTTTTTATTGCTATAACAGAAAACCACATGCTAGTTAATTTATTTACAAAAGAAATTTATTTCTGACATTTCTGGAAGCCAAGAAGTTCAAGATCAAGTAGCTCTATCTGATTAGGGTTTTCTTGTTGCATCATAACATGGTGGAGGGTATCACATGGCAAGAGGACTAGAACATACTAGGTTATGTTCCTCTTTCTCTTCTTATAGAGCCACTAATCTTATTATGGGGCCCCACCTTGATGACCTCGTCTAATCTTAATTACCTCCCAAATAGCCCATCAAGTATGAATTTAGGGGTAAATTTTCAAACACATGAAATTTGGGGGACACATTCAAACCATAGTAGTTAGTCTAGTTACATGTTCATCAATTTTTATCTTTTCAAAAAACCAACTCTTTGTTTTATTGATCTTTTGTGTTGATTTTTTGTCTCTATTTCACTTATTTCTGCCTGATTTTTATTATTTCCTTTATTCTACTAATTTGGGATTTCGGTTGTTCTCATTTTTCTAGTTCCTTGAGGTGCAATGTTAGAGTAGTTTTTTTTGTTTTGAGATCTTTCCACCTTTTAGACGTAGGTATTTATTGCTATAAACTTGCCTCTTAGAACTGCTTTTGTTGTATGTATAGGTTTTGAAAAGTTGTGTTTTCATTTCCCTTTATCAGAATAATTTTTAAATTTTTCTTTTTAATTTCTTCATTGATCCATTAGTCATTCAGTAGCATGGTTGTTTAATTTTCATGTATTTGTACAGTTTTCAAAGTTCCTTCTGTTGATTTCTAGTTTTATTCCATTGTGGTCAGAAAAGATACTTAATATAATTTTGATTTTTAAAAAATCACCAAGACTTTTTTTGTGGTATCATATATGATCTATCTTAGATGTTCCATGTGCTGTTGAGAAGAATATGTATTCTGCAGCTGTTGGATGGAATGTTCTGTAACTGCCTGTTAGGTCCATTTGCTCTACAGTGCCATTTAACTGTGATGTTTCTTGGTTGATTTTTGTCTCAATGGTCTGTCAAATGCTACAAATGTGTTGTTGAAGTCCCCTATTATTATTGTATTTCAGCCTATGTCTCATTTTAGGCCTATTAATTTTTGCTTTATATATTTAGGTGCTCCGTTGTTGGATACATATATATATTTATATTAATAAATTTATTTACAATTGTCATATCCTCTTACAATATTGACTTCTTTATCATTGTATAATGGGCTTCTTTGTCTTTTTTTATACTTTTTGACTTTCTTTTATTTGGTATAACTGTAGCTACTCCTGCTGTTTGTTATTTTCCGTTTGCATAGAATATCTTTATGTCTTTCACTTTCAGTTTGTCCTTACAGGTGAAGTGAGTCTCTTGTAAGCAGCATATAGTTGGGTCTTGTTGTTTTAAATCCTTTTAGCCATTCTATGTCTTTTATTTGATAATTTAATTCATTTACATTCAAGGTTATTATTGATAGGTAAGGACTTACTAATGCCATTTTGTTACTTGTTTTCTAGTTGTTTTGTAGATCCCTTCTTTCTTTTTTTCTCTCTTACTGTCTTCCTTTGTGGTGAAATGATTTTTCTCTAGTAGTATGTTTCCTGCTTTTCATTTTTAGTATATGTATTATAAGATTTTGCTTTGTGGCTACCATGAGGTTTACAAAAAACATCCTGTAGTTAAAACAAATTATTTTAAACTGGTAACAACTTAGCTTTCATTGCAAAGAAAAGAAACAAATAAAACCGTACACTTTAACTCCTTTCCCTGCCCACATTTAAAATTTTTGATGCCACAATTTAAATTTTTATATTCTCGATCTCTGAATAAATTACTGTAGTTATAATTATCTTTAATGGTTTTTGTCTTTTAATCTTCATACTAAAGATATACATGGTTTATATACTATGATTACGGTATGAGAGTATTCTGAATTTGTCTGTGTGCTTACTTTTGTCAGTGACTTTTGTGGCTTCAGATGTTTTCTTGTTACATGTTAGCATCCTTTTCCTTCAGTATGATGAACTCCCTTCAGCATTCCTTGTGAGACAGGATCATTCTATCCTGAGGCAGACCACACTTAGAGACCTAGGATGTTGGCCAGTAACCACCAGGAACTACTCCATAATTTCTCTTTGAGGACCAGGCTGATGAGAAGGCCTTGCTTTTAAAAGCATACCCATAAGACTAAGGAAGAATGTCTGTATGTGTTTTAATGGCCAGCTTGGGTTGCAATCCCAATCCTGAACCAATTCCTGCAAGAGGAAGGATTTTAGCTTTAGGATTATTGAGCCTATCTGAGTAGCTGAGTGTGAGGTCAGCTCCTGATGAGGCAAATGCTTCTTCCTTTTAGGAAGTAAGAAAGAAGAGTTGAGGTTGCTTATTAGGTAAATGTTTGAGATGATGGCTATGCTAATTAACCTGATATAATAACTATACATTTTATGTATCAAAACATCACCAGGTACCCCATAAATATGTACAGTTATGTGTCATTTTAAAGATAAAATAAAATAAACAAAAAGATATATTAATTGATTGTAATTTATGGACCTTACTTGAACCCCAAATCAAGCAAACTATAAATAAATAAATAAATAAATAAATAAATAAATAATATATAGTTATATTTATCAGACAGTTGGAAACTTGAATGCTGAATACAGATTGGATATTAATGAATTATTGATAACTAAATTAGGGTATGGTAATGGCATTAGAAATATGTTTTTAAAAAATGCCTTTGTCCTTTAGATATATATATAGAGAGAAATATTTATGGGAAAAAATATTTAAGTCTGTAGTGGGTACTATGGTATGCCTCCCACATCTACTCACTCCCCTCCCAGGACTGAAGTACTCACTCCTGTAGCTACTGAGAGGTTTGGCTATTGACAGCTCGTAGCTCAGATGCTCAGATCCCCTCTGGAAATTGTTCTCTGAGCAATCCTGCTTCTTTCACTTCCCCACAGGCATTGATCCCAAGAGCAACACCCAATAAACGTCCTGCATACAAAAAAGGAAAGAGAGAGAGAGAGAGAAAAGGAAAAGAAAAGAAAGAGAAAGGCCAGAAAGACAAATCTATACTCTGCATGGCCTTTGAAATGCTTAATTTCTTTGAACTAAGGTTTTGTCTTTTCTAAAATATTGAGCATGAAGATGAGAAGGGTTAAATGAGATTGTTGTGTTTATTCATAGCAAATTCATAGTAATAGGTAAACAGCTTTTCATTTTCAAATGTAATTTGAACACCTCCTCTTTAGCTCATGTAAATGATTGTAATTTTGCAGCATGGCTTTATGCACATCTCTAGTTCTGGTCTTCAGTCTGTACAAAGGGTAGTCTACTGGGAACATGTCTGGGTGAGTGCACTAAATAACAAAAACACAAAAAATTACATCTTTCCATTCCACTGGTTGTACACTTCAGACTCCATCTGCCATGTACTAGAGAGAGAAACAACAGTTCAGCTGATGTGTGCTTCTAAAATCCAGCCATCACTAGGAGGTTTCATCATTTGGGAATAACAAGGCTTTGTCAAAATATCCATATGTAACCAAACACTAATATTTACCCTAATAGGGAAAAATCCATATTTTATTTTATCTGGCAACAGAACAGGATGTATTTTGCAGATTGGTGACCAGTTTCTGATTTACAAAAGAATGGATATCCCCTGTCTCTGTCTGTCTGTCAGGAGATGGTGCCTCATCTGTCAGAACTGTTCATACAGTGCTCCACACCTCCTTCTAGCTACCTGGATCAGAGCCACCGCATCTTCTTCCTTTACTTGTTCTGCTCTGGGCTTCCCTCTTCACCATTATTATTATGTTTTTTTTTTTTAAGTCACTATTTTTAAGTAATTCAGGTTTATAGAACAGTTGCTAAAACTGTTACTAGAACTCCCATATATCCTTCAGCCATTTCCAAATATTAACATTTTACCATAATATTTTTCTCATTACCCTTTTCTATCTATAATCTATCCTTTGAAAAATGAATTTAAACTGTACTATCATCAGATTTAATTTCCTAACACTCTGCTTTTATCACAAACAAAATCCTTCTATATCTAACATCACCCAGAATTCTTAACGTTAAAATTTAAGATCCATTCTAGTCTCTCTTCAGCCCAACTCCTCCAACCTTATCCTCTGGGATCCCCCGTCTCCAGTATTCCTCTGCTGCAAGGAGGAGGTCCACCTGCTGTGCCATGAATATATCTCTTTACTGTATCCCAAACAAATTTGTGCTGTTTGAATTTTTCACCATGAGCATAAGATGAAACATTATTGAAAATATATTTACACACAAGCCATTAAACTTACAGAACTGCTAAAAGACACAGCTAATCAACAAACGTATTTGATGCAAAAATGTTATACACAGAGCAGATAGCTAAGAGTAGAGGTACTCATATAAGAAGTCTTCTCCTAATTGGAAAAGGCTCATCTAGGGGAAAACACACTAGAAAAGCTTGGAGTTTGTGAAGCTTCTTCTGGGAGTGTCAGTCCACAATTAATCTGCCTCAAAACTCCTGCTTATTCTGCAGGTTCCAGCTCAAACAGCAACCTCCCTGGAAAGGTCCCTCCCACCCCAAGTCTCCAAGGCAGGGACTCTTCCCCTTTGGGCCCATCAGACTGTATACAACCCTATTGTACAACTGTCCTATTGTAATTGTCAGTTTGCCTTACTAAACTGTAAGTTCCTTGAGGGCAGGGATCACGCCTTTTGTCTTCTCATTCCCAGAGCAGTGCATGATGCATAGAAGTCACTCAATAAATATTTGGCAAGGTTAATCACTTTCTGCTGCTCAGACCAGGCTGCCATTCTTCCTGCCTGGTGCGTTAATTTTGACACAGATCATTTGGTTGGCCTGCAAACTGTGTCAAAATGTCAACCACTTTTTCAGGTAAGACCGTGTACCTGACGGCAGCTAACCTGAATTGCACGCATCACATCTTGCAGGAAATATGTCTCTGAAAGGATCATCTTAGAAGATCCAAACTTGTAAAATGATGACAGCCTGAGAGGTGCTGTTTTGACTGGTATATACACCTTCTGTACATATTAATAATAATTTTCTGAATATCACTTCCTATGTGTAAAGTGCTTCCACAAAATATACCCCTTTTGATCCTAGCAGCAACCCTTTGTCAGGTATAGACACTATTTTTATTGTTTGCTCTATTTTACAGAAAATGAATTTTAATCAACTGCTCATGCTAACCCAGGTAGTAAGTGAAGGAGCTGGGAATCAATCCCAGGTCTTCTGGTCCCAGTTGAACTGTAAGCTCCTTGAATCAGGGTGCATTTCTTACACCTCTTTATGTATTCCTGTTAATACCCTCTAACCAAGCTGTATGTATAGGAGGTAGGCCTGCCATGAATATACATGAAATGCATCAGTGTTGGGCAATTGGTCATCAGATCAAAAATGGACAAAATGGAGGAAGATCACCTGTACCTAGCTTCAGGTAGTCGGCAAGAAGTGAGAGGACACTCAGGCCAACCTAGAGTTTTATCATCTCTAACTCCCTTCCCCATTTTTCTTCTACCTTAACCCGTATTCCATAAGAAGATGTTCAAAGGGTGTCAGTCCCTACACTGACAGTAGATGGTCACAAATTTCTACCACTCTATGTAAAATTTATTGTAGGAGATCCTTATTTCCAAAACTCTCCTAACTAAAAAAAAAAAGACAAATTTGAAAAAACAGACTTAATGTCAATGATATGGGGGAAAAAGAAAAGGACAGGATTAAAGTTCATATTTCTTCCTTGGTTTTGGCTTACTGAATAATTAATAAATATATGACTAGGTTATATGCCTACATAATTTTAACAGCTCATAGGAGAGAATTTGATATAGTGTAATTTAGGAGGAAATAATGGCACAAAGAGACTCTGATTTGCTTCTAAAGGGATGCTTGTTTTGACTTACTATCTATTCTAGTTTAGTTATATTTTTCTGCTCAGGTTAAATTAGAGTCATTCTGGATCTCTCTCATCATCACTCTAGAATCTCTCGGTGGGATTTTGGGGCCAGTCCTCACTCGAGTGAGCTGTGCTATCAGCTGTCTTCTGCAGGCAGTGAATCTGCAGAAGAGAAGTCAGCCTCTTCAGACGTGGGCAAAGCCTGGTGAGTAATACAGAAACATGAGTATGACTACTGTGGTAGGATGGTGGGACCCACGGCAAAGCTTTTCTTTATTCATAATTTTTTTTCAAAGCTGAGTTTCCAATTGAAAAAATAATTAAAACACTGTACTTGATTTTATAGAGATTGTTTTAGAATCAGAAACAATTATCCTTGGGCAAGGCGCTTAATCTTGCTAAATCTTAGCTCTATTTACATCATAGGATTATTTTACAGATCAAAAGAGGTCTGTCTTTAATAAAGACTAGAAACTGGGGTGGAGGCAGCCTGGGAGTAACTGGGAGCTGTCAGGGGTCTACACTAGTGCAGGGAAACAGGCAGAGGAAAGGGTGAGGCAGGCAAACTCTGACAAGAATCCATCTGTGGGTATTTGGCACAAGTAATAGTAATTATATGATGTTGTTGGGGTTGATAACATTTATTGCATGTTTGCTATTAAGGTATCATGGTAAGGAGTTTATGCACCAATTTATTTATTTATTTCTCATAATCTTCTACCTGGGAGGGAAGTACAAAGAGAAAACCGAAACTCAGAAATAAGCCTAGATTTTCAAGCTAAGCAATTGCAGAGCTGCTCCTGCAACCCAGGTTGTGCAAGGTAGTGGTTGAGAGCATGGATTTTGGAATCCAACTGTTTTTTCTTTACTTATGAGCCATGTGACCTTCAAGGGTTTACTTTTTTTCTCTGTGCCTCTGTTTCCTCATTTTGGAATAGGGATGTAATATCATGTGTTTTGGGGAGTTTTTCTAAGAATCATACAAATTATTATATAAAATACTGGCCTATTCCAAACCTTTCAACATATATCAAGCACTCAGTCAAGTTGTTTCCATGATACCTGAAGGGACATCTGAAGAATTCAGAATCTGAGTGGGGCCCCATTCTTAGCCAGATGTCTAGAAACCAGGGTCTTCTGGCTGACTTTGCCTGAGGGGGACTATGTCCTGGCTCCTGACCCCATCGCAGTGTTGACCCCATTCTCTGGCTCAGATAATTCTGAGTTCACCTTGCCTGATCTTGACCTGCTATGAGGTCCTGAGGCTAATTCTGCACATCCTCTCAATGCCCTGGCCTTGGAGTGATGGCTTGTGCCAGGGACTGCAAGTCTCATTTATGTGAATGTTCCTATCTCTGGGAGAACAGAATGTGAGGGAGAGGGCCTCTGTGCGAGGCCCAGGTCCTTTGCATCAGAACCTTGGGCCGCTGGGTGCTGGGGGAAGTTTGTGGAGCAATGCTGGGAATGGAGAGGTTGTTGCTGCAGGGACCCTAGGAGCCAGGTGAGGGGCAGATTCTACTCTATGGAAGGGCGTGATTAACAGATAAGGAAACTTCAGCCCTTTGAGATGTCCTGGGCTGTGCCCCTCCTCAAAGCAAGGGGAGAAGAATTTGTAATGGAGGAACTCATACACTGGTATGAGCTAGTTTCTCCCCAGAATCTCAGCAAGGAGGCTTTGGACTCTGTCCCATGTGACAAAGGCCGAAGATTTGCCTCTGGAATTGAGGTCCTCTGAAAGAGAGAAAAAGGACAGTGCTAGGGTGTCTCTTGGCTCCAGAGCAGAACCACTCTTGGCTTTGCAGGATCAGGCTTACAACTTATGTTACTCTCTCTGCCAGGTGGGAAGCCTATACTGAGGCCCATCAAAACTACTTGGGGCTGAAGGCTTTCTGCGGTAGGCACCTTTTGGGATAGGCTGCAGGCTTCCCAGTAAGCAGGGCAGGGGAGGTCAAGTTGCAGCTGGCGGGTGCAGCCCATATCCACAGCTGCATTGGAGCAAAGATAGGCAAGGGGCAAGGGAGTCAAGGTCATTGGCAAAGGGGTGGTTGGTGCAAGTGGACAGGCAAGTGAAAAGAGGAGGGGCTGGCTGTCAGAAGAGGTCCATGCCACAGTGTGTCAGTGCAGCTGTCAAACAGTATCATAGGAATCAGGGATGAGAACAGGAAGGATAAGAGTGTAACATTATTAATCAGTGCATTCTAAGTGCAAGGCATGGTTCTAAGTGCTTTACATCTATTAAGACATTTGATCCTTGAGGTAGCCTATTACTATTCCTGCTTTGCAGATGAATAAAGTAAGCGACAGAAAGGTCTAGTGTTGCTGAGACCATTCAACAATTAGTGAGAGGTTAGAACTTGGATTTGAACCCAGGCAGGCTGGCCGCAGAGATCAAGCTCTTAACACTTTTTCTCCCCTGTAGAAGACTCCGGGCATGAGAGCTGAGGTACCTGCTGCAGGCAGAAATGGGTGGAGGTGGGGGTTTGAGGAACAGTGGGGTGGTAGAGTAGGAAGGATATTAAGAACAAACTTCACTCATCTCACAATTTTTTTCCAGGCATTAGCCTGAAAATGTAAATTCTGCATAAATCAAGGCTTAGAGAAAATGTCCTAATGCAGTTTACTATGAGGTATTAGTGCTGTAACTATACCAGGAATCAAATATATCTGCCCATATTCCAGAATTTTTTTCCAAAGATGGATATTATAAGGATGCTGTTAAAAAATAAAATAGTAAGTACATTTTCCCTTAGAAAGGGAACAAATAAAAATAATTTGTAAGACAAATAACTTGAGATAAAAGCATAGGAAAATTTAAGAGCTGTGAATGGAACATCTGATGTGGCTTTGTTTCCATATAGATCATGTGACAGGAAACTCCAAACAGCCTAATCAGTTCTGTTCTTTGTGTTTCCATTCACCATAATGTGGTCATGGTCATGATATCACTTTTGTTCCAATGAACAGAAATCCAGAAAGGGAAAGGATCAGGTGAGGCTGGTTGGAGGAGAGGAGGGAGGTTTACTGATATTCTGCTGCTGTTTATCCAGACTGCATTTTCCTTGTACAATAGGCCACTCTGGAGTGCCTCCTCTTCTCAAGAGGAGAGAATATTAATGGAGTATTAAAGAAGGTTTAGGGAGCACTTACTGTGTAAGTAAGTACTTCAAGGAACTTATAATCTTATGAAAGAGAAAGACATGTCTACAAAGCAGGACAAAGTGAGAGATGCCCAACAGAGGCAGATGCAAAGATGAAGCTCTGATTAGATCTAGCTTTCAAGGGCCCCCTTATGGGCGGGGCAGACCCTGCTGTTCTTACCAACTGCTTTCTCTCTCTTGGTTCCCTGGGACCCTCCCCGATGAAGTCTGGCTTGCAGGCAGCTTTCCTTTTGCACACTTTGAGCGCTCCATGAGGGAAGATGGCTCAGGTGGATAATATGATTTTCGTTGAGATAAACCCAGAGGTGTGGGCCTAATGCATACGTGGTGAAACCTGGACAGATGGAATGGTCCGGGGGTAACGTGCATGTTCCTAGGAGATTGGGTCCGGGACCAAGATTGAGGATCCAAGAAAAGAGGTTGCAGTCCTGTAGGAAGGCTGGCTAAATGGGGACTGTGGAAGACACGTTCAGTGTTGGGCCATGGGGAACAAGAGAAGAAGGCACACAGTGAGGAGGAGGGATGGGTTAAGGATGGTGTTGGATGAGTGTCCACAGCACAGTTGCCCTGGGCCTGCCTTCCTGTCTCCTCCCTGCCTCCTCAAGATCTGTTCCCAGAGGCTTAGCTGGAACCAAACATTTGCAAAATGGATTCTGTTTTTACGTCTTCCTAACATTATGCTTTCTGACATGCTTTATCATTTTCACTGATCCTCAATTGTGAGTGTTTTCACAAACTTTAGTGTTCACTAACTTTGTCTATTTCATCCTCTCCTCCCCAAGCCTCATTCCTCCAGCTCACACATATATACTCTTAAATATAAAGGGCAAAGTTTTTGTTTAAAGGAACACTCGAAAAATTTCTACTTAAAATTTTTAATGGATTTGCCTACTAATTGTGGGAAGGCAGAGTGAAATCAGGCCATCTATGTTCCATTAAGGCTCATCCACTTCATACCAGGGTGACTTCAAGCAACTTACTTAAATTCAATCAGCCTCTGTTTTCCCATTTGCAAAGTAGGGCTGATAATAATGAAACTCACCTTACTTAGAGTTGCACTAGGAATTAGAGATAATATATGCAAAGACCCTGGCCTGGTGCCTGGTAATGGCTCTTGGTCCAGGCACCTCTTCATTGGAAAGAGGAGTGAAAGTAGATAGAGGTGGAAATTCTTGAAATGAGTTTAAATTCTGAATTCACTATGTTTCAATATGGAATTACCAAGTTACCTTAGACCCAAAACACATATACACACCCAGGAATCCCACCAGACAGAAAGCTTTTATGATATCTAAAATCAAATAATGGATAACTATTCATATTGTCTTAAAAGAGGTCATTTCTGCACTTTTCAAAACTCTGAAAGCAACCCACAGCACAGTCCTGGGAATGTGTAACTCTTACATCATGAGAATTGGCTTAGAACTTACACAGCTTGCAAGCCTTTCCTCTTTTGGGGGAAATTTAATATTTCATGGGTTGTTGGAGTGAGAATCAAAATAAGCTTAGTTTTCATTGTGAAATGAGATCCTGTTTTCTGTGTGTCTTAATGCATTGGAATCTAATTCTCGTGAGCTCAGGATTCTTGTCTTGTCTTGCTTTTTACTGTATCCCCATTCTCTGGAACAGTACTTGGCACATAGTAGGACTCAATAAATATTTCCAGAGTAAAACATGTATAATCATATTATTTCCAGTAAATTGTTTAAGGAGGCAAGTAGACCTCTGTTTATATCTATGTTATCTGTATATCCTTTCTTTCTGGATTTCTGACTACATTGGTAATTTAAAAAAGTGTGAATAGATGAATGCCCCCTCTCGGGGCCTGCATGGAAAGATCACAATGGCTGATGGAGGAGTGCCAGCCTGTGGACTTGGGGGAGGCACACTATGTGTAACGTGCTCCAAGAGGCATGAGAAATTGCCTGAGAATTCCTCCATGGCACCCTGAGAGTGGCTCAGAGGGGACTGAGAATGCGCTGGCCCATCCAGAAAAGCTTGGCATCAGAACCAAGAAGAAGCAGATGGGGGCCCAGTGACCAGAGGCCATGGCAGGATATGAGCATCAACAGTGAGGCCAGTTCATAGGCACAGGGACCAGATGAAGGCCACTAAGCCACTGCTCAGCAGAGCCAGTCACCCCAGGCAATGGATCTTGGTCCAGTACCTCCTCATTGGAAAGAAGAGTGAAAGTAGATAGAGGTGGAAACTCTTGAATTCACTGAGTTTAAATTCTGAATTCACTATATTTAAATATGGAATTACTGAGTTTATCTTAGACCACCCTCCACACACATACACACACACACACACACACACACACACACACACAACTTTACCCAGGAATCTCACCAGACAGAAAGGTTTTATGATATCTAAAATCAAGTGCTTAAAATCATATGATTTCGAAAATAACATGAGTAACAAAACAAAATCTTAAAACATCTGCTCTCTAAAAATCTTTGTAAATTGGTTTTCTCTGGCAGCTATGAAGGTCACAGTTAATTTAATAACTAATTATTTATCAGAAATGTAGCTGCTTGTCAGAATCATGACCAGGTTGAACTTTGGTCCGAGTTGGCAGTTTCTAGAGAAGCAGGTAGCTGAGGTGAAAACCTAGCCAGCATCTGGCTTTGTTCTCAGTAGGGTGTTACAACTTTGAGGGCAGTGACTTGCAGCTGCTGCAGGTGATACTTCAGGCAGGTTCATGATGCTCACGTGACACTAGGAGACCCTTGGCTCTCAATGGATGTTGTACCTTATCGTTTTGATTGTCCTTGGTTTTCCACAAGCACCATAAGATGGATCGTGCTGGTGTAGGCAGAGACTGTCAACTTGCGATCTGGGTTGAGGGACACTCAGAAGTTCAGGAGGACATGTACGTGGTATGAATAAAAGACTGGGGTTGGGGAAAACTTCTAGACCTCAGAGTGGGATGGACAATATGCAAGGAACAAGGCCTGAGCCATTAGTAGAAACCCAGTTATCAGACCTTGGACTAACCTCACTGCTAAGCAGACTAGATGCTGAGCCTCACCATATATGGCTGATTTGTTACATACTTTTGCATCAGATCAAGATGGGGCCTGAGAACTGGGAGCAAGGGCAACACTGCTGGGGCAGATTCTGGATGCCTTGAACAGAAGCAGCCTGGGTTGGCGGGTCCATAGAAGTGTCTGCTGCCTTGAATTGCAAAGTAACAGTGTGATAAGGGTCCCACATGCCTCTGTATCCTATTACTACAACTAGACTGAAAGGCAGGCCAATGTTGCACGCTTCTTCCCATGAAGCATACCACCTGACCTTTTGTTGATGCTCAATAAATATATGCTATGGATTGATGGGTCTTGGTTCCATCAGTTTTCCAAAAAAGATAAAAAATCACTTTTTAGGTAGTTTGCTATATGAAAAAAAGTTATTGTCCTGGTTCCCTGCATGTGAGAATCAAAATAAGTTCAGGTTTTGTTGTGAAATATGATCCTGTTTTTGTATGTCATGATGCATTAGAATTTAAATGCATTTCCCATGCATTTTCCAGCAAGGAAAATGACAAGAGAAGAATCATGGAGCTGGAAGCATGATCTAGGGGGTCTCACTGGGAAGGGAAGGTGTATGGGATCAGGGGTCATGGTCCAGTCAGGAAGCATGAGGAGCACTGTAGAGATGCTCTTGCTCTTCCCTGCCACAGACTCCCATGGGTTTGGATGTCTCTGGAAGATGGATCTAAAGGTAGAGCTGGACTCTGGGCTTTGCACCACTTCTCAGGCCACCAACATTTATAGTCATGCATATGCACACTTTAGGTTTTGCTCACCAAATACTCCATGTCCTCTGTTCCCAGAAACCTTATGCTCAAGGAACCCCTGTCTTCACCTGAATCCGCCTCTTGAACTCCTGAGTCCCACCAGGACTCAGGATGCATAGGACAAGGCCTGGATCTCCTTCTTGGTTGTCCCTGGTTGTCACTGTTGGGGAGGGCTGGACTTTGGCTTGGCATGATTCAGAGATAATGGGAGAGAAGTAGAGATTCTTCATTTGTGCCTGGGAAGGCCAAAGGACGTGGTGCTGGCCTCCACTCTGAAGCTCTGTGGAGGTCACAGGCAGGAGGTCCTGAGCAGCAGGAGGATGTCAAGAAGAGCTGATGGGCATCCAAGTACTAGAGGCAGAGGGAATCAGAGAAGGGATGTAGATCCTAAGGGGAGCCTGAGGCCAGAACAAAATCAGGGTGAGGGTAGGGAAGGAGGGTGGAATTGGCCAGGTCGGTTGGCTCAATTCAAAGGCATAAAGTCCTGAGAGACACCAAAGCTCTGAGAAGATCACAGTTCACTTTTGAAGTAGTTATGTCCTTGGAAGGTAGAAAGAGCCTATATGAAAGTTCCAGTGGAGAATCTGAAGGAACAGCTGAGATTCACACCTGCATAGCTCTTTACTCTTTGTAGCCTCCATGTTATTATAGTGATGACACCTGTCTATGCCTAGTGTGGCAACATGGAAAGAGTCCTAGCTAGGATTTGAGGGGCCCCTGGGCTCTACACTGGAAAGACACTTAACTCTCTGAGCCTCAGTATACTTATCTGTAAAACAGGACAATAACAATGCCCTAAATGTGCTTGTGAGATTGGATGAAATAATGTATTTAAAGATATATTTTTTAGAAGCTTAAGAGCCAAAACCACTTGAGAGAATGAGTCATAATTCTTTATTTCTTTAGCTGCAGGAGGGGTTGTTATGCACTGAGAATGTGCAAAAAACACTGATGTCTTAAATTTATTTCACATTTTTTTTCTCTTTTGCTTCAAATAATAGGGGACTCTGAAGCCAAGTTGAGAAAGCTAAAGGAAGACATCAATAAAATGTCTGTTAGGCCAGGCATGGTGACTCACACCTGTAATCCCAGCACTTCGGGAGGCCGAGGTGGGTGGATCACCTGAGATCAGGAGTACAAGACAAGCCTGGGCAACATGGTGAAACCCTGTCCCTCCGAAAAATACAAAAATTAGTCGGGCATGGTGGCAGGAGCTTGTAATCCCAGTTACTTGGGAAGCTGAGACAAGGGAATCGCTTGAACCCGGGAGGCAGGGATTGCAGTGAGCCAGGATTGCACCAGTGCACTTCAGCCTGGGCTACAGAGTGAGACTCCGGCTCCAAAAAATAAATAAATAAAAATAAATAAATAAAACGTCTGCTAGACTGTGAGCAGGACCTAGTCTCCCGGTAAGATATTTACATTTCCACTTACTGTTGATACTAAGAGTAAATACTGATGTAAGACTGGATATTAAATAGACAGAAAAGGCTTACCGGGTCTTGATAACAGGCTACTTGAACTACATTTCTTTTTTTTTTTTTTTTTTTTCTTTTTTTTTTAATTATTATACTTTAAGTTTTAGGGTACATGTGCACATTGTGCAGGTTAGTTACATATGTATACATGTGCCATGCTGATGCGCTGCACCCACTAACTCGTCATCTAGCATTAGGTGTATCTCCCAGTGCTATCCCTCCCCCCTCCCCCCACCCCACAACAGTCCCCAGAGTGTGATATTCCCCTTCCTGTGTCCATGTGATCTCATTGTTCAATTCCCACCTATGAGTGAGAATATGCGGTGTCTGGTTTTTTGTTCTTGCGATAGTTTACTGAGAATGATGATTTCCAATTTCACCCATGTCCCTACAAAGGACATGAACTCATCATTTTTTATGGCTGCATAGTATTCCATGGTGTATATGTGCCACATTTTCTTAATCCAGTCTATCATTGTTGGACATTTGGGTTGGTTCCAAGTCTTTGCTATTGTGAATAATGCCGCGATAAACATACGTGTGCATGTGTCTTTATAGCAGCATGATTTATAGTCCTTTGGGTATATACCCAGTAATGGGATGGCTGGGTCAAATGGTATTTCCAGTTCTAGATCCCTGAGGAATCGCCACACTGACTTCCACAATGGTTGAACTAGTTTACAGTCCCACCAACAGTGTAAAAGTGTTCCTATTTCTCCACATCCTCTCCAGCACCTGTTGTTTCCTGACTTTTTAATGATCGCCATTCTAACTGGTGTGAGATGGTATCTCATTGTGGTTTTGATTTGCATTTCTCTGATGGCCAGTGATGATGAGCATTTTTTCATGTGTTTTTTGGCTGCGTAAATGTCTTCTTTTGAGAAGTGTCTGTTCATGTCCTTCGCCCACTGTTTGATGGGGTTGTTTTTTTCTTGTAAATTTGTTTGAGTTCATTGTAGATTCTGGATATTAGCCCTTTGTCAGATGAGTAGGTTGCGAAAATTTTCTCCCATTTGTAGGTTGCCTGTTCACTCTGATGGTAGTTTCTTTTGCTGTGCAGAAGCTCTTTAGTTTAATTAGATCCCATTTGTCAATTTTGTCTTTTGTTGCCATTGCTTTTGGTGTTTTAGACATGAAGTCCTTGCCCATGCCTATGTCCTGAATGGTAATGCCTAGGTTTTCTTCTAGGGTTTTTATGGTTTTAGGTCTAACGTTTAAGTCTTTAATCCATCTTGAATTGATTTTTGTATAAGGTGTAAGGAAGGGATCCAGTTTCAGCTTTCTACATATGGCTAGCCAGTTTTCCCAGCACCATTTATTAGATAGGGAAACCTTTCCCCATTGCTTGTTTTTCTCAGCTTTGTCAAAGATCAGATAGTTGTAGATATGCGGCGTTATTTCTGAGGGCTCTGTTCTGTTCCATTGATCTATATCTCTGTTTTGGTACCAGTACCATGCTGTTTTGGTTACTGTAGCCTTGTAGTATAGTTTGAAGTCAGGTAGCGTGAGAGCCAAATCATGAGTGAACTCCCATTCACAATTGCTTCAAAGAGAATAAAATACCTAGGAATCCAACTTACAAGGGATGTGAAGGACCTCTTCAAGGAGAACTACAAACCACTGCTCAAGGAAATAAAAGAGGATACAAACAAATGGAAGAACATTCCATGCTCATGGGTAGGAAGAATCAATATCGTGAAAATGGCCGTACTGCCCAAAATAATTTATAGATTCAATGCCATCTTCATCAAGCTACCAATGACTTTCTTCACAGAATTGGTAAAAACTACTTTAAAGTTCATATGGAACCAAAAAAGAGCCTGCATCGCCACGTCAATCCTAAGCCAAAAGAACTACATTTCTTAACCAACTGTGTTTCTGCTTACCCAGAAAAACAAGATTGCTGTTGCTATTGGTTTTTGCTAAATTCCCTTGATAATCCTATCACAATTCCACTTCTTTTAGTGTTTTGTAAATATAATAGTATCTTCATGGGATATTTTGAACTACAAATGTTTAAAAGAATTCTGATGACATAGTTGCACAGCCATATTAACAGGGTGGCCTTGTTTCCAAGTGGGGTTTTCTGACTGAATAGGGGTTTCAGGGCTTCCTTATAAACCGTCAAAATGCTAAAAACAGTGAAAGGAGATGTCTACTAATTAAAATAAGAATAGTTCCTAAAGAACTAGGTTCACCTGAATGACAAAAGTTTTTAAAGGTGACACCAGGGGGAGATCTAATAAAAGCAACAGGAGTTCTAGTACAATTTTAAAGAATTAAGATAGCAATAGTGGATATGGTATCTAGTAGAAAAGCTTCGGAATTGGAATTGGAAGTTTCAGGGTCTGCAGATTAAACAATATGCCTATATTTGTACCATTTTATCAGAAAAACGTACTGAAATTATTTTAGTATGAAGACTGTGCTAACTTTTTAGACAGTTAGAGACCCAAAAGGAGAAGCCACAATCCTACCACCTGTTCACAACTGTTAAAATCTTTTCACATTTTCTGCCACCTTTGTCTATGTGGGAGACCAGAATAGGCTGCCCCCAAATATGAAGGATTGTTGAGCTGAGGACAATTAAGAAGCAGATGCAGGAAAGCTCTCTTCTCTCTATTTGCCTAAGAGCAGGACATAGATTTCCAAAGAATGTGTCCTGTCCCATCTTCTGCCAAGGAGAATGAAGGTTAACCACTGCAGACAGCTTTAGATGCATCTCGCTTCTCTGCCTGGAGATGGTACCAGAGGAAGCTACAAGAACAAGGTTTGCTAAGTACCCTTTAGTGTGTTAAATTAAGTTTAGCCCAATGCTGCCTCTTTATGTATTTTAAGTTCAGCCTACAGGCTGAACTCCAAACTTAGTGAACTGTAACCTAACTGGGTGTGTGAACCTAACTGGATGTAATCTACTCAGGCCAATCACTGAGTTTCAGCCAATGAAAGGCAGCCAACTGTTCAAACCATATTAAAAAAAAAAAAAAAAAAAAAAGCAAACACCAAGCAGTAACCAATTCAGCTGTTTCTGTACCTCATTTCTGTTTTCTGTACATCACTTTCCTTTTTCTGTCTATAAATCTTTTTCTACCATGAGGCAGGCCAGAGTCTCTCTGAACCTGTTTTGGTTTGAGGGCTGGCCAATTCACGAATCATTCTTTGCTCAATTAAACTCTGTTAAATTTAATTTGTCTAAGTTTTTCTTTTAACATCTGCCAGCTATTTGCCTTCCTCCAAGTTGCTGCCCGTAGAGACTCAAAGTCCTTTTCCTTGGTCTTATCTTATCACTTCTCTAAAATTTTATTGTTCTTTGTTGAAGATGCTACGTAAGCTGAATTTGAAGGCCACTCTTTCAGAACTACTCATTTCCTGGGCGTCTCCTATGTATTTATGAAACATACATGCTCATAAACTTTGGTTTATTTTTCTCTTGTTAATCTGTCTTTTGTAACAAGGGTCCTTTTCAACTAAGAACCTCTGGGGGTAATTATTTTGCCCTTGTATATATTTAGTTACTTTTCAAAGTTACAACTGTATACTTCGTACAATGTTATGCATTTTCATATTGTTACAGTCTATATAGTAAATGGGGGAGTTTTTCATTCACTTTTTTTTTTTTTTTTTAAGAGAGGGTCTTTCTCTGACCCGCAGGCTAGAGTGCAGTGGTGTGATCATAGCTCACTGCAGCCTTGCACACCTGGCCTCAAGCAATCTTCCTGCCACAGCTTCCCAAAGCACTGGGGTTACAGGTGTGAGCCACTCTGCCTGGCCATGATCATGGCTTTTAATGCACATATGTGGCTTTCTTGCTTTCTTCACTGGCATCTTCCTCTTGTCCCACAACATATTATTCAGAATTTTTCTTTGTTAAAAAAAAAAAAGTCTTTTTTAGTTCTTTATTTTAAATAGAAAGGTTTGATCTATATTGCCAAGTGAAAAAAAGCAAGGCTCAGAGGGGAAAAAATGTATGTGGAATGATACTTGCCCCTTAGAAGTCAGGTATCTTCTTTGATTAGAGCAAGTATTGATTTTTGAGACTCCTCTAGTTAGGAAAGGTTGTCATTCTACCAACAGCAAAGCTTTTGTGATCTTTTTAGCAATTCTTTGGCAGCTTTCTCTTTTCCCCGGGAACTCTTGTCTTCTCCATATTTCTTAATCTAATAAAAAATTATTTTCATGTTCTGCCCTAGGAGTCAGCTCTGTGAAGTCATAGCTGACTTTCTAGTTCAATATCTAATAGCTACCCATGTAAAGGACTCAAGGAAGGATTGATACACACCTTAGACCTGAAGCTAGAACTCATCCTTAGTACTATACTTCTATATACTAAATCACTTCCATACTGCAGTTATTGGTCTGCCTGAGTTACTTTAGCCCTCTGAATTAATCTCAACTATCTGAGGCAAGATAATATTGTGCATTTTTATTTCTGCATCGTGTTAGCAGACCAATATTTCTTAAGCAAAAAAGCAGACATGATTAAAGTATTTTGACTAGGTCCCTCCACCTTTCAGATAAAGGACTGTCAGAACTTGACAGAATCAACCAGGCGGTCGCTTCACTTTTCTAAACCATGTCTTCAACTGTGCCATTCACCCCTTCCTTCCCCCTTGAGGGCAGTCAAAGTTCTTGCTCTCATCTGTCTTCCCTCTTTTTGGCAATGTGTAGCTCAGCACTCTGAACGCTAACCTGGTACATAGTAGGTATTCAATAAATTTATCAAGTGAATGGATGAAAAGAATGAATTCTTACAAAACAAATTACTGAGATGCTATAGAAAGTGTTTCACATCAGACTTCCTTTAAATCCTGTAATGTTGTAAAGTATATATTATTATGCCCATTTTACAGAGGAAAAAATGAAGGCTCAGGGAACAAAGTGACTTTTTTCAGGTTTACCTATCCACTTGTGGTAGCCTGTATAATCCCCCCCACCCCGACCCTCACCAATGATATCCACATCCTAATCTCTAGAACCCACAGATATGTTACCTTATGTGGCAAAAGGAGCTTTGCAGATGTGGTAAATTAAGGCTGTTGAGATGGGAAGATTATCCTGGATTATTGGGGCGAGCCCAGTGTAATCACGAGGGTTCTCATAGAAGTGGGGCAGAGGGGTCAGCTGGATAGAGGAAGGCAAGGTGAAGACAAATGCTGAGGGGAAGGAATGAATGCAGGTGGCCTCCGGAAGCTAGAAAAGGCAAGGATAATGGATTGTTCCCCACAGCTGCCAAGCGGAATGCATCCTGCCCACATCTTGACTGCAGCCTGTAAAACCCACTTTGGACTTCTGATCTCCAGAATGGTAAGAGAGCAAATCTGTAGCAAATTTATGTTGCTGTAAGCCACTAAATTTGCAGTCATTTGTTACAGCAGCTACAGAGAGAACTAGTAAACTCCCATAACTGGTATTTGAAAGGGCAGGACTCATAAGAACAATCTTACAGCAAGTTAGTCTTTATTTTACCACTACCTCTTCACTCCTGCTGTGGGGTGGTTCTTCCCCAGCTTTTTCTCAGGCAGACCTCATAGCTTCTCCCATGTATAATAATAAAAGTCTCCAGTTGGCCAGGCATGGTGGCTCATGCCTATAATCCCAGCACTTTGGGAGGCCAAGGCAGGTGGATCACCTGAGGTCAGGAGTTCGAGACCAGCCTGACCAATATGGTGAAACCCCGTCTCTACTAAAAATACAAAAATTAGCCAGGCATGGTGGCTGGCGCCTGTAGTCCCAGCTACTTGGGAGGCTGAGACAGGAGAATTGCTTGAACCTGGGAGGCAGAGGTAGCAGTGAGCTAAGATCACGCCACTGCACTCCAGCCTGGGCGTGAGAGCGAGACTCCGTCTCAAAAAAAAAAAAAGTTCCCAGTTACTTTCATCCTCAGAATAGTCTCACATCAATAATTAATATGTCCAATGCTATGCAAAACCAAAAAAATCCCTAAACTTTAATCATAAAGCATCTCCCTTTCCCCAGCCAAGGACCTACAGTGGGAGCAACACTGCTGTGGTCCACTTTGGCTCAGCAATTTGGCTATTATCTTTCTCTCCTGATTTCTTGGAAGGCCAGATGACAACTCGGTTTCACCTTGGTGATGTGGGACTTTAGCATGGGTGACTCCATTTTGGTTTTTAGTCTGATCTGTTGGGGCCTGGTGCAAGAGCTTAGTCCAAAACAGTGGCCTCCTATAATTTTTATTTAACATGAATAATCTGAACACCATTTTTCACAACCAGGGAGGAAAACAAAATAAAACCAAGTTGCACTGGGAGATAAACCACAAATAATAAACTCACCATTTCTGCTTCTTGTGTCCGAAATTAGCAAGCCTTTAGCTTCTCCAGTAAAGCTAGGTCTCCGGCCTCTGTAACTCCTTCCTTTCCTGATGGGGTTGGGGGTGTTATTTGATTCTTACCTGACTCTAACAAAAACCTTTATCCTGGCTTTTGTAGTACCGATATCTGACCATATGTCATGACTTTTGAGGATATGATAAACATATGAGAAAATCCACCAGAACAGGCTAATGTAAACTAGCTAACCTTGCTAATGTTAAGGGATTTTCCCTTTAAATAGCTATCATAGACTTATTTATGTATTTATTTATTTATTTATTTACTTATTTATTTATTTGTAAGCCAAGCTGTCTGAAGTTTAACTCCCTTGAGCTCTTTTGAGAGTAAATTTCTTTTCTTTCCTAAGTGCTTTTGTCTCTCAATCTTCCGTTCTCAAATCCTGCATAGGCAGTCTAGTATTTCACTTCGGTATGTGGGAGTGATGGGCACTTACTGTTTTGGAGTCTTCGGCCAAAACAGGCTGAAATCATTACATTGTCAGTGCTGACTCACAAGTCAGGTGCAGAACTGGGATTCAAAGCCAGGAAGTTTGAAGCAAGTTCTATTTCTACCACAGTGTGGTTCCCTGGTTGGACTGAAGTTAAAAGCCCCCCGAGTTTCTCTTCTCAGTCTAATGGTGTTTAAACTCTCATCTCTTCTGGTGTGATGGAAAGTATTGTCACGAATGCCTTCATTTCCCCTAGGTCACCTCAAGGAAGGAGGCTGGTTGTGGGAGGAGGTTGTCCCAGTGTCTGTATAATCCTGGCATGAGTGTTGACATGGAAGACATTTAATTCTGGAAAGAAAAGTAAGTCATCATTAACCTTGTTTTACAAATGAGTTTTAGCTCAATGGTTAACTATGAGATAATTCAATGGTCAGGTCCTACCTGGGTTCCAGTCTCTGTAATTCCTTCTTCTTCCATAGCTGGTGGGTGGGGTGGGGGTGTCACTTCATTCTTACCCACAGATAAGAATCACCCATCCTAATGACCTGGTCCAATCTAGGTGGATATAGTTGGTTTTCAATCAGCTTCAGCCCTGCATTCTGGGCATTGAGATTTCTTTGCTGAGAAAGTGCCTTTCCCCTCTGGTGCTTTCTGTTCTTATCACTGAACTTTGACCTTGGACCTCTGAACCCCTCTTTTAGTGAGCTGCCCAGATTCCTGTTGTCTTCAAGGGGCTCTGACCCAGAACTTGAGGACAGACCTCTTTTCCCTTTCTCAGATTTGGGCCTCCACCTCCCCAGGCTCTGCTTACTGGTTGGGATGCCCTGAGAGTTTCACATGAGCATCCTCACGTCTCCTCCACTGCCAGCATTTGCCTGGGCTGTGCCAGGTGAACAGCATGCCTGCTCACCAGACAATGCCTCCCTTCGGTGCTCACGGGGATGTTCTCACAGGTTATGCCCTGCTGGGTCCTGGGATCTGATAAGAGGCCTTTGTCTGAGGTGTTTATTGCAAGTGTCTCCAAGACTTTTTAACTACAGAGACATTAAAAACAAGACAAAACAAATCACCACCACCATCACCACCAAAACCCAGAGCCCAAGAGAAAAGCAATGAGTTTCCTAGTTGCCCAATAGGGTGGCACTGATTTCTATTCTACTTTGCTCCCTGTTGATTTTTTAAAAATTGTTTTGTTTCCCAGTGACTTGTTGCTGCCACAACTCCAATGAGGAGATAGGACAGTCCCCAGTGCAAAGGGTAACTTAAAGGAATTATCTGCATTGCACATACAGATTTGCTCTTGCAGCTGTGGGCTGGAGGAAGCAGGGCACCTTCAAGATGATGCACAGTAGAAAGGGGCAGATAGAACTACCCCTGCCCAGAAGAGGCATGTAGGGGAATTAGTGAACTGGGGCCAACTACCTAGCACATTCCTTTTCCAGGATAGGTGCTGTAACACTGCTGCCTGCTTCCCATTGCCCATCAGCTCTGCCAGTTTTTAGTCTGGGCGTTCCTCTGTTCACTCCAAGACATCTCCTGTTTAGCTACCTGTCTCAATACTGGCTTCACACTTAGCCAAGTTTCCCTGGTCTCCTGTTATTCCCAATGCACCTCACTGTGTCTCTGGCCCACCAGCTCCATGCACCCTCATCCTGTTGGGCCTGACCTGGGGAATCATGAGCATAATTAATATAAGCATAATATTTGAGCAAGGTGACAGAAGTGGCAGTTTATCTGTCCTCATGATTCTCATAATTTACAAACACACAAAAAATGTGTTTAGGATCAGTGGTGCAGTGGGCTCTGTGCAGTCTCCTGAGTAATTCATAGACTAATGAGGGCTCTGAATTTCCTAGGGGAAATGAACCTGACAGCAGTTTGTAAAGAAATGATTCACTGATACAAACTGATGTTGATCTTAAGGTGGTCTTGCCCACAGGTGAGACAATGTATGATGTCAGGTACTTTGTTGAGTGCTTTGTCTTATTCAATATGAGTTTCTTAAAGTGGAATTGGCACCATGAGTTGTGTGTGTGCATACGCTCACTAACACCTGTCTCCTGAGACTTCTCAAAACCATCTATCCTTTCTGTGATGCCAAATGTAAGGCCAAGTCCACAGGGTTTACTCAGAAGTCCAAAATTCAGTTCCAGACTCTGCTAGATAATCTTAGAAAAGCCATTTAAATTATCTGAGCTTGAGTTTCCTCATCTTTGAATTGAAGATAAGATCCGACCTCATGGGGCCAGGTAATATGTATGAAATAGCTTTGTAAGCTCTGAAGCACCGAACACATGTGACTTCCAATGACTCCATCCAGGATCTAAAGTGTTTATTTAGAGTAGGCCATGGGCTCTTTCCCCAGGCCAGCCTTGTAAATGCCTCTGGCTCTTGGAGAACTGGGGGAGACCTGCTATGCCCCCTCCAGCGTCTCCTCCCACACATTATGTCCTGCACACTACTGGGTAGAACCCGCCCTGCCCTGCTGATCAAGTTGCGGGGAATGTTGGCTGCTGCTGGGAAACGAAGAGGAGGCAATGAAGAAGAAAGGGCAGCCAGCCAGGAAAAATAGGAAGTTGGTGCATTTGGACGATGATGGGGATTTTTTTCTTTTTTGGCTGGGAGATAAGAGTGTTTTTGTTAGTTTAAGTGGGGTGGGGGCTCGTGGCAGTTATCTGGCTAGAACTTGTTTATAGATGGCTCCAGACTTTGAGACCTGGCAGTGCTGGCACTAGGTAACACTGAAGTGTTTTCAACCCAGTGGAAAATCCCCGAAGTCTCCTGATTCTTGCTAGAGTGCTCAAGTTGGCAGAACACACTCTCAGACCAGACTGGGCCCAACCAGAGAGGTCACAGGGAGGCTGCAAAGGTGCTGCCACTTCTGTTTGGCTTCTGCTAAAATAAAACCAAGAGGAGACCTGGGAGTGTCAGTGTGGAGGTCTATTCCTCTCCCTGGTCTGGAGTGAACTAGTTGCATTAGTTAATCAGCAGAATAGGAAAGAATTTCCTACGGCCCCAAGGCCTGGAGAGGGAATCCCAACATGCAGACTCTACGCCTTTCTTTCTCACTCCACATGTAACCCTTGAACCTGAAATAAAAGTTGGGAAGAAAAAAATAAATAGTGTTTTAGGAAACACCTGGACATGTGTTGCCTCATTTGATTCTCACTACAATCCAGTGAAATAGGCAGGGATAGTATTAGCCCATTTTTCAGCTGATAAACTGAATTTCAGAGAGGTGCATGATTTGCTAAGATTGCATAGATACCAAATAACTAAGCCAGGACTAGAACTCAATAGATCTTTTCTTTCCTAATCTGTGCACTTCGTATCATGTGTACTACAGTGTGCAGAAGAGTGGAGAAGTGAAATCAAGATGGTAGCAATAGAAATAAACAGAAATGATGGTCAAGAAACTCAGAAGAATAAATGGGTGAAATCAGGACCACAGCTGTGTGGCAGGTTGGAAGAAAAAGATGTTTTTGCCTCATGTAAGCAAAACAAACCGAAAAGTTAAGAAAGAAGATTCTAATGGAGACGTAGAATTACAATTGTGGAAGCATGTGTTAAAAGAGAGCCAACACAGTAACCAAAACAGCATGGTACTGGTACCAAAACAGAGATATAGACCAATGGAACAGAACAGAGATCTCAGAAGTAACACCACACGTCTACAACCATCTGATCTTTGACAAACCTGACAAAAACAAGCAATGGGGAAAGGATTCCCTATTCAATAAATGGCGCTGGGAAAACTGGCTAACCATATGCAGAAAACAGAAACTGGACCACTTCCTTACACCTTATACAAAAATGAACTCAAGATGGATTAAAGACTTAAATGTAAAACCCAAAACCATAAAAACCCTAGAAGAAAACCTAGGCAATACCACTCAGGACATAGGCATGGGCAAGGACTTCACGACCAAAATACCAAAAGCAATGGCAACTAAAGCCAAAATTGACAAATGGGATCTAATTAAACTAAATAGCTTCTGCACAGCAAAAGAAACTATCATCAGAGTGAGTAGGCAACCTACAGAATGGGAGAAAATTTTTTGCAATCTACCCATCTGGAAAAGGTCTAATATCCAGAATCTATAAGGAACTTAAACAAAATTTCAAGAAAAAAACAAACAACCCCATCAAAATGTGGGTGAAGAATATGAACAGACACTTCTTAAAAGAAGATATTTATGGAGCCAACAAACATATGAAAAAAAGCTCATCGTCACTGGACATTAGACAAATGCAAATCAAAACCACAATGAGATACCATCTCACGCCAGTCAGAATGGCGATCATTAAAAAGTCAGGAAACAACAGATGCTGGTGAGGCTGTAGAGAAATAGGAACACTTTTACACTGTTGGTGGGAATGTAAATTAGTTCAACCATTGTGGAAGGCAGTGTGGCGATTCCTCAAGGATCTAGACCCAGAAATACCATTTGACCCAACAATCACATTACTGGGTATATAACCAAAGGATTATAAAAATCATTCTACTATAAAGACACATGCACACGTATGTTTATTGCAGCACTATTTACAATAGCAAAAACTTGGAACCAACCCAAATGCCCATTAGTGATAGACTGGATAAAGAAAATGTGGCACATATACACCATGGAATACTATACAGCCATAAAAAGAATGAGTTCCTGTCTTTTGCAGGGACATGGATGAAGCTGAAAGCCATCACTCTCAGCAAACTAACACAACAACAGAAAACCAAACACTGCATGTTCTCACTCATAAGTGGGAGTTGAACAATGAGAACATATGGACACAGGGAGGGGAACATCACACACCAGGGCCTGTTGAGGGGTGGGGAGCAAGGAGAGGGAGAGCATTAGGACAAATTCCTAATGCATGTGGGGCTTCAAACCTAGATGACGGGTTGATAGGTGCAGCAAACCACCATGGTACATGTATACCTATGCAACAAACCTTTACGTTCTGCACATGTATCCCAGAACTTAAAGTAACATTACATAAAATAAATAAATAAATAAATAAATAAATAAATAAATAAATAAAAATAAAACCATGTGAGAGAGAAAAAAACAAAAGAGAGACAGCCAGTCAGATTTTTAATGCTCATCTATGTACTTATATCCAGCAGTGGGCGTACAGAAATACTGATTATGCAAATATGCTACAAAATCAGGTAGGATAAACCAGACAAGTAATCTTTGGGGCCCAAGACTAGTTTTTCTGAGGTTGCATAGTTGTTGTACAGGAAGGACAGACTGTGAAGAGCAGAGAAGCAAAATCAGCAAAGCCAGAAGTAACAATATGTATTACATTGTGTGGGGTTTTTTCCCTAAACTCTGCTAAGTAAGGCTACTGCTTCCTGGCTAAGGAGAAATCATAGTGCTGCAAATTACCAGGACAAATCAATCATAGCAGGAGACTAAAACAACTTTACCCTTTTGTAAGCCCCTCTCTCTTAATGCTCATTTAAGGTTATGGCAGAGCACAGCTGTGGCATAACGACTAGGTGGGAAGGGAGGAAAAGGTTTCATGGACAGGGAAAAGTACGGGAAAGGGTATCACTGGAGGTAAGTAATAGGGTCATTGGGCTGGAGGAACACCTAGAACTCGAAGCACAGCTGTGATTCATTTGGGCACATCATTGGGATTCTTGGGAGAGAGGAAGAGGCCATTAATGAAGGGCTGGCAGTTGAAAATATGGCATCTAAAGGGACTTGGCAAATCCAGGATTGATTCCAGCTGTGGTTAGTATCCAAGGGGTATCAAGTCTGTGGACCACTAATACAGCGTCTGGCAAACTACGGCTCACAGACCAAATCTGACCTGCTTCCTGTTTTCATATGGCCTGCAAGTTAAAGATAATTTTTACATTTTTAAATGGTTGAAAAAAATCAAAATAATAATAATATTTCATGACATGAAATCTACATTTCGGTGACCACAGATAAAGTTTCATAGGAACACAGCCACACTTATTCCTTTCCACGCTATCTAAGGCTGATTTTATACTACAGCATCAGAGCTGAGTAGCTATGATGGAGACATTTGGCCCTCAGAGCCTAAACTATTTACTATCTGACCCTTTACAGAAAAGGTTTGCTGATCCCTGGGATAAAGTCTGGGAATTGACCCATAACTTTTCACAGTCATGGGTCAACCATATGACTGATCATAAAATCTAGATTTTTTTTGTATTATTATACAGGTCAAGTGTAGCTTTTGCAGCTTCCCATCTTTTCAGTCTTAGGGAACACATGACCAACTAGCCACCACCAAAGTTCCTGCAGGGTCAGCCCTCTTGATTTCCACTCCCTCCCTGCTGCCCAGTCTGGTGACCATGCAGAGCTTGCCTCTGCCACTCTGAGATCCCATCACGCCCACTGAGCTCACTGAAATCAGGAGGTCCATGTCAACAGAGCACCTCCTACTTTCATCCTCCCAGGTGTGGATGACAGTGACCATAGGTCCTTTAATGGATGCCAGACACTCCTCACCAATGAATGGCTTTGCTGATGACAGTGCCCTCTGGGACCTCCAGGGGTCATAATGAGGGGGTGGCTGAGCAGATCCCCCATAGTAAATTCATTCTTACTTTACTTTTCCCCTAAGCCTTTGGATTCTTCCTTCTGTATTTTATAAAGGAAGTGTTGGCAACTCAACTTGATTTAATAAAGGCCACAAGTGAGTCCAGGCTTCTGTCAACCAGCAAGGAAAGCTGCGGGAGCCAATCCCCACTGTTCAAACTAAAACTTGAAATCTGGACTGTCTGGTACATTCACCCATACTGGGGTGTTCTGTCAGTATGAATCAGATCAAGTTGGTTGATAGTGTTTTTCAGATAATCTACATTCTTGCTGATTTTCTATCCATTACTGAATGTTCAACTAGACTTACAGATTTGTGTATTCATATCCACAGATCTTTCAGTGTTTGGCTCATGTAAAGTACTTTTGTTATGTGCATATTATGTCTTTTTGGATAATTGACCCCTTTATAATCTTATAATATTATCTTGATAATATTCCTTGTTCTGAAGTCTACTTGATCTGAAATTAACATAGCAACTCCAGCTTTCTCTTGGTTAGTGTTTATATGGTATATTGCTGTGCATCCTTTTATTAACCTGTATCCTTATATTTAAAGCAGATTTCTTGCAACTGGAATATGGTTAGCTCTTGCTTTTTAAATCTACTCTGACAATCTCTTATCAGAGATTAACATGTGTGTTTAAATTATTCACATCTCAAGTGATTATTGATGCGACTGGGTTAAAAATTACTATCTTGCTAGCTATTTTCAATTTGTTTCATTTGCTTATTTTTCCCCCAAGTTTTTTTTGCCTTCTCTGGGTTTAACTGAACATTTTAAAATTCCATTGTTCCCACCTCCCATCCCTTGTGCCACTGTCATCATACATTTCACTTTTACATATTCTCCTTTCTCTTAACACAAACTACATTGTTATTGTTAGTGCTTTAAATGGTCAAATTTTTAGAGCAATTAAAGATAAGGAAAATATTTTATTTTACCTTCATTTACTACATTTTTGATGTTCTTCATTTCTTTGTGTAGCTCCAAGGTTTTCGTTGTTGTTATTGTTGTTTTTGAGATGGAGTCTCGCTCTGTCACTCAGGCTGGAGCGCAGTGGCATGATCTCAGCTCACTGCAACCTCTGCCTCCCAGGTTCAAGCGATTCTCCTGCCTCAGTCTCCCGAGTAGCTGGGATTACAGGTGTGTGCCACCACACCAGGCTAATTTTTGTATTTTTAGTAAAGACAGGGTTTCACCATGTTGTCCAGGCTGATCTCGAACTCCTGACCTCAGGTGATCTGCCCGTCTCGGCCTCCCAAAGTTCTGGGATTACAGGCATGAGTCATTGCGCCTGGCCGAGCACTCAAGTTTTTAACTGTATCACATTCTTCCTCCTTGAAGAATTTCCTTTGATATTTTTGGTAGTGTAGGTCTGCTAAAAATGAATTCTCTCAGTTGTTGTTTATCTGAGAAAGTTTATTTTTCTTTCATGCTGAAGGATAGTTTCACTGGATAAAGAATTTTAGGTTAACAGATTTTTTTTCTTCAGCATTTCAAAGATGTCATCTCATTGTCTTTTTGTTTGAATGGTCTGATAAGATGTCTGCTCCATTTTTTTCTTTGTTTCTCTATCCTGTATCTTTTTCTCAGGATGTGTTAATTTTTTTTCTCTTTTTCTTTGGTTTTCAGTAGTTTGGATATGATATTCTTAGGTGTGAGGTGTGTGTGTCTTTTAAAAAAAAATCTTGCTTGATGTTTTTTGAGCTTTTTGGATCTGTGTTTTGCTGTCTGTTATTAAATTTGGAAAATTCATAGCTATTATTATTTCAAATATTTGTTTTGCCACATTCACTATTTTTTCTTCTAGAGTTTTTATGTGCATGTCCGACCACTTTATGTTGTCCAGAACTCTTGGGTACTCTATTCTTTTTGTTCACTCTTTTTTTTCTCCTTGTATTTCAGTTTGCATAATTTTTTGATATGTTTTCAAATGGATAGGGTTTTTTTCTTGGTTGTGTTGAGTCTAACAATGAACCATCAAAAGTGTTCTTCAGTTTAATCCCTGCGTTTGTGATTTCTAACATTTTCATGTGATTCCTTCTTACAGTTTCTGTCTCTCCTGAAATTACCTATCTGATCTTGCATGCTATCTACCTTTTAAGTTAGCATCTTTAACATATTAATCATAGTTAATTTAACATTTTCTGTATCATATTGGAGCCTGGTTCTGATGATTGCTTTGTCTCTTCAGATTCTTTTTTCTTGCCTTTTTGTATGCTCCTATATTCTTGTCGAAATCCAGACATGTTGAATAGAACATTAGGCACTGATGTAAATAACTTTTATGCTTGGAGATCAGTATACTTTTCCTTTTGCTTAGCCGTTAGTGTGGAGCCTTGTGTTACTCTAGTAAGGAATTGGGCTGGATTTAAAAACTGTTGTTGCCTGGGTTACCTCTGTGCATCAGCGGCTTCAAATTCCTCTAGTGATACCTTATTTTAGTCTCTTTGCTTGTCTTTGAATCTTTCTTCTACACCATTCCCTAGTTAAGTGTGTGCTGCTGCAGCTCTCCCAGCTGCATTCTTCTGTTATTTCTACTTGATGCTTGTTGGTGTGGAGTTAAGGGGCAGGGAAGAAGGTATACCCCGATGATCTGATTAAGCCTAGTCTGTGAAGCTGAGACTAAATCTGTGAACCACAGGTACTGTGAACAGGAAACCTGTGGGTTTCCAAACTGTGGCTTTCACAGGTGTTCCTGCCTCTCCTCCAGACATAAAGCTGGGCCTATCTTGTATTACTGTTCTATCCTTACTCGCATGCTTGCCTCCCCTAGCTGAAGTGGGTTTCCACCAGTGCCCTCAGATACAGGTTTTGATGACCTTCCCCATATAGACTGAGACTTTCCTTCTTTTGCAAAAGTAGGGAAGATAGTCTAGGTGGAGCTTCTGCAGTGGCTGCTGTTGCCCTCCAACCCTAGAAGATGGACTTTCTCATGCTTCTCCCCGTCTCCTCTGTGAGAGCCTAGTGGAGTTCCTGGAAGAGAGACCAGCAAAAAGTTGGAATATCACCCCCCATCTTTGTCTCCAAGGGCTTCACACTCATACCGACCCACAATTTGTTAAAAATTTCTAGTTGAATGTCCTCTGTTTTATACGACATTTGAGAGCATTTATTCCAGGTAACAAATGCTTAGGTCTTGTTTCTCCCTACAGGTAATTGTCTCTCTACTTTTTAGGTTAATTATTTGCCCTGCAATTTTAATTCTCTGCCGGTTCAAGAAAAGTCATTAGTTTGCAGCGTGTCCATCTTTTTCCTCGTTAGTAAAAGGGAGAACATCCTTTTATTTATTTTTTTAGCTCTCTATATCTCTAAGCTGAAACTGGAGGTCTCAGTGTTGTAAGAATTGAAACCACCTACTCCTCGCCCCCCACTGCATAGTGTGGACACTGACGACTGAAACTACTTATCCTCCACACAACCTATTGTCTGCATGACATGGCTTTATATTTTATTGTCTTTATTAGCATAACTTTATTATTCCAAAATACTCTTGCCCAGACAAAAAACTTGATTTTTCATTACGGGTACTTCCTGAAAATTCCATCAACTCTTCAGTAGAAAGCATCGAAAGACAGTTGATGCCCTAAGATTCTGAATCCCTCACCTCAAAATCCTTACCTTGTGGTTTCCACTAGTCTGTCATGATCCTCAAGTGTATATCGGGATCCTTCCCCAATTTTAATCAAGCCTTTCCCCGACCCTACTTTGAAAGACCTACTGGAATCCAACTTTCCTATTCTTTTTTTTTTTTTTTTTTTTTGAGATGGAGTCTTGCTCTGCCACCCAAGCTGGAGTGCACTGGCGCGATCTTGGCTCACTGCAAGCTCTGCCTCCCGGGTTCACACCATTCTCCTTCCTCAGCCTCCCAAGTAGCTGGGAATACGGGCACCCACCACCACGCCTGGCTAATTTTTTGTATTTTTAGTAGAGATGGGGTTTCACCGTATTAGCCAGGATGGTTTCGATCTCCTGACCTCATGATCTGCCTGCCTCTGCCTCCCAAAGTGCTGGAATTACAGGCGTGAGCCACCACACCCGGCCCCAACTTTCCTATTCTTAATAAAATCTTACATTACTTTTCCCTCCAAGACGCTATGAAAGCTCTGTTGAAGTGATATTCTCCCTTATGAATGAAAGCAAGAAACTTGGCTTTGTATTATCAGTTGGTGATATTTGGGGAGCAGATTTGAAAAAAACTTTAAGTTGCATTTCTCTTATTATTTTGCTTTTATCTCTTGCCTATTTTTCCATAGGGTTATTGATTGTTTTTAGAAACTCTTTGTATATTAAGGGTATCAACTCTTTACCTATGATACAAGTTGCTAATATTTTTTCCAGTTGTCATGTGTCTACTTTGTCATTTGTTGGAGTCTTTTACCATTAATTTTTTTTAATGTGGTCAGCTTTATCAATCTTCCTTACCTTGTCTGGATATTGAGTCATATAAAGATTTTCCACATTCACAGCTTATAGAGGAATTCACTCACATTTTCTTTAAGTATTTTTGTCGTTTTATTTTTGCATTAATATCTTGTCCATGTTGAAAATATCTTGATAAATTGTGACAATAGTAAATATGATTTTATCTTTTTTCCATGTAGTTATCTGGTTATCTCCAATACTGGAATATTATAAAGTCCAGCTCATTCTCACTGATTTAATATGCCCCTATACCAATTCAAAAATAATATTTAATAGAAAATAACAAGCTGATTCTGAAGTTCACATGGAAGACCAAGTGTATAGACTAGATCCCCCTCCAAAATATTTTTGCTGAAAATAACAATAAAAGGGCACTTACCCTACCAAATATCAAAATATAATGAGAAACTGCAGCAATTAGAACAGCATAGTACTGACATTGGACTAGAATTAAAGATCAAAGAACCATTAAAAAAAAAGAAAGAAAACAGAGCCCTGTATAGTTAAAAATGAAGTTTATGGTGATATGGTTTGGCTGTGACCCCACCTAAATCTCATCTTGAATTCCCATGTGTTGTGGGAGAGACCTGGTGAAAGGTAATTGAATCATGGGGGCAGGTCTCTCCCATGCTGTTCTTGTGATAGAGAGTGAGTCTCACGAGATCTGACAGTATTATAAGGGGGAGCTTCCCCGCACAAGCTCTCTCTTTGCCTGTTGCCATCCACATAAGATATGACTTACTCCTCCTTGCCTTCTGCCATGATTGTGAGGCCTCCCCAGCCACGTGGAACTGGAAGTCCAATAAACCTTTCTTTTGTTAATTGCCCAGTCTCAGATATGTCTTTATCAGCAGCATGAAAATGGACTAATCCATATGGTAAAAGTGGTTTTAAATCTTTGGGGAAAGAATGGATACTACTTATTAAATTTTATCAAGACAACTAGCTGTCCTTTTATGAAGAGAATTTATTTCTGGTTTGTTTGTGTACATATGGAATGTTATAGTAAGAGAAAATTTTGGGCCTTCCCTTTTGATCCATGGATTTAATAGCTTAATACCTCATGTATTGAGACTCTTTTTGGAGTGTTGCCAGAAAAAATTAGAAGGATCTTAGGCTTAAAAGCATAAACAAATTTATTATGATGATATGTGATGATATGAGAGTAAATATATGAGAGTAAACATATGAGTATGATTGACTGACAGGGATGAAGTAGAGAAGTGAGCTGGACACTTCTGGTAATAATCACTTACACCTAGATAAGCTTTTGTGAAAGGAAGTGCTTAACTTAGCAATAACCTGCTCTCCAGCTGTGCCAAGTACTTAACAGTGTGCTGGGAATTCCAGGATGCAAATATTGTCCTATAACTGGAAGAAGCAGCTGCTTACCGTTAGGGGGCCCTCTGTCTGTCTGTCTGAGAATATACCAGATGGGTCTAATCGTGCACTGCCTTCTGGCTTCCCCATCCCTACTCCCAGCTCTCTGGGCCAAGGGGTAGCAGAAGGCAGCAATTAAATAAACTTGGGTGTTTTTTTGTTTTGTTTTGCTCTTGATATAAATTTATGTTCATTGTCATTAGGTCTAACCCAATGTAAACAGGAAGAAGATACATTGTAATGAAACTGCATAAACGGAAAGATACAGAGAAAACCTTAAAAGAAGTGACTGGAAGGAGAGGAGGAAAAGAGATGGTAGCTAGAGGAAGATTTAGGAAAAAGAGAGGGTTTTTTGGTTTTGTTTGTTTTGTTTCTGAAAGTAAAAGTGATTTGAGGCAACTTATGCTGAGGAGGAGGGAACTACTTTTTTTTTTTTAAAGTTTAATACAGAGGAGAAAATTCTGTCCATCATGATGACCAATGGTAAGCTTCAGTTACATTTAAGCTACTAGTCCTAGACCTCTCCTTCAAGATCTATATTTTCAACTGCCTATGGGACTTTAGCCTTATCTGTAATGTCTGAATTTCTTAAAAGGAGAATCCATTAGTGTATTTAATGAGTAATTGGAAATTAATTTAAACCCAATGTAGGAAAGAAGAAAGTTATAAATGATGAGATCAGAGCCTAGATGACATAAGGAATAGTCTTGAATAGAGAGGAGTGAGTAGGGAAATGAGAGTAAAGACACAAGAAAATGCATGTACAAAATGCAGCAAAATGTAGCGTCCTCCTCTGTGAAGTAGTATGCACATTCTCCCACCCTCTGGGCATCCATGTAAATGACCTTTTCTAACGTTGAGGGTTGGTAGTGCTTCTGAGGTTTTAGTGAAAGGAAGTGTGGCCAGGTCTCATGCTCCACCTATTGGTAAATTAAATTTGTTTAGCCATTTCTGGCTGTGTGTAGCCATTTCTAGGAAGCTATCATGCCACAATCTGTGAATTAGAGCACCTCTTCTAATCTGAACCTAGAAAAGCTTTTGCAGGGTAGCTTGCCATTATGACCTGGCAGGGGTGTAATGGATGAGTCTACCTGGCCTAAAAGGAAAAATGAGAGAGGAGCTCATCTGCTGAGTGTCAGGGAAGTCAGTGGAGCTGAGAGGGGGCTGAGGATGATATGTGATAGGAAAAGTTGCTGACCACCTATCTAAAAGAATATCTGTTAGCATCAAGGCCTCAAAGGATGTTCTTAACTTCTTAATTTCCTGTTTTATTTTACATAAAATATCTTAACTTCATGAACTCTATAGTACTACTGAAAAATGATTACGTGTCTGAATTTTCCCAAGAACATGTGTATTTCAAACAACTTGCTTACAGTATCAGTGATTCAGGAACAGTCAATATTTGTACTGCCCTTTGTTACTTAACGTTGCAAATCATTGTCTGTCAGAGTGGAATACAAGCAATTTCCTGTCAGCTGAATATGCTTCTTTTTTCTATTGCAGACATTATCTTAGGTTTTCTTTGTTTTGTTTTGTTTAGAAGGAAGCCAAAGTAGACTATCTAACCCAACATAACGATTAAGAGCATAGTTCCGGGAGAAAGGTGCTCAGGATGTGAGTCTCGATTTCACTGTTAATAGCCGTGTGAACTTGCAAGCCATTCAACTTCTCTGGATTCAGTTTCCTCATCCTGTATGATGTGAATAATAATAGTGTGGGCCTCTTAGCAGTGTTGTGAGGAGGAAATGAGACAACCCATGCAAAGTACTTTGCATAGTGCCAGGATTTAGTAAATACTGAATATATCCTGGCCATATATATATGTGTATGTTATAAATGTTAAAAATATTCTGGGTAATCTGTGAATTAATAAAAGACAAATCAGGATTTTAGAGCTTGAAGGGGACTGGTGAGATCATTTATACTAGGTTGGCTAATATCTGGCTTATTTTCCATCATTCTTTCCCACCATATTCATTATAGACCTCACTAATTGATCCCAGCATTCTTTCCCACTGATGTCAATAGGATTTTAGAATCCTCAATACAGTATTTTATCTGGTCACTACTAATTGATTGGAGTTGATCCTTGAGATGAAACTCATCTGCCACCTCTAGCTGTTCTCAACAGATAAGGAAGTGACTTTCCTAATGTGACACAGTTGATTATTGTTAGAGCCTGGACAAAAATCCAGTCTCTTGTTACATAGTGGATTATACTCATCTCTGTGCAGAATTTACAGCTTTACATAATATAAACTCTTAAAAGAAATAAAAATATCCTTAAAATACAAATATCCTTTTTTGAAGAAACGGGATAGTTGGAAGAAAACTTTATGAAATGAAGAAAATGGAAAATGAGAAATTATTCTTGTCCATATTTTAACTCTTCAATCTTGCTTATTGGTCATGATTTGGCTAATGAAAGAAACTAAGCTGACTGCAGAAACCGTACATTTTGCACTGTTCTAAGAGATTTCATCCATTTACTTATGCAACTGATATATATTTGATGTCAGCTTTGTACCGGGCACTATACTAAGCACTGAGAAGATACAGATGATCAAAATATGACCTTGACCCTTAATAACATCGAGAGACAATATGGAGACAGACATGAACAAAACTGGAAGCATCAGTGATGTGCACTTCAATAAAGGCATGTAGAGGGGACTGTGGGAACAAAGTGGTCCATTCTACCCAGAGTGATAAAAAGCAGTGAAGGCTGCTTGAGCTTGAAACATTCAATGAAAATTAACCTTACAATCAAGAGATTCTAGAAAATGTTAGTAACCATTACTGACAAGTTAGGAATTGTATTTTTGAATGATAAAATATTTATGGACTTGAATTTACTTCACTAAAAATTGGTCTTAGTAGGCCATATGGTTTTGTCAATGGCAGGGCATAGAAAGTGTCGCTGCCTGCTCTAAGACTAACAAAATAAGTAATATTTACCATAATCACATTTTTGGGAGCAGATTATTTTGTATATCTGAGTGAGGGACAAATATACTTCCGGGTCTAACAGGCTCTCCTTGTGTGTCTGTAGGACTGATGTCAGGGAGTTCACGGTCTGACCCTGGGTGGACCTCATATGGCCCAAACCTGCGTGAAACTACCTGCAAAACGAGACTGACTCTTTACCCCACTTGACGTCATGGCCTTAAAGTCAAATTTGCTTACCCTTATTCTTTCATGGTTAAACACACTCTGGTTATTGTTCTCTGCTTAGGGAAGAAGATAAAAAGCCTCTATCCTGAAAACCCGGGTTATAAACAAACCCACAGTGGCTGCAGAGCAGCCATCCAGATGCCGTTGGGCAACTGGTAGTCATTGAAACCCAGAGCCAAGTAGCTTACCCAATATCTTAAGGCTAAAGTTGGTAGAGTGACTTTTAAAAGTGTTTTTCCACTCTCTTTGGCAAGAATGAGGGGGAAGTGCCTTCATTTACAGGCCAAGATAATCAACCTTGCCTCAAGTTCCATGTATAATGAAAGGTTCTACCGCAATGTAGGTCATGACAAAATGTCACTGGCCTAGATTCTCTGCTGAATCAACACCATTAAGAGATGCTGACCCAGTTTCCACAAGCCCTTCACTTCCTCTTTTTGAATTTGGATTGCTAGGTTACTGCAGAAGCTAAGAGACAAGGGTTCCATTGGGTAAAAGACTTAGTGTGAATTGTCTTGAAGCTCCATTAGGAAACCATTGAAACGAAATTTAGAAGTGAGTCTGGGATGATCTTGGATAGCACTGAACATAGATTGGACTCTGTTTATTTTGAGGAAATTTGGCTAAAACAATTGTCATTTTAACCCAGTGGTAGCTCTTATTGCCTAGTGGTGGTGGCTGAGACCACCATGGGGTGGGGGCAAGGTTGGAAGGTAAAATGGATTGGTAGGAATGGTAAATTGTGGGGTACAGCATGGGGTTGAGGGGAGTGGGCTGACATGCATGGGCACCCTGGGCGGGATAACAGTTTAGAGCCCCTTCAAAGAAATGCAGAACATTTATTTAGAGGAGCACCTGCCTGGGGGAAGAGCAGTGCAACAGGCATGTCACCACTAAGAGCCTGTCCTCTCTGTGGTCTGGGCAATTCGGCTGTGGATCCAAATATGTACACTCCACTCAGCAAAGTGAAACTCCAAAGGCAGCCAAGGTATTTATTACCTGTTGTTACCAGAGCACATCCCTTGGCGTTTTACACCCCAAGTCAAGCAGCTTATAATTGTCACAGGTGTTCGAATAAGTGAGATAGGAATCTGCAGGATTGGTTTTGCAAACTACAGGTCATGAAGACCCTGCTGATAAAATGAGATGTGGTAGAAAAAAAAAAAAACAGCCAAACCCCACCAAAAACAAGGTGGTGACCTCTGGTCGTCCTCACTGCTCATTATACACTAATTACAATGTATTAGCATGTTAAAAGACACTCCCATGACATTTTGCAAATGCCATGGCAACTTCCCATATGGTCTAAAATGGGAGGAACCCTCAGTTCTGGGAAATCCCCGGCCCTTTCCCGGAAAACTTGTGAATATTCCACCCCTTGTTTGGCATATGATCAAGAAATAACCATAAACATAGTCAAATGGCAGCCCTCAGGGCTGCTCTTTCTATGGAGTAGCCATTCTTTTGTTTCTTTACTTCTCTAGTAAACTCACTTTCACTTTATTCTGTGGACTCGCCCCCATTCTTTTTTGCTTGAGATCCAAGAACCCTCTCTTGGGGTCTAGGTCGGGACCACTTTTTGGTAACATGACTACATACAGCTCTGAGAGGTGTTGCCTTAACTAGGATGTTCTCCACATCACTGCATTTCTAGTGGGGCTTCAGGGATGTGCTGAGAAGAGAGGCAGTCGTGCCGGAGGAGGAAAACCAGCAGCCTGCTCTGAGTATGCCTCAGCCACCGAGCCAGGATTCCAGCTGAGTATGGATGGACAGGGCTGGAAATTGAGGCCTGAGAACAGAAGAGTGGCCAGGAAGTTGTAGTAGCCAACTCTAGCTGTGGGCCTGTGCTTGCCAAACAATGGGCCTGTTTTTCTAAGTGCCTGTGAAACACACAATTTTTAAATATGATAAAACATAATTTGTAAAGAAATGCGAGCCTCAACATTCAGAGCTTTTCACATTAGTGGCGGACAGACTGCCATGTTCAGGTTTGACTGCTGACTTCATGCCACTTTTGCACTTTATGACCCTCTCCTTCATTCATGTTTCCAGAACATCTACTCTGTGTCAGATGCAGTTGTAGGCACTGGAGGTGCAGCAGTGGAAAGGATAAACCAACTGTCTGTCTTTCTGGGACACTATGTTCTAGTGGAGGATCAGACAATAATTAAGACAAAACTACATGTTACATAAAGTGGTGCTAAGTCTCCCTCCCTTGGGAAGGAGGGAATGAGGGGCCAGAGAGGGGTGTCCCTTGTACACATCACCTTTTGGGGTTCAGAGAATGAAGTCTCTCTTCTTCCTGAAAACTTAGGGTGAGGAATATGTGTTCCCTTCAATGGGCGTGATGCAAGAGGCGGGAATTATGTGGGTGATTTCAGAGCATGCTGCAGTGTTCCTAATCCATCAGTCTGATATTGTGTATCCTGGAGGGCCCATTTCTCAAGCATGGTTGGGCCCCAGAAACCATGCGAGGAGGGAGGGGCAGCTTCGCCTCCCTCTCTGACTGCATATATACCCTTTCACTCTCTCTATCAGTTATAGCAAGATCATGGGGTTCCTTCATTGTCAGAGACAACATTGTGTAGGGCGGCACAGCCATCCGTTTATGGTCAGTGAAATGGCAATGACCCTGGCCCTGTGCTCAGCCAGAGGGACTTCATCTCTGGTGACCAGGCTGGTGACAGCTGGAGGATTCCAGGGAGAGGAGAGAGAAAGATGAGGAGGAGCAAACAGTCTAGATGATGTTGGCACACAGTAAACGGGCATGGGAAGGACTGCTCATGGGGACAGTGACTCTTTTTGGGGGGTGATGTAAACATTCTGAAATTAGAGTTATAGTTGTACAACTTTGTGAATATACTAAAAACCATTGAGTGGTACCCTTTCCAAGGGGGAATTTTGTAGTATGTGAATTATGTCTCAATTAACAAAAACAACTCTAAATTTAGCAGAAAAAAGGAAACGGGGAATTCTTCTTCTGACTTCGGCTCTTAGATTATTTTCATCACACTCCAGCCACCTTAATTATATTATTTATGTTAATCTTATCTTCCATCAAGGGAAAAACACCATAAAATCAAAACCGTGTGACCAATTCTGCCCCAGAGTTTCTGGGAATTTCTGGTTCTACTTTTACTTTAGGCTCTGTCATCTAATCCCAGTGCAGTTAAAAATAAGAGTGATGCAATAACAGGAAGTCAGGACCAATGCCTGTATGCAACAGCATGAATGTGAGTTACCCTGAGAACAACAGGCTTCTGAATCATGGCATGATGAGTAAGTGAAAAGAAGGCAAGTCGGGTTACGGTATTGCTGAAGCTGAGACCTGAATTGAGCTGCCCTAACCTCTGTCTTTTGAAAAGGCATGAGTGGGACTGCAATTAAAAGCAGTAACCCCATATTCTAAACACATGTCGGCAGCACCAGCTTGATAGGAGAGGGAAGGGAAGCACATTGTGTGGAAAGTGAAACTTTAGTTGAGCAGGATGAAAGGGTTTTCCCACTACTTCCTATGACTGCAGTAATAGCTAGAATCCAATGGGAGCCTCACACGGTTTACCTTTGGAATTACTGGGAAATTCAGCAAAGGAATCTCCTGGCTACGTCACTTATAAGATCTAAGGAGAATCACATCCCCTTCCTAACCCTCTGTTTTTTCATGTGTATAGTGAGAATATTAATAGTTCATTCCGGGTAAAGACATTATGAGGATTAAATGAGAGGCTGCATATGCACACTGTCTGGTTCACAGTAAGATGTCCAAATATAGTAGCTCTTCTTGGCTATCAGGCAGCTAGGGGAGGTATTATGTCCTGATTTAACAGAAAAATAGCGGCCGGAAAAAATGTTTCACAGCTTCTTAAGGGAAGAACGGAATTAATCCCTGTTTCATCACTTAGCTAATAGACTGCTTGTCTTAAGGATAATATACAAAAGAGGCACATAAAACCAAAGCACAGTATGGAAGCTCCCAGAGCTGCTCTCTAGGGAGACCTTGTTGCGACCTGTCTCCTGCCTTGTCCGAAAATCACAAGCTGGCTTATGACACACCACCCTGCTCACAAACTGTAGTAGTTCCCCTTTCCTTTCAGGAGAATCCCAGGCTCCCTGATGTAATGGATGAGGCCCTTTGGAGACTGGCTTGACCACTGCTGGCCTCCCCTCCCACTGCTCCTTCCCTTGGTCAGCTCCTGGCCCTCTGCCCAGATGCCCCTGTCCTCTAACCTGTCATTGCCCACTCATCCTCAAAAGTCTATTTCAAAAGCTGCTGCCCCAGAAGCTTCTGCGCGCAGCGAGCCCTGCTCCATGGCTCCTCTGCTTTAACACATCACTGACTCCTTCTTAAGCCCTGAAACCCCTGGGACGGGAGAATTTTGCAGTTAAATAACTTAAAGCCTTATGAGAAACACAGAATTGGAGACTCTGAGGTCACAGATTTACAAAATACCCTTATTTTTACTTTTAAACTTTTTGTGAGTATTAAGTCAGTGTAATCCCTTAGAAATGTTTCAGGGTCTGCCTCCCCTGCAATTTAAATGATAGGCTTGTATAGGCATTTATTTTATGGCTGGTTAGATGTATGCCAAGAGATATTCTGCTTGCTTGTCAATTTTGACTTGAAGCTGGTGACTCTTGTCTGCCACTTGCATCTTGTCCCAAAAACCCACTTAAATGCATGCCTTAATTCTTTGCCTTATGACCAATAGGGAAATGCAGTTATAATGCCAAGGTTTTCTGTTCCTTGTTCTTTCTCTTCTGCAGCATGCACTGTAAATACCTTTACTTGTGTCCTGACATACAGGCTACCAGCTACCATCCTTTTTTCCCCCAGATACCTTTTTTTTTGTTTGTTTTCTAATTAAAGTCATGTGTTGCTTCTTTGGACGATTTCATCAGTCTAGGTGTGTAGTATAGCCTACTATACACCGAGGCTACATATTAATAGTATAGCCTATTGCCTAGGAGCTATGTATATGCACACATACAGTGTATTTACATAAGCCTAGATGGTATAGCCTACTACACACCCAGGCTGTAGGGTATAGCCTATTGCTCCTAGGCTACAAACCTGTACAACATGTTACCGTACTGAATATTGCAGGCAATTGTAACACAGTAGTAAGTATCTATGTATCTAAGCATATCTAAACATAGAAAAGGTACAGTGAAATTACATATTCCACTCTTATGAGACCACTGCTGCATATGCGGTCCATTGTTGACCGAAACATTGTCATTCAATCCATGATTGTATATTCAAAGAAGTGACATGTGATGCTCTGCTTGCTGAGAAGGTGTGTGGAAGCAAATACACAAACACCAGCATTTAGCAAAAAGAGAATACATGACTAGGAAGCAATTGCATTATCTTAATCGGTGACAAGATGGAGAAATGCTGATTGAATTATGAGGAGGTTGAATGTAAGAATCTATTTCCCTAGGCTGGGCACAGTGGCTCATGCTTGTGATCCCAGCACTTTGAGAGGCCGAGGTGGGCGGATCACCTGAGGTCGGGAGCTCGAGATCAGCCTGACCAACATGGAGAAACCCCATCTCTACTAAAAATACAAAATTAACCGGGCATGGTGGAGCATGCCTGTAATCCTAGCTACTCGGGAAGCTGAGGCAGGCGGGAGGCGGAGGTTGCAGTGAGCCAAGATCGCGCCACTGCACTCCAGCCTGGGCAACAAGAGCAAAACTACGTCTCAAAAAAAAAAAAAAACAAAAAACCCAGAATCTATTTCCCTACCCATGAGGTGTTTGCTCTTTGAGAATAGGGCTATAATTAATCCAGCTCCGTATCTCCAGTGCAGTCATTACAGATTCTCTAATAAAAGTTTTCCCAGGGCTGGGTGCAGTGGCTCACACCTGTAATCCCAGCACTTTGGGAGGCCGAGGTGAGCAGATCACCTGAGGTCAGCAGTTCGAGACCAGCCTGACCAACATGGTGAAACCCCGTCTCTACTGAAAATACAAAATTAGCCGGGCATGGTGGCCCATGCCTGTAATCCCAGCTACTTGGGTGGCTGAGGCAGGAGAATTGCTTGAACCCGGTAGGTGGAAGTTGCAGTGAGCCGAGATTGCGCCACTGCACTTTAGCCTGGGCAACAAGAGTGAAACTCCATCTCAAAAAAAAAAAAAAAAATTTGCCGAAGGGATGAATGAGCAGGTAAAGATGAAGTCAGGATGGCTAAAGCCCAGGATGAACTTAGAATTAAAGACAATTGTAAGAACTGTAGTAAGGCCAGGCACAGTGGCTCACGCCTGTAATCCCAGCACTTTGGGAGGCCGAGGCGGGTGGATCACCTGAGGTCAGGAGTTCAAGACCAGCCTGGCCAGCACGGTGAAACCCTGTCTCTACTAAAAATACAAAAATTAGCCAGTTGTGGTGGCGGGCACCTGTAATCCCAGCTACCTGAGAGGCTGAGGCAGGAGAATCTCTTAAACCCTGGGAGGCAGAGGTTGCAGTGAGCTGAGATCACGCCATTGCACTCCAGCCTGGGCAGTAAGAGCAAAACTGTGTCTCAAAAAAAAAAAAAAAAAATATATATATATAGAACTGTAGTAAGAACTGTTTTTATTTGGTTCAGAGCAGGAGGAACTGCAAAGGTGCAAGCCTATTATTTAGGGTAGGTGGTGTAATTAATGTTTATGGGAGACAAAGAGAAAGCACAACTGTTTTTTAACTTCACTCACCTATCAATGTTAATGATTTACAGAAAGAAAAAAACGTGGAGACCAGGAAATTGAACCTCAAGATAGCAGAAAGGAATGGCAAAACACCACCACCACCTGATTGTTTTGAACAGCTTCATATCCTGGTTCAGGCAAATTGCATGTAAATGAGATTGGCATGCCTGTCAGTCATCTGAAGAATTATGGAAAACAGGAAAAATCTAAAAGATTGGAGAGAGGAAAACACTGCCCCAATTGTCAAAAAAGGAAAGAAGCTGGAGTCTAGAAACTCTACAACTAATTGTTAAATGAAAGTTTTGTGAACTCTCAGTCTAGTGAGTAGAAATTCACCAGAAGCCAAGAACAGTTCACTGTAAATCATGCCCTTTACTTCTCTCTCTCTTTTTTTCCTGTTGGCCAGGCTGGAGTGCAATGGCGCGATCTCGGCTCACCGCAACCTCCGCCTCCAGGCTCAAGCGATTCTCCTGCCTCAGCCTCCTGAGTAGCTGGGATTACAGGCATGGGCCACCATGCCTGGCTAGTTTTGTATTTTTAGTAGAGACGGGGTTTCTCCATGTTGGTCAGGCTGGTCTCGAACTCCTGACCTCAGGTGATCTGCCCGCCTCGGCCTCCCAAAGTGCTGGGATTACAGGTGTGAGCCACCGCGCCCGGACTATTTCTCTTTTAAATAGGACTATTTGCAGGTCAGATCAGAAGCAGAAGTGTACAATGAACATAGTGTATCTGGATTGCAAGAAGGTATTAGACTCTTTCGTGATAGTATGGAGCAAGTTGGAGAAATGCTGATTGAATTACTAGAGAGTTAATCTGTAACCTTTTAAAAGGTGGAACCTAAAACATTATCAATTAATGATTGGAAGACGATTTCTAGATGCATACGGTTGCATACTGTAGATTTTTAATCTTGAATGGTCATGTTCAATATTTATGTCAATGACTTGGCTGCAGAGATTTATTAAGAAATGTATGATACTGAGTTTGATGTCAGCATTAGGACATAAAATGATTTCAGCAAGGTGAATAGTGAACTGATTTTAGCAAGGTAGAGTGTCATGGATATATAAAGTTTTGCATTTAGGCTTTAAACATGAACTGTCCAATAGAGAGAGAGAGACATGAGGCCCAACAGCAGTCCACACACAAGCGACCTAGGAGTTTAATTGACAAGTAGCTCTGTGAGAGCCAACAGTATGTTCTGGGCTACGAGAAAACTAAATTTAAACCTCAGATCGTTGTTGGAAGATTTAGTATCCCATAGCCAGAAAGCAATTAACGATAGTTTAAAAAGTAGGAGTATGGTGCCTGGATGGTGAAACATTCCACCCTGCTTTTTACAGAGCAGATAGCATGTAGGGCGCTGGAGGAGGTTTAGGTGCTGCAAGGGTCCCAAAGGGACTTTGATGCACTGGAGTGTATCATAGACACAGACACTAGGATGGCCTGGAGCACCAAAAACACCCTATGAGGAATTATGGAAGGTCCTGGGAATGTTTAGCCTTAAAATGAGAAAACCTGTGGGAAAGTGAGAGACATTTTCATAAATCTGAGGAAGTCGGTAAGAACCAGAGGTGAGACCGCTGGCTGCTATGACTCACGCCTGTAATCCCAGCACTTTGGGAGACTGAGGTGTGCGAATCATTTGAACCCGGGAGTTAAAGACCAGCCTGGGCAACATAGGGAGACCCTGCCTCTATAAAAAAAAAGACAAAAATTAGCCAAATGTGGTGGCATGCACCTGTAGTCTCAGCTACTAGGGAGGCTGAGGCGGAAGGATCACCTGAGCCCGCGGAGGTCGAGGCTGCTATGGGCCATGATTGAGCTGCTGCACTCCAGCCTTGGTGACAGAGCGAGACCCTGCCTCAAAAAATAAAAATAATTTAAAAAATAACTAGAAGTAAGTGAGAACTGCATAAGAAAAGAAGAACTTTCTGACGGTCAGAGCTATCTGAAAATGAAAGGAGGTATGCAGTAAGCTCCCTGGCACTGGAACTATCAGATGAACAAGGCTGGATCACCCCTTACAGAGGATTAGGCAAAATGATTTCATAGACAGGGTAAGTGTTGTGCTTGGTGGTTTCTAAGGGCCTCTCCAGTGCCAGGTTGTGGAGACGCAGGGTTCTGTCCTGCCCTGAGGGCAGGTGGAGGGGGCTTCTTCCATGGGGAGGAGAGCAGATCATGTGGCTTCCTTGCTGTCCCCTCGCTGCGGGCTCTCCTCCAGCCTGACATGGGGTTGCCTTTAGTTCCCATGGATTTCTGGAGGGGCTGATGGCTTTGCTCACTGTGCATGTCTCGTCCCTACAGCTGTCTTCTTTGGCCATCTGTAGGAACAGTGGGCCTCCCTGGCTCCCCTGGCCTTTGTTACTGCTTGTCTATCTGTTCTTGGACCCATTGATCCCTGAACCTGAGAGAGAACAGTGGGTGTCAGGGCAGTGAGGACTTGCTTGAGATGCCAAGAGTCTCTAGCTAAGCAGCATTGCTCCTTCCAGGGCAGGGAGCTGGCCAGGCAACCATGATCAGGTTCCATGGCAGCAGAGAGTCAAAGACCAGAGACACGGACCAAGCTGAAGTCTGGAGAAGACACTGGCTCTGAACTCCAGGACATCAGAAAAAATACCAAATTTGGAGGGGTTTGCTGGTGAGAGGCTGTGGGGTAGGCTGTAGAGCCAAGAGTTGGGAGTCTAGTAAAGATGGGACCAGAGCAAGAGGAGTGGGAGCCGACAGGATATAGGAACGGCCTGGGCCACCTTTATGGGCTGAATGGGTAGGACACATGGATGGGGTGGGGGGTTAGACTAAAGGGCCAGTAGGTGGACAGACTTCTGCAGGGAGACAGTGCTGCTGACCAAGGGACAGCAGGGCCTTGGTTTGTGTTAATGTGTGTGAGTGACGGTAACGGAAAGGGGTTGAACTTTAATTACTCCTCGACAGTCAGACAAGTGAAATGAGATCATCCCAGGGAGTACAAGCAGTGCCTGTGCACACAAGCCTAGAAGTCAGAGTGACTCAGGTTTAAATCCTGGCTCTGACACTCATCAACCACGTGTCCTCGGGCATTTAACTCCTGGAGTCTCTGTGTCCTCTCCAGTCTAAAGGGGACAATAATACAAACTCTCATGTGGTAGGCAGGAGTGGCTCTCGGGTGCCCCAAAGGCAAAGGAAGTTAGAACGGGCTATTTTCCCTTCCTTTGCTTTCATGTTTTCCTTTCTTCTTTTTCTCTTATTTTTTCAACTGTGATAGGCTGGCAGAAGCTGGAGCCATGCCCTGTTTCTAAGCAGGGTCAAGGCAAACACTCCTGTAGAAAAACCTGACAAACTGGGAGAGACTGGAGTCAGTAGCTCCATGGCAGGCAAGTCAATGCCACTAGCGTTGTCCTTCCAGGGCCATCTCCTTCCAGGGCCATCTCCTTCCAGGGTTGAATATCCCCTTGTCCAAGGATGGAATGCAGTCTCCAGCAACATGGTGGTTGTAGCTAGTAACTCTTCTGTCTGTCAAGAAAAACCACCTGTAGCTCCAGGGGAGTTAGTTTCAATGGGATTTTTCTGTCTTTCCTATTCCCATGCCAATGCATCTTCAGACTCACTTCCTCATGATAGCAACTATGCAGGCCAGTTTCCCTGTCTTTCCCCTCTTCCCTTTCTTCTCAGTCTATTCCCATATCCTTTGCTCAGTAGACAGGCAGTTATCTGCTCTACCCTCCTCCATTCACAAACGTCTAGGGTTTATAATTTTAGGAAGGTGCTGCAAAAATACACACCCCTTTTCAAAATAAATAAACACTCCTTTTAAATGATGAAGAAACAAAACTTTAAATCGGAAGTACACTTGGGGGTTGTCACCTTGCCAGCATGAGGGAACACATCATCACAGCACAGGTATGCACTGCGTTAATGATGGAAAGCTTCCTTCTCATCGTACACAAGCTTCAGGTCTTCCATTTGGGGGGCAATGTAGAGCAGAGATTACTTGCACATGAGGACATAAAATTGCCCCCACCCCAAATGATCAGGACTTGAAAAGATATTTAGAAAAGAAAAGAGAGAAGCTGATTGGATTTCAGGGAGTTTGGGGGTTCCTGGAGCCAAGAGCATAGCCATGGTCTAACTCTGGGGAGCCCCCACAAATCAGTGAGCCTCACCCTAATTGTCTGAGGATGAACTTGGGCTGGGTCAAGGGTGAGACCTGAATTACTAGCTGATGGGTATATGTACATTGTGTGTGGTGCTGTTGGACCACCTTCTCTATAAGTCACAGGGTTGACCTTTGGTGTATCAATTATGGCTAGACGCATCCACCCCTTATCGCACTTCTTCCTCTGACTTTACAACACTGGGGGCATAACTTTCTTACCAACGTGCCTCCTTAAATTGTTGAAAATGCACTTGTTGGCTGGGCGCGGTTGCTCATGCCTGTAATCCCAGCACTTTGGGATGCCGAGGTGGGAAGATTGCTTGAGCCCAGCAGTTTGAGACCAGCCTAGGCAACATAGGGAGACCCCATCTCTACAAACAAACAAAACAATTAGCCGGGCATGGTGGTGTGTGCCCATAGTCCCAGCTACTTCGGGGGCTGAGGCGGGAGGATCACTTGAGCCCAGGAGGTAGAGGCTGCAGTGAGCCATGATTACACCACTGCACTCCAGCATCAGTGACAGAGCAAGACCTTGTCTCAAAAAAAGTAAAAAGAAAAAGAAGAAAGAAAATGAACCTCTTTAGAGAAGGAGCCCAAGGGGTGTGACCACCTGCTCTGCTCCCACAGGTATGCCCCATCTCCTCATGGGCTCAGCCCCGCTTTCTGCCTTTCCTTGATTACTCTGAGATACACCTGTTTCCTTTCAACACAGTCCCTGTGATTTGTTGAGCTAGTTTGAAGGGTTTCTGTTCTCTTCTCCCTGAAAAAGACCCTCACATTACACAGGGATAAAATGACAGCGTTTGTCTGCAGGAAGGAGGGAGTCTGCGCAAAGAGGAAGGTGTAGCATTGCTTCCTGAGCCCTAGACAGAAGGTAAGTGCGTATGGGTAGGAAGGGGAAATTGGCTTCACTGAGGCAACGCTAGAAAGGCATTTTAAGTAGGGATTTAAGTAGGCATTAGGATGGGAGGAGGAGTCATTTGATAATTCAAAGTTGGATAATTGTTCTTTTGTTCCATGATCAGAAAATGTGGTTGTACCCTTTCAAAACAGGACTTCACCAACATTGAAAATGCCTTTTGTTTTATTATCATGTTTACTATGTCTTTGCTTGGCAAAAAGAAAGCACAGCCCACTGGTGACATTAATATTAACATGTACGAAGGGAAACATGAATAGTATTTGGCTCCAGCAAGAAAGAACACACAATAATGATGAGAGAAATGTGAGTCAATTATTCTGCCAGTGACTCAGAAATTCTGCTGTCCTAAATGAATCATTTGTAGAGGCCAAACAAGTATTATATAGGAGACATCATACCAAACAGAGGGACAAATCTGACACTCTATAATAGCTCTTTTTGTCATTTATGGTCCAAAACAGATGAGCTCTGGAACATGTAATTTTATTGCTGAAATCAATAAAGTCTGGCCTCAGGCCAGTGCTTAGAATAGCTGTTGCAATTGTCTGGCAGATGGAGAGACTGCTGTTGCAGGCCTCCTGGACTCACCCTTCTTCTCTTGGCCCAGATTCAAACCCAGCCCCCCAACCCACCCCTTTCCACCCTAGTCCATGGCAGGCATCGCTCCCCTCTCCATGTTTATTGAGAGGCTTCCCCAGTGCACACCCAGCACCTCTACACTTAAGTGTGATGTACCTTGGCTTCTCTCTTTCTCAAAAACCAAACCAAACCTAACAAACATTATTTTTCCAAGCTCTTCAGCACAGGCTGAGTCATAAATGTCACTGGTCACTTCGGGACTTTTCTCTCCCACGTGGGAAAAGGATTTCATGCTAGGCTACCAACTGATATCTGTCACGCCCCATACTGTGGGGCCCAGGAGTCTCCCAGCACTTTGGGGCATTGGTCAGAGCACTGACCTGGGAGGCTGAGGTTTAAGGTTCTTGTTGTGGTTCTGTCACTAATGGGCTATGTGAGCCGGAACAAGACCCTGTAATTCTCTAGACCTGGTTTCTCCATCTGTTTGGACTAGAATCAGGGGCTTTCAAATTGTTCTGCAGAGTTGCTTCAGGGGATCTGCAAACTCTTGGGTCAAATTTTATTGAAAAAGTAAAGCATATTTAAATCATGATAAAAGACAGTCAGAATAATCAAATAGATAATATTTTAATTTTAACTGTTAGAATACATGAGCACATTTATTGTGAGTTTATTCTGTGGTCTTGGAAAAAAATTATCTGGATATCTCTTGTACATATATTTAAATATTTTATACATGTGTGTTGACCTGGAAGGTTGCCACTGGTCTTGTCTTAAAATCAGGGCTGTGCATGTGCATTAGCATAGCTTCTGTGGGTCACACCAGATTAAAGGCCATGCCAAGCTCAGATGCATCTGCTTGGCACACACTCTCATTACAGACCAGTTCTCACTTGTGCAATAACCAATAAATGCCAAACATATCGCAATGTGAAAGTATCATATTGTAGATCATTTAAGCAATTATTGTGTTTTTTCTGGGTGATTTATTATGAGATATTTACATGCATACACACCTAAGTGTTTATATACAAACATGTAATCTTTGTATATATATATATATATATGTGTGTGTGTAATATGATCTCTCAAGTTTAAATGACAGTTTTATCAATATGTCCCATGAGGTTGACAGAGACCTATTAAAAAATCTGGGAACCATTAAGCATTACTTATCTGTGTGGTAAGGATTTCCTGATACTGAGTAGCCAAAACAATAAAACAACATCAACAACATGTTACTAAAGATGATAAAAAATTTAACTGTCATCTAATGTCAACATTTCTTTTTTATTTCTAATTGATAAATTATAACTGTATATATTTCTGGGGTATAATATGATGTTTTGATATATGTTTGCAATGTAGAATGGTTAAACCAGGCTAGTTAACAATTCCATCATCTCCTATACTTTTTAAATAGTAAAGTTTCATTTTTAAGAGAGTCTTTTATTTATCTCTTACTTATACTATTTTGGGTTATAATTGGCAAACTTTATAAATTTCAAGTAAAATGAATTTATATTAGTAAAATTTGTATTTGTTTTGTAAATACTGGGATCCAGGACAAAATTTAATTTGAAAGAAGAGATGTCTTCTACTAAAAATGTTTGCAGTCCCCTGGGAAGATGCTGTTTCAGCTGGAGCCGCCCTTGTGAAAGGGGGATAGCTATTTGGTGTGATTTGGGGCCACCAGAAGAATCCTTGCTATTGATGTGGTTTACTTTACCAAGAGGTAAAGCCTTTCTTTCCTCAATGAAGTTGGACAGTTACCATGTCATGCTTCCGGGAGAAATGCCTAGAGATGTAGAAATTCACACTGAAGTGGGAAAGACTGATATTGGAACCTTCCCAGAGAGTGGGTTTTGGCCTCAGTGACAGGCTCTGGCCATATAAATGGGGTGGAAATGAGGAAATTCAAGGACAATAGAAACAGGAATTTGTTGATTTTATCAACGGTTTTGACAATAGAATTTTTGTTCTGACTGTAGGGAAAAATAATATTCTGGCAATTGGGGATGGGGTGGAGGGCTCATTATCTGTAGACTACCAGCTATGAAACCGCCATGCTAGGAGACATTCTTGCATTGTGATCTCTGTTTTCATAACAACTTTGCAAGGTAGTTCCTCTTATTTACAAATTAAGGATAGGGAAATTGAGACATTGAGATATTGAATAATTTACTCAAAGTGGTATGCCTAGTAAAAGGCAAATTGGTATTGAAAGCCTGGTCTTTCCTTCACAGTCACACTTGTGGGGAGGACAGAGCCTATAGCCTTTCTTCGTTTTGCTACAAGGAGAAGGGGATTGTGCTTGCCGTAGTACACGAGGTTTGTGTGCTCAGCCAAGGCAGAGATGGCAGAGCTACCAGGCAAAACTACCAGGTAAAAACTACCAGGCAAAACTACCAGGCAGAGCTACCAGGTAAAACTGGAGGTCAGCAGGTATGAACTAGAAGACTGGACTGTTTAGTAAGTATGTAGGTTTGGCCTTTGCAGAGTATGCTACTGCAGTCTGAGCTGAGTCATGTCTCTTGTTTTTAGCCTGAAGAAGTGTAGATTAAATTCCTGGCAAGGAGGAAATGAGGGAAAAGCAGGAGGAATCTGCATCTGTGAACCCATCCTCTTGAAACTTTGTATTTATTACTGACTGACAACAGTCACAACAACTCCTTCTTGCATCCAGCTGATCCTAGTTAATGATTTAACCAGGGTGTGATAATGTTATGTGGCTGTCATTTTGTGCATGAGGCTTTTGAAGACATCATTTCTATCCCCCAGCCTGGAGTTCCTGATATTCACTCGATCGAGAATGTGAAAACTTTCCAGAAAGTTTTCAATTTACTTTGTCCAGATCCATCAGATAAATCACTATCTATGGCTACTGTAGCCTCATAAAATGTGTTTCTTAAATAATAAGTCATAAAAGTCAAAATGACTTCCTTATCCATGGGCTACACAATGGATGTTGTGTTAGCAGACATGAAAACAACATTAATCTTCTTGTACATCTCTATCAGAGCTCTTGGATGACCAGGTGCATTGTCAATGAGCAGTAATATTTTGAAAGGGATTTTTTTTTTCTGAGCAGTGGTTCTCAGTAGTAGGCTTAAAATATTTAGTAAAGCATGCTGTAAACAGATGTGCTGTCATCCTGATTTTGTTCTTCCATTTATAGAGCACAGACAGAATAGATTTAGCATAATTCTAAGGGCTCTAAAATTTTCAGAATGGTAAGTGAGCATTTATATCAACTTAAAGTCACCAGCTGCATTAGCCCCTAACCAGAATGTCAGCTGGTGTTTGGATGCTTGGAAGCCAGGAATTGACTGTTCCTCCCTACCTATGCAAGTTCTGGATGGCATCTTTTTCTTTTTTCTTTTCTTTTCTTTTTTTTTTTTTTTTTGAGACAGAGTTTTGCTCTGTCACCCAGGCTGGAGTATAGTGGTGCAATCTTGGCTCACTGCAACCTCTACCTCCCCGGTTCAAGTGATTCTCCTACCTCAGCCTCTTGAGTACCTGGGATTACAGGCCCCTGCCCCAATGCTTGGCTGATTTTTTGGTATTTTTATTAGAGAAGGGGTTTCGCCATGTTGGCCAAGCTGTTCTCAAACTCCTAACCTCAGGTGATTCACCCGCCTTGGCCTCCCAAAGTGCTGGGATTATAGGCGTGAGCCACCGCTGGATGGCATCTTTTTCAAATAGAGGGCTGTTTCATCTACACTGAAAATCTGTCGTTAAGTATAGCCACTTTCATTGATTATCGTAGCTAGATCTTCTAGATAACTTGCTGCAGCTTCTCCATCAGCACTTGCTTCTTCACTTTGCATTTTTATGTTACGGAGACAGATTCTTTCCTTGAACGTCACAGACCAATTTCTGTTACTTTCCAACTTTTCTTCTGCAGCTTCCTGACCTCTCTCAGTCTTCATAGAACTGAATAGATTTAGGGCCTTGCTCTAGGTCAGGCCTTGGAATAAGGGAATGTTGTGGCTGGTTTGATCTTCTATCAAGACCACTAAAACTTTCTCCATATCAGCAGCAGTAAGGCTGTTTTGCTTTCTTATCATTTGTGTGTTCACTGGAGCAGCACATTTAATTTCCTTCAAGAATATTTCCTTCACATTTACAACTTGTCTAACTGTTTGGTGCAAGAGGCTTAGCTTTCAGCCTGTCTTGGCTTTGGACATGCCCTATTAAGCTTGGCTAATAACAACTAATTTCAATGTGGTGTGTCTCAGGGAATAGCGAGGCCCAAGGAAAGGGAGAGAGATGAGGAATGGCCAGTTGGCGGAGCAGTCAGAACACATAGCACATCGATAGATTAAGTTTACCATCTTATATGTGCTTCATGGTGCCCCAAAACAATTACAACAGTAACATCAAGGATCATTGATCACAGATTACCTTCACAGACATAATAATGAAAAAGTTTAAAATATTATGAGAATTACCTAAATGTGACACATAGGCATGAAATGAGTACATGCTGTTGGGAAAAAATGGTGCCGAAAGACGTGCTTGACATAGGATTGCCACAAACCTTTGATTTGTAAAGAACAACAACAACAACAGAAACACACACAATGTCTGTGAAGTGCAATAAAGTGACGCACAGTAAGATGAGGTATGCCTGCACTGTATTCACAGCTAGGGTCATTAAAGAGATAACGAAGTTAAAAGAAGGTCTTTGAGATGGGCCTTAATCCAATTGACTGGTGTCCCAATCAGAAAAGGGGACTGTGACACAGACATGGACGAAAGGGAGACCACGTGAAGACACCCAGGGAGAATATGGCCATCTACACGCCAAGGAGAGAGGTGGCAGAAGAAACCAGCCCTGACAACACTTTGATCTGGAACGTGTAGCCTCTGAAACGGCAAGAAAATACGTTTCCGTTGTTGAGGTCACCCAGTCTATGTACCTCTGTTACGGCAGCCCTAGCAGAGTAACACACAGCCTCACGCAACTGTTCTTAGAGCTGTGCTTTAGTCTGAGGTTCTTCCTACTCAGCCCTCCTTTCTTCCACCTCTCCCGTCACAGGTGGCCGACCTGCCACCTGTGATCTGAAGGGTCTCTTCAGCTCCTCTGGCTCCCCTGCCACCTGCTCCTTCTCCCTCACAGGTGTTTCCCTCTGAAAATCTCTTGTGTGCTAATCTCTTTTGGCGTCTGCATCTCAGAGGACCCAAACTATCGCAAACATGAAGAAACAATTTTATTTGGAGATGCAATATATTTCTGAGATTATTAAAAAATAAATTCTAACACTAGGTGACAGAGTTCTTGAAAAATAAGCCCAAATTTATTTTGGATTTATGTTTCACTTGCCAGTATAGACGGATGAAGTTGTGTTTCCTGCCCTGCCCCTCTGGGCCCTCTACAGCTGTCTTGGGGCTAAAGGGAAGAAGAGGAAATGACACCTCTGCTGGCGGAATTATAGCCTGCCAGAGTTGGAAAGGACCTCAGAGATGATCACTCAAGCCCACCCCCTCACCTCACACATGGAGAGACTGAACACCCGAATAGTTAGATGTCCAAGTGACTCGCCCAGGGTCACAGAACCAACAAGTGGCTCTTACTGGCAATCCAGGGATGTACTTCGTAGAAGGATATAGAAACTGTTAATTGAAATGATGTGTTTGGATAGCCTATGAGTTACTAGTCACGTCTTTCAGTTACCTCTGGCTCCTGTTAATGAAATACTGGCTATATGGTCACATACGTGAGTTGGAAAGATGCCTTTCACCTTTCACCAATGCCTGGGGCTATTTCTAGGCACCGCAAACCCCTGATAGCATGAGAGTGGGTTGAAACTTTTTGGCAGCTGCCACAGAGGGTAAAGCCTGGCTCAGCAACTGAAGCCAGAACACATCCTCACAGGATGGCAAGGGCTGCCTTGGGCTGGCAGCTGGGGGCTGCCTCTTCATCCATCTATCCCCAGCAGATCTCATGTGTCCTCCCCAGGAATTTGGCTGGGCAGGGCTTCATCAGCTTGCAGTGGAGCTGCATGAATGTGAGGCTGGAAATATTGGCAGAGGCTTAGCCTGAGTCCAAGGACCACCACTATTCCTGTTTCTTCTAAATCATTTGTTAGTCAACAGCTGTGTTATTAATATGGTAGAAGATCTTAATTGTTAGTGAAATGGGGCTTCCTCTGCCTTCTCCACACTTCACAGAATCAGGAGACCAATGAAGAGCTGAGTCATAAGATATGAAAATGTCACAATTCCTGGCTTAAAAGAGGGCTTGGGGGCCCAGACAGTTTCTTTGGGAATATTAACAATTTTGTAGACAGTGACAGGGCAGAACCTATCTCCCAAAGGAGGTAGCCCAGCCATTATAACAAAAGTTATAAAAACTTACGAGTTATAAAAATAGGCAGCTGGCCTGCAGACTGTAGTTTGTCACTTCAATGTTTTTGAAGTATCACATCAAAATATTATTCATCTTGTTGTTGAGGTTTTGGTGCCCTCTGAAATTCTGCACCTGAGGCAAGTGCTCACTTGACCTGCCCTAGCCTCAGCTCCAAGATACCTATTGCTTTTCATCCAGCACTGGTGCCCCTCCTCTCTGGTCCCAGTACACCAAGTACGCCAAGTTGCCTTTGAAAACTATCCCTCCATCTTTTTTCTTAGTTATGTGGCTTCTGTGGGAGCGGCCCCACCTCCAATTCCCTGATTGGCTTATCCGTTCCAAAATATCCCGTCCCCAACAGGATGGTTGATTCAAGCGGTGGGCAATTAAGCTGGTCCAAGAAGAGTGAACTTGAGACTTAAGCTGGGAATGCTGAGCCACAGACGCTTTCTCCTCCCTGGGTTTGTGGTGTGAGGATATATGACCGGGAACTGCTGAGACCACAAGAAGTAAGCTTAAAGCTTCAGGCCACCTCCTGGGCACTGCCAAAAAGGTAGAATCCAGGGATGCCTGCGGGTTTTGTAAGGCCTACAGCTTATACAATTTTGGTTGTCTCTCTAAAAATAACAGCAACAATAAAACACACAGAATTACACATACAAAATTAAGTACAAATGTGAATATTTAGTTAGAATGAGAAAAGAGGTCATAAATTACAGATTAGAAAGAGCTGAGAAATACCACAAACATGACAAAATTTAGGAAAATAGCACATTTTTATTAATTAATTAGCACCTCTGTGGTACTTTCCCCATTTTTGGCTGCATATTATTTGATTACATTCTTATATGACAATGATTTTATAATGTTGTTTTTGAAAGAGAGGATAAAAAGATAGTCTTTCCTTTGGTAGGAATGATTGGAAAAAAATTATTATTATTTTTTTGAGACAGAGTTTCACACTTGTTGCTCAGACTGGAATGCAATGACACGATCTCAGCTCACCACAACCCCCACGTCCTGGGTTCAAGCAATTCTCCTGCCTCAGCCGTAGCTGGGATTACAGGCATGCGCCACCACACCCACCTAATTTTGCATTTTTAGTAGAGACGAGGTTTCTCCATGTTGGTCAGGCTGGTTTCAAACTCCTGACCTCAGGTTATCCACCCACCTCGGCCTCCCAAAGTGCTGGGATTACAGGCGTGAGCCACTGGGCCTGGCCAAAATTTTTTTGTTATTTATAGTTTAGAAAACTCTCAGTATCATAACTCATTATTGGTAATGCCATGTAACATTTTTAGGATTGCTGTCAAATAAGGGAAGTGTAGGCTTCATTATCTTCATGGTAAATCTACTTCTTATCTCATTTTCATTTCATGTAGTTCCCCTATGTAAGCTACATATTAGATGATACTTCCATGCCTCTCAAGGTCTATATGAGATTTTGGCTCAAATTCCTGTTCTAGGTCATGTAAAAAATAAAATACCCTCCACAAGATTTCTGCAATTCCTAGGAAGGGTCTTCCGTTCTCATGATAATAGCTTTGGAGCAGCCAGCATCTATTCATTCTATTTCAGGTGACAGTAGTTTCAGTCTTTGCTCTTATCCTCCATTGTTAGCCCAGACAGTTGGGTAGGACTGACCTCTGAAATTCAGGTGGGAGCACATGTCCCATACCCAAGACCAGTGATATGTTACATCCCTCCTGGCTATGATGGTTGGTTCTAGAATGGCCATGGGATTCAGTTAGAGTCCAGGATACTCAATTCGTCTTTTGCTGAAATTTTTGGAGAAGAGACACTTGCTCTCTCCCGAGAAGGTGTGAGGTCTGATAAAGTATAAAAAGTGTTTAAGGGACTATAAGAGCTGTTTTGGAGAGAAGGAGAAAATTGGGCTAAATTTAGCTATCTTTGTAATGTATGTGGGAAGGGAATTTATGTCCCATTATTAGGTTGACAGATGTCAAAGTCAGCACCAAAGGAAATAGAGGAGAACCAAGGAAGATGCATGAAAAGCAGAATTTGATTCTCTTAGAAAGGGGAAGCCATCCAGTTTCTTGGCCTTTAAGAGTAAATGATAGATCCAGCCAAGGGCAAAACAACCAGGTCTCTCTATAACCAAAAAGACTTAGAAACATGAACCAATGGCCCATTACTTCAAGTCACATTTAGTGCATAGAATATTTGAGTTAGGAAGATTCTTCTTAAAAGGCAAGGTTTTAAAATACTAGGATTTCATTACCAAAAAAAAAATTGTATATTCAATGGGTGTTTGACTTATAATTTTTATAGATTCTGCTTCTTAAACCTTTATGAAACTGGGAATCCCCATCTATGTATGGATATCATAAAAAGACACACTTGATCATTCAGTCTTATGAGCTCTCATGGTACTTTGTACATTCCAATCACGATAACCCTTTTCTCAGTCTCTGTCAGTACATATTTATAGATCTATTTCCCAAATAGACTTCAAACTACTTCAAAAGGTATTGCTTATATTGCATTCCCCCCATTAATGTCTGGCATATAACAGGCACTTAAAGTAAGCTAGACAGACTTAGGTTTGGAATCTCAGTTCTTTCACTGGCTGACTGGATATCTTTGGAAAAATTATTTTACTTTTTATGAAAGCTCTTAACACATGCTTGGTGCAGAGTATGTGCTCTTCCCTCTGAATAAGTGATTCAAAGGAAAAGATTGACATTTCCCAGCAAACTGTTCAGGACAGGTATGGCAAGAATTCATGACTTTTGGACTCTTGGCCCAAGAATCTTTTATTTGTTATTTTTTATTATACTTTAAGTTTTAGGGTACATGTGCACAACGTGCAGGTTTGTTACATATGTATACATGTGCCATGTTGGTGTGCTACACCCATTAACTCTTCATTTAACATTAGGTATATCTCCTAATGCTATCCCTCCCCCCTCCCCTGACCCCACAACAGGCTCCAGTGTGTGATGTTCCACTTCCTGTGTCCATGTGTTCTCATTGTTCAATTCCCACCTATGAGTGAGAACATGCAGTGTTTGGTTTTTAGTCCTTGTGATAGTTTGCTGAGAATGATGGTTTCCAGCTTCATCCACGTCCCTACAAAGGACATGAACTCATCATTTTTTACAGCTGCATAGTATTCCATGATGTATATGTGCCACATTTTCTTAATCCAGTCTATCGTTGTTGGACATTTGGGTTGGTTCCAAGTCTTTGCTACTGCGAATAGTGCCGCAATAAACATATGTGTGCATGTGTCTTTATAGCAGCATGATTTATAATCCTTTGGGTATATACCCAGTAATGGGATGGCTGGGTCAAACGATATTTCTAGTTCTAGATCCCTGAGGAATCGCCACACTGACTTCCACAATGGTTGAACTTCTTTACATTCCCACCAACAGTGTAAAAGTGTTCCTATTTCTCCACATCCTCTCCAGCATCTGTTGTTTCATGACTTTTTAATGATCGCCATTCTAACTGGTGTGAGATGGTATCTCATTGTGGTTTTGATTTGCATTTCTCTGATGGCCAGTGATGATGAGCATTTTTTCATGTGTCTTTTGGCTGCATAAATGCCTTCTTTTGAGAAGTGTCTGTTCATGTCCTTTGCCCACTTTTTGATGGGGTTGTTTGTTTTTTTCTTGTAAATTTGTTTGAGTTCATTGTAGATTCTGGATATTAGCCCTTTGTCAGATGAGTAGATTGCAAAAATTTTCTCCCATTCTGTAGGTTGCCTGTTCACTCTGATGATAGTTTCTTTTGCTGTGCAAAGCTCTTTCATTTAATTAGATCCCATTTGTTAATTTTGGCTTTTGTTGCCATTGCTTTTCGAGTTTTAGACATGAAATCCTTGCCCATGCCTATGTCCTGAATGGTATTGCCTAGGTTTTCTTCTAGGGTTTTTATAGTTTTAGGTCTAACATGTAAGTCTTTAATCCATCTTGAATTAATTTTTGTATAAGGTGTAAGGAAGGGATCCAGTTTCAGCTTTCTACATATGGCTAGCCAGTTTTCCCAGCACCATTTATTACATAGGGAATCCTTTCCCCATTGCTTGTTTTTCTCAGGTTTGTCAAAGATCAAATAGTTGTAGATATGTGGCATTATTTCTGAGGGCTCTGTTCTGTTCCCTTGGTCTATATCTCTATTTTGGTACCAGTACCATGTTGTTTTGGTTACTGTAGCCTTGGAGTATAGTTTGAAGTCAGGTAGCATGATGCCTCCAGCTTTGTTCTTTTGGCTTAGGATTGACTTGGCAATGCGGGCTCTTTTTTGGTTCCATATGAACTTTAAAGTAGTTTTTTCCAATTCTGTGAAGAAAGTCATTGGTAGCTTGATGGGGATGGCATTGAATCTATAAATTACCTTGGGCAGTATGTCTTGGCCCAAGAATCTTATGTGTCAATGTTTTGTATGTTAAGAGGAGGACATTTCTGGAACCCATGTTCGTCTCCCAAACCCAGTTTTTTTCATGTTTGACAGGAAAGCTGTGACACATAGCAACTCCTAGCCCTGGGGGATAAAACTCTATACAGAAGGAACCATGTGGCTGGACTGTATGCACAGCTGATTAAATATTTGAGTAACTCACTTTATAATGTGATTTCACTAAGTGCCTACCTATTGCACCAAACCCACTGGCGATTAGATGGCTCAGAAATAGCCTCAGAATGCAAAGGCACATCCTTCATGGCTTAAAATGGAAAAATCACTAATGCTTTCCTGGATGTCGTCAGTAGAGAAGTTGGGACATATGCCACTTTTAATGACTCAGTCGGAGACAAGTCTGTGTCAGTGGGACTCCTCAGAGGTTTCCGAAATGTTACCACATGGCAAGAAGTTGTAAAGGGTAATTTAGAACGTGTGTTCTGGTGGTAAAACCCCATAAGTGTAGCTAAGGTTGGGGTTTACATTCATCTTAAGCTCCTGGAGAGCAATCACTTCTTTTTGAGCTGTCCACGGCTGCCTGACTTCCTCTGACGTCAGTGAATTAGGCAGACTTTCTTCTAAACACATTTTATAAAAAGAATCTAATGAGTTGGAATTTTCCACTCATATGGAGCATATTGGATCATGAGCAGAATTTTTTTTAAGTAAAAGGGAGCATAATGGCATAGAAAAAAAATATATGTCCATCTTATCCAGTAAGGGTAAGGGATGTTTTTAGTAACTTTTGTTTTAGTCTCACATATGAAATGTATTGTGATATAATACTTACTGTGGATTACAGTAAGAAAAAAATAAAAAGCTACTGAGTTTGAGGACTCCTCTGTTTTTAAGATGGTTTTGCTATATGTTTGTCTTCATCAATTGTCATAAATATTTCAGTGAAAATTAAATACGGTCCATGGCTCATTTTGGTAATAATGCTTACTATTTGTTGGATACTTATTTCATCCCTGATGGGGTGGAAGATGCTTCACATAGTTTGTTTCAAGGTAAGCTTTAATATCCCTATTTTAGCCTTGAGGAATCTAAGGTTTAAAACTATTCATCGGTATGTTCATCATCATACCAAATATGATGCAAATATCTAACTCTAGACCTAACTATGTTTTCCTTATGCCAAACATTTTACTAACAAAGTAAAAGCACAGCATTTTAACAAAAGAATAGTTAGGGTGCTCTTAAAAATCTGTTGATTTAGGTTTGCAAGAGATTTGAGCCTTTTGGACGTGGTTGTTTGGAAATTTGTCCTACACACACAAAGAGCTGGATCTTTTGGAAGAAAACTAGAAAAGAAAGATGTAAAAGAATAGATGTGCCACTGCCCATGCTGCCCGGAAACGAACTCAAATGATCTAAAGAAGACAAAAATAGACAATCTGCACCAGCTCTGAAACCAGAGAAAGGTGTCCTCTATTTTGCAGGCTTGGAGGAAATTCCATCAAATATAGTCAACAAGGGCCAATCCATAGCTCTGTTTTCTGAGAAAGTAACACCAAGTCATAGAAAATCTAAGCCAAATCCCCTCCCTGGCATATACATTCCATAATTTAAAGAGTTGGTAAACTGCTGAGTGCAGTGGCTCACACCTGTAGTCCCAGCTACTCTGGAGGCTGAGGTGGGAGGATTGCTGAAGGCCAGGCGTTCAAGGCCAGCCTGGGCAACTTAGCAAGACCATGTACATCTCTATAAAAAATTAAGAAAATTAAAGGGTTGATAACTTGCCATCTCCAACTGTTGTCTCCTCTCTTCCTCCTTCTCCCAGAATTCCTTCCCCCAATGGTTATCAGCAAATGCAACAGGATAGCAGGGAGGGTTTACCCCTCCTGGGTTTGCTGGTCCTCTTCTTCTTCACAGCTCTGTATCAGGGAGAAGGGGTGTAGGGATCAGCATAGGGGGACAGGGAAGGGAAGCTGATCCTACAGGACATGTTTCCCAGGCTTCCACGTCTGCTGGTTGCTACTGATGGGTCAGTGGGCATCTCCAGCAGCAGCTATATTTTTTCTGTGGCTCCAGCTCCTGTGGCACAGGCCCCCTACAGTTCCAATTTCTCCCTTTTGTCCATGGTCTGGGGGAATACTGGTTGTCTGCTGCTGCTAATCTCTGAGTTGCCTCCTCACACCCTATTGGCTCCTTGCTTTCCCAACACCTAAGTAATTTGTCCCCTGTAGTAAGTTCTCTTGGTTTTAAATACTCAGAATCATTTCTATTTTCCTGGTTAGACCCTGGTTAATACAGTGGGGTGGTGGGACACCTGCCCAGAGCCATTCTCTGAATCCCAGTTAGGTGCAGCTGAACACCTTCCTACGTGTTTACCTGAAGACAGATAGCTATGGCAGAGTGCAAGGGAAACAATCAATAAAGGGAGAAGCCACTGACAGGCAGGTGTGATATAGAATAAAGGCTCTGGATCTTGAGTGATCTTTGTCTACAGCAGCATCATGACTCCTTTTCAGGTCTGACACTGTGCAGTGAACTCAGGCTCTGCCTAGAGCGCAGAGCTAGCTCACCTTTCTACAATGGGGAAGGAAGAAAACCCTCTACCACCACTCACACTTCTCCCATGTCCAAAAATTCCTGCCCAGTGACTGGAGGCCAAATAAAGAGCCTTGTCTTCTTGTGACTCTCAGAAGGACAAGGGGAAGGACCCAAGACAGCCAGGGGTTTCCAGTCAAAGTGTATTTTTCACCTAGCCTTTGGCAGTTTGTCTTGATTTTATAGCAAATGAAACACATCCTGAAAGAAAATTCATAGATAGTCGTCTGGGCGCGGTGGCTCACGACTGTAATCCCAGCAATTTGGGAGGCTGAGGCGGGCAGATCGCAAGTCAAGAGATTGAGACCATTCTGGCCAACATGGTGAAACCCAGTCTTTACTAAAAATACAAAAATTAACTGGGCATGGTGGTGCGTGCCTGTAGTCCCAGCTACTCGGGAGGCTGAGGTAGGAGAATCGCTTGAACCCAGGAGGTGGAGGTTGCAGTCAGCCAAGATCGCGCTACTGCACTCCAGCCTGGTGACAGAGCAAGCCTCCTTCTAAAAAAAAAAAAAATTCATAGATAAGAAAGCCTACACGCACACGTAACTTTTTAAAAATCAATATAATACCATAGCTATAATGTAGTGGAGAAATAAGATAAAGGTAATAATGATAAAGTTTAACCCAATATTTAAATGATAAAGTATGATTTCACTAGAAGACATAATGAATTGGTCAGATGGTTGCAGCTGTGCATAATAAATAAGTTGGGCTTTAAGCAAAAAAAAATAAAATAAAAAAGATGAGGGCCAGGCACAGTGGCTCAGGCCTGTAATCCCAGCCCTTTGGGAGGCCAAGGTGGGCAGACCACGAGGTCAGGAGATTGAGACCATCCTGGCTAACACAGTGAAACTCCATCTCTACTAAAAATACAAAAAAATTAGCTGGGCGTGGTGGCAGGCGCCTGTAGTCCCAGCTACTCATGAGGCTGAGGCAGGAGAATGGCGTGAACCCGGGAGACGGAGCTTACAGTGAGCTGAGATTGCGCCACTGCACTCCAGCCTGGGCAACAGAGCAAGACTCTGTCTCAAAAAAAAAAAAAAAAAAAAAAAGAGATGAGAAAGATGAAACATCAATGGTACCCAGGGAGGACACGAAAATAGAAACTAGTGTTAGGATGAGTGATAACCAGTTATTTTATGCATCATAAGAGAAAGTGGGAAGTACTTAATTGAAGGAGGGATAACATACCAAGATAAACTACATACTGATAGAGTGGAGAAAATGAGAAAGCGTGACATATTCTCACTAATGAGCTGGGACTGATTTATAAGTGCAGTGTCCATTGTTGCCTTTGTTATAACATGTACTAAGGAGCAACAAAATTTTATGGAAACACATTTCTTATGTTGAAACACACGCACATATATATTTCAGTACATTATGCAGAATTAGGGATTGGCTAGAAAGGAACAATCACTCATAAGGGCATGGAGTAGACATCAAACATCATTAGTAGAAAAAGATGGAAAAATGACAGGCAACCCTTAAATAAATGTATGATTTCAATGCTAAATTTCTTATCATTGTTCTAAAAATTAGAAAAAAGTCATAGCAAAATTTTAGATATAAAAAGCTTTTTTTTTTTGAGACAGAGCAAGACTGTCTCAGGCTGGAGGGCAGTGGCACGATCTCGGCTCACTACAACCTCTGCCTCCCGGGCTCAAGTGATTCTCATGCCTCAGCCCCAGAGTAGCTGGGATTACAGGCATGCACTACCACCCCTGGCTAATTTTTGTATTTTTAGTAGAGATGGTGTTTCGCCATGTTGGCCAGGCTGGTTTCGAACTCCTAGCCTAATGTGATCCACCTGCCTCGGCCTCCCAAAGTGCTGGGATTACAGGCCTGAGCCACTGAGCCCAGCCAAAAAAGATTTTATTAATGAAATGCAATAAGATTCTTACACTTATTGTACATCTGTATTTTAATAATAGCTGGATCTAAATCTGCTAAAGAATTTGCTAAAAGGTGACTCAAACATTTGCTACATTTTTACATGGGACAGCTACACGTACAAACTAACACAGGTGTGTGCAGCCCAAAACACATGGCATGATTCTTGGCTATGATGAACAACTCTTCATACATTTTCAAACAAAGAACAGACTTCCCTAGATTGGCATGGTAGTTACATTCTTGGAAAATCAGCATATATATTAAAACAATGCAAAAACTACTTCATGTGATACATGAAACAGAGTTCAATTCTAGGCTCATAAATAATTATAAAAAAGGTTTTTCCACCATGTGAATACCTGCTTGAACATTCGAAAGTCATGCCAGACTTGAGAAAATCCTTTGCTGTACGGAACTGTCCTGCCCACCGCAGGTTGTTCGGCATCCTTAGTCTACCCACCAAATGTGCGCAGTGTTCCTATAATCATTGTGCTGAACAAAAACTCCCCCTCAGATTACCAAGAGGCCCTCTGAGACAGGATATCGGTCCATTGAGAATCATTGCTTTAAGCCACAACATTATCTAATCAACTGTTCCATACACAGTCCCTCTCCCCTCCATTCTCTCATGCCATGTACAACCCCGGGGCTGAGCTGATGGCTGTTGCCCTGGGCCTTGCTGATATGGCTTTCCTGGGACGTGACTCTGCTGCTGTGGTTCTGCACGTCCTTAACAGCGCACTTAATCACCTACCCCCTCCCTTTAGTATCAAGTAGCACGGAGTTCACTGACAAGAACATGAGCTAGAGAGAATCAGAAGCAGAGGTTTTTGTTTTGTTTTTATCATGTATCCCATTGAGCTGATGTAACATGTTGACTCCTCAACCTTTCATCACAGGTTTACAAGTTTATTAAAGCAGGAATTTTCTTGCTGCCCTGCCCCCCTGCCAGTAATTTAAGGGCTCAAGATCTCTTTAAGATTCAGTGCCTGTCCATCAATTCCTTTATCCAGGTGCTACCCAGGCTTCTGTCAGCCCCTACGTGGTGACAGTGCCTTCATGTGAAATACTAAAAGGTATTCCATCCTAGACACTTCTGCAGGAAAATACCATAATACACTGATACTGTCATAAGAAGTCGACAGATTTATCCTGCCTATACTGTGAGTATCCTTGCCCCACTCCTCTTCCCCCACTGCACAATCTGCCCAACCATAAAGGCAGCCCTGACCATGTCTATTCGTATGATATAATTCAGGCCAATGCTATATCCTGATCGTTGATGACTAATCAGTTTGACTCTAAATTAAATTAATAAGTACTCATTAATCACCTATTACATGTAGGGCTCGATGTTCCCCACTGAGAGGAAAATATAAAAGGATTGAGAAATGACCACTTGAGAAACTCATAATTTAAGTTACCCTGACTTCTGCTTTTGCATCAATAACTTAAGGTTAGATAATGTGCCTAACCTTAATGCAGATGGTTTTACAATAGGGATTGAACTGTTCTTCAGTTGTGTACTTCAACTGAAGTACATAAATCTCCAATTATGTACTTCTCATAATTGTATGAGATATGAGGATTTGAAGAGAGATACAGGCAACTTAGACACTTAAAAAATACGGCTTTGCATTATTTCCTTCTACATAACATAACAGCTTTGGAATCTGCATCTTGCAGGGATGTTGTAACCTCTTGCATTTAAGAGACTCAGTGTTATCTGGAGGCCAGTTGGAAGATACATTATTTTTTAGAGTGTCTACTGAGCATTTTCTCCAAGTAATTTCCTGGTGAGCTCTTTTTATTTTTCAGCTGATAGTGCACACAGGATGTGCCCTTCTTAGGGGAAGACTATAAACTTGTAATAAGAAAAAAATTGATAGCTTTAATTAGTCCTTTAACATAAATGCAATCATCATATTTTTCTCTAGGAGCTCTTCAACACTAGTCTCATGATTAAAGTACACTAATAAAGTTGTCCCCATCACAGAAAGATGAGCAAAACATGCAGAAGCCCTTAGGAGGGTTGGTGTGGGATCTTTCACTGTACTAGTCAAGGTTCTTGATTGTAAGCAATTGAAACTGATTCTAGTCATTTAAGCAGAAAAGAAATTTATTGACAAGATTTTAGTTTCTTATGGGATCTCTAAGAAGGCTGGAGGACCAGGCTTGGAAAATGGGGGAAACAATGGGAGTCTATGTAGTTGGAACGAGAGCACATTTAGCAGTCAGCCAGCCCCATGGATCGTTGACTGCTGAATGGAGGATGCTGATGGATGCAGCTAACATTAAGCACGAAGTCTCATACCACTGCCACTGCCCCTACTTCTCTGAGTTTATATCTGTGGACATTTGATTGGCCAAGCTAGGTCCTGGGCTCCTGCACTAGTAACAGGGAAATGAGTTTGGCCTTTTCAGCTTCTGTGAGGAGAGCTGAGCTTTGAGTCCTGCTAAATCTCAGACTCAAAGAAATTCTGAAACATAGAAATACAGTTTGGATGCCAGGTGGTTACAGACAGGCAAACATTCATTTCTTCCATGGAATGACTAAGGGAGACAAACAAAACATAGATTTCATCTTACTTAACCAGTATCTCACTTTTAAAATCTTCATCCCCTTTTTTCAAAAAAATGAAAAAAAAATCCAAGTAGCATTTCACTATACCAAATACAAGGGCTTGCATTTGGAAACAAATATCTTTCTTCCCTTGCTTAAGAAGCCAAGATTACTTGAGACAAAGGGTTTCTTATTGACATTCTATGTCTTTCATCATTTTATTCCCCCTGGTCAAGAACTTAAAGTGACCTCTATTGCCACCAATGGTGAGTCTCAGCTCCTCCCATCTCTTTGCAATGAGCACCCAGTCTCAACAGGCCACTCTGCCCCCAAATGCATGGAAACTTGCCAGTCTGTCAGTGACTCTTGCGCCATTAAACCCGTCTTCAGATGCTGAAGAGGTGACTTCTTCAGGGAACTCTACAGTAGCTTTCCTCTGCATGTCCCCAAAAGGAAGCTGGCCACAGAAGTGACTTGAAGCTAGCATAGCCAACATGTAGGCTTTGGCCTGTGGGCTGAGAAAGGTGATCTGGACATTTCAATTGTATAAGTCACAACCACTGAATAGGTTATTGCATTTTGGGGTGAGTATGGTATTCATTATATTAGTTCAGAAACAAAATCGTACTTGAATAGATAACAACTTAAGTTAGATTTTCTTTAATATCTGGTATGGCATCATGGCCCTATTAAACACATTTTGACTTGGCTTTGTTCTTTTATGACAATGGAGTGGGGCAAATACCATAAATGTGAAAGGACATCTATGCTCTACTCCAATGGCCTACAGGAAATAAATCATCCAGTCAGTTGCATGGTAACCTAAGTCCTTCCTCCCTAATTCCTAAATGGCTGAGCAGTTGTAAGATCAAATTATACACCACTAATTAAAAAGTTAATATGGTCATGGGTCACTGTATTACTTCATACAATTCATATTTCCTCTACTTCTGCCAAAAGCTGTCCCTCTTTTATTAATTACTTCTCAGGTTATTGGAATAGAATATAGCCCATTTGGGTAATTATAATGCTCAAAGAGATCATACATCAGTTTTACCGGTAAGTCCAGAGCTGCTATGAAAGTGCTTTGATCAGTCTGGGGCAGTGGCTCACATCTGTAATCCCAGCACTTTTGGGAGGCTGAGGCGGGCGGATCACCTGAGGTCAGGAGTTTGAGACCAGCCTGGCCAACATGGTGAAACCTCATCTGTACTGAAAATACAAACATTAACCAGGTGTGGTGGCGATTGCCTGTAATCCCAGCTACTCAGGAGGCTGAGGCAGGAGAATTACTTGAACCCAGGGGGCGGAGGTTGCCGTGAGCCGAGATCGTGCCGTTGCACTTCAGCCTGGGTGACAGAATGAAACTTCATCTCAAAAAAAAAAGCTTTGATCATTGTCAGTCTTTTCAGCAGAGGCCTCAGAAGCTTCTGTCACAATCAGCAAAGATAAAGACCTGTCATAATAACTGATAGTCCTTTCACATCTGTCTTCTTTTTAGTCAAGAGGATGGGAAGGTCTTTGTCAGAATTATATAAGTCTACGAGGCTATTCTAAGGTCAAATGAAAGTTTATTTTTCAAACGTTTCCTACAACAGAAAATTTTCTCCTATTTACCAGACTCAATATTTAAAAACCCCTTTTACTGTAAAATACAACATGCATAGGGAAAAGGGCAAGAGGACAAAAAGGTACAGCTCAATGACTAATCACAAGGCAAACTTACATGTCTACCCACTACCCAGCTCAAGAAATGGAACATGTTTTCACAAAAACTAATACGTGCTTACTTATAGTAGCTCTTCGTGATCACCAATGTTCTTCAACTACTGCATGAATAAACAAGCTGTGGTATGTCCATACCATGGAACACTGCTCAGTGATAAAACTGAACAAACTGTTAATATTGGAAGAATATTAAAGTGATTATGGGAGGTGAAAGAAGCCTGTCTCAAAAGGTCACACACCATAGGATTCCATTTAAGTGATGTTCTTGAAAAGACAAAACTCTAGTGGTGGAGAAAAGATCAGTAATTGCCGGGGTTAAGGGGTGGGAGAGGGTGTGTTGTAAAGGCCAGCAGGAGGGAATTTCTTTGGCTGATGGAACCCAAAACCCCTGTGTGTGGGTGATGATGATACAAATATATATATGTATTAGTCCATTCTCACACTGCTGTAAAGAAATACCTGAGACTGGGTAAGGTAGAAAGAAAATAGGTTTAATTGGCTCATAGTTTTGCAGGCCATATGGGAAGCATAGTGGCTTCTGCTTCTGGGGAGGCCTCAGGAAGCTTCCAATCATGACGGAAGGCAAAGGGGGAGCGAGGCACTTCACATGGCTGGAGCAGGAAGAAGAAAGAGAGAGCAGGGAGGTGCTACACACTTTAGACAACCGGAGCTTATGGGAACTCACTATCATGAGAGCACCAAGAGGGATAGTGCTAAAATGTTCATGAGAAACCACCCCTATCACCCAGTCACCTCCCACCAAGCCCCACCTCCAACACTGGGGATTACAATTTGGTATGAGATTTCGGCGGGGACACAGATCCAGACCACTGCAATACATGTGTTGAAATTCATAGAACTGTAAGGAAAGTAAGGAGAAAAGAAAGAAAAAAAGTCAATTTGACTGTAAGATAGTTTTTAAAATTAAATTAAAAGAAAAGAAATAGGACATGGCCAGCACCCCAAAGCCTTGCTGTTCCCCTTCCCAGATACTGCCTCTCCTCTGCCTGAAGAGGTCATCATTTATTCATCGACAGTTTAAATGTCTTACTTCACCTGTTTGGCTTTTTGGCTTAAATCCAGTCTGATTGCCATCAGGTGTCTGGAATTAAGTTTTAAGTCAAGAGACCACCCAATGAGTCATCAGAGTTCCAAGACTGGGAACAGTGCCGACTTGTTTGTACTTCCTACTCCAACAGCTTTCATTCAAATGGGTAAAAATAACATAGTAGAACCTCAAGAAATATTTAGGGAATCAACTAATAAATATTTGACAGAGGGTACAAGAAATATTCTCATGTTGCCTGGATTACATGACCACCTTACCCCAAATCATCAAAAAGATAAATTAAATTATTTGCAAATTTGCTATGAAAGCATTGTATACCAAGAAATGGAAGCACACTCTTTACAAATTTTGTTTCTGTCAACTTGCATCCCATATCTGTAGCGGAATGTTTTCTCCCTTCCCACATAAAAACAAAACGGCTTAAGGAACTCCATAGGACAAGAAAATTTAACATGACCACAACTTAGAATAAAAGCCTATGAAGCTGAAAAAATAAAGTTATAAAATTAACAATGATCTGATTAATATTTTAAAATATAATTTGTTTTATACCTATTGGCAGAATATATATATATAAGGCATATATATCTATGCTTTTTTGTTGCTTTTGGTTTTAAGCTTCCAAGTTGGTTTATATAACAATTTTTTTAATCACAGAGAATGTTATTTGGTTATTAATAAAGTGATGTACTCATGTGTGGCCAAAGCAGCTTATTTTTATGTACTGAGGGTGAGTGTTGGAGGACCAACATCTGTTGTTTTTGTCTTGGCAGCATACCTGTCCTCTCTCTTCCAGGACAGCATTCCCATCCCCTGAAGAGCTCCCCTCCACTGCCCAGTGAGGTTTTGTTCAATAGCCAACAGAAGTACCCTCTTCCCTTTGCCACTGTGATTGGCCCGGGGAGGGTCCCATGATCAAGCTGGGCCAGTCGAGGCTTCCCTAGAGATTCTGTTGCTTTTCCTTCCTCTGAGGTCACTTAGGCTAGTTTGATATAAGTTGGAAAGGTTTGCAGCGTGGCCTCTGCCTAATAGTCCCTCCACTTCACAGAAGACGTCTGATGAGAGTAGACTGGAGAGAGAGAGAGAGAGAGAGAGAGAGAGAGAGAGAGAGAGAACCAGGGACTTGCTATGGCCAAGCACATTTTAAAGATCCAACTTCTTCCCCTGCTTGACAATACCCTTGTGCACCCCTCTTGCAAGTGTGAAGGTGACAGTTGTCCATATCCTATACCCAAATGTAAACAATAACAGTAATAATAATAAAAGCAACTTCTTACTGAGCTTATACAATACTAAGCTATGCTAAACCTTTTATCCCCAGTGTCATATTTTGTTTTTACAACCACTCCAGGATTTTTGTAGGCTCAATTACAATACCCGGTTTATAGTTGAGGAAACTGAAGTACAGAGAGGTTAAAAAAATATGTCCAAGGTCACAAAGCTAGCAAGAGGTAAATCTGGGATTCAAGCTGAGAAAGTCTGATCCCAGAGCCTCAGTCAGGTTTCCAAACTTTCAATGAGAGAGAGATGCAAACACAGGAATTCATGCCTCCTCCATAGCACCCTCCTTCATTACACAGGCTATATTGATCTCCCTGTGTGCACAATAGGTACTGTGGGTTAAAAACTTGTGGGTGAAACCTGTCAGTGTCTCCTCTCGCGAGCTTTACAAATGATGTATCAGGCAACAATGCTTATTTGAAATTTTGCTTCTTACACCCTAAATTCATCATATGTGTGCCAGTGGAAACCAGCAACTAAATATTTCTTCCCTATAAAGATCAGAAATGCAAATCTAAAAATTTGGTACGTTTTCTGGGAAACTTTCCACTCCTGACTCAGCATTTGGAAACCTGATGTTTTTCCCAGCAACCACTCTGACAGGAGGTGGCTTGGGGAGCAACAGGGACGGGAGGAGGCTGGAGAGGAAATGTGAGCTCTGAGAAAACAGTCATTTCTTTCAAAATATCACTGGCAGTATGAGGCACGTCACATCCAGCTGACATTTCTATTTTATTGAAGGGATGCAAACAAATGATTGGGTAAGGGCTTTGGCCTTTATTGAATCAGTGTTAATTGCCCTTGGGGCTTTACTTAGTGAAATCACAAAGATCACCAGGCTTAGGCTGGTGTCATCTTTGAGATGAACAGCTTCATCATTTGTCAGCTGGTAACAGCCATTTGCTGGTAATCTCCCCTTTACAGGAGGCTGTGCTTGAGCTCAGAGGTCCCATTGCAAATGTTTAAAAGAGGGGAAGAGCCAGGTGTTGAAGGTGGCAGAACTGGATTCAGAACCTCTGTCTGCCACATATAGCAGTGTGACATCCCAGTCCCTTATCTGGAAAATGGAGATAAATCATACCTACTTGCTGGGTTGTGGTGAGAATTTGAGATATTATATGGAAAGCACCTAATTGTGCCTTGCAAATAGTGGGTGCTCAAAAATAACTTCTAAGATGCCAACAAGCAACAGACAAAACAGCTGGGTTGAATGTTACCAGATTTGCATATAACAATTCCTAACAAAGCAGATTTGGGCCAGGCTACCTCCAATTAAAGATTCAGGTACATACTTAAGAAATAGAGTTTACTCTTTGAGACATACAGAACATGTGAATGGATATTCAACTTGCTTCATTACTGGAACTCTTCCTGTTCATGTTTGTATTTTAACTGGTACCTTCTGAATACAGGGACTTTTAACATAAAATAAAAGCTTAAAATAAGGATAAAATATATAACAATATTTTCTCACCCTGTGGCCATAGCAGACATTACTAATCAAATACAGTTCTTTTTTGTTATGTTGATTTTGGATGTGGCTTTTCCATCCTCAACACACTGTTCCAGACAGACTTTACTAATTGATCACATTTGGTATTTGAGATAAATCCTATCCAGCATCCTGGCCATAGAAGACTATAGGAGGAGATAATTTAGGTAGGTGGGCCCTCTGTGCCCCTCAGATCATATCACGGGCAGCTGCCTATAAGGTTTGGCTAAAGTGAATAGAAACATACATCCACCTTGCAACTCTTTGCAATTTTGCTGTTTATAATATTGTTTTTATGTGGAGTTATTGTCATAGATTTGAATCAACGCTACCTATTTCCTTTGAGAACCCACTGTGTGTAAAATCCTAAGTTATGAATATCACAGTGCAGACAGCACAGAGGTCATCTTGTGGAGGGATTTGGGTGTTGGGGTCCCAAGTGGTCTCTCGTCTCTTTCTGTCATCCAGAGAAGAGAGTTGAACATGGGCATAAGGAAATGACTGCACATTTGAGGCCTTCACTGGACTTCTTGCCTGCAGCCAAAACGTGAGGCCAGAACGGCTGATGTGAAAATGGGCTTGGGCTAGAAACTGATGATGATTTATAAGCCAAAATATTTCTGATTATTCAAAATGTAAATGTTTTGGTTGGAAAGAAAAATTAGGCCCAGCAGATCACACCGTCCCTCGTGTAGCTCCTTGAACACTAGTGCTCTGGCTCCCCTGGAGCTGGAGTCCAGAACCAGAAGGGAGACTTGCAGGTCATCAGACCCATGGATTTGCAAACTGTGCTCCTGGAAGTCTCAGGGATTCCGGGAGGTCCCCAGAAGCAGCTATGGGAATGAGGAAGAGGCTGAGGGGTGGGCCTGGAAACTATCCAGACCCTGGACACATTTCTCACTGCCTGTTACTGCTACTACCCTGGTCTGAGCAACCTCATTTCTGGCCTGAATCAGACACTAGCCTCTTAACTGGCCTCTTTGTTTCCATTCTTATAACTGTCTGGTCTATTCTCAATACAGCAGCAAAAGTGAGCCTGTAAAAACAGAAGTCACATCAGATCTCTCCCCTGCTCAGAACTATGCGGTGTTCTCCATGTCACTGAGCCTAAAAGCCAAATTCCTGGCAAGACTCTGCAAGGCCTTGCATCATCCAGCCCCCGGTTCCCCTCTACTCATCTCCCATGACTGACTTCCTGGTTCACTACACTCCCGCCATCCTGACTTCCTTGCTGTTCCTCCAGTGCACAGACATGTTCACGTGGAGAGCCTTTGCTTCAGCTGCATCCTCTGCCTGGGACACTTGTCTCCCAGATATGTGCTTGGTAGTTCCCTCAGCCACTTTTCAGGTTTTTGCTTAAACCTCACTTTCTCCCTGAGGCCTTCCCAGACTCCTTTCTCTATAGCATTTACCTCCACATCAACTGGACACTGTGGACTTCCCTTCCCCTAACTTATTTTCTTTATTCTGTTATATTTATCACCTTCTAACGTATCATAGAATTTGTTGACTTACTATGTTTATTTATCATCTGCCCCCCCCACCATGTTTCCCAGGCAGTAAGAATACTAAAAAAAATTTCAAAAAAAAATTTGTTGTCTTGGTGTATCTGTGAATGAGTAAATAAGTTTCTGGGTCTGCCACCCCATCATCAATCAGAGCAACTTCATCTTTAAGATTATTGTGTGGTGCAGTGACGCTCATGTGTAATCCTAGCTACTCAGGAGACCTGAGGCAGGAAGGTCGCTTGAACTCAGGAAGTTTGAGGCTGCAGTGAGCTATGATCAGGCCTGTGAATAGACAATGCACCCCAGCCTGGGCAATATTGCAAGACACCACCTTTAAAAAAATAAAATTACCTTCGATGTAGGGTTTCTGTATAAGACACCACTTAAAGAAAAGATTCAGCAACAAATTGAAAATCACTATAAACCACCACTCTGGTCCAATGCTCCTGTTGTGGGAAGTCAGGGACCCCGAACGGAGGGACTGGCTGAAGCCATGGCAGAAGAACATAAATTGTGAAGATTTCATGGACATTTATTAGTTCCCCAAATTAATACTTTTATAATTTCTTATGCCTGTCTTTACTGCAGTCTCTGAACATAAATTGTAAAGATTTCATGGACACTTATCACTTCCCCAATCAATACCCTTGTGATTTCCTATGCCTGTCTTTACTTTAATCTCTTAATCCCGTCATCTTCATAAACTGAGGAGGATGTATGTCGCCTCAGGACCCTGTGATGATTGCGTTAACTGCACAAATTGTAGAGTATGTGTGTTTGAACAATATGAAATCTGGGCATCTTGAAAAAAGAACAGGATAACAGCAATGTTCAAGGAACAAGAGAGATAACCTTAAACTCTGACTGCCAGTGAGCCAGGCAGAACAGAGTCATATTTCTCTTCTTTCAAAAGCAAATGAGAGAAATATCGCTGAATTCTTTTTCTCAGCAAGGAACATCCCTGAGAAGGGAATGTGTCCCTGAGGGTAGGCCTCTGAAATGGCCCCTTTTGGGGGCGGCTGTCTTTTATGGTTGCAGCTGCAGGGATGAAATAAGCCCCAGTCTCCCATAGTGCTCCCAGGCTTATTAGGACGAGGAAATTCCCACCTAATAAATTTTGGTCAGACTGGTTGTCTGCTCTCAAACCCTGTCTCCTGATAAGATGTTATCAATGACAATGCGTGCCTGAAACTTCATTAGCAATTTTAATTTCACCCCAGTCCTGTGGTCCTGTGATCTCGCCCTGCCTCCATTTACCTCGTGATATCTTATTACCTTGTGAAGCATGTGATCTCTGTGACCCACACCCTGTTCATACACTCCCTCCCCTTTTGAAAATCACTAATAAAAACTTGCTGATTTTACGGCTCAGAGGGCATTGCGGAACCTGCCGACATGTGATGTCTCCCCTGGACACCCAGCTTTAAAATTTCTCTCTTTTGTACTCTGTCCCTTTATTTCTCAGACCAGCCGACACTTAGGGAAACTAGAAAAGAACCTACGTGAAATATCAGGGGTGAATTTCACCTGATACCTCCCTTTCCACAGATGGGGAGAGCGTGGGCCCAGAGGATTCACACATCTGGTTAAAGCAGAACTGAAAGATAACCTATCTCACCTGATTATGCTCAGCCTTCTTCAGTCTGTTTCACACTCACCCTCCCTACTTAAATGTCTTTCTCTTTTCCTGCCATAAAGCTTAACATCTGCTTTTAAAGAAGCAGTATTTCACAATTAGCCTAAACAAGACCATCACGGCTAAGAACTAATAACACGACAGTACCCTGAAAAGCCCCTCTCCCTTTTTAAGCTCTGACTACCACAAGTGACAGGCTTGTAAGAATGTGATAAGCTGGGTTTTCTATTTCCAGCTCAACCACCCCAGGTGTGATTAGGTTTACTGATGCTGTTATTACTAGTAATTAGCTTTTATGTGTTTTTTTCCTTCTGGCAACACCCAGTTCCTAGAAGTTTTGCAAGCATTTCTCACATATGCAAAGGTGAATGAAGGGGTAAACATCACCATCTGTTCTGTATTTTCCTCCCCAGCAGGTATTTTTTTCCCCTTTTCTTTTCCCCTTTATGGTATATTATGGAGGAAACAGTTGGCCAATCGTCCAGCCAGAGTCACAGACACACTTTATGGACTTTGTCCTGTTTCCAGATTTAAATAAGAAAGAAAAAGAAACCGGTGTGATTCCATCCTGTGCAGCTGTTCTCTGGAGCAGCAATCCTTTATCATCACCCACCTCCTCTCCCATCTAAGTGTGTGCCGCCACCCTATGGAAGATTTGATGGACATGTACTTAAGCCTCCTAAGGCCCAGAACTATCTTCTCAGTTGCGAGCTAAAGGGTGACAAAGGTTGTCACTTTCAGATGGATAATGATACAAATGAGCGCCAGTTATCTTTAAGAACCACCAGTTCAGGAGCTGGTGCAAAGGATGAATTGCACGTTGTTGAAGCAGAGATAATGAATAATGAAGGCAGTCCAATTAAGGTAACACTGGCAACTTTGAAAACATCTGTATAGCCAACAGTTTCCCTTTGGGGCTTTGAAATAACACCACCCATGTTCTTACCATTGAAATATGTTTCAGGGCCGGTGCATATGAGTGGACAACACTTAGGAGCTGTGCAGGAAGCTGCAGAGTCAGAAGACAAAGAGGATGAGGATGGGAAACTCTTAAGTATATCTGGAAATTGATCTGCCCCTGCAGGTGGTAGCAAGCTTCCACAGAAAAAAGTAAAAAGTGCTGCTGACAAAGGATGGTGATGATGAAGAAGGTGATAATGACGATGATTTTGCTGAAGAGGAAACTGAAGAAAAATCTTCAGGGAAGAAAACTACAGGAGGTATTTCAACCCAAAATACAAAACAACAAAATCAGAGTGGAAAAGACTCAAAACCATCAACACAAGATTAAAAGGTCAAGAATCCTTCAAAGCACGAGAAAAAACTTTTAAAACACCAAAAGGACCTAGCTCTGTAGAAGACATTAAAGCAAAAATGCAAGCAAGAATAGATAAAGGTGGTTTTCTTCCCAAAGTGGAGGCCATGTTCATCAATTTTGTGAAGAATTGCTTCCGGGTGACTGACTAGGAGGCTATTCCAGATCTCTGGCAGTGGAGGAAGCCTCTTTAAGAATAGTTTAAACACGTTGTTAAAATGTTTCATCTTATTTCATTTGTGTAGCAGTTGATATCTGGCTGTCCTTTTTACAATGCAGAGTGAGAACTTTCCCTACCATGTTTGAGAAATGTCTGGACTCCATTGCCAAGAATGTGTTGCCTGAAACACTTGTTTAGTATTTAAAGATAGAACTCTGCCCTTTGCTTGGCTTTAAGTATGTGTGAAATATCACTATGGGACATAGTAGTAGCGATGGTCAGACATGGAAATGGTGAGAAGACAAAATAAACATGTGGAATAAACCCAGTATTTGAAGAAAAAAGAAAAGATGTAGCTAATGTTTATTTCAGTGAGATTGGTGTTTAGGAATGAACAGTTTGACACAGAAGGACTGGTGACAGGGACGAGCACAAAACCTTTTCTGGTACCAGTGTCAGGGTATTCATAGCGACGATTTCCTCTGCCCAGATGCTCTCACCCCAGGCCTGGCAGGGTGGCCCTGAGCTGCCTAGCATGAGCTCCATTTGCTGAGACAGGCCTTGCCTGATCCCCAGTCTCCATCATCTTACTCTGTTGTATTATCGTCATGTGACTGCATGTGAATTTACCTTGTTCATCTAATTTTTTAGACTGTTCATCTTTTTTTTTTTTTTTTGAGATAGAGTTTCACTCTTTTCACCCAGGCTGGAGTGCAATGGCACGATCTTGGCTCACAGCAACCTCTGCCCCCCGGATTCAAGGATTCTACTGCCTCAGCCCCCGAGTAGCTGGGATTACAGTCATGCACCACCATGCCCAGCAAATTTTTGTATTTTTAGTAGAGATGGGGTTTCACCATGTTGGCCAGGCTGGTCTCAAACTCCTGACTTCAGGTAATCCACCTGCCTTGGCCTCCCACAGTGCTGGGATTACAGGCATGAGTCATCATGCCTGGTCTAGACTGTCTATCTTTAACTCCACCTAGAATGTTGACCCCATGAAAGCCAGGACCTCATTTATGTTGTTCCTTGCTGTATAGCAGTGTGCCTGGAAGAAGGCTTGTCATGAGTTGAGTAGACATTTTCATTTCACCAATAGTTGATAAGCTTTTTGCTCACCTAGAGCTATTAATCTGTGGGTTGCCTCACTGTCCCTTTTGTGCTGTCACAGTCCTTCCAACCCTGTGTAAGCAATTCATTCTATTAATTCTGTTTGAAATACCCAGAGTGGTTTCTGTTTTCATGACTCGACCTTGTCAAAGGGTGATGAGACCAACACTCAATATCTGGGGTGAGTGGGAAGTAAATTTATTGCTTACTATTGAAAGGGAGAGCTTTGTTAGGCACATTCTCTCTGAGCAGAACTTTCTGCTAATATTATATAAGGCTCTGGGGAAGCATGGGTTTCAGGGATAGGAGGACATTTAGAGACATAAGTGTGTTAATATCTGTAGAAGCACTCTCTGAGACTTGTTGATTGGCACTCAGAGGCATGTTTATTGAAATGAGTCCATCCTGCCTGGCCGACTTGTAGAAGTGAGGATTGACACTGATTGGTTGGCTTTCAAAAGCAGTCACTGAAACAAGTTGTTGATCAATAGAACAGGTTTAAAATCAGTTTTGGTGACTTCTTGTTACCATGGTTATATAACAATCACTCTTTCTAGATTACTGAACACTTACTTTGTTTTTATGTTCAACCCTGACTGATAGACCTACCTTAGTCTAGGTTTGGACTCTAGATCTTTTTCAAACTATGTCCCTTATTAACTTTGTGACATTTCTTGAATAAATCACTTAACTTTACTAAACTCCTCATTTATCAGATAGGGCTAGTGATGCCTTCCTCTCGGATTATTCTGAGATTAAATGTTATAATGATTGTGAACACTGTAAATTATAAAACATTCTGAAAGCGTAAAACACATTTGAAATCCTCTTAAAATTTGACAATATGCCAAAATGGTGCGTAAACTCTAAAGCACTATATAATTATAAATATTTATATTATCTTTTTAGTATTTAGTATTGTTTTAGTGCTTATATTATTATCATACCCTGGTCTTTAAGTCTCAGCTGAAGTGTTTTTTTTCTCCAAGAAAGTATCCTTAACTACTCAAGTCTTTATTGATCTTCTTTTTTTCTGGGTTTTGATATTTATCATATTTACTGAAAAAATTAGCCCTTATACTTATTCTATCTTGATTATTCACTGTAATTGTGGTTGTTGATCTTATCTCCCAACCGATTTTAGCTTACTTTAGGCAAGAATTTTGTCTTCATTAACATCAATAAATATCAGAGCTGCAGAGCTCATGAGACCAAGGTCAATAAGTAATAGCACACGTACTCCTGCTCCATTGTGAACCTACAGAGACATAGCTATGTTATTGAAGAGTGTTGTCTCCCTAAGTCCACACATTGCCTTAGGATTATTTCTATCATAGCACTCCAGGCAGCCACTATAAGTTCAGTGGTATTATACCTGAGATAAAACCTACTGGCTATGGTGGATCTATGCTAATCTTCTCATTTTCCGAAAGAGGAAATTAAGACCCAAAGAGGAAGTGATTTACTCATGGAGCACAAAGTCAGAATGAGAACTCATGTCTCCTATTCCTTGTCATCACTCTTTCTTCAACATCATGCCACATGCTGCTTGTCAATATCCCCAAGGTGCCTGACACAGTGGCTGAGGTCATACTGAGTGCTCAATAAACACCTGTGGCTGTCTTTCTTAGGGCTTTTACTCAGGTATTTGGAAAGCAGAGCGTTTCCACGATACTGTTGACATTGTAATTTAATATTGTTGGGTCTGCCTCGGTGGCAGCTTAATTCATGATTGTGAATTATACATTAATCACATTCATAATGAAAATTCAATGTAAAAAGCATAAGTCTAAAAATGTATTTGCATGAAATTAGTTTATTCTCCTCTCAGTAATTTAAGACTGAGTTTGATGCATCTGAGTGAAATTTTCCTCTCAGTTCTCTCTCCTGGCACTTAACTTGGCACCTAACAAACCAATTATTAAAGGCAGTATGTTTTTTAAACCCCAATACCAATAGCATTTTTGCTGTTTGGAGGTAGTTGTTGTAAACTAAATCTCAATGTCTTGAGAAAGGGTCTTTGCTCAGTAAAAGTCCAGACCATGAAATTCCTTCAGATAGAGTCCCTAATATGTATTAATCCATAGCAATAATAGCTGTTACGTACCATTGTAACCAAGCCATCCTCACTCTCTTTGACTTCCTATGTTAACTCTGGGAAAATAGTGGGTATTGTGACTTCTACAGACAGGTTCAGGCCTGTGAAATTTAGAATTGTACCCCCTACTCCCACAAGTCCTTTCTTACCCCATTTCATTTCGTAAAAGAAAATGTGACCAATCAGGAAAGTCAATTTATGAATAATTCTAATAGTAACATTCATAGGGGCTGTAGTAATGTTTATAGGGTTTGAGGCTGAAATTTCACCTCCTAGAATTTATTCTAAGAAAAAATTCAGGCTGGGCACGGTGGCTGACACCTGCAATCCTAGCACTTTGGGAGGCTGAGGTGGGCGGATCTTCTGAGCTCAGGAGTTCAAGACCAGCCTGGGCAACATGGCGAAACCCTGTCTCTACTGAAAATACAAAAAATTAGCCAGGCATGGTGGTGCACACCTGTAATCCCAGCTACTTGGGAGGCTGAGGCATGAGAATCACTTGAATCCGAGAGGCAGAGGTTGCAATGAGCTGAGATCAGGCCACTGCACTTCAACCTGGGCTACAGAGTGAGACTCTGTCTCAGGAAAAAAAAAAAAAAAAGAAAGAAAAGAAAAGAAAAGAAAAAACTCAAAAAAAAATGAAAAAAAAAATTGGGAAAGTGACAAAACATTCAACAATAGGAAAATAATTAATCATTATATGTCTACCTGAAGGGCTGTGATACCAGACTAATAGCAACATAAACAGCTCTTACATTACAATCATAAATAAAAAATAGAAAAAATAGTATATATATGTATATTATTATTTGACCCATATAAATATAGATATGAGCAAAGACTGGAAGGTAGTGAACAAAGACAAAATTAATTTACATCAGAGTGGCAGGAGAATGGTGCTGTTTTGGTGGTGATCATTTTTAAAGTGTTCTTTAGTAATGCAAAAAATTAGTAGTATACCAGTAGAGTTAGTATTACGGTATATAAAAGCAGAAAGAACAATAGTTTGGCAGTCAGAAAATGCTACTAACTGGTAACGTAAACCTGGAAAATTATTTTGCTCTCTGATATCATGTTTTTCATCTATAAAATGAGCAAGTTAGGCTGGGTGCGGTGGCTCACACCTGTAATCCCAGCACTTTGGGAGGCCAAGGCAGGCAGATTACGAGGTCAGGAGACTGAGACCATCCTGGCCAACATGGTGAAACTCCATCTCTACTAAAATACAAAAAAAAAGTAGCTAGGCATGATGGTGCGCGCCTGCAGTCCCAGCTACTCGGAAGGCTGAGGCAGGGGAATTGCTTGAACCCGAGAGGTGGAGATTGCAGTAAGCCGAGATCATGCCAGTGCACTCCACCCTGGGTGACAGGGCAAAACTCCACCTCAAAAAAAAAAAAAAAAAAAAAAGGAGCAAGTTATTTCTAAGTTATGTAGCTTTAAATTATATCATCTTTCATGGATTTACTTACTTCCTTAAGTTGTTGTTTGAAAGTGTTTGAAAATGTTTAAGGATGGTAAATATTTGTTAAATTTCAGGGTCTTGGTCCCAGTAAAGAAATTTGCAGTTTTCAGTTTTAAGCTTAGCGAAATGGGTTACATAAAATAAAAAGTAATACATCTGTCTTGTCTCAAAGCCGTTCATTTTTTTTTAGCTTAAGAATTTGATTTACCCACTTTTCAGAAAAGCTCATACTTTTAACCTGCTACTGATTACATAATTAACCAGTCAGAAAAATGTCTTTGGAAGATGGAGAAATAGTGTTTTTCAAGGGCAATCTGACAGTATGAGTGAAAAAATGGAAGTTTGATTGCTCTCTTCTAATTGTTGCAAGACACAGTGATACGTATATTTTCGTTTTATGTGCTAACAAGTCAGCAAATACAGATCCCCAGTAGTGGCAGTATGTTCATCAACAGAACCTTCCCTAAAGGTGCTGCTAGGAAGCTGTTGGGGACCTAAGAATCATTGTTTCCAGAACACATTTTACTTAGCTTGGCTCCAAAACTTAGTTCCTTTTCTAAGGCTGCCCTTCTCCCTTTCCTCTGCAGATGCAAGTCCAACCCACCTTTTGGGTATCCAAGGCCTAGCAGAGGCTTTGTGCTCACATCAACATGGGTCGAAATCATTGCCTTCCCCCTCACCAGCTGTGTGACCATGCTCTTCTCTGAGGATCATGATCTACCTATCAAGCCCTTCCTCACATAGCTGTGGCACAGAGACCTAATACTTAATGTCCTGGTATAGTGCCTGGAATTTGGTGAGTATTAAATAAATGTCGAGGCCAGGCGTGGTGGCTCATGCCTGTAATCCCAGCACTTTGGGAGGCTGAGGTGGGCGGATCGCCTGAAGTCAGGAGTTTGACACCAGCCTGGCCAACACAGTGAAACCCTGTCTCCACTAAAAATACAAAAATTAGCCAGGTGTGGTGGTGGGCGCCTGTAATCCCAGCTACTCGGGAGGCTGAGGCAGGAGAATCGCTTGAACCCGGGATGCCGAGGTTGCAGTGGGCCGAGATCGCACCACTGCACTCCAGCCTGGGTGACAAAGAGAGACTCCATCTCAAAAATAAATAAGTAAATAAATAAATAAATAAAAATGTTGAGATGTTTCTCATTTTCTGATTCCCTCTTTTAAGACTCCCTGTCTGTAGTACTATTTGTAACACTTACTTTGGCACCACATATGTTTCTCAAATGGCTCATATGAGTATAACTAGTCTACTAACTCTCTTTGCTATAGGATCCTGGCTCTAAGATAAGCATCCATTGAACATGCTAGAAGCTTGGAGAGAAATCTAGTAACATCATCTATTATGAAGCAAAAAGTAGAGCTAATATTTATTGAGTGGTTCTAAATATTAGCCACTGTGCTGAGGACTTCTAATGTATTATCTACTTAAATCTTTACAAAGATTTCATGTGGTAGGTAATATTTATTACTCCTCTTTACTAATGAAGAAATGGCATTTAGAAAGGCTAATTCATATGACCAAGAGACACAGCTAATAAATGACAGCTGAGATCTGTAACCCACATTCCTCTGACTTTGAATTTAAACTCTGCTTAAGAAATGAATTTGTTATTGACAATGATGTTTGTAGAGTTGCTACAGAGTGCCCAGGGCCCACAATCCAACCGCAGATTTGTAGGTGGAGTGGTGCCTTTGACTCATGACTGTTAGAAACCGGCTCTGCAGCCGTATTCTACCTCTGATGTCACTACATGGTTCATATTTCTGCTCCACCAGCTGCAGGATAATAAAGAAAGGAAAGGAGGGATTGTCGGCTCCTTGACAAAAGTAGACTTTATCAATCTACATAAAAGAAAAGCAAGAGAGTGTCTAAGCCCCATCTCTAGTCAGACTTTTCTCAGATTATGTAATTGTTATCTCCTTTAATTGACTCTCACAAAATTTGATCCTGCTGTATGATAGATCTCTTTATCTGTTTTTTTTTTTTTTTTTTTTTTTTTTGGCAGAGTCTCGCTCTGTTGCACAGGCTGGAGTGCAGTAGCGCGATCTTGGCTCACTGCTACCTCCGCCTCCTGGGCTCAAGTTATTTTCCTGCCTCAGCCTCCTGAGAAGCTGGGACTACAGACACATGCAAGCCACAATGCCCGGTTAATTTTTGTGTTTTTAGTAGAGACAGGGTTTCACCATGTTGGCCACACTGGTCTCAATCTCCTGACCTCGTGATCCACCCGCCTCGGCCTCCCAAAGTGCTAGGATTACCGACGTGAGGCACCGTGCCCGGCCTATCTGTATTGGTTTTAAATGGCTAAATTAATGAGTTTTGGAAAGAAACACAGTAACTCTTACTGAACACTAAAGCTGTGGAATCATCGCTGAATATTTAAAAATCTTGATGTTCCAGGTTTCTTTAATGGACCCGCATATTTTCTGAATATCTTATACCAAGATAATGATGATTACATTACATCGAAATTCGAACGTACAGTTTCTATTGAATACATATCGCTTGCTCACCATTGTGAAGTCAAAGAATTGTTAAGTAGAACAATTTTAAGTCGGGGACCGTCTGTATATATTTCCTTCAAAAGTTCCTTATTGTGCAAGTGTTGGTGAGGGTGTTGAGCAACCAGAACTCTTACACCTTGTTGGTAAGAAAGTAAAATGACACAACCACTCTGGAAAAGAGTATGTCAGTTTCTTAGAAAGTTAAATATACAGCTACCATATAATGATCCAGCTGTTCCACTCTAGGTATTTACCCAAGAGGAATGAAATCATACAACCATGCAAAGTCTTGTACATGAATTTTTGTAGCAGTTTTATTCATAAAAGCTTGAAATTGGACATAATCTAAATATCTATTAGCAGGAGAATGGATACTGATTCTGGAAGCCTAACTTCCCAAATGGGGTCAGCCTCCCTTTAAGCTTGTCTCATAATGAACTCCACCATATAAAGAGCTTGAAAGTTGTCATTCCCATTCTTACAATAAGAAAACAAAAATGAACAAACTAAAAATTCATAATTTTTCTTAGACCTATCAGAGATTAGATGTAGCAAGGCAAACCACTACCCTGAAATCTGGAGGAACAAGCTGACATGGAGAGTCAAGCCAAGATCAGCTTACCTGGAGCAGAAGCTACTGGAGCCATAAACTAATGGGAATACTAAATGGTTATTTTGACAAATTCCTGGAGGCTGAGTATGGACTAATGTGAGCATGAGATACTCCTGCGATCCACAGTCTTGGGGTTGGGGGAAGGGTGTTGTAGGTGGCGCACTTTCATGGGTTATTCCCAGAAGCCCCACCAGGTTCTCATGGTGAAGAGCTAAGAGAAAACTTAGCAGTAATCATTTTGAAATACTCTCAAAGCATTTTTCCATAACAAAAATCTACTCTTCTTGAGAAAAGGACCTTACCAGAGTCTTATGAGCTTAGGAGAGGGGCAATTCCTCAACTTGAGCCCTGCTAGCCTTCCCATCTCACCTGGAGAAAAAAGGCTAAGAAACATTTGTGAAGGTCTCAACCCAAGGACAATGGTCCACTAGTAGACTGAGATTTAATCATAGAGTTATAGACTGCTTTCCTTTCCCAACATTTACCACCATATCAACAGGGGTCAGGACATCAGTGGATAACAGCTGAAAGAGTTTCAAGGCAGATGCTTTATGTAAGAAGGTGCTCTTAGGGATACTCAAGACAGCAGAGGAGATAAAAACATGGACATTAAGGGAAACTGGCCGCAGATACTTACAGCTATAGCAAAGAGCAACCACAGCATAACTCCTCCAGATAAACATAAAGCCTCACACTATTTACCTCAGTTCCTAGTATCTGATTATTCATGCCCAGCTTTCAATAAGGCACACTAGGAGACAAGATAAAAACGATCTGAAGAGACAAAGCAAGAGAACCAGACTCAGATACGACACAGGTTTTAGAACTGTCCGACCAGGAATTTAAAATAACTATAATTAATACGTTGAGGGCTAGAATGGGAAAAGCAGACAACATGCAAGAACATGTGGGCAATGTAAACAGAGACAGGAAAACCTAAAAAATGAATCAAAAGGAAATGTTGAAAATTTAAAATGGCTTCATTAATAGATTGGACATGGCCAAGGAAATAACCAATGAACTTGGAGACATGTCCATAGAAATTTCCCAAACTGCAATGCAAAGAGAAAAAAAAAGAGCAGAATATCCAAGACTGTGTGATGATTCCAAAAGATGTAACATATGAGTGATTGAGAGGAAAAGAAAGAGAGAATGAAGCAAATGAAGTAAAAATGGATGAAAGTTTTTCCAAATGAATGACAGACACCAAAGAACAGATAAATTAAATAAATTACAATGTGTTAAGGGAAGGGAGGGAGGAATTGGGAATACCCTATTATAATATAGCTACCTGCCCATGAAGCAGTATATAGTGCAGGGGTACCCAATCTTTTGACATGGGCCACATTAGAAGAAGAATGTCTTGGGCCCCACAAAAAATATACTAACAATAGCTGATGAGCTAAAAAAAAAAAGCAAAAAAAAAATCGTATAATGTTTTAAGAAAGTTTACAAATTTGTGTTGGGCCGTATTCAAAGCCATCCTGGGCCGCATGCCGTCCACGGACTGCAGATTGGACAAGCTTGGTATAGTGTTAGTTGAAAGGGATTTAGATTACTTGCAAATGCATAATGCAAACACTAGGGCAAACACTAAAGAAATTTTAAAAAGAACTATGATTGATATGCTAAGAAAGAGGATAAAGTAAAATCCTATGAAATGTTCAATTAAAACCAGAGAAATCAGAAAAAGAGGAGAAGGGAAAAAAGAAACAAATAATGAGTGCAAGGAAAACAGTTACAGATAAAGGGATAAAATAATTGGGGTTTAGACATTTGATAGTCATCCAGTCAGCAATATAAAGAATGAACTATTGATATAGGCAACAACATGGATATATCTCAATAATGCTGAGTGAAAGGAGCCAGATTCCCCCAAAAAGAATATATACTTAATTTTTCCATGTATATAAAATTCTACAGATTGAACTAATCTACAGTAATAGAAGGCAGAATCAGTAGGGCTATGGAGAATTCTTAGCTAAGAATTTTATTATGGGCTTATAATGTCTATGACATTAATTTGATGGGATTTTGCTACGTGAATGTACAGAATAGTAAAACTTGGGTTTCAAAACACCATGGGCTGTCGTGCATCTGTTTTTTCTGTGAACTCAAAAGCCTGGAGGCAGAACAGTTTCTTAAATGCCATGGTTAAACTAAGTGCTGGGGATGGATATGGGGAGAATGTGAATTGTTGAGGTGTGTATAAAAGAAAATCAGATTCAAAGAAATTATCATCTGGGAATATTTGAGCCATACTGAAGCTAGCATTTTAGGTTAGAATACATTATCTTTGTAAAACCAGCTGACAATGCAGTGTTAAAATTTTTACTCAACTGATGCTATTTAAACCGGCATATTCTGTTTATTGTGTAGGGCTTTTCTTTGAATATGTTCAAAGAAAAGATATTTAAACCACAAAGAAGCAAGATCATGCCATATCATTTATGGAGAAGATGTGAGTACTAAAGCTTGATGAGAAGAAACATGAGAACTATTAAAAGCAGTTTTCTGTAACCAACATGCTATTGCCACACACTCCCAACTTCATTATTAAAGGAAAAAGTTTTCCCCTCTTTATTTAAATCTAAAATATTTTTGCCACCTTGTGCTCTCAGATAGGTGTATTAAGTTACTTTGCAATGTGAATCTTCACTACAATCTAATATTAGCAAAGGTCTTCAAGAAAATAGGGTCCTGGCATTAGATTGACCTTTAGTTGAAATGGTCTAATATCTAATAATAGGGGTAGAGCCAATTGACAAAACACTTGAGGGATCCACTAGAGGGCAGTAAAGTGTAAATGAAATTTAAATTTGCCCCAGAAAGGCTAATGTTATCCCAAACATTTGTATTGCAAGTAAGATTTCTTGAATGCAAAAACATTAGATTAGATTAGTGATGTACAGTGTTTCTCTTTTCCTGGAATTAGTAGTCAAAGAGCCATTAGATTGAAGAGCAAAATGAAAATCAAATTGGTTCTAGTCTCAGCTCTTTTTACTGACTGTGTGATTTGGGGCAATCTAAAATTTGCTTCTCTGGTCCACTTCTATGATATAGATTTGCACAAAATGATTATTTTTAAATATTTACTTATTTATTTGTTTATTTATTTATTGAGACAGTTTCGCTTTGTTGTCCAGGCTGGGGTGCAGTGGCGCGATCTTGGCTCACTGCAACCTCCACCTCCTGGGTTCAAGTGATTCTCCTGCTTCAGCCTCCCGAGTAGCTGGGATTACAGGTGTGCACCACCACACCCGGCTAATTTTTTTGCATTTTTAGTAGAGACAGGGTTTCACTATGTTGGTCAGGCTGGTCTCAAACTCTTGACCTTGTGATCGGCCTGCCTCGGCCTCCCAAAGTGCTGGGATTACAGGCATGAGCCACCGCACCCGGCACAAAATGATTATTAAAGTTCTTTTCAACTCTAAAATTTTATGATTTTATCATTTATGATTCTATCTCAGCCCCTTTAAAACCTTTTTGATTAGACTCAGGTTATTTGATCAACCATAACTTGCCATTAATGGTGATTCTGTTTGGAAATCACCACCACTATTTCATAAAAAATTTAGATCCCTCAAATGCACTGATTTACTTTCACGAAAAAAAATCTACTTAATAAAATGACATGTATATAATCTAGTGACAACAGTTATTGCAACATCTTCTGGAATAAAAACTTGGGCTATTGAAACTATCAATGCCATTTTTTATTTTAAAAACAGAAAAATTAAAACCCACAATTATACGTAGCCAAGTTGTTTTCACTCTCCATTTATTTTCCTTTTAAAGTGCTACATTTGTGAACTCATTAGCAGTTACCCTATCAAAATTTCAAAATCATGAAGAAGGTTATACATAAAAAATGAATGTTGGCTTGAGGGCCAAGGAAATATTGACTGATTAGATAGAAGAGCACATGATAGATCTGAACTACTCTATGTCATCATTCATTTGGTCAACAACTGCAAGCTCCTGGATGTGGCTGATTTTGATAAAGTCATAGAATTCACAGTATTCTTCACATTTGTTCAATGGTCATCATAAATACACATCACAATAACCCTAATTTGTGACTGAAACAGAAACTCTTTTCTTTTTTCTTCGAATTTTGTATAATATTTATTTTATCAAACTCTTTTCTAAATAGCATTTTTAATGAACATGAATGTATAAAACTGTGAACAATTTTAATAAAAGCAGAAACTGGTCGGGCATGGTGGCTCACGCCTATAATCCTAGCACTTTGAGAAGCCAAAGCGGGATGACAGCTTGTGTCAGGAGGTAGAGGCTGCAGTGAGCTATGATCACACCACTGCACTCCAGCCTGGGTGACAGAGTGACGCCTTGTTTCTAAAAGATAAAATGAAATAAAATAAAGCAGAAACCATTTCTGAATCCAGATTGATAATGGAGTCATATTTAACACCATCCTGTATATTTAAATATTTTCAATTTTTTAAACCCTCATTTAGGATGCATTTTCCTATTTGCATAAAAAAAAGAAAAAAATGCCCTGCTGGCAGTGAATTCAAGGGATGAGGGAAAATCGTCCTCTAAAACAGGATTGTTAAATCTGGAATTATTATCAGAAGCCAGAGGTAAAACCATGCTATCTGTACACTCTCCACTGCCTGTTCCAGCAGATAAACTCACCTGGTTACAACAAGGCTGGCACCCATTTCTATGATTCTGAGGCCGGTTAGCTTCCTCCTCAGAGCTTTAGACCCATCAGCTCATCTCAATGCCTGAAGTTATTAGCATGAGATAATAAATTATTCATTTCAAGCAATTTGTTTTTTCACCAAAAGCAGGATGAGGAATACAAGTAGACACGAACTTCAGTGTCAACAGTTTCAGAGAGAAGTTGCACAATACTCGCAACTTTAATAGCGAGCCCTTTAGACACTGTGGTATTACCTACATAAGAGTAATGAGTGAAATGCTGATTGTCTAGGTTCAAATTCTGGCTCTGCTCTTTATTCTGTGCCTCAATATCCTCATCTGTAAAATGGGCATAGCAGTGCCTCCTTTTGGGGGTTAAAACATAAATTAACGCTTGTAAAACTATTTATTATTATTATTATTATTTGCAGACAGGGTCTCACTCCGGTTGCCCAGGTTGGAGTGCAGTGGCACGATCTCGGCTCACTGCAGCCTTGACCTCCCAGGCTCAAGTGATCCTTGCGCCTCAGCCCCAGAGTAGCTGGAACTACAGGTGCGTGCCACCACGTCCGGCTAAATTTTGTATTTTTTATGGAGACGCGGTCTTCCCATGTTGCCCAGCCTGGTCTCAAATTCCTGGGCTCAAGCCATCTGCCCGCCTCGGCCTCCCAAAGTGCCAGGATTACAGGCGTGAGCCGCCACACCTAGCCTATTATAACTATTATTTAAGCTTAGAATATTAAAATGGTTTCATTTTCTCCAATGCTTTTCCAGTGAGATATAGCTAGGAGTATCAGGCTGGCGTTCCAACTAATAATTCACTGTTGATCTTGGACAAGTCACTTCACCTCTTTTGCCCTCATTTTCTTATCCGGGGTCTTAAACAAAATGCTTCAAAAGTAAATGCTCCAAGATGGTCTCCATGCATGTTGTGGAAAGCACCAATTTTAAAATGAGGTGATTGGAGCAAACAGATCGCCAAGACACTTTCTAGTTCTAACACTTCATGTGATTCATTATTTCCTAGGCGTGTGTGGTACATATGGTATGCAAATGGCTGTCTATATTGGGAAACACTGTAGAACCATTCCATTTGCTGAAAAAAATTCTGGAGGTATCTATGGAAAATATCATATCTTTTACTGGGATAGTTAATCTAGAATCATCTCTGCCAGTGTTGTACTGAAACGGGACTGATAAGAACAACAAATACACGTTTATTTTGTACCACGCGGCTGTCAGTGTCCGGAGTCCCCCGGGCAGAGCGCCCCGGGGAGGGCTGGGCCCTCAGAGCAGCAGGAGGGCGCCCAGGGACAGCTCACCCTGGCCCAGCAGGCGGCCCCGCTCCCGGCCGCGGCCCTCGTCCCGGGCCTTGACTCGAACGGCCAGGCGGCGCACTTCGTCCTCCGAGAGGCCGTCGAAGCAGAAGTCCTGGTCAAAGGAGGCCTTGCGGCTGCGCCCCACCACAGTGCTGCATTGCCGAAGCGCGGTGCCCGGCGGCCGCAGGACGAGGCTGAGGCGACAGCTGACGGCTCGGGGCCCGGGGGCGCCTCCGGCCGGGCTCTCGGCGCGGAGCAGCCGGAGGCGGAGCCGCCCGGTTCCCGGACAGTACTCGGCGGCCAGGCGCAGGGCGTCGCCGGCGCGGCCCAGAGCCACGGTGCCCTCGGCCTCCAGGCGCTCGGGAAACGGGACCCGGGACGACGGCGGGCTCGTGGAGGGGGCCCGGGCCGGGGACTGGGAGCCCGCGCGGCGCTCCTTGTCCTCGTTCCCGCTGGAGACGGAGCGGACGCGGGTCAGGCGGCGACTCCTCCCAGCCCGCAGCGCGCGACTCAGCAGCCCGTCGGGGACGCGCAGGAGGCGGCAGCCGCGGGGCCGCCGGGCGAGCGCGTCCTGGGGCGGGCGGGGACAGCCGGGGGCCGCGGGGGTCGCCGGGCCCGGAGCTCGCGGGACGCGCAGGGTCCCCAGGAGGGCGTCCGGGCCGCCGCCGCCGCCGTAGGTGTGGGCCCGGGGCCGGGGCGCGGGCGGGCCCCCGAGCAGGAGCGACTCCTTGCGGCGCGTGTGCGGGCTCTCGAGCAGCGCGCAGAAGCCGTAGGCGGTGCGCACACGGGGCAGGTGCGGCAGTGACAGCGCGGCCTGCGAGCGCGGGTCCCAGTCTGTGCGGCCGGCGCCCTCGTCCATCCCTGCTTCTTCGACCCAAGAATTCCGGAGCGCAGCCAAGGCCAGGCGGGGCATGAGCCGTGGCGGGATGCAGAACTCAGGGATGCGGTCCGGAGTGAGCACATTTGCGCACGCGGCGGTGGTGCGAGACTTGGCTCCGCGGGCCCGACCCGGGAGAAGCCAGTCTCCGCTCCGCCGAAGGCACTCAGGACCCAAGCGGAGTCGCTCCAGGCACCACATCTGGCCACTCTCTGCTGGAGCTTGTCTACCTGCAGTGCACAAAGGCACAAGGATCGTCAGAGCGAGTCCCGCAAGGTGCAGTAAATCCTGTTCCTTTTCTCCTATTAATACTTTCGGGGTGTTTCTTCCTGCCTTTCCCGAAACAAGGCAAACTGCTCTTGCTTGCCGCTATTGCAAACTATTTTTTCAGTGAGCGAAAAACAACTGTTTTTCTTTTGTCCTATCTCAACTGTGTTGTAATACACACTTCGGAGCTTGTTTTAATCCCTCTCCGCCCTGGCTGGCCTAAGGCAGAGATTCACAAAATGCTGGATTGTAACTTCAGTCGCTCTGTTCTCTGTGCCAACGATTGCCTTGCAATCGTTTCCTGACTCTTTGGACCATAGCAGTCTAGTCCTCAGCTAGAATTAAAGTAATTGTTATTCCTTCCGGGAAACTGTGGCTGGTTCTCCCCTTGCAGAGGCAAAGAGCCTCAGACGAATCCCCCAGGGAATTAAGCAAGCCGATGGGTCCCTCCTAAAATACCTGGAGTCCTGCGTCAGATGGGTCTCTGCACCTTTCTGCCTGGGACACCGACCAGGAGAGGCGCTTAGCGGCTGGGAAATTCAAAGCGCGCGCGGCGGGGTTCAGCACCAGTGTTCAAGGACTGCCAGCCTGAGCTTTTATACCTGCCGCTGGGAGCGCTTGCCAGTGGGCCGAGCAGAGGGGCGCTGCCTGGTAACCTGACGCCAGGCTCTTCCCTGTCCCTCTGCCACGTGGCTGGATTTGCTGAGCAAGGTTTGGAGACCCAGTTCTTTCTCTCTCCGGCTTCAGGTGGAGGTGTTTTCCTCGGAAACCCCGAACAAGTTTCTGTTTCCTCACATGCAAAATGGTATTAAGTCTCTACTATACCGCAGAGTCATTGTGAGGATCGACGGGCGTAATGAATGTGAGCACGTAGAAGTACTCTACATTCACCATTAAAATGAAGACAAGTCCGGTTTGTCTTATTCTTGCCTAATACCCTTCCCCAAATCCAGCTTCCCAGTTGCCCAGCTTTCGAAGTTCTTTACTTGCTTTCCGGTTTTCAGTTCTGATTTTAGATGTTCTTTTCTGATTATAAACCCCTCTGGGTTAGGGGGAACATTTCATGTCTTGATCAGGGTGGAGTTACAGAGGTGTATCCATATGTAAAAACAATCAACTAGTGTACACTTAAGATTAGAGTACTTTATTGTATGTTATACATCAATTTAAAAAATCACAATCTACTTCTTAAGCCATGTGTGCTGATTTTTTATCGGGAAAATGTACACTTGCATGCATCTGGGCAGTTGGAATCATCCTTTGGAGGCGCCCTGACTACATCTGGCCTTTCTAGGCTGTGCCCACCAGAGAGACCCTTTTCCTTCCTTTTGAAAACTAACCTGTGTTCATTTTGTAAGAGAGTTGCTTCCAGTTAGCTCAGGCTGAAAGAGATCTGAGGCATTTTGTTCAGCGTTCAGGCAGATATTTCTGCCTAAGATACTGCCTTGCAAACTATTCACTTGTCTAAATAATATTTAATGAATTAAATTGAATTCATGCAAAAATGATTTCAGGATAGGGCATGTGCATTTTGTTTCCAGGACACACAGGCACTGTGCTAGATGATTTACATATAGTCTGTAGAACTGTCACAGAAACCCTGCATATTCGGATCATCCTTATTTTATAGATGAAAACTCAGTTTCAGAGGTCAAGTATCTTATCCAAGGTCACATAATGATGGGAAATGGAGGAAATCATACCTACTAATGGGTATAAATGAGCTGTTTGGGGAAATAATAATGTAAAATATTTTGCACCATGTAACATGGTAAGTGCTAAATACATAGAACTGATTATTATTAATAAAGATAGAAGGAAAGTTGTAAAGTATAGTGGTTAAGAAAATTGGGTCTGAAATTGGATCTACTGTTAATGCCAGAATGGTTGCTATGTGACCTTGAGCAAGTTAACTGTTCTAAGCCACAGTATCAAATTTAAAATTAATAATAGTGTCAACCTATACGGTTATCATGAGTATAAAGTAAGATGGTGAATATGAAGAGTTCAGCATAGGGCATGACATACACAATGTCGGATATAATATTATTATTACAGAAGAGAGCAAATGCTCATTAGTTCATTCATTCAAAGTAACATGTACTGAATGTTTTCTAGGTTCCAGCCATCATGTTAGGCAAGTGGATACAGGTTGGCTGTACAAGATCATATCAGCTATGTAAATCCATAAATGATGGAGTAAAATGATGAGGATAAACTATTTGAATTCCATCTGGGTGAGGCAGGCGTGAGAAGAGACTACCGAACATTATTTATTTAGTTATTTATTTTTAAGACAGGGTCTTACTCTCTTGCCCAGGCTGGAGTGCAGTGGTACAATCTTGGCTCACTGCAACCTCTGCTTTCTAGGCTCAAGCAATCCTCCAACCTCAGCCTCCCAAGTAGCTGAGACTACAGGCATGAGCCACCAGGCCCGACTAACTTTTTTTTTTTTTTGGAGAGATGGAGTTTCAACATGTTGACCAGGCTGGTCTTGAACTCCTGGGCTCAAAGTGATCCGCCCACCTCAGCCTCCCAAAGTGCTAGGACTATAGGTGTGAGCCACTGTACCTGGCCTGAACATTACTTATATGTTTCTAGTAGGGGGCAGGATTGGTGGGTCTCTGGATTTACTGTGTCCTTGAATAGCTATTTTTTTTTTTTTTTTTTGAGACAGGGGCTCACTCTGATGCCCAGGCTGGAGTGCAGTGGTGCAATCAAGGGCACTTCAACCTCAACTTCTCAGGCTCAGGTGATTTTCCCATGTCCCCCTCCTGAGTAGCTGGGACTACAGGCATGCACCACTACCTGGCTAATTTTTATATTTTTTATAGACATGGGATTTTGCCATGTTGCCCAGGCTGGTCTCAAACTCCTGGGCTCAAGAGATCCCCCAGCCTCGGCTTCCCAAAGTGTTGGGATTACAGGTGCGAGCCACTAAGCCCAGCCTACTTCTTTGTCTTGAAATCACCTCTACTCTTTGCCAAAATTCTTGGGCCAGGGCTAAATCTATGGGAAAAGTTTTATCAAATTATATACTTGAGGGCCATGTGCATGTGTTCTGACTCAGCTTTTCCTGGGAGACAAGAATGTTGTTAGCCCTGTTGAGAGCTCTTGGTTAAAGTGATTAGGAGCACAGATCAGAGTTTACAGTCTGAGAAGTTGGCTGAAAAGTTGTTAAGCAAGTTAATGAACCTGTCTGAGCTCAAGTTATAAAATGAGGGTAATAATACCGACCACATTAAGATTGTTGTGGGGGTTAAAAAGATATGCATGAAAATGCTTGGTTGGCAGTTAAACACTAGCTAACAGTTATTATTATTACTATCATTTTATTATGAATGTTTGCTTGGGCAGGGATTAGCTGATTCATACATGGATTCCTTTAAAAACATTTTTCTCCTCAGGCAAGCAAAGCAGATCTACTTTGTTTTTATTAATGATTCACCTTCTTTAGTAACACCTTAATAGCATTTCCTGTACATGATTTTTTGAAAATAGCAGAGATTTGCCATTGCGTGGCTGGTCCCTGTGACCCTGTTAAGCCTTATGTTTTACTTAACTCGGAAGCACGAACCAACCACCCAGTACTTGGGAGAATGGTGTAACAGGGTGCCCGGAACACACAAATCTACTCACAGGAAGACAGTGGCTGTTCCAAGCTCCCAGCTGTAGCTGTGGGAACATCCAGTATTGGAGCTGGAAAACAATTCTGTAAAGTGAGCATGAATAGACCACATACCATCAAGACCAGAGGTGCTCTAAGAGTAAAAGGAAATTAAACATTTTAAAGCATACTTACAAAAATATAGGAGGTTGAGTGTCAAGGAAAGCAAGAAGAGAGATTACAACCAATAAAACACCAGTGTTCTGACTTATGCATCTTGTTCAACACAACTAGAGTATGGGGTACTGGAAAGAATACAGAGCAGGGAGTCAGGACACTTGGGTTTGGGTTTTTGCTCTGACAGTCACTAACTTGTGGGACTTTGGGCAAACCCTTAATTCTCCCTGGCACTCAGTGTCTCCATCTGTCAATTGAGGGGGCTGGATTAACAGGATGATCCTCCCTCTGGCACTAACATTCTGAAATCCACTCCCGTGCTTTCTCCTAGTTAACCTCCCTAACTTTTCCTGCAGTCCATGGTGTCATGGCTTATACTCCAGCTTTCTCCTCCATTTCCTTTCCCCCAAATTCCTTCTGCTTTTCTCCAAAAACTCTAGGGTTGGGGAATAGGGTATGGGTGGTGGTTAGTGTGAAGTTTTTTTTTTTTTTTTAAACACTTTTGAGTTAATTTTTAAGTGTCCCTAACTTATACTTTTGTTTTTAACAGAAATACTTTGCTCATCTGTTTTTATTGTTTAGTCCCTCATTGAAGTTTAGTTTTGTAATTTCCTTTGTTGTCATTCTCATTGTTCTTAAGCCAGAATGAAGGCAAGAACTATAATTAATTAGAATGCTCATTTTCTTTAACCTCTGTTATCCAAATTATTTCTGATATAATGCCATACATAAGGGTGCTAATGGTGTTTCTTGACATTGGTTATAGTTTGTTTTAAATTGGGACTGTATATTTCTGACTTGTTAAATAATGGAAGATTTGGGGCATTACTGAATGCACATAATCAATCCCTTAAAACATGCTGAAAATGGAAAATAGTAAAATTTAAAGCTTTTTATACTACATGATAATAGCATTTTTTTGTACCAAAAATGTAGAGCCAAATTTTCCACTCTGAGATTTATTTTTTCTGTCATGAACCTTTCAAAGTAAGATCTCTGAAAATGACTAATAGCCCAGTGTTGATTAAATTGTATAATTACCAGAAGAGAAAAGGGTGGCAGTGCTCAGAGAATCAAAGGAAATTAATATCTGCTGTGTGACTTTGGGTAAGTCACTTAACATTCCCGAGCTTAATTTTTCTGTAAAATGAGGACCATACTACTACCTGCATTAGCTACCTCACAGCTCTTTTGTGAGGAGTACACAAAAATGCCTACCTTCGCATAATAATGACATGAGGCCTTACAAAGTATAACTGAAACATAATAAAATTGAATGATGCATATGAAAGCACATTTACACATTATTCTTTCAAAATTACCAAGTTATACCATAGAACTGTAAGGAATTACTTTATTAGACAAAGCATTAGTGTTACTCACTTCTCCCAAGAGATTGTGCCTATTGCTCCACCTGCTTGACCAAGCTATGTTGCCTGTGCCATCTTTCCTATCATCTTATACTGTTATTCATACATCCTTGGATTGGCTTCTTTCTTAACTTTTTATGGTACATGCCTTATCTCAACCAGAACATATATTGCTTCTTTACATTCCTCTTGGAGCATAGTCAGTGTGAATGTAAAAAGGAAGCGGGATTGTTAGAGTGTATGACTAGAAAGAACGTGGAGAAAGTTTGAAGAGAGTGTTCTAAACACTGGGAAGTTATTGGATGTTTTTGAGCAGGTGACTAACCTAAGCTCACCTGTGCTTTGGGAAAACACATCCGGTGTTCATGAGAATAGACTGGAGGAAGGAATAACTGGAGGCTAGGAAGTGAATTTCAAGGAGATGGATGGCATGGTCCAGAAGAAAAACATGGAGAATTTAGGAAAGATGGCAAAAGCAAAATAGACAGGTTAGGCTGTTATTTGGTTGTGGATGGTGAAGAAATCCAAAGTACTTACTAGTATTTTGTCTTTGTGACCAGCTAGGAAAAACAGACGGTTAAGGATTTATCTTCTTAAAGAGGAATGGAGTGTGCAAAAGTGGGAGAGGAATGTGATCTTGATAGTACTAGTTAGTACTGACTGGGTCTTTCTTTGTACTTTTAATTTTATTTAATACACAACACCAATTGTAGCCATTTTGATTTTCTTTCTTCTCCAGCGGACTTTGAATTTAAGATTTTTCTTTGTGATCCTGTGCAAGCCTAGGTTGTTTAAGAAAAATACACGAATAGTTTCTCAGACACTTCCTCGTAGCAAAGCACTTATTAATGCTTGTGACTACAAATAATCAGCATTTCTTAGGTTTCTTCCTGTGTACTGTATCTCAACAACTTTTTGAAATATATTTTAGGAAAAAATTTCTAGTTCTCTAAAGAGGTGAATCTCAATGGGTGGTTAAATTTCACAAGGGTTGAAAGATCTTGTGGTATAAAAGCTCTGCTTTTAAGGTCGTGCTACATCAAAGACAGTTCAACGATAGCATGGAAGAAAGTGATATATAAATAACAAGTAACTCATACTTAAAAAGGCACTACTACGTTTTGTTTTTTATATCTGTAATGAGATAGGTAACTGGTTAGTGGCTAGTGAATTAAAAGCGAATCTTAGAGAAAGGGGAAAAGAACGCGTTTCCCACAAAACGCGTATATTCAGTTCTCATTCTATGATATCTGCCATTTGATGTGGTTCTGTTCCCCTCCTCCCACTTTCAAATTATTTGTCGCGCGCCAGTGGTCCCAGCTACTCGGGAGGCTGACACAGGAGGATCTCTTGAGTCCAGGATGTCAAGTCTGTAGTGAGCTATGATCCCGACACTGCATTCTACCCTTGGCAACAGAGCGAGACCCTGTCTCAAAACAAAACAAAACAGAAACAAAATAAAAAAACAATGTTTTCAAGAAGCAGAGACCAAGCCCCAGGCGGAGTCGAACTCTAGCAGGACAAGAACGCGGTCGGTCCCTTTCCCCCACCTGATCCACAGGTGCAGGGGTGGTTGCCTAGGTGACGCTCAGCGCATACTCCAGGCCAGGCGGCTCCGGACACCGCGATGCGGCCGGAGTTCAACAGCAGGTGACGGCGGGAAAGCAGAGCGGCCACATAGATGTCCCTGTACTCGGTAACTCTTGCCCTCCCTTGTTCTTCTCGAAGGTCCTTTTTTTTCTCGTGCACGGCTGACGAGACAGGCGCAAGCTAACTTCCCCCGCACTCCTCCGTCGGCCTCTAGAGGGCCAGGGCTGCGGCGCCTACAAAGCCTCGGGATCACAGCTGGGCCTCCTTAGCTACCGGCCGGGCGACAGCGCGCCTGCGCACCGGCGGGGTCACGCGCGCGGCGCGGGGGTGGGCCTGCGCCGGAGGGGCTGTCATTTGCAGCGCTGGTCGCAGCCCTCAGCTGCGCCGGGCGGTTCCGGCTCCTCCCTCTCCTTGTGCCTCAGCGCCACCATGGTGCTGGAGTCGGTGGTCGCGGACTTGCTGAACCGCTTCCTGGGGGACTATGTGGAGAACCTGAACAAGTCCCAGCTGAAGCTGGGCATCTGGGGCGGTAAGCGAGAGGGCGCGGCCAGTGGGCTGCGGGCGCTGAGGGCCCAGCCGAGGGCTGCTCCGTCCGGGATTCTGCCCGGGCCCTGCTCCCTGCGCCGCCTGAGACTCCCCATCCCGGTGCGGCAGGTGCTAGATGCGGGAGCCTCTGCCGCCCGCGGATTCTCGGGGTCCCAGTCCCGACTCCGGCTGGGGAGATGCGGCGGGATCCCGCCCGCGCTGCCAAAGTTCCCACCTTTCTCGTCCCCCGAGGCCAAGCCCTGGCCCTGCTGTCCCCGCCCTGCCCGTTTCTGTGGTCCTCTCGCTGCACTCAGGGTGGCCCCTTTGGCCCTACAGCATAAAAACAGAGCCCTTTCTGTTTCGGTATCGCGTGGAGTGAGCATGGTTGTCTGGTCATATACGCTCGAAGTGGCACTAAGAAAAAAGGAGGAAGTTGCATCTCGCAGTTATCTTCACTATCATTTTACAGGGAGCAAGAACTGGGTTCCTTCTCTTTAGGATTACCGGGTTTGGAGAGGAACGGGCAGGAGATCTTTAAGATAGGCGTGTGCTTAGGGATTCTTACTCTTAATGCTTTCAGCTCCTGTGAAAATGATTTCTTCCTTTAATATTTACTTTTCCGTCAATACGAAGAGGATTTTGAATTTTGTTTTGGAGCAATAGAGAGAAATTCAAGCCTCGACCAGCATCGTCATTAATTAGGTGTCTGCTTGGTTGCATGCTCAGGAATTTATGCCAACGTTTTTATCCTGGAGATTAAGTGTATAAAAGTATTCAGGAAATAGTGTACTTAAACATACACTCTTCAACGAGCTTAATCGTTTGCATGAATTACGTGTTAAGCTTTGAGGACTTTGGGACTTTCTCACTCCACAAAAGGTTTGGGAACTTTGTCAGCTTTGGAGGAAAATTCAAAAAACGACTCAAATGTATGGATCTGCTTTTAATTCAAGCAACAACAAATAGCTATAGACTTCCCCTGTCCACTAGGGTAACCACTAGCCACTGTAGCTGTGGAGCACTTGATATGAGGTTAGTGCTAATTGAGACTTGCTGTATGAATTAAAACATCGTTTTGAATAAGCATTACTCCTAATGAAGTAGGAGAAAAAAATAATACCTCAATAATTTTTATGTTGCTTATGTGTTGAAATAATATTTGAATATATTGGGTTAAATTAAATATAATATTAAAGTGTATTTCCCGTGTTTTTTAGTTTTACTTTTTTTCTTTTTAAACTTGGCTTCTAAAATTTATAATTACGTATATGGAACATATATTGGGCAATGCTGTTTATACCCTGAATTACGGAAGAGCCTGGTTGTTGTTGTTGTTGTTTTTTTTTTTTGGCTTGTCTTTTTGAGACAAGGACTTGCTCTGTTGCCAAGGCTGGAGTGCAGTGGCAAGATCGTAGCTCATTGCAGCCTCCAACTCCTGGGCTGAAGTGATCCTCCTGCCTCAGCCTCCCAAAGTGCTAGGATTACAGGTGTGAGCTATAGTGCCTGGCAAGAGCCTGTTTTTAATAGGTGGCTGATCATTTGATTGGTTCACTGTGGTTTGCCCAACAATACAATAGTCCCTTGGTATCTATGGGGGATTGGCTTCAGTACCCCTGACCATACCAAAATTGGAGGTTGCTCAAGTCCCTTAAATAAAATGGCCTAGTATTTGTATGTACCCTATGCATATCCTTCTGTATACTTTTGGTCATCTCTGGATTGCTTATAATACCCAATAAGTAAGTGCTATGTAAATAGTTGTTCTGTTGTTTTTTAATTTGCATTTTTTTATTGCTGAATTGATACTTTTTATTTTTTCCCCCCGAAATATTTTTGGTCTGCAGTTAGTTCAGTCCGTGAATATGGAGGGCCTACTGTACATTCTTTGTTTACATCCCCCCACCACACTCAATACAATGTAAAGGAAAGGTAAGTAAAGAAAGACACATTTAAGGAATTAAATGACCAGCATCTTCTGCAGAAATCAAGTATTTCTTCAGAATACTGGCAATATTCTTTCCAGTGATTCCTTATAGTTTGTAAACATTTGAAACTTGAAAACGCACCGGAGTAGCAAATCTGAAATCTGAATAGGCCTAGTGAATGGTGTGCTGTGTTGGACAAGCCACTTACCTTATTGGGCCTTAGTTTCTTCATCTTAATTTAAACTTTATAGAAAAAATATTTTTAAATTCTGAAAAGTTTAAATCATACTGGATGATATAATACTTTCATGTAATTACTCATATTTCAATGTTATAATATTATGCCATATTTACTTTAGACATTTTCTTTTTAAAAAGATAAAACGTATGGATATAGTCAGAGGTTCCATTGCCATCAAATGTTACTCTCTTTTATCTTTAAAATTGGAGGTTGGACTAGGTAACATCGAAGGTGATGCCAATATTCTGTTCTTCTGATAATGGTTTTACCATGACATTGAGGAGTATACTGCTTGAAGATTTTGAAGTTTTTCACAACTGAAATTAAAAATGTCGTAATTTTATGTTATTTCCCCTTTTGTCTTTTTTTGGTGAAATCTAGAAAAGGAGACTTTCTTTCATCTCATTTTTAAATTTTTAGAATAAGGTATTCTGCCAGTGGCCAACATTAACTTTATAATAGGCCTGAGCAAATAAACCCATTTCTTTCACATATTGTGTCTAGTGAACATCCAATCAGGGATTCTCCTAGCTTTATCAGCTCACAACTCTGCCTCTGTAAAGCTTTGCTGCCTTTTATTTTTGTGGTTGCTATAAAGCTAGAAGTCACGAGCTTTTATCATTATTGCACAGTCTGTTGTTGATAACCCTAATTTCTCAATAAAATTGGAAGGCAAGATATCTGAGTTGATTTTTCCTGTTCTTTCAAAATATTGCTAAAGAAATTTGTCTTAAACTTTTTTGGGTAAACAAATGGGAATATTAATTTAATAAAATAGGTGACATTTTATGATAACCATGATGTTGACAAGTTTTACAAAAAATTGAAAATTCTATATAATCTTCTTTGACAACTATTTGCTTTAGCAGATAAGGTTTACAGTTCACAGAGTTTTTTTTTTGTTGTTGTTGTTGAATTTTCAAGTCTTGAGAAAGGGAAGAATTCATCTTGTAAATATTTCACTGTAGGGACCAGCCCCACAGGGTCGGTGGGTCTCTCCCTGTGTGCGGCGACGAGAGAGTGTAGAAATAAAGACACAAGACAAAGAGATAAAAGAAAAGACAGCTGGGCCCGGGGGACCGCTACCACCAATGCGCGGAGACCGGTAGTGGCCCCGAATGTCTGGCTGCGCTGTTATTTATTGGATACAAAGCAAAAGGGGCAGGGTAAAGAGTGTGGGTCATCTCCAATGATAGGTAAGGTCACGTGGGTCACGTGTCCACAGGACAGGGGGCCCTTCCCTGCCTGGCAGCCGAGGCAGAGAGAGAGAGGAGACAGAGAGAAAGATAGCTTATGCCGTTATTTCTGCATATCAGAGACTTTTACTACTTTCACTAATTGACTACTGCTATCTAGAAGGCAGAGCCAGGTGTACAGGATGGAACATGAAGGCGGACTAGGAGCGTGACCACTGAAGCACAGCATCACAGGGAGACGGTTAGGCCTCCGGATAACTGCGGGCAAGCCTGACTGATGTCAGGCCCTCCACAAGAGGTGGAGGAGCAGAGTCTTATCTAAACTCCCCCGGGGAAAGGGAGCCTCCCTTCCCTGGTCTGCTAAGTCGCGGGTGTTTTTCCTTGACACTTTTCGCTACCGCTAGACCACCTTCCGCTCGGCAACGGGCGTCTTCCTAGATGCTGGCGTTACCGCTAGACCAAGGAGCCCTTCTGCTGGCCCTGTCCGGGCATAACAGAAGGCTCGCACTCTTGTCTTCTGGTCACACCTCACTATGTCCCCTCAGCTCCTATCTCTGTATGGCCTGGTTTTTCCTAGGTTATGATTGTACAGCGAGGATTATTATAATATTGGGATAAAGAGTAATTACTGCAAACTAATGATTAATGATATTCATATATCTCTAAGATCTATATGGTATAACTATTCTTGTTTTATATTTTATTATACTGGAACAGCTCGTGTCCTTGGTCTCTTGCCTTGGCGCCTGGGTGGCTTGCCGCCCACCTCACATACCTGATCTTACTATTCTTTGGAATCAATTGATAAACTACTTTGATACATCTTAACTGGAATGTCTAACTAGCCTAAAGCAGTGATTTTCAGTGGGAGGTGACTTTGTACCCAGGGTATATTTGACAGTGTCTGAGACTTTTTGGTTGCCACACTGAGGGAAGAGGTGTGCTATTGGCATGTAGCAGATAGACCCTGGAGTACTGCTAAACATTCTACAATGCAGAGGACAACTTCCTGCAGCGAATTGTCCAGCTCAAAATGTTAGTTGAGAAACCCTAGTCTAAGAAGAAGACTGAGATTGTCTTCTGCATTTGTAAGGGACCTACTGGGTGCTGAAAAAATTGTAAGGTTTTAAAAAGGACACGGAAGAAGTAGATTACTCTTAACGAAATCTGTAATTCGAGAGAGAAATTGATATCTTAAGTGACTGAAAGGTATCATGTCAATAAAAATGCGTAATCTTTGCTTGGATGATCTTTGGAAGTAGTTTTAAGATCGAAATATTGTGTTAACATGATTTGGAAAACATCATAGTGTGCATATATTCATATATGTATATATAGGCGTTCATAATGAAATTTACAATTAAAAAAGGTTGAGAGGCCAGGCACCGTGGCTCACACCTGTAATCCCAGCACTTTGGGAGGCCGAGGCAGGCAGATCACGAGGTCAGGAGATCGAGACCATCCTGGCTAACACAGTGAAACCCCGTCTCCACTAAAAAAAAAAAAAAAAAAATACAAAAAATTAGCCGGGCATGGGGGCAGGCGCCTGTAGTCCCAGTTACTCTGGAGGCTGAGGCAGGAGAATGGTGTGAACCTGGGCGGCAGAGGTTGCAGTGAGCAGAGATTGCACCGCTGCACTCCAGCCTAGGTGACAGAGCGAGACTCCCGTCTCAAAAAAAAAAGGTTGAGAAGGTTGGGGAAAATTACTGGAATGTCCAGAATCAGGAAGTATACTTTAGATGTTGCCTTTAAATTTGAGAAGCAAAGCAAACACAGCCTACCATTGTCTTTCTGTTTCTGTTCTTTAAAGATTTTATTTAATGCCAAGCAATTCTTATGTATTTTTAAAAGTAGTTTAAGCAGAATTTCCTTTTAAAAATCCTTGCCACTGTAGATAATTGAGACCTTGGTTATTTATTAGCTGTGGGACCCTGGGCAAAACATTTCAGTTCTCACTCTCGTAATCTGTAAAGTGGATATACAACTTTCAGTGTATTGTTGAGATAGATTATGTCAAAAACCTTTGTCATTGTTGATAATATTGATAATAATAATGATTAACAAACCTGGCTGGGTGATGGAAAACAGTCTTTGTTTTATTTTCATAAGGATGTTTCTTCTAACTTCAGACTTTTAGAGGTATTAATATTCTTCTTCTTCTTCCTCTTCTTTTTTTTTTTTACTTCTACTTTAAGTTCTGGGATACATGTGCAGAATGTGCAGGTTTGTTACATAGGTATACATGTGCCATGGTGGTTTGCTGCACCTATCAACCTGTCATCTAGGTTTTAAGCCCTGCATTATGTATTTGTCCTAATACTCTCCCTCCCCTTGCCTCCCACCTCCTGACAGGCCCTGGTGTGTGATGTTCCCTTCCCTGTGTCCATGTGTTGTCATTGTTCAAATCCCACTTATGAATGAGAACATGTGTTGTTTGGTTTTCTTAGAGGTATCAATCTTCTATTGAGTGATAATTTTGTGTAGAGCTATCATTACATATCTAAACATTTCTTATTTTCCAAACAAATTTCTTTTAAAAAAAACCTCTATTTGCCTTTGAATTTATGCTTATGCTTTTACAGTATTACCTGCCAGCTAGTTTGTAAGTCAGGCTTTCAGAGGTTCAGAAAAGTGCCTGGTGGGTACATACTGCCTACATAAGTAGGAAGGTTTATCTAGATTTTTGTTCCCCACAAACTGGTACCAATAGATAAATTTCACAGCCCTTAGCTATTGAGATGTGTCCAGGATATAATTGTTTTAAGAGTAACATATATTTGAAAAGGTATGTTGAAATGCCTCATCTTTTGCAATATGATTTGAGTAGTATTGTTGCAATGTAGAACCTTTGTCAATTTGATTTTTCAAAATGATTTACTGTGGAGAGTCAGCAGGAAAATCCTCCAGTACTCGGAACTCTGTTGTTCTTAATTCCACTGGACAGGTGGAATCAACATAGGAACTGTGATGTGTTAGATACAAGGGTGACTCTGGTGACCAGGAATAGAAGCCAAGTGCAATGCCCTCAGAATCTGTGGCCCTGCAAACCAGACTGAACCCGTGCTGTTTATCCCACTCCTGACAGTTTATCCCACTCTTGACACTTCCCCTTGAGCTGCCAGATATTGTTGGAGCAGTGCAGCATAAGAAAGGAGAATGAACACTGGACTGGGAATGAGCAAACCTCTTTAATCTTATTCCATCTCTGATTCTGTCTAGTTGTGTGGCTTTTGGCATGTCTCTGACAAGTGACCATTGGTTGCTTATCTGTAAGTGGAAAGGTTAGACAAGGTCATCTCTTCTGTCTTTAAACTTCTGTGATTTGAGCAAGGCAAGAACAACGTGAGATCCTTCATTGGATGAGTGGTACTGCCACTTCCTCCGCATTCATAGAGAGAAAAGGTAGTTAAATAATGTATCTTTATCTTTCCTTTTTGCTCTTCACCCGATATTGGTGAGTAAAGAGCCACAGTCAATGACAGTGACAAGATAAATGAAGTTCCAGGCTCATGCTGATATTTGTGGGTCCAAGTGTAATATACTGTAATATATTGTCTTAACAGGTACCTGTAGGGCAGCTTGAGAATGAAAGAAAAAGCAGCTCTTTTTGCTTTTTTTGGCTTTGACACATAAAAGATGTCAGTATCTAGGTATTTCTAAACCTGTAGAGGGATTTTCTTTAGTCTTTTCCTCCCAGCCAGCACTTGGTGTAGTGGAGGCCACATTTCTCATTAGCTTGTCCTATGGCATATAAAAGTAAACAATAATGAAAAGGTCATTAGTGTAATACATATTTAGGCTCAGTTACTACCAGTTAAAGCGGTGCTTAAAAATTTAAATTTAAGCACCTGTTCACATATTTAAGTAGCATTACTAATTAAAAATTAACTCCTTTTCTAGAACTAAAACTGAGAATTGGTATTTTGGTAACCATTCTGCTAGGAAGCTCTACCACATTACTCAATATTATGGGATCCCTGAAGTGAACTGAAAGGGAGAAAGTTCAGTGGTGATGTTGCAGCTTTCTACCTTCCTTTGTCAAAACTTCCTGTTTCAGTAGGGAAATGGGAAGAGTGAGAGAGTTGTTTCCTTTCTCTTTCCTGTCTTCCTCTCTGAAGACAAAGTCACTGTGAACTCATTAAAAGGAGTCTAGATTGGTTAATTTGGGTTGACTAGCTAGATTCATTTGAAATGAATAGCTATAATATTTTCTTTGGTATTCTTTTTTTTTTTTTTTTTTTTTTGAGACGGAGTCTTGCTTTGTCGCCCAGGCTGGAGTGCAGTGGCACAATCTCGGCTCACTGCAAGCTCTGCCTCCTGGGTTCACGCCATTCTCCTGCCTCAGCCTCCACAGTAGCTAGGACTACAGGCACCCGCCACCACGCCTGGCTAATTTTTTTGTATTTTTTAGTAGAGACGGGGTTTCACCGTATCAGGATGGTCTTGATCTCCTGACCTTGTGATCCACCTGCCTCAGCCTTCCAAAGTGCTGGGATTACAGGCGTGAGTCACCGCACCAGGCCTGGTATTCTTTACTAAAACATAAATCATTAAAATAATTTGATTCATGCTTTGCTTTAAAAAACTGTTCAGTCATCTACTTTAGCTCACCTCCCTGGAAAATGAATTGTGTCAGAACATTCAGATATGCTTTCAACTAAATAATGTTTATGTTATAGATACATAAACAAAATCTTAAAAAATAAATACAAAGCATTCTTTATTTCACTATTCTTTATATGCAAAGCTAGTTTCATGGATTATGGCATGGCATTTTTGTTTGTTGGATGGTTTTTGTGTTTAATCACAGTTTTGGATTAACCTCTATGTTTTATATTAAGAAAGTTGACCTAGGAGTTGGGAGACATAGATTCTATTCTTAGTACTGCCACAAAAAAATTGTATAACCTTGGATAAACTACCAGATCTCTTTAGACTTTAATTTCTTCATGTATAAAGTGAGAGGGGCTTAGATTTGAAAATCTTTATGGTCCCAAATAGTTCTAAATCATAACTTGTGAATTTCTGTCTTTTGAGGAAAAAAATAGATTTTTAAAAAGTACTAAAATGACCATTTTGTAATACCATCTCCTGCATCTGTTTTTCCCTGTGGCACTACGTTTTCTTCTGGTTATGCTCTGAACATAACCCCCTTGACTCTATCCTACCGTTCTGCCTGTGCCCTTGTTATACTAATTTTAGTTATCCTTTTTGTTTTGGATTTTTTTACGTCTCTTTGCAAATACAGAGACCAAAAGTGGAACCGACAACCACGCTGGCCTGTGAATGCTGAGTCTGATTCTTTTATGGCATTTTTGTTGTCCAGGGAGGTCGAATTACCTTCTGAATTAAAATCCTATACGCTTTATGCTCTGCTATTCGGGAGAACAGTGTTATTCTGAAGATAGCATTGAGTTTTATAAGATTTGAGCCTTGAGACTGCCACTTACTATTAGGTTGCCATAGGATTCTTGGGCTAGTCATTTAACCTCTCTAAGCCTCAGCTTCTATTGCTTAATGTATACAACCTGTTTCTTGCCCAGGAGGCTGTGAGGATTGAGTAATGTTATACATCTGAAAGTGTTTTCTAAAATATAAAGATTTATGACCTTATTGTAGTTGGTTCCACCCCAGTACAATATGCATTCTGAAGTCAGTATTTATCGAGTACCTACTCTGAGGAGAATCAGTAAGAAGTTTATAATCAGACTGGGGATTTATATAAAGTTAAGTGTTACGCACCATAAGAAAGCTATAGCCTAAATTTCTGCAAAAGTTTAGAGAGATTATTTCTGGTTGGAGGTACTTAACAATAGGACTATATTTCTTACATTTATTTTGTAGGCCATTATGTATTTAAAAAGCCATTCTTGGACTTAGGCAGGCTTTTCCTTATTGTGCTAGTACCATTTGATTTTTATTCATAAATACACTAGCTTGGTTGTTTTCTATAACTAGCAACTATTTCTACTTTTTTTTTTTTGCGATGACTCCAACTCTTCATGTCATTTGCTAATTTACTTCCATTTTCATCTTCTGGTTCACTGTTGAAGAATACTAAATTTTGATCCAGTTTTGATCCAGGATTTACTTTTTTTTTTTTTTTTTTTTGAGACTGGGTCTTGCTCTGGCTGTCACTGAGGCTGGAGTGCAGTGGCATGATCCTGGCTCACTGCAACCTCTGCCCTTCTGGTTCGAGTGATTCTTCTGCCTCAGAATCCTGAGTATCTGAGATGACAGGCACCTGCCACCATGCCTGGCTAATTTTTTTGTATTTTTTAGGTAGAGACAGGGTTTCGCCATGTTGGCAAGGCTGGTCTCCAACTGCTGGGCTCAAGTGATCCAATCGCCTTGGTCTCCCAAAGTGTTGGGATTACAGGCATGAGCCACTCACTGCACCTGGCCCTTTTAGTATATTTCTTAAAATATCTTTCAAGATTGGCTTTGAAACTATGGTGACTTTCTAGCAGTGTATGCACATCCAAAATATATGTAGTTTATTAATGAGAATCATATGGGGTCTCTTCTGAAGCACAGACTACTTACTGTGTATATTGTCTACCCTCCTCCCATGGGCCTGTCAGTCCAGCATAAGGGAGATCGCTTCACAGAATTTCCTTATCTGTCACCTTAGTCTGTTTAGACTTGGTAGGATTAGAGCCACTTGATTGTGGGATTGGCTTTAGAGCTTTCCTTGCTGGCAGAGTTAAGTTTATTCATCTCCAATTATTAGTTAACATATCCCTGTTTGTTTTTTGTTTTAAAGGATTAGACACATAGAGTGTTGGAAGTTCTGGCCAGGGCAATTAGGCAGGAGAAGGAAATAAAGGGCATTCAGTTAGGAAAAGAGGAAGTAAAATTGTCCCTGTTTGCAGATGACATGATTGTATATCTAGAAAACCCCATCGTCTCAGCCCAAAATTTCCTTAAGCTGGTAAGCAACTTCAGCAAAGTCTCAGGATACAAAATCAATGTGCAAAAATCACAAGCATTCTTATATACCAATAACAGACAAACAGAGAGCCAAATCATGAGTGAACTCCCATTCATAATTGCTTCAAAGAGAATAAAATACCTAGGAATCCAACTTACAAGGGATGTGAAGGACCTCTTCAAGGAGAACTACAAACCACTGCTCAATGAAATAAAAGAGGATACAAACAAATGGAAGAACATTCCATGCTCATGGGTAGGAAGAATCAATATTGTGAAAATGGCCATACTGCCCAAGGTAATTTATAGTTTCAATGCCATCCCCATCAAGCTACCAATGACTTTCTTCACAGAATTGGAAAAACTACTTTAAAGTTCATATGGAACCAAAAAAGAGCCCATGTTGCCAAGTCAATCCTAAGCCAAAAGAACAAAGCCGGAGACATCACGCTACCTGACTTCAAACTATATTGCAAGGCTACAGTAACCAAAACAGCATGGTACTGGTACCAAAACAGAGATATAGATAATGGAACAGAACAGAGCCCTCAGAAATAATGCCGCATATCTACAACCATCTGATATTTGACAAACCTGAGAAAAACAAGCAATGGGGAAAGGATTCCCTATGTAATAAATGGTGCTGGGAAAACTGGCTAGCCATATGTAGAAAGCTGAAACTGGATCCCTTCCTTACACCTTATACAAAAATTAATTCAAGATGGACTAAAGACTTACATGTTAGACCTAAAACCATAAAAACCCTAGAAGAAAACCTAGGCAATACCATTCAGGACATAGGCATGGGCAAGGACTTCATGTCTAAAACACCAAAAGCAATGGCAACAAAAGCCAAAATAGACAAATGGGATCTAATTAAACTAAAGAGCTTCTGCACAGCAAAAGAAACTACCATCAGAGTGAACAGGCAACCTACAAAATGGGAGAAAATTTTCGCAACCTACTCATCTGACAAAGGGCTAATATCCAGAATCTACAATGAACTCAAACAAATTTACAAGAAAAAAACAAACAACCCCATCAAAAAGTGGGCAAAGGATATGAACAGACACTTCTCAAAAGAAGACATTTATGCAGCCAAAGACACATGAAAAAATGCTCATCATCACTGGCCATCAGAGAAATGCAAATCAAAACCACAACGAGATACCATCTCACACCAGTTAGAATGGCGATCATTAAAAAGTCAGGAAACAACAGGTGCTGGAGAGGATGTGGAGAAATAGGAACACTTTTACACTGTTGGTGGGACTGTAAACTAGTTCAACCATTGTGGAAGACAGTGTGGCGATTCCTCAGGGATCTAGAACTAGAAATACCATTTGACCCAGCCATCCCATTACTGGGTATATACCCAAAGGATTATAAATCATGCTGCTATAAAGACACATGCTCACATATGTTTATTGCGGCACTATTCACAATAGCAAAGACTTGGAACCAACCCAAGTGTCCAACAACGATAGACTGGATTAAGAAAATGTGGCACATATACACCATGGAATACTATGCAGCCGTAAAAAAGGATGAGTTCATGTCCTTTGTAGGGACATGGATGAAACTGGAAACCATCATTCTCAGTAAACTATCGCAAGGACAAAAAACCAAACACCACATGTTCTCACTCATAGGTGGGAACTGAACAATGAGAACACATGGACACAGGAAGGGGAACATCATCACACACAGGGGCCTGTTGGGGGGGGTGGGGGGAGGGATAGCATTAGGAGATATATCTAATGCTAAATGACGAGTTAATGGGTGCAGCACACCAACATGGCACATGTATACATATGTAACAAACCTGCACATTGTGCACATGTACCCTAAAACTTAAAGTATAATAATAATAAAATAAAAAAAGAAAATGAGAACAAATGAAAAAAAAAAAAACCAAAAAACCAAAAACAAATATTTACCCTTCCTTCAGTTTTTTTGAGAACTTTCTATGACTTCTATGTGTTCTTAGCCCTGGTGATCTGGCTATAGCACTAAAGTTATTTACATTGTATAGAATTATTATGTTGTTTTAAGGTAGAAAAGGAAAATGAAATCTTTTTTATCGGTATTCAGTTAAATATAAAATGGTTGATTTTTAGGGGAGATCTGGTTTAATCTTGGTCTTATAAATTCTTTTTCTTTAAACAGGATTTCTGGAATTCATAGGATATGTAATGACACTGCTGCATATTTATCAGTCAGAATAGCATGCAGTTTAGTGGAGAGTACTTGTTAGTCCAGTGCCTTACCAAGATAAGTACTCAGCTACTGCTTGAATGAATGAATGCACTTTTACCTCTTTACACTGGTGCCAGTGTTAATCTGAATTATACTGCTTATTCCTCCCCTATTCTTTGTATTAGAACTAGAGCTCCTCCTTCAGTGCAAATAACTTGGAGAATGTATTATTCTTATTTCACTGTTACAGTTACTGTTTGTTAGATAACATTCACATTTTCAAAGAGGAAGTATGCATTTGTCAGACTGGGTGGCAGAAATAGATACTGCTTTTTTTGTTTTTTTTTTTGAGATGGAGTCTTGCTGTCACCCAGGCTGGAGTGCAGTGGCACAATCTCAGCTCACCGCAACCTCTGCCTCCCAGGTTCAAGCAGTTCTCCTGCCTCACTCAGCCTCCTGAGTAGTTGGGATTACAGGCTCATGCCACCATGCCCATGCCCGGCTAATTTTTGATTTTTTTTTTAGTAGAGATGGGGTTTCACCATGTTGGCCAGGCTGGTTGCAAACTCCTGAACTTGTGATCCACCTGCCTTGGCCTCTCAAAGTGCTGGGATTACAGGTGTGAGCCACTGCACACCGGCCAATATTTCTTTGTTATTCTTACGTGTCTGGGGGTAAAGTAATACTAGATATAGAAAAAATTTATATAAAAAATATTTAAATCGTATTGACATGTGAATTTACTTTTGTTTTATTTCCCCATTTTCCTTCTTATAATTTCCGTAATAATTTCACATAAAAAAATCTAATTATTATAAAAACTAGAAAATACTGAAAAACATCAATAAAAAAGCTATCTTTAATTCTACCACCCAGCAATAATAAGTACAATCTCTTTTTGTCTGACAGTCTGTCTAAATATACTTGTCTAACTCTATTAGCCATATTGGTAGTTTTCAACATTTCACATCTTAACTACCACCTGCTATCCTACTACTTGATCAAACAAGTAAAGTGTCACTGCAGGAGAAACAGCCCACTTTTTATAAGTATATTTATATTTTTACAAACATTATGGTAGTGCCTTAACAATTGTTATAAAGACTTCATCTCTAACGCAGATGATTTCTGATCACTCCTGGTAACTCTTGGCCCACCAATTGGGAATGACTAGGTAGAACAGTCACAATTTATGAGCAGGGTTGAAAGTCTGCATGTGGGCCTTAGATCTTATTAAACTAGTTTGGATGGCTTCAGATAGGCACTAGCATCTGTGCAGATTACCCTGTAGGCTAGAATAGACTTCCCAATTGTAATTTTGTGTAATTCATCATGTGACAGATTTGAATCTAGGAATATTTGTCTTTATGTAATTTTAGTGCATATATAATACGTAAGGACTTTTTTCCCCCTGTTGCTGAACATGCTAGTCTTCCATGACTACTTTATTACTCCTGCATCTGGACAGTGATGATATCCTGTCAATTCTGCCTCCAAAATAACTCTTTACTATGACTCTACGTCTTTCACCCTGAAGTTACTGCCTTATTTTCGGTTTTACTTTTCAGTGTGTTGTAGAAGTTTCCTGACTGCCTGTATTCTTTCATTTCCCTCCTACTATATACTATAGTATTTCCTTACCATTTGTGAAGTTTCTTTCCTCCTTTTCTTCCTTTATTATAGTTTTCGACAATTTATTTTAGAAAATTTGAGAACTGTATGTACACAGAAAATGAACTTTATTACATAGAAATAACCACTGTGAGCATTATGGCATCTTACAGTTTTTTATTTTTTTCTATGTATGTGTGGAATGCACACACACTTGTGCATATATAGATACTTTTAAATTTAGGTCAATCTGGGCATTCTTTTACTTTTTAAAAAACTCAATATTCTGTGAACATTTTCCCATGTCTTTCTACTTTTTTTTGTTTATAATACAGATGTATTGTGAGTTATGCCTTCTTCCTGGACATTTAGATCTTTAGGTCCTCCTTTCCTTCCTTTCCTCCCCTCTTCTGTCCTTCCTTCTTTCCCTCCCAATACTGCAATATCCTTGTAGCTAAATTGTTTGGACAGATCAATAGTTATTCCTTAGGACAGTTGAGTAATGATTCTAAAATAACATAATCTCTGTTATATATATTTTATCTCTTTGTTTTGGTGGGTCTGGAATTTTTTATCCTGAAAGCTCTTCATTAGTCTGGCCCTTGCCTACCTTTCTGACCTTATTTTGTTTCCTTTTCTTATACCCTCCAGTTACACCAAACCATATGTGCTTTCTAAAATGTGCCTTACTCACACTTATCTATTTGCCCTCTTTTCTTATCCACCCAGTAAATACTACTTAAACCTTCCAGCCTAAACCTATGTGTGTTCTTGATTTCCCTAGGCAATTAGGTGACTCCTCCTTTTCATCTTGTGTACGCTTCTATTGGAATATTTCTAAAATTTTAGAAAATTATTAGGTTGGTGCAAAAGTAGTTGCATTTTTGCCATTAAAAGTAATGGCAAAAACTGCAGTTACTTTTGCACAGTCCCCTCTGCTAAGCCGTGAGTGCCTTAATGAATATTGTTCTAGTAATCTTTCTCTTTCCAGCACCTAACATATAATGGGTGCTTAATAAATGTTTAATAATTTTGAGATCTGGGAAAAGCAGATCTCTAAAATGATGTAAACAAATTAAATATACTTTTAAATTCACTCAAAAATACCTGGAAGAAAAAGTTACTTGATTGAAAAATATTAATGGGAAGTATAGCTACTATAGTTTTTAAAAAATATATGTGTCATAAATGATTAAGAAAATATATTACAGTAATTTACGCCTGCATTTAATGTTGAAACTATAGTTTTATTAGCCTTAACATAATTTAAGTGAAATGAAAACTTTTTCCTTACATTTTTATGTCAGCATGAATATTTGACTATTGTGTATCAACAAATACAGGGATAGTGTTTAAGATTTGAGTCATGTAATAGTATTTTTATAACTTAGCATATGAATATAATAAAAGTTGGACTGATTAAAGAATATTAGAAGCACATACAGTAATCATTGGGAAGGTAGAATGTTTGGAGACATGAAAGACTAACACCATGTTTCTGAAGAAAATGTTAATTGATAACGTAATTAAAGAACCCAGGATGATTGATCTGACCTTGTAATCATCTCTTTATATCTTGAGATTTTGGCTTAATCATTCAAAATGATGGCTACTTTCTTTGGTCTTAAAGTTCTTCTGTCCAAAAAGCTCCAACTTCTTTCCCATTGTTTGTTTAAATGTTAGCTAGTTTAATGTGTTATAACTTCTTTTACACTGGATTAACCTATAGTATGCTACAATTAATAACTCTTGAGCATATGTAGCAACTATTTTGTGCCGGGTAGCCTCTTAAGTCACCTTTGTTTATCATTGTATTCTTAGCACTTAGCCCAGTTTCTTAGTGCTTGGTACTACATTGTGATAGGTTTAAAAATTGGTATGTTATAGTAATATTTTTCTTTGTTTTCTTTTTTTAAAGGAAATGTGGCTTTAGATAATCTACAGATAAAAGAAAATGCCCTGGTAAGTTTTTTTTAAACTATGCTAATAACTCACTTAATTTGGTAAGTTCTTAGAAACCTTTGCCTACTAGGCATCTGATACCATGTACTAGATAAAGTGATGGAATCACTCAAGGGATTACTTGTTCAACTATTTGCTGTTGGAAAATCTGAGATTAAAGATTTAGAAATTTTTTCCCCTAATAATCAAAATAGTATCTCTTGGAAACGGAGTGTTTTTCGTTGATCTAATTTGACTGTATAGTTTTGTAGTTGACTTTTTCCTTATAGCAATATTTTCCTTCACTAGTGTCTTTACGTATTTTTGAGATAAATGAGGGCTTGATTTTAAATAACATATCTAATTTTGGAAATAGATTGATGGTCTAGCCTTATTATAGTAATATTAAGAGGTAAAATAGGATTTTCTGGACTTTAGCTCCAGAAAGTAATTTGTGTCATTTATTGTTGAGTTGAAAACAAACAAAACAATGCCCTCCATCCCCCAATTAGGTTTCTGTTTAGCTTGTTGGGCTAAATGTGAGTTTATGAAGTCACTTAATGAGTTTATTGTTTAATTAATTTTTTTCCGGCTTCCAACCTTTTATTTTTATTTTTATTTCTTTTTGAGATACAGTCTCACTCTGTTGCCTAGGCTGGAGTGCAGTGGCATGATCTTGGCTCACTGCAACTTCCGCCTCCCAGGTTCAAGCAATTCTTCTGCCTCAGCCTCCCTAGTAGCTGGGATTACAGGTGTGTGCCACCACGCCTGGGTAATTTTTGTATTTTTAGTAGAGGTTGGGTTTTGCCATGTTGGCCAGGCTGGTCTGCAACTCCTGACCTCAGGTGGTCTGCCTGCCTTGGCCTCCCAAAGTGTTGGGATTACAGGCATGGAGCCACTGCGCCCAGCCTAACTTCTTAATTTCTTTGATCTTTTAGCATGAGTTTAATCATCTATAAAGTGAAGTTAATTATAAAACAATATAATATCTCTGTGTCTTTGTGGCTTGAATAAGATGAGAAGTAGAGCCTGGCACTTAGTAGGTGCTCAAAAATTTAAATATTTTTCTCTTTTTTATATAGGAAGCTACAACTTTTTAAATTTTAAACAAAAATGTAGACCTGATTCTGTTGTTATAGATTGGAAAAGAGGTTTTTTTCTCTATTTATGACAATATAAATAGAATTGTAGTGACAGGATATATATCTAACATACTAAGGAGACAAATTATTTGAACTCTGTTTCAGCCTAATTCAAGTTTTGGTTATAATTAAATATAATAAACTATTTTGTAATTTTTATATATATATATTTTTTATTATACTTTAAGTTCTAGGGTACATGTGCCCAATGTGCAGGTTTGTTACCTATGTATACATGTGCCATGTTGGTGTGCTGCACCCTTTGACTTGTCATTTACATTAGGTATATCTCCTAATGCTATCCCTTCCCCCTGTAATTTATATTTTTTATTCAAAGTAGCTCCTTTCCCCAGTTAAACCAAATTGATGAATTTTTACTTTTATATGGGTTATTTACATTTATTTTGTGTGAAAATTATTTCAGGAGGATTAAAATGAGCATGAGACCACCTTTTTGTAGTTTGCAGTTTGTATACTGTATAATGCGAATTCCCTTGAATTTATCTTTCCTGTCCTCCAGGAGGACAGAGCTGCTCTTATTGGCAGCAAAGACTTTTTTTTTTTGGTCTAAAAAAGACTTTTTAACTAAAGCTATTATAATAGCATTCTGTTCAATTCCTGTTTACGTAGCATTCAGACGTAATCAGATGATTAGGTAAATTGATTATTTTAGTTAATTATTACCTACATTTTGGTGGTCAGATTTTTATAGTGTTATTATATAGTAAGTCAAACCTAACGGAAAGGCTGTACTGACTGGTTTAATTTTTAATAATTCTAAAACTCAGGTTATCATTATGGATATCAGTTGTTTAGTATTCTGTGAATAAAAAAAGTTATTTGAACTTTCTAGTTGTTTGGAATATAGGTAAGTGAAAGTTTATTATTATTTGTTGGCACCTCTCTGTAACTTATCTAAACGAAATACTAATTTGGTAAATAATATATTGGGAATCTAGCTTTTCTTTTAAAGATTTTTAAGTTTATTCATTTACTAAATATTTGAGAGAGAACTGTTGTTCAGTAATGTTTTCAACTAATTTATGCAAAAAGACTCTTCTTTTTTCTGTTCTAGTATTTCAGATAAACATTGTCTATGTGTTTAAATTGATTTGGTTTGATTTTAATTTCCATTTGATTTGGTTTACTTAAAACAAGTAACCAGTTTACCTGGCTATTTACAAACTTTTTCTATTTTTACTATTTATCATTTTGTTTCTCTTGTGAATTCTTTCTTTAAAGTCAAAGTTTAAGTTATAATTTTTTTTTTTGAGACAGAGTTTTGTCTTGTCACCCAGGCTGGAGTGCAGTGGCGCGATCCCGACTCACTGCAACCTCTGCCTCCTGGGTTCAGGCGATTCTCCTGCCTCAGCCTCCTGATTAGCTAGGATTACAGGCACCTGCCACCACACCAGGCTAATTTTTTTGTATTTTTAGTAGAGACTGGATTTCACCATGTTGACCAGGCTGGTCTCGAACTCCTGAACTCAGGCGATCCACCCGCCTCGGCTTCCCAAAGTGCTGGGATTACAGGTGTGAGCCACTGCACCAGGCCTATGAAACGTTTTTTGGCTATAAAACATGTCCTTTATGAGTTATTCAAATATAGAAAATTTGGTTTTTGTTTTTCTTTGGACATGTGTATTTAAATGATCACACAAAAGTGATTTTTGGGTTGGCTTCATAATTTAAGATGTCCTTTACATTTTCTCTTTCTTCTGAAGAGTGAATTGGATGTTCCTTTTAAAGTCAAGGCTGGCCAAATTGGTAAGTACTTTAGTCTTCATTTGAATTATTCTTGGTCCTATTGTTTTCTATTTTGCTTGTGTTATTTAACCTAAAAAAATCTTTGATTAAAAGTGTGAGAGATTTTTTTTTGCCTCATTAATTAGAGCTCGTAGAGTTCTGAACCTAATGTATATTATATATAAAACGTACATACTTCTTTTTTTTATGACAAAAGGTAGAAAATGGAAGGCTATTTGAACTGCAATTGCATTCTTCAGGCTTTGGTTCCACCACACAAAATATACCTTCATTTTCAGATTAGATTTCCAAGTTTTATGTGCTTTTTCTTTAAATGTGAAAGTAGTATAATTTGCAAACTCCAGTAGGTAAACTGTAAATGTAGCTTATTTCCTTCATGTTTTGTTCAACCATTTTCACTTGATATATTATGCAGCAATGTGGTATGGAGGATATGTTTTGGTAAGTACAAAGTCTCTCTGCAGTTAAACTCCTACACTAAGACCATCTATAAGTAAATATATATCTTTGTTGAATAAATTTTTTCAATAGGAAATTTAATCTACAAAGTCTTCCCATCTAGTCCATGCTATCTGGTTTTTATTTTTATTTATTTATTTAATTTATACATTTTTAAATTTTGGATTTAGGTGGTCCATGTGTATGCTTGTTACATGGATATATTGAGTAATGGTGGGGATTGCGTTTCCAGTGTATCTGTCACTCAGATATTGAACTTTGTATCCAATAGGTAATCTTTGAACCTCCACCCCCCTCCTTCAATCCCTACCCCTTTTTGGAGTCCCCAGTGTCTGTTATTTCCATTAAATTTTTTTATTTTTAATTTTTGTGGATACATAGTAGGTATATATATTTATGGGGTACATGAGATATTTTGATACAGGCATGCAGTGTGTAATAATCACATCGGGGTAAATGAGGTTTCTATCACCTCAAAGTATTTATCCTTTCTTTGTGTTACAAATAATGTAATTAATACTCTTAGTTATATGTAAATGTGCAATCAATTATTATTGAATGTAGTCACCCTGTTGTGCCATCAAATACTGGGTCTTATTCATTTTATCTAACTTTGTTTTTGTATTCATTAACCATTCTCCCCTGTTACCCTTCCTAGCTTCTGGTAACCATTGTTCTACTCTCTGTCTCCATGAGTTCAGTTGTTTTAATTTTAGTTCCCACAAGTAAGTGAGAACATGTGAAGCTTGTCTATTTGTGCCTGGCTTATTTCACTTAACATAATGACCCCCAGTTCCATCCATGTTGTTGCAAATGGCAGGATCTCATTCTTTTTTATGGCTGAATAGTACTCCATTGTGTATATTTACCACATTTTCTTTAACCATTCACCTGTTGATGGACACTTAGGTTGCTTCCAAATCTTGGCTATTGTGAATAGTGCTGCATTAAACATGAGAGTATAGGTATCTCTTCAATATACTGATTTCCTTTCTTTTGGGTATATACCTAGCAGTGGGATTGGGGGATCATATGGTAGTTCTATTTTTAGTTTTTTGAGGAACCCCCAAATTGTTCTCCATAGTGGCCATAATAATTTACATTCCCACCAATAGTGTACAAGGTCTTCCTTTTCTCCACATTCTTGCTAACATTTGTTATTGCCTATCTTTTGGATAAAAGCCATTTTTACTGAGGTGAGATGGTATATCATTGTAGTTTTGATTTGCATTTCTGTGATGATGTGATGTTGAGCACCTTTTCATATACCTGTTTGCCATTTGTATGTCTTCTTTTGAGAAATGTCTATTCAGATCTTTTGCTCATTTTTAAATCAGATTATTAGATTTTTTCCTATAGAGTTGTTTGAGTTCCTTATATATTCTGGTTGTTAATTCCTTATCTCTTACTTGTCCTGGCAATGTCTCTGTGGAGCTGTGTACTGTAAAGGCTATTATGCATATTTATGTCTATTTGTACCCATTGTTTAGCTCCTACTTGTAAGTGAGAACATACAATATTAGATTTTCCACCTTTGAGTTGATTTACTTAAGATAATGGCCTCTAGCTTCATCCATCTTGCTGTAGGGGACATGATTTCATTCTTTTTTATGGCTGCATACTATTGCATGGTATATATGTATCACATTTTCTTTATCCAGTCAACTGTTGATGGACACTTAGTTTGGTTGTGTGACTTTGCTATTGTGGTTAGTGCTGTGATAAACATATGAGTGCAGGTGTCTTTTTATATAATGACTTATTTTCTTTTAGGTACTCAGTAGTGGGATTGCTGTTTTTATTTTTAGTTCTTTGAGATATCTCCGTACTGTTTTCCATAGAGGTTAAACCAGTCTACATTTTCACCAACAGTACTCAAGTAGTCCCTCTCCTCTGTATCCATGCCAATATCTGTTATTTTTTGACTTTTTAATAATAGCCATTCTAGCTGGTGTAAGATGGTATCTCAGTGTGGTTTAAATTTGTATTTCTCTGATAATTAGTTATGTTGAACATTTTTTCATGTGTTTGTTGGCTTCTTGTATTTCTTATTCTGAGAAATGTTTGTTTATGTACTTTGCTGTTTTGAATGGGGTTGTTTTTTTCTTGTTCAGTTGTTTGAGTTCCTTGTAGATTCTGGATATTTGTCCTTTGCTGGAGGCATAATTTGCAAATATTTTCTACCTTTCTGTAGGTTGTCTGTTTACTGTGTTGATTATTTCTTTTGCTGTGCAGAAGATTTTTATTTTTACTTTTTAAAAATTAATTAATTAATTTAGAGACAAAGTCTTGCTCTGTTGCCCAGCCTGGAATGCAGTGGCACAGTCATGGCTTACTGCAGCCTCAACTTCCTGGGCTCAAGGGATCCTCCCACCTTTGCCTCCCAAGTTGCTGAAACGACGGGTGTGTCACCATGATTGGCTCATATTTGTATTTTTTGTAGAGATACAGTTTCATCATGTTGCCCATGCTGTTCTTGAACTCCTGGGCTCAAGTGATCTATCCGCCTCGGCCTCCCAAAATGCTGGGATTACAGGTGTGAGTCACCACGCTTGGCCTAGAAGCTTCTTAGTTAAGTCCTATTTGTTTAATTTGTTTTTCTTGCATTTGCTTTTAGGGTCTTTGTCATAAATTCTTTGCCTAGGCTGATGTCCAGATGAGTTTTTCCTCAGTTTTCATCTAGGAATTTTATAGTTTCAGGTTTTATGTTTAGGATTTACTTTAAAAAATAAGTAAATTACAAGCCAAGATGGCTTACTCCTATAATTTTACTTATGCTACATCCTTTCTCCCAACTTTATCACCCTGCTATTACGCTATATCACTTTTTTCTTTATTCAATATTCTGTATTATAGGAAGGCTTTGTCTTTCACTACTCTAGCATCTCTTAGCAATTATTTGGATACTTCCGTTTGGGTCATTTTATATGACATATATGTTTCCTTTTAACATACAAGAATATTTTTATGTTTTTGTCTCGAAACAGGATAAATTTTCTTAGATTGAAAGCATCTTTAGGCATGTGTCATCTTTTTTGTTTTTTAGATAGGGCTGAATGTGGTGGTTATGTGTAGCAGTGCTCTAGAAGTATTGTGGCCCTATATGCTTCACTGAAATCCTAGAATATAGAAGTTGTAGCCATTCATTTATTCTTTACTTTTGAAATATTTATGCACATGTTACGTACAAGACTATGCAAGTGCTATGGGAGATGCAAGGATGAAGGTGATATCTTTGTCTTCAAGGAAGTTATAGACATCTAAAATTGGAACATAGATTGAAATTGTATTTCCAGTGTCTTAGATCAATTATAGCTGACTAAAGAAATTTTGCATTATTTATTATATTCTTACAATATAATAAATTTATTATATTCTTACAATATAATAAATTTATTATATTATATTTATATATTTATTTAATATATATTATATTTATATATAACATATTATATATATTTATATATAATATATTATATACATTTATATATAATATATTATATACATTTATATATAATATATTATATATAAATGTATATAATATATAATATATTTATATATATATTATATAATATAATATATATAATATATTATATAATATAATATATATAAATATATTATATATATTTATATATAATATATTATATAATATATTTATATATTATATTTATTATATTTATATTTATATTATGCAATATAATAGATTTACATTATGGAGGAGATTTTCTAATGGTTCAGAATTTGTTCTTTTTGCTTTTAAAGTACACAAAGATTTAATGGCTTCCTTCACTGTTACCCATTGAGTTATGAGAGACCCTTTACAAATAAGTATGCAAAGTATATTGTCTTTATAACTATCTTTTTTTTTTGGTTTACAGAGCATTTATATTAGTTGTTAAATTTCTCCTTAGGTTAAAATATTATACCTAACCTGTAGGGTCAGTGTGGCTAATTAAGCTCAAGTGTGATTTGGTTTTCTAAGAGCTAGACATATTTGTGGGTGCCCTTGAGTTACCCGTTTTCTTAAAAATTTAAAAAATTTCCTGATCTATAAAAGGAGGGAGTAATATATAAAAAACTCAATTCTAGGACCTTTCTGAGAGATTGGGGGATAATTAGTATAAATGTAGAGAAGAAAAGGTTTAGGGAACAGACAGTCCCTTTCTGTATGCTAGTTAAAGGGACGTTTCCCACTTTTTCTGTCTTATGCTCACCAAGAAGGCAATCAAATAAATTTTGTTAGGAGATTTTGAGATAATTACAAATGTAACAGTACCTATTGTAAATATAAAATCACTGGACTTAGAAATGACCCAGAGCGTTGTAGACTTCCCGTGACATGCAAGCCATTTAAGAAATTCAGCAGGTTTACAAGCTGAAGAGAAGTGAAAATCTAAATGGAGAAATAATTTGATATTTTAACCTTGGGAATAGATACCAGGTAAAACTGGCTTTCCTACATATCCATCTAGGTGACCCCAAATATTCTGTCTTACATTGCATTATTTTATTTTCTCTTTAGTTTGTTATACTGTTTTTCAGTTCTTTGAACTTTGAGCATTTTCATTTAAAAATGATTTTAAATGAAAAACCACCAGTGATTCTGGTGGTGTAAGTGACTTTAATTATTCACATACAAGCATGACTTAGTTGAATCAAATTCTTTTCTCCTGAAAATCTTGATTAGTAGCTCTGAGAGACCTATAGATTTTAAATATAAGTTTAAAAATTATAGATGAAGGAAGGTATTTTATTTTGGAACATGTAAAACTTTATGTGTAGGAAAGGTTTGGATAGAATTGCTGTAGTAAGGCAGATTGGGGACATTTTGCTGCCTGGAGACCTGGAACGAGGGGATACTAGAGATTAGGGAAAGAAACATGGAAAGATTTTGACAGATTTTGCCTATTTCAAAATTTAGCTGAGAGCATGCCCTTTTGGTCTTCTCTTGTCTTCCCTGAACAGGCTTTTCCCCCATAAAACCCCAAAATTGGGACAGTAATATTAGGGCCATAGTTCATCTGTGTCATGAGTGAAAGTTTTTTGTGGGCTCACCTCAGGAGGACTTGACATTAATACCATTGTTTCCAAGAGAGAACATGTGTTCTGTCTTCTAAGTGATTTATAAGTAGATATTTGGAATATAACTGGTCTGAGTTGCCTGTGACTCATAATACTATTCATAATACCGTATGCCTTGCTTTTAGAGCTAGCCTCTTCCTGTTGTGACAATTTGGTATGCTGTCAAAATTCCATTTGCACAAAGTTCCTTTGCATCTCTTCTCTGTGTTGCTGCTTCAATTCCTGGTAGCTTGTGCAGATATTATTTTACTGTTGATCTATAAGGATTTATTTGTTGATGTGGATAGAAGAGCATGTGCAATATTAAGACTATCAACTGTTGTTGTGCACCGAATCTGGTCCAGCATCCTTACTAATAATCTGGTCACTGCTTAACTCACTAGATAGACTTAAGCAATTAATTTAACTTCACTAGGGCTGAGTTTCCTTTTTTTCAGGATTGAAATAATAGCTGACTTATTCATTTTACAGTTTTTGAATATTAAATGGATAATGATTATCAAAATATTTTATATTGAAAAATAAAAATTACAATGTGACTATTCACTTAATAGTAATTTTATGTGGAAAAGACCTTTGTAAACTTTAGTGTTGGATTTTTTTCATTTTTTCTGAGTGATGTACATACCATGAAGAGTTTTTTATGCTTTTTCGCTTAATGGAAAGTGAGAAATTTTTGTGTTCTTGAGCAGTCAAATAATAATTTAAGGTTGAAATTATGTTTCCTTAGATAAATTAACTTTGAAGATTCCTTGGAAGAACCTTTATGGAGAAGCAGTTGTTGCGACCCTGGAAGGATTATACCTGCTTGTTGTCCCTGGAGCAAGTATGTTATTTTAGGTTATAACCATTCAATAACATCACATTGAAATTAAATTGTTATCTGAGTTAAGTATTTTAATACATTTATTTATTAAGATAGAAGGTAATTTAAATAAATGAATCATACATAGATGCACTTATATGCATACTTTTATATATGTATGCACATATATCTTACCGCATTTGTGTATAAAGTATTGTTGTTGTTGAAAATTTAATTCATTTTTTCAATTTATTCTGTTTTCTAAGAGTACTTGTTTTGCAACTAAGGCTTCCTGTTGAGCTGCATTAGGCAGATTTACTGATAATAAATGAAGTGAAATAAATCTTTAAAAATATCCTGATGTGTTAATCTCCAGATTTCAAGATTGAAAAATTTATTTTTTTTCCTATTTTGTTGCTTCTGATTTTGAGTGAATGTTCTTTCAAAAATGTGTATAATTGGTAATTTTTTCCTTCGAAATGATAGTATTTTAATTTTTAATGTTTTAAAGTAGTGATGTTTAAGTAATATCTTTATTATTATTTTTTCACTTATAAGAACAATATAATGTTAAGAAAAGTTTGGATGTTTTAGGGAAAAATTACTTACAATTTCTTAACCATTGTACAAATAAAATTTTTATTTTTACATTTTGCTCTTCAGTCTTTAGTTTATGCATACCTGATTTTCAGTAGCTGTTACCACATTATATATACAACATTGACTTGGCCTTTTATTATATACATTTTTGATAGGTTTCACAGTTTTCACAGTGACAGTGACAGTTTTGAAAGGCTGTATGGTATTCTATTGTGGGCTACCTACTGTTTTTAGCTTTATAGTCAATACTATAAATACTAGTCAATACTATAGTCAGTACTATAAATACATCATTGTAATCAATACTATAAATATGTCATTATAGATCTTTTTTATTCTTTTGTGTTATTTCCTTAGATTGCATGATCAGAAATGACATTACTAGATAAAAAGGGCTTATATATTTTATGATTGTTGATATGTATTCCGAATTACTCTCTGAAAGTTTAAAAAATCAGTGTATATTGATCCCAGGTAGTATTGGATATTAAATTATTCCAGATTTACCACTGATAGAGCAGTATTCTGGTGTACTTGCTGTCTTCCTTCTGTTTCTACTTCTTATCTTTGTTCTCACCCTCCTCCTGTCTCCCTTTTTCCTACCTGCCTTTCTACCTGTAATTTCTTTTCTTCCCTCCTTCTTTTTGTATTTCAGTTTTTTGTAAGTGAATAGGAATAATTTATGTTTAAATGTTTCGTAAAACTAAAAATGTGAAAGTATTTTTGTATTGCAGAAGGATTATACACTTACACAATCCTAATGAGGCTGAACTTTTTCCGTTTGTTTATTTATTAATTCCATTTATTTTTGTGTGAATTGACTGTATATTTTTAGGTATTAAGTATGATGCTGTAAAAGAAGAAAAATCCTTGCAGGATGTTAAACAGAAAGAGCTATCCCGAATTGAAGAAGCCCTTCAAAAAGCAGCAGAAAAAGGTAAAAAGTTTTTTTGAGATAAACTTAGACATACCTATATTTTAGATATAATTAATATCCTTTAAAGAGGATGCTTTTGTAAGCCTTCATAAGTTGAAGTTCTAAAGACATAATTTTTTTTTAATCTCAAAATATTGCTTATATTTTCATGACTCACTTTTAGGAAAAAGTAATTGCCTTTTTTCTGTGAGTGTTTTATCATGTTGCCAATTTGATTTTTCCACTTTTCTTAATTAGTCATTTTTATTGTGCTAGTTTGGAAGACTTTCCAAATTTTCAGTATTTGCAGGCCTGTTTATTTTGGGCAAATGGTAAGTTTCTTTGTGTGCATGTTTACCCGTGTTCTTGCTGGATAATGAGGTTAAGCATAATGCTATAGTGAAATGATGTTTAGAGGAAATGCTGCTTTAATTCTAGTCCTAGCTATCTCCCTTCGTGTTGTACAGGATATTAAAAAAAAACCCAAAAACTTGATTCTTCAGGTTTTAGCATTTTAACATCCTGCCTTACGTTTACATTTTTGTTTTTATCTAAAAATAAATCTGATGACTTTGTTTGGTTTATAGAGCAAGAACAAGGATATGATGAAAAAGAGTAGTCTATAGAGTGATGAATTGAAGGACTTTTCCAGACATCTATTGTTTATCTCAATCAACAATTGCTGATTAGGGTATATGAGTTATTAGCATTTTATATAATTTTTGTGTCATTTGGTGGCATGTGTATATATTTTTATGATGAAGATAGTCTCTCTCAAAAGATAAAGCAAATATTGAGTTAGAAATGATGTTAATTATATTTAGATATAAGATTTCTTTTCCTAGCTTAAGATGTTGTCATTTAATTGAATCAATTAGAAATCTTTTTTAAATAGGTTGTTCCTTTAAATTTTTAATCAAAGTTTTAAATTCTTGCTTCAAGTATTTTTTCTTATGCAGAAATATTGATTCTTTTATTAAAAGTTACTAAACTATTTAAAAATACAGAGGTTACCATAGTGGAAGAAATTTTCTAGAAGCTTCAACATTTTTTCTCTTATTTTCACACTTGAGCATATTTTGTCTTCCTGCTGAAGCTTAAGTATCTGTATTTCTAGGGAAACAGTTTTCTTTATTTGTATAACTTTACCATGGCAAAAAAGCAAGCCAAGAATGGTTTTGTTTCATGACAATTGTGATTTTTTTCTTTATATTCAATTTTGGCTAATTAATATATGTAAAAGTAGTACCATAAAAATGAAGGCTAAGAATTGGAGAGCACTAGAATTTCACTTTTTCTTGAAACTATTCAGATTAGGATATTAACATATGTATATTCATCATTAGGTATATTGATGTATACTTAGATATATTGATATAGCATAATTACACATTTATCATTTACAATTACATAATAAGTTACATATATTATTTAGAAACAAATCTTAAGCTCCTCCTTTTTAAAAAATGGAGCATAATTATATTTGCCTAAAAATATGTTAGTGTTTTCAGTCACCTGTAAGAAAAGTCGTGGTATATAGTCTCATTTGTTTTCGTGATTGACAGTTTAATTGGTAATATGATTATTACACATTTCGTACTCAGACTTAGGAAATTTTGACTCCTGAGTCTTCAGTGCTGAGAAAACAGACATTTGGGTCTGACAAAGAGGCTATTATGAATGGTTTGATATAAAGGATGTACATCTGTAGTATTAATTTTGTGTAAATAGAACTGTTAGGCCTATGCTGTATATGGTAATGACATTGTAGCTTCTTGAATGATAAAATTTAAGTTTTTTTCATATAGAATTAAAATTCAAAAAGTGAAACTCTTTTAACACTCAGTTTTAACATGTTATATTTGTCAAAAAAGTTTTGAGACTAAAAGATGAATTCAGGAATTGGGAAGTATATTTAGATTATTTTTTTCTTAACTGTTAAGAAACACATTTAAGAATATTGCAGTATTCTTTTCTCATTTCTGTGGATATGAGTCACATCTTCAAATAATATTATTCATGTGAATGATAGAGGACAACCCTGACCTTTATATATTTCACATTTTACCATTATTAATAGTTATTGATTATACTTTATTTTTCTACTTGTTTATTGATATTAAAAGCACAAAAGCACCATTGCACATGTATAGGGACTCAGAGAGGGAAGGAGAGGAGATGATTCAACTCTAAGTAGCAGATGATAAAAATGAAAACAAAATTATCATGCTGGTCTGCTCATAAAAAGGATTTTGACTTAGCTTGTTTTATGTGGTAAAATTATATTGTTTCCCACTATCGTATAGGAATAAAATAAAATTGAAATAAAACTATGAGTTCATTTTTAGAAAGTTTGCTTAACTGTAAAAATAAACTCTTTGATGTTTTTCTCCTTTTATTTCATTGGAGTGAGTTTATTTTTCTGGAAGGCTATCATAAAGAGAAAGATTAAATTCCTAGTAAGGCCAAAAGATTCGCAAATGCTAGATTCTGTACTTAAGATGTTGGATTTTATCAAAGTAATATGTACACACACTTGAAAATCAATAGTTTTGCCAAAATGACATGATAAAAAATGGCAGTCCCTTGTTTCATCCTTTGCTACCCTCCAGACCAACTCCTTTGAGTTAGTAATATTTTTTAGCGATGTTAACATTCTGTCATTAATCTAGTTCATTAACATAAGGCATTATCTAGGACTTCCTGTTATGGTAGTCACGGAGTTTACTTCTCTTACTATCTCCTTGCACCCTGAATTCTCCTTCCCATTTTCTCATAATATGAATATATCATAATTTTTGGCCAATTACTAGTCACTACTTAGATTACTATGACAATGTGATTATTGTTCACTGCGCAGGTCACATGATGTGTGTGTTAGGCAGTTTTTGCATTGCTATAAAGGAATACCTGAGACTGGGTAATTTATGAAGAAAAGAGTTTTAATTGGCTCACAGTTCTGTAGGCTGTATAGGAAGCATGATGCCGGCACTTGCTCCTGGTGAGGGCCTCAGAAAGCTTTCAGTCACGGCAGAAGATGAATTGGAAGCAGGCCTGTCATCATTTATGAGGGACCCACCCCAATGATCCAGTCACTTCACATCAGGCCCCACCTCCAACACTGGGAATCACATTTGAACATGAGATTTGGAGGGGACCAATATCCAAATCATATCAATGTACTATGACTATATTTCCTTTCTTATACAACCTTTTGTTTTCCTTGAATTTGTAAATGCTGCTTTCTTATTTGCTTAGTCTTCTATGTAAATTTATCTTTAATTCTTTTTCACATGCTACATGAAATTTGTCTGCTATATGAGAAATGATAGTATTTTCCAATCGTGTAAACCCATCTGTTGGTACTCTGTACCACCCTGTTGTCTCTTGGAGATCCCCCTCTGAACTGATTGTTTTTTGGACCAGCTGCACAGGTGTCATCTTAGGACTGGTCTGAATTGCTCGTCTATGTTTAATTCCCTGTTTCCTGGGTCCTTTGCCTTTTTTGTTTCCTTAGTTTACTCATTTGTTTTCCTAGAACACATCTAGAAGCTTTTAAGAATGGATGCACCGGATATAATTTCGAAAATTCTTTTAAGGCTGAATGTCTTTGTGTTTTACTTCTACACTCGTTTGATTTGTCTGGGGATAGAATGCTAGGTTAAAAATTAGAATTTTGTAGGCAGCAATGTTTTCTAGCTTCCAGGCTCCTTTAAAAAAAAGTCTGATGCCAGTCTACACATTGTTGAAAGCAGAAAAATTAGAGAGTCCTTGGACCCTCCTGTCAAAGACCTTATATTTTAATTGGACAAATAAGAAATTTGCATAATAATAAGCAAGAGAAAGTGTTGAGTCCCATCAAAGAGGTACAGACAGTTTTATGGGAGTTCAGAATGAACATGTTATAGTCGGCCAAAGAGATCAGGGTAGACACTATGAAGGTGTATATTTCAACTGGATTTAAAGGATGGATCTGCAGAAAGGAGAGAAGGCATAGGTAGAGGAGACAGTGAAGGTGGGAAAGTATAGAGCATCTGTGGGATCAGCTAACAGTTTGGGAGTCTGATAGAGAGTAGTTGGATGTAGGGTTGGAAAGCTAAGTTTAGGTCAATTTTAAGAGATTTGCATGCTCTGATGATGTTAATGGTAATGACAGTGAAAGTAGTTGACATTTATTGAGGATTTACTATTCAGCAGTCACTCTTCAAAATACTTTATATGAATTAACCCATTAATAGTCACATTTGATATAGGTGCTATTTTTGTTGCCATCTTACAGCTGAGGAAAGTGAAAGTTAAATAATTTGTTCTAGGTCACACAGTTAGAAAATAGTAGAGCTAGAATTTGAATCCGGTCTGGCTCTAGATCTTGTAATCTTAACCCTGTACAATGTGAACTTTCATCCATAGCCAGCGGGGGTGTAAGTTTTCCTTTTTCTTTCTTTAAGAGTCCAAAGAATGACATGATCAGAGTTATGATTTAAGGAAAAACTTGCAGTGTTGTCTAGGATAGACTGGATTTGGAGAGCGAAGTAGAAGATGCTATGTAGCCATCATTAATGAGAATGGCTATAAAGGATTCAGATAGTGTATGTAAAGGGACCAGATCACACTAAAGTAAGATGAGGTCATTTCAGCCCACTCTAAAATTAGCGTCAAATATCACAGTAATATTATATTCTGAAAATGGACAAAATGGCATGCAAAAAGAGAACCAAAATAGTGGATTTTTGCACTGTTTGAAAACTTGTCAAAAATTTTAGTGAGCCGTTAGCCGAAATTGATATTTACCTGCCTCACATATTTTGAAATGATTATTATAATTTTAATTGTTAAGAAGTTTGTGTGTTGAAAGAACGAAAATGGTGTCACTGTGAATATTTCCTCAGAAATAAAATAGTTTTGGTGTCACCAAATTTTAATTACCCTGTTACATGATTTCTAATTATATGAAATTAAATTTAGGTATATTTTACATGTGAAATTAAAGGTGTCTTTAAATTGCTTTGCATTTTGGTTATTGCTGCCATGTGGGATGCAGGCACACATTCAGGGGAGTTCATATATGGCTTGGAGAACTTTGTTTACAAGGACATCAAGCCTGGTGGGTATGCATGGTTAATTATATTCAACTATATAAACATATTCTTGTGTATGCTTGTGCTTTTGGTGGAGTCCATTTGATGGCATGCCATCCTTTTAGAAAATATGGAAATGCAATTTTTGTTTTCCCCCTCTACCATCATTTCCTTTTCCTTACCTGTAGTCGTTTATTCATTTACTAAATATTTGAGTGTCTTGTGGCAATCACTGTGCTGGATGATGCTGGATGTTTGTGGGGTAAACAAACATGATTCACTGTTCTTACGAAGCTTAGAATATGAACTACAGATAACTTTCAGATTTGGGCTACTCTTTTGAGTTTAGTTCTAGAGTTCAGTAGTTTCTGAATTAAGCAGTTCCTCTCTGATAGCGGTGGTTTTGGAACGTAAAAAGCAATAAAGTGGAATTTTTCTTTGAATTCAGAACCGTGACAGGAGGTGTTCCTCTGAGCTTTGATTTGTTTCACCTCTGTTGTAGCTCTGGAGGTGCCTCTAGACTACTGTCCTGTACAGCATATTGAAATTTCAAGCTTCGCAAAAGGCAAATTAAAGTCTTACTGTTTATATTAGGATTTATGATATGATTCTTTTATATACTAGGAAATCTACCAAATATATTAAAATAATACTTTTTAGTATTTTACATAATCTTATTTGTTAAACTTTATGTTTTATATCATACTTCAAGAGCTTGTTAGATGAACTCAGTCACATTTAAATTTGTTTTGATTAAATGGCAAGTGGGTCTGTATCTTGAAATTTGTAAACAATAAGCATCATGTTAGAATTATTTCTGTAGCTAGGAACTTTAATAGGTTGATTCATGTGACAGATGGAAGTGGAATTTTCATGACAGGCTTTACAGCATTAGGTGAAATTACCCTGAAAGCAGTTTCCGTTCTAATAAACCTACTCCTTCCGTAAGTGTGCCTGTGTTGTCTTATAGTTACTTTGTTTAATATCAAAGATAGCATGGAGATACTCATGGCTCACTGTCTGGTTTTGTAGGTTATAATCAAACCAGCTTACTGTAGTCTGGGTAGCATTGTTAAAAACAGCAGACTATAACAGCTGTCACCGTAAAAGAAAACATCATTGATTCAGTTTTTTTTTAAAGGTATATTAACGTAGATAAAAAAATGAGGTCCAGAATGTTGGTGCTTCTGAAATGAGAGTAGTTTATTTTGTTGATGATATCTTCATTCAGCTGGCTAGGACTTAACGTGTGTTTCATGATCATTTCCTCTTTTCAGTTTCTGAGTGCATATTATTTCCTCATTTGATATTACTTTTTTTTATTCTAAAGCAGTGGTTCTCAAAAAGTCAAAATGATTTTCATAATAATACTAAGCATTATTTGATTTTTCCTTTTATTGACATTTACATTGCTGGTGCAAAAGCAATAGTGTGTAAAAATTGCTAGCTGCCTTAGCATGATTCAAGGCAGTGGCACCAGACTGTAGTAGTAGTCACTGTATTCTTCAC